>NC_000010.11:26260000-26885000 GCF_000001405.40 Homo sapiens
CTGTCATAGTATTTGATGGCATGTAGTTTAAAATATATTTACATATATTTTAACATAAAAGACATATAAGTATTTACTTAACATAAAAGACACTATAAGTATTTACTGATTAGAAATTTGTTTTTTACATAGCAAATATTATGGACGACTTGCATGCCTTAGAAATTCTTCAATACAATTCTCATTCACTATTTAATAATCCACTGTTTATAATTTATATTACTTAACAAATCTGTTGTTAAACATTAAGTTGCTTTAAACTTTTACTATTAAAAAATGCTATTATAAACATTATTGCGGGTAAATATTTGCACATATCCTTGTATTATTTTCTTAAAATAACTTCCGGCTGGGTACATGGCTCACCCCTGTAATCCCAGCACTTTGGAGGGCCGAGGTGGGCAGATCACCTGAGGTCAGGAGTTCGAGACCAGCCTGACCAACATGGTGAAACCCCATCTCTACTAAAAATAAAAAATTAGCTGGGTGTGATGGCGCGTGGCTGTATTCCCAGCTACTCGGGAGGCTGAGGCAGGAGAATCACTTGAACCCCGGAGGCGAAGGTTGCAGTGAGCCAAGATCGAGCCACTGCACTCCAGCGTGGGTGCCAGAGCAAGATTCCATCTCAAGAAAACAAAAAAAACTTTCCAGACGTAGAATTTCTGAGCCCAGGACTGTGTCTATGCTGAGTTATGATACTTGCTGTCATGTTGCCTTCAGAAAAGACTCAGCCAGTTTACACTTCCCCAGTACTATAAAGGGGTGCCTACCCACTATGTCCTCACTCAGGCTAGGAATTAAAACCTTAAGTGATGTGTGTCAATCTGATGGATGGAGCTTTTTTATTATTCATGTTTTCATTTACAGTTTGATAATTAGCAAAGCTGAGTATTTATTTTATTTTTGTAGGTCATAGTTGGTGTATATACTTATGGGGTACATGAGATGTTTTGACAGACACAGGCATGCAGCGCAAAGTAAGCACATCATGGAGAATAGGGTATCCATCCCCTCAAGCATTTATCCTTGCAAAGTTGAGTATTTTATACTTATCAGTTATTTATAGTTCAAAAAGAAAAAGAAAACAAAACTCTCTTTTGTCATGTATGTTGCAAATGTTTTCTAAAATGTATCACCTGCTTTTTTATTTCATCTGTTGTATCTTTTAAAACATTTCAATTTTTGGTAGTCAGAGTGATCATCAATTACTTATTTTTTACCTTTAGTGTCTTTAGAAAATGTTTTCCATTCTTAGAACATGTTAATATTCATTTGTTTTCCCCTAGAAATTTTGTGTTATTATTTAAGTAGTTGACTTAACTGAAATGTATTTTGGTCTATGGTGTTTGGGAAGTATGTAATATTTTCTTCTTCCTTCCCTCCTTCTTTCCTTGTAAAATGCCTTTGTAAAATGAGTTTGGAAGTATTTCTTCGTTTTCAACTACATGGAAGAAGTTGAGAAGGATTATTATTAATCCTTCGTTAAATGTGTGATAGAACTATCCAGGTGAAGCTATTAGGTCCTGGGCTTTTCTTTGATGGGAGATTTTTGTTTTCTGATTCAATTCCCTTATTCATTATTGGTCAGTTAGAATTTTCTATCTCTTTAAGAAGAATGTTCTTGTCCCAAATTTAATGGAAATGTATTTAGGCTTTTGCATTTAGATACGATGTTGACTCTTGGTTTGAAGTAGATGTTTTTATCGTGTTAAGAAAGTATCTTCTTAATTTACCAAGAATTCTTTTGTTTCTTCTCTTCTCTTCCCACCCTCTTCTCTTCCTCCTTCTCCTCATCCACTTCCTTCTCTTCTGGAATGGATGTTGTCTTTCATAAAATGCCTTTTAGACATCAATTGAGATTGACACTGAGATAATTTTCTAACCTTGATCTATTGATAAGATGAGTTGTGCTAAAAGGATTTCCTAGTAGTACACACCTTTGCATTCTTGCAACAAATCCTACTTGATGCAATGCGAATCTTGAATTTCCTTCAGGATTATAATTTCTAATATTATATTTAGGATTATTATAGCTACATTTGTAAAATGTATCTATAGGTTTCTCTGGGCTATCTCTGACACGTTTTGCTTTCAGAATTATCTAGCTTCAGAAAATTCATTCTGCAGCTTTCCATTGTCTTCTCTATAAGAGTTTAAAGAGCATTATATGTTATTAGTAAACTTGCTAAAATTTACTATCTGGGCCTGGCATTTTGAGGTGGGGGCAGATTTTTGGTAACTTTTCTCCCACTTATTTCTTGGTTATTAGTTTTTTTTTTTTTCAATTTTTCTATATATTATTGAATCAATTCTTGTAATTTACCTTTCCCAGGGAAAAATTATTTATTTTCTCAAAAACTTTAAGATTATTATAAAGCTTTACATAGAATGCTTTAAAATATTAAAATATCTTTATTCATAACATCTCTTTCATTTCAAATGTTACGTTTTCTCTCTTTTATTTATTGGACTAATCAGATATTTGTGTATCTGTTGATATTTTCAATGTCCCATCTTTTGAATTTATTAAGTTTACTTTTTATTTAGTTTTCTAATTCACTAAAAAAAAATTCCTTGTTTCTGCTTACACTGTTGTTTCCCTAGCTTTTTTGGATTAATTAATTTAGTTCTTTTTATTCTCTGTTATTTAATTTCAGAAGCACTCAGAGCTATACATTTTCCTCTGAGAATGATTTAGGATGCTTCTCATGTTTTTGTTTTATTCTCATGTCATTAATTTTTAATGTTCTGTAACTGCCATCTTGATTTCCTCTTGGACTCCAAAGTTATTTATTTAGAGTAGCCAAGCATGTTTTCTTACATGATAACTTGAACCTTTTATCATAATCCTTTTTTTTTTTTCCTCTCTACAGATACATTTAGGGAAGAGGGACGGTAGTTTGGGGAGAAGGAGGAGTAATGTGAGGTGGTCAGCACACCTTCTTGCCCATACATATACCTCCCTGTCAGCTCTAATACTACCCTTCAAGGGCAGCAGTAAGGAGGTTTCATATACAAAAGAAAATATCTCCTTACCATATCATGATTGGAGTCTCAGTTGCACATCACTTGCATTGTTGTATAGTCATAGTATGTGTGCTAAGTAAATGCTTTTGGAGAAAGTCAATGGGAAGAATAAATATTACTAGAATTATACACAAAAAATCACCCAAAATATCCTTCTCTTATAACCTGAAAATAATGCTAAGTGATTCAATTGTGCACATTGGAAAACAAATCCTAAAAGAGAAAAATATCATTAATCATTATAGTTAAAGTTCTTTTTCCAAATCCAACTATGTATTTGGATTCACTATTTATAGCAAATAGGAAGTTCACTATTTATAATTATGGTAAAATTCTTTGCAAAGGGCCTGGTTTTGTAATACAAGTACTTCTTAAATGGTCAGTTTTGACTTTTGTTAGTTTATTTATCTTAGGGGCCTAAGACAGGCTACCCATGTTGGTATCAGCTATGTAAAGACACGGGGAGCTCTTTTCCCCAGGAGAAATCTCTGGTAATTTTTACTGCTCCTGTGCAATTCATCTTCAACAATTTTTTCCCCAAGTCAGTCTATGCAGTTTCTGTAGTCACTACGCAGTCTGTGCAATTTGAAAATTCACCTGCATCCATTAACTCTCCTTGCCATCTTGATAGGATAGTTTTGCCTAGCACTGACTAGTTAAAAAGCAAATATAAACAAACAACTAGCAGGTTTTTTTTACTGCTATTGCGTTTGAATGCTACACTAGGTAGAACAACATCCTCAAATATGTTTTAGGGTGAGGTTACGTGCTTTTATTATTTACTAGCCAATGCTGATAGCAGTAATTGGGGTCACTGGACCGCTCAATCCAGGGGGCTTCCAGAAAACCACATGGACATTTTGCATATGTCATTACAATCCTAGAAGTCAACCTGAAAAGTTTTTTTGTTAAGTCGGGGTAGTTGTACAGTGCCAAGAATCTAGGTTTTGTTATCAGACAGCTCTAGATTTGAAATCTGCCTCCTGCTAGCTGTGTGACATTCTGCAAGTCATATAATGCTAATAACAACAATAACAATACTACTGCTAATAACAATGTAACAATGTTAGACTGTCAAACACACATTGAGTGGTTACCAAATGTTAGGCAGAGTTTGCTTAATATTGTTTATACTTACTATCTTATGTAACCCTCATACAAATCCTCTGAGACAAATACTATTATCTTATAAATGAGTAAAAAGAAGAACTTAAACTTCAAGTACACACAGTTAGCATATATGATCTGTGGCAGGAACCCACTATTCCATCTCCAGATTTCAAGCTTTTTTTTTTTTTTTTTTGAGACAGAGTCTCGCTCTGTCGCCCAGGCTGGACAGTGGCGCGATCTCTACTCACTGCAAGCTCTGCCTTCGTGTTCAGACCATTCTCCTGCCTCAGCCTCCAGAGTAGCTGGGACTACAGGTGCCCACCACCACGCCCGGCTGATTTTTTGTATTTTTTTAGTAGAGACGGGGTTTCACTGTGTTAGCCAGGATGGTCTCGATCTCCTGACCTGGTGATCTGCCGGCCTCAGCCTCCCAAAGTGCTGGGATAACAGGCGTGGAGCCACCATGCCCGGCCCAGATTTCAAGCTTTTAACCATAGTCAACTGCCTCTCTGAACCTCGGTTTCCTAATCTGCACTGTAAGTGCAAAATAACTCTCTTGTAGGGTCGGGAGGAGGAGCAGGGATCGCACAGTTACTGCTTCTAAAACTGGTCATTTATCGTTGCTGCTGATAGTGCTGCTATTATGTAAACTTAGTCAATTTCTAGCAGGAAGGATGTACGCATACTTTCTTCTTTGCACTCACGTTTTTAGGAATAGAGCTAAGCCCTACTCACTTAGGAAAGGCTGATAGTATCTCTAGTTTCAGCAGGGCCAATGAACGGGGTCAACTAGTGACTCAGGCACCCTACATGTGACCATCTGCAAGCCTGCCTAGAAATACAGACTCTCCAGTAACCTGCTTTCTTTGGTAAGATAATCAGTTCTTCCCTTTGGAGCTATGGGGAATTAGGCATGAAACTGGGACCATGGTCCAAGGTACATTCTGTGTCTTTTTGCTTCTTCCCACAAAGAGAAGATGTTTCCTGCTGGTGATTCTACCTGTTGTTCTTCCTGGGATTTTTCCAGTCAACTTAAGGGAGTTATCTGATCCTATAGCATCATACGACTTTTTTTTTTTTTTTTTTAGACGGAGTCTCACTCTGTCGCCAGGCTGGAATGCAGTGGCACAATCTCGGCTCACTGCAACCTCCACCTCCCGGGTTCAAGCAATTCTCCTGCCTCAGCCACCCGAAGTAGCTGGGACTATAGGTGTGCACCACCATGCCCAGCTAATTTTTGCATCTTTAGTAGAGACGAGGTTTCACCGTGTTGGCCAGGATGGTCTCAATATCTTGACCTCGTGATCCACCCGCCTCAGCCTCCCAAATTACTGGGATTACAGGTGCGAGCCACCGAGTATGGCCAGCATCATACGACTTCTTAAAGGCTACTGCTAACCAAGGATCTCAATGCAAAACACCTTGTCCAAAGCAGCAGTCTGTTTCAATGGCCCTGACTTTAGTAGCAGTCCCTTCCTAAACACTAACAACTAACTGAGAGCAGTGTTATAAAGCATCAGTGGCCACTTAACTGTAAGCTTAAAGGCTGGATGTATAATTATTAAAGATATATGCTTACGTTATAGACATACTTTTAGACCACACAAAGAGTATGGAACAGTCGCCATCCAAAGCCTCCCAGGCACCAGGCGATGCTTGTGCAGAAAGGCCAGGACTGATCCAACAGCTTCTCATCTGCAGAGGACAATCTGTTGGTTGTCACCCAATTGTCTCTGTCCCCGCAACATATGGGCAGTCAGAGGATGGACAAGGCTACATCTGGAGCTCCTTCTGCTCACTGCCCTGCAGCCCTGAAGGCTCCAAACCATGGCACATATGAGAAGTACTTAGTGTGTTCCACAGTTATTTAAATACCTCCCAGGCTAAAATGTCCCAAGCAGCTTTTCTTAACATATGGACCCAGGTCTACGTGCATCAGAATCACCTGGGTGACTGATGAACATGCAAATTCTTGTGCATATTTGTCTTTTTATCAGTTTATTATTTGTCTCCCTTGATAGCATGGAAACCCTGGAGAGTAGAAGCTGTCTTGTTTACCCTGCTACCCCAGTTCCTGCAACACTGCTTGGCACATAGCAAGTGCTCAATAAATATTTGTGGGATGAATTAATTCCTGGGCCCTATGCTGACCTACTCAATCAAAATCCCTAAGAATGGGGCCATGTATTTTAAACCGGGACTTCAATGATTATTATGCTCACTAAATTTTAAGAACCAGCGTTCTAAGGTAATCCGGCCAATTCTAAGATAGAGAAAAAGATGGTAAGTTTCCTCCCCCAAGGCGTCCATATTCACTATCTGGTCAGACATTAAGTTAAACATATTAATAGCCTTGGGTTAAACTTTCCCTTCTAGCCATATTCCTCCAACAAATGTTTATCTACCACCTGCCATATGTCAGGCTCTGGGTCCTAAGTAGAGAAAACAAATATAGTTTTGGAAGGCAGAGTGCCCAGGAAAAACTAGAGCCACCCCCATTCCTTTCCAATCTGCCAGAGGTGAACACTTGGAGTTCATGGTTTGACAAGCCTACTCCCTCCTTCTGCCCAAAGTTCGCTGATACAGGAAAGAAACAGACTATATGTTCATTACTGTTTTCCCGGCAGGTTTGTATGACACCTCTGGTTCATGAAAGTCAGATGTGAGCTTAAAATATTTATCTTATCTTAAAATAATCAAACCTTTCCAAACAGGTTTCCTATATGTTTGGCACCTTTGAGTTTGTTCTGGAAGCTTAGATTATATTTTGAGTTACTCCCTGGACTTTTACCAGTATTTGATCTTGGGCAGTCACTTCTCCTTTCAGGCTGTTGCCTTATTTGAAAAATGAGAAGGTTCGACTAGAATCAGGCATGTCTTGGAGCCCCTTCCAATTTGAATGCACTCTCATCTCTGACTCCTCAGTGCCATCTTACTGCCTTATACTTAAAAAAAGTTAAGTATGATATGATTTGATGAGCAAATAATGATTGTCAAGCTAGTCTACCCAAAATTCTCCCAGGCAAAGGTGTTTAGCTTTTGGTAAAGTTGGGTAAAATTCAAGATTTGCAAAAAAAAATTTCTAAGAGTTCTCACTCTCAGTTTTCTTGTTTACCTGCAAAAATACTATGGCAATTTTAATGTGCTTTAAACTTTATGTAAAAGATAAAGATAATACCCACACTTTCTCAGAAATTTGAACTTTTTATTTATATCAGGGCTGGAGCAAGGTGCTTTAGCACAGCCTGATCTGATCAGGTTGAAAATCACTGCTTTAAGGGATGCCCCCAGGCAAAGTTATGAAGTGTAGGAAGATTTATAAGGAGTGAGAAGCTCTCTGTGTCCTTTCCTCAACCACATCACCCTCCCTTCCCTCCCCTCAGTCTCACAGAAGTTCCCCAAAGGTAGGCTGCCCTAATCTAAGTCCATAGTCTTTGCATCAAATGTAACTGTAATGCCCCTTTTTCCATTCCAGCCTGACAAACTAATCACTGGTAACTTGTCCATTACCATTGCCCAGGTAATTGTCTTTCTTTGGGAAACAGCTTCACTTAAATCAGTGATTCCCAATGCTTTGAGGTTTCATGTCTGCTTTATATTCCAATTATTTTGTCACGCCTCCTTTATTGGCCTGAAAAAAAAAAAGGGTCAAAAATATAACTTACCCTTCTCACTATATAATGCCCAAATTATTTTTTTAAATGAAGAAATGTGATAGAAGTAATTTGTAATAAATTAACTTATTTCAATATGTAAAAGCCTAAGCAAGACAGCACTAGAAGCTGTGATGAAGTCCAGTGCTTGCTGTATGTCTAGACTCACAGGGAGAGCCACAAAGGTACTATGGAGTCAATGACAAATACCAAAAACCCCACTCACTGCTCACTATATGCCAATAGCATCCCACAACCACTGATTGTGATAATCACCTCTACCATCAGTTATTTTTCCAAAAAGCCTTTTAAAAACCTAGATCAATGACCCTGATGCAAAGTTGGCTATGTTAGCAACCTCCAGAGAGCTATTTTGACTTAAAGAATGTTTCTCTGGGCCGGGCACGGTGGCTTACGCCTGTAATCCCAGCACTTTGGGAGGCCGAGGCAGGCAGATCACAAGGTCAGGAGATCGAGACCATCCTCGCTAACACGGTGAAACCCCGTCTCTACTAAAAATACAAAAAATTAGCCAGGCATGGTGGCGGGCGCCTGTAGTCCCAGCTACTCGGGAGGCTGAGGCAGGAGAATGGTGTGAACCCGGGAGGCGGAGCTTGCAGTGAGCCAAGATTGTGCCACTGCACTCCAGCCTGGGCGACAGAGCCAGACTCTGTCTCAAAAAAAAAAAAAAAAAATGTTTCTCTGTCTCTCGTACCATGATTATTATAATATTAAGCAAAGCAGTATCTGTGTTTTTATTTTAGGAAAGAAGCATTTTTAGGGTTGAAAGGATGTTTGAAACTTGAGCCCATGAATTTTTGGCCTTCTTTACGCTTTTAGCACTTGGAATGTCATTAGGTAGCTATTTCACTTAGTATCTTCATCCAGATATTTCAGAATGGATTTTCTCTTCCTGCTGTTTCATTGGTATGTGAAATTGCAGGTCGGTTTATTCAAAGGTTTGGAATAAAAAGGTTTCTCTGAACTCTCCTTTCATTGCCAAACATTTTGCTCCAAATCAGGCTTGTTTTAACTGAATTAAGAGGATGACTTAATAAGAAGCTTCTGTGCACAGCAGAGGGTCATGGTAATCGTTCTATAGGGAACAACACAATACGGTCACAAGTCTGCAAAACGTGCCAGAAATGATAGTCATGCCTCATCCAGGCAAGTAAATGCATCCTTCCTGGAAGCAGTCAAGGAGTTGTTTTCTCCGAGTATTGTTATCAACAGTTTGGGGTTGGACTTTACCCTCCTGCGGCCACTTACGTTGTAAAGACGATGAAGCAAATTATTCAAAGCAAATCTATATTTCTTTTTCCTTCCAGAGGGAAAATGATTCCATCTGATCTTGAAAGAAGGATTCTTGAAGCCAAACAGAAAGTAAGTTTCTGCCGGGAGCTTTATCCAGCCCATATTTCTATTTCCATCCACCGGAGAACAAAATGTGTTTTGGTTTTATTTTAAAAAGAGGATCCAAGCCTCAATCTCCCAGGTTTAATGAGAACATAGAATTCTGCATCCAGTCACTATTTATTTCTCTGGGTTATAGGCTCTGCTTTAGAAAAGTTTAAATTGCTGAATAAATATTATATACAGAGATACAGTGAGCGTTTCCAAAGCATTTGTCTTCCTAGGTACTGAGGGTTGGCATGAAACACCCACACATTTGAAAGAATATTTTCAGAGGCGGGGAAATAGCAGAATGCTAATGCAGTATGTGAGAGACCCTGGTGCAGTTCTTCAAAAGGGGCCAGTTTTTCCCGTGTAGGTGCATGCTGTTAGCATTGGCTCTCCAGACGTCTTATTTTGCAGGAAGCAATTTAGAACTCTTTTCAGAAGTAACAAGTTCTGAATGCCTGCCCAAGATTCCCAAAGCTCTAGAAAGTCATTTACAACCTGGGATGGCTCACAAATCAGAGAATTTGTTTCTAGAATTCTTTGTTTACCATTTGGTAGATATAACCTACAGTTTCTGATTTAATAACATACACATGCATTTTATCATTAGGAACTCAGAAATAATGATTTACGTTCATATGCCCTTTTTCGTTTGGTTTTGTTTTACTAAGTGGCAGGCAGCAGGAGAAGGTTTCCCTCCTTGTGCAAGTACTAGAACTACTTCTAGTAACATCAACTAGAAGATTAAACCTTTGCTGCCACCTAAAGACTGACACCATAACATCACGTTCTATAGACAGGACAGAGTCCTTATGGAATGAGGGACTATGGCGATCCTGTTTGTGGCATTCTCCTGCCTTCTTCCAGCCCGTTACTTCAATCAGTTTTCATTTAGCCATGGCCAGAGAGACTGAGGACTAGTTAGACGGATAAAAGTCATGGCGTATTATTTTAGCCGCTCCGTGCTGAAACGTGAAATAAATTATCTGGGCATTTTCCAAATAGGAATAATGGGCTGGTCAGAGCTACTTCTCTTCATTCTCCTGCCTACTCACTCTAGGGGATTTATGAAGTTCAGAGGCCTCGTTGTGAATAAGGAACACTTGAAAGTGAGCAAAGGGGGTTAAAAGGGCCAGAAAGTCTACCGGGAATATATACATGTCTCGGGGACGTCCCTGACAGCCTCTGGGTTCACTACAGCCTCTTCTGAGAATCAGAATGTCTGTTCTTTTAAGACACAGTCAGGTCCAACAGCATAGCCTAGAGAACTCAGATTCCAGAGAGTGAACATCAATTTGTCCCAGACCCCGGGGTGTCAGTAACTCTGCTGCTGCTTCCTCAAATTCAGACGTGTCTGTTAGGGAGAGAATTTCCATTGCTTTGAATCAGCTTTTTAAAAGAACCCTTGACTCTGTTTTCCATGATTTGGGGCTTTCTCGTTCGCACAGGGGTTTGTTCCTTTCCTCGTGAGTGCCACAGCTGGAACCACCGTGTACGGAGCATTTGACCCCCTCTTAGCTGTCGCTGACATTTGCAAAAAGTATAAGATCTGGATGCATGTGGATGTAAGTATCCCTTAGGGACTGGCCACTAAAACGTCCTTGCACGTTTTTCATGTGGGACACACAAAGGAAATTTGTTTTCTCTTTTTTTAACTTGGTCAGCTTATTTTCAGAGTGGTGATATTAAAGCTTTTAAAGCTGGATGAAGCAAATTAGCACACAACTCACACAGTACACACCGTGCACCAGAAGCATCCCAAGGCTGATTATACCTTAATGTCCCCAACATGGTAATATTTGTATTTCTATGATCAGTACCCAAGCTGACCACTTTGTTCTCAATTCATCGAGCCATTGCATCCATGGAGGAATACAACCTACGCACACAGTCCTGCTGTTCCTCACTTACCAGAATGGTCAGAAGAGTAAAGAGGAGTTGCATTTATGTAGGAAACCCAGAGAATTAAAAACAAACAAAAGCAAAAAACTGAAGCTCAAGTTAGATATTCCTGTATTTAGAGAGGAAAATAGGCTTGACAACTTCCTGGGAAATAAGGACCACCAAAGTTCCAATTTCGTAGCTTGGTCAGCTAAGAAGATAGATTATATTTGAAACGTTTTGACTTCAGGCCTTGTCACACTAAAAAATAATGAAGGTGTTCCCTCCAGAACATTTTCCAATGAAAAAAAATGTGTTAAGTTTTAGAAGGACCGAAGGGATTTAAGTTTAGATTAGTATTACTCAAAGTGTGGTTTGACGATTAGCTACCACCTGCAAACTGTTAATGATCCATATGAGATAAAGAGTTTGTGCCAAACCATCATCAGTCACAAACCATCGCTAATCACAAACCATCACAAACTAAGCGCAATGCTTGGCTCAGCTGATAATTTTTTCATTGCAAGACTTTCTCAGTGAAGGAACGCATAAGTTGATGTTCATTCGAGTGCAAGATCCTTATGTTGTCATGGGCCAGCACTGGGTCTAAGCCAGGGCTATAACAATGATCTAGCCCTGGCTTAGATCATTTTGGCTTTATAATAATTATTCAGACCAAATTAATGCTCTTTTTTTTTTCTTTTTGAGACAGAGTCTTGCTCTGTCGCCCAGGCAGGAGTGCAGTGGCGTGATCTTAGCTCACCGCAACCTCCGCCTCCAGGGTTCAAGCAATTCTCCTGCCTCAGCTTCCTGAGTAGCTGGGATTACAGACGTGCGCACCCATGCCCAGCTAATTTTTGCAATTTTAGTAGAGATGGGATTTCTCCATATTGGCCAGGCTGCTCTCGAACTCCTGACCTCAGGTGATCCACCTGCCTTGGCCTCCCAAAATGCTGGGATTACAGGCAGGAGCCACCACACCTGGCCTCATTAATGTTCTTTTCTTTAGGGGCAGAAAATTTCCACAGGCTTAGCTGGGTGCATTTCCATTATTCCAGAGTATTCCTGCAGAGCAATCACCAATGTTCTTTATCCTCCCTGATTCACAGTGTGAGTCGTTCATTAGGCTACCAGAGCCCCTTTCATTTTACACATGAAGACACTGAGAAAAGACTGAACTATCCGATATCATTAGTGACCTGGGCCTCAGGACTGGAAATCCTGGTAGACCTTGCTGGCTGATTCAGGAAGAGGATTACCCGGCAACTTCAAAAATGAGAATGTCTGTGTGTCCTGAGCCAGCAGAAGCTATGGGTTGTTCCTCTGGGCCTCCTACTTAAATTAGAACTAGGGAATCTTTTAACCAGTTTTATTAGCTTTTCTTTGAAACATACCAAGTTTACCACTTACTCTTATTAGCTTTAACATTCATACATTCTATAAAGTAGAAAGAATCTTAAAATAGTACACGTTTGGAAAATCATAATTTTTCAAAGTGCAAAAGAACTGGGCCAGGTGCAGTGTCTCACGCCTGTAATCCCAGCACTTTGGGAGGCTGAGGCAGGTGGATTACCTGAAGTCAGAAGTTCGAGACCAGCCTGGCCAGCATGGTGAAACCTCGTCTCTACTAAAAATACAAAAATTAGCCAGGCATGGTGGTGGGTGCCTGTAATCCCAGCTACTTGGGAGGCTGAGGCAGGAGAATTGCTTGAACCCAGGAGGCAGAGGTTGCAGTGAGCCAAGATCTCACCATTGCACTCCAGCCTGGGCAACAAGAGCAAAACTCTGTCTCAGAAACAAAACAAAACAAAAAGAGGGCTGAACTTACAACAAAAGGTGGGGGGAAGTGATTATATCATAAAAGAATTTTATAATCCATTTAAAATTATCCTAGAATTATTTGTACACACAGAGGAAAGAAAGTTAATATTTCCAAATGAATCTCCATCTTGGCATTCTATTTTTAAAGGAGATTACTACACCAATTCAAATCTTCAACCTTGATCAAGTACAAATTGTTAAGACGTGTTCTAACTGCTCAGCTAATTAACTGGTATGAATCTTCCCTGCTTGTGAATTTTGGACACAGAAATTATCCAAAATCACACATCAGTGAAATAGAGTTATGAAGCCACTTCTTATTTCTGGAATCATTTAGACTTGTCAAAAGAGTTTTCCCTGCAACTTGGAAGCTGTTTAATGGCCCTCCTGCCCATCTTCTCTGCCTTACACTGTGGGGACCACAGGGTTTCGTATTCTGAGAACATGACTTCATGAGGACTAATGGTGCTGGTGATAGGTTTGGGAGAGGGTCTTTCTCTCTCTTCTACGGACCAGGAGCTATGCCTCCAAGGTGGCTCCTTACACCCATATAAATGTGGGATGGAATCTGAGACCTTAGAAGGGCCCTTCGGTGTAAACTCTGAAGGTTAGTGCCAGAAGGAGGTGGTCAACTTCCTAAGTGGCCTGGGGTCAAGATCATTTTCACCTAGAAAGACACCAGACTATAGAAATCTAGGCAATGACAAACTGCTACCATTTTCCTCATATGATTTTTTTTCAGGCAGCTTGGGGTGGGGGATTACTGATGTCCCGAAAACACAAGTGGAAACTGAGTGGCGTGGAGAGGTATGTTGCATTTTTCTTATTAACAACATAAAGTGTTAAAAGCTAACTGTGAAACACAAATTACAGTCAATTTCCAGGAACTTTTGGAATACTGAGTGAACTCACTCTATTCAGTGCTTGTGTTCCTTGCCTTATGTGGTATTACACTCATGAATGTGGGTAAACAACAGAAAAATCAAATATGTAAATATTATGTGTAAACAACAGAAAAATCAGAATACACATCAAGCGACCCAGGTAGAATCTCTTTCAGACATAGAGATTCCTGTCTAGGGTCTATTCCTGGGATCTCTGAACCAACCACAAAAATTGTTTAAAACCTACAGGCAGCCCACGTTTTACTAGGGAGAAGATTTATAGCTTTCATGTTTCATAAAAGGATAATATCCACTGCTTAAAAAAAATAATAATTTTTCAAAGCAAATAAGCACCTTGTAACTTATCAATGTTGAAAGTTTGGGTTTGGGGTCTAAGATGGCCAGTTCACTTAAAGTGAAACATACTAGCAATAGCCTCATCTCATGTTTCATTCCCGTAATAACCTTTCTCTGACACAGCTCCGACTGATGCTGCAAAGCACCTTTTATTTAGAGCCTACGCAGAAGACTGTTGAGAAAAGCTGAAAAACACAAAGGCAGTGATATCTGATTGGCATAAAGCACATTCAGGTCCAAAGAAAAGAGAACAACAGAATGCAAAATACAGGCTCTGGTTCTGAACCACATGCAAGGGGAGCCCAGTTCTCTCATCACAACATGGCAGGTCAGACACAGTGGTGAGCTCTGGCACTCCAAGTGACCAAGAAAGCCTGAATTCATCAGAGGCTGCCAAATGCCCACCATCCCCTGCCAAGTCGCCAGATGCTGCCCAGCAAAAGCGTCACACTGGCTCTGCCACTAGATATCTTGGCACAGTTTCTGTTCCAGGACAAGGAGAGACGCTGATGGAGCACAGAGGCACTTGTGAGCCCTGGGCATGTGGGAGGCCCAGGCCAGAGTGGCTGTGCAGAGGGTGCGATCTGACACCCAGGCCCAAAATACACAGAGAACCCGTGAGTGTGGAAAGAGAGGGGTATGGTTACTGGGCTGGAGTCAAGAGCATCCCACCAAATTAATGGAAAGAAGGCAAAAAAGAGTTGGGATACACCAGCTAAGGCCCATGTCAGAAGGGTCACTGTCCCTGAGTCTGATGGCTGGGGTCAGAGCCTGGCCTGAGCACAGCGGTGTTAAGGCACCTGGAGCCACCCAAGCTCTGATTGCAGGGCCCCATTTAGATGCCAGTGGATGAGGGCAGGTGTGTCTCCCTCCCAGGGTCAGCCAGTGCCAGGCCTCTGCTCTTGGACCCTTGGGGCTTCTCTCAGGCCTAATCCCTTTCCATCTTGAAGATCTGCAAGAAAGCAGAAGCTTAAGGAAGAGGCAATGAAGTAAACAGGGAGAGACAATAAAAGAGAGAGAGAGAACAACTTGGAAGGTGCCTGCTCACATGATCAGAACAATAATTAAATTCATGTGCTTTCAAGAGAGGTGGCCTATGTACAGTACTTTCTCTTCTGTGAGTTTCTGACTGGCACAAAAAGTCTGTTACTTTACCTTTGATGCCACTTGCAACTGTAAGTGCTGAAAGTCCTGGCACATCCTCCACTTAAAAACTCACTAAATTACCTACCCTGAGCCTTAGAAAAATAAACACCCACACGATTCTGTACCAAAGACTATTATTTGAGAGCAAAGCTTAGAACGTTCATCAGGGAACACAGAGTTTCCTCTTATTGCCGCAATTCTTGAAACTGTACTGTAACTAAACTTTTCAAATGGAATAACCATATATGAAGTCCTAAAAATGAGGGGGCTGCTGGTGTTCCACTCTGAGCAGAATCCCCTTTAGCCACCCATTTAACTGAGGATACCCCTCTCTCACTGACTTATTAGCAAAAGGCATACTTTCTAAGTGAATACAGTTGGAAGACCAGTGGAAACCACATAATGTGTATGGCCACAAGTTTAGGAAAGAAATGTGTCTCACTTAGGGAATGACATTTTTCCAAGCTCCGCAAACCAAAGTTTAGAACTCACCCTAAAAGTAGAAGAAATCCGTAGTCAATTCTTGTCCCCAAATCCAGAGGATCCTTAGTAGTCACAGAGGATCCTGAATGCCATTCTCATACAAAATGGCACAAGGGGGCCGGGCACGGTGCTTGTAATCCCAGGACTTTGGGAGGCAGAGGTGGAAGGATCATTGAGGCCAGTTCAAGACCCTTCTGGGTAACAGAGTGAGACTCCATCTCTACAAAAAGAATTTGTTTTTTTTAAATTAGCCAGGCATGGTGGTACTCATGGCTGTGGTCCTAGCTACTCAGGAGACTGAGTGAGGCAGGAGGATCACTGGAGTCCAGGAATTTAAGGCTACAGTGAGCTATGATGGCACCACTGCACTCCAGCCTGGGCAACAGAGACCCCATCTCTAAAAAAATAAAAATAAAAATAAATAAATAAATAAAATGGCACAAACACCTGGAGCCCTTTCTGGCATCCCCTTCAAGAACCAACCAAATTCTCAGAAAACAGCTCTCTTCCTTGCTAGCACTGTCAGAATGTCGAGAGATGGTGCCGCTGAGAGGGCACGCCACAAACCCTGAGACTCCAGAGCATGACTCTGTGCATTGTATTTTTATTTATTTTTATTTTTATTTATTTATTTTTGAGATGGAGTCTCACTCTGTCACCCAGGCTGGAGTGTGGCAGCGCAATCTTGCCTCACTGCAACCTCTGCCTCCCGGGTTCAAGCAATTCTCCTGCCTCAACCTCCTGAGTAGCTGGGGTTACAGGTATGCGCCACCATGCCTGGCCAATTTGTTTGTTTGTATTTTTAGTAGAGATGGGGTTTCACCATTTTGGCCAGGCTGGTCTTGAACTCCTGACCTCAAGTGATCCGCTCGCCTCGGCCTCCCAAAATGCTAGTATTACAGGCGTGAGCCACCGCGCCGGCTTCTGTGCATCAGACTGACGCGTCTTTAGTCTCTCCTGCCCACAGGCTGCTGCTTACCGTAATCATCCTCTGATGTGTTCCACTCTCAAGGCTTTAAGTCGCAGCTGAAGGTGCTGGTACAGTTTCTGCTGCATCACCAGTTGCTCTCACTCCTGCCCTGAGAGCCAGGTGTTCAGGATTTAATTCGATCATTGCTGAACCTCTGTCATAGGCAAGCCACAGCACAACGCACTGCATGGGTGCAAAGACGAGTATGATATAAAGCCTATCTTCAAGGAGTTCAGAATCTAGTGGGGAAGATTGTCAATGAACAGTGGATTAAAATTCAAGGCAAGGAAGTAAAGGCTGGAGAGACAGACGTGGGAGCTGATTGGAGAGCACAGAGAAAGGAATGTTTCCTTCTGTGATTACAGGGAGCTTTCACCAAGCAGGGCAACATTGTAGCTCAGCATCATAGCATACAGGGTACTTCATCGGGCAGAAATGGAAAAGGGCATTCAGGCTGAAGAGACACACAAGTGTGAAAGTGCACAGTGTGTTGGAGAAAGTTCAAACCCGTTTGGTTGGAGGATGCCATGGTTTAACAGCTGTGGCCAGGTCATGGGTGGAAAGTGCAGAAGTCTTGGCCAGCCCAGGGCCCGCCCGCAGAGCCAGGTCAGAATCTGCGGGGGTTCTTTCCACGAAACATAGATCCCTGAGCTGGGAGTCACTGCTGTGTGGCTGCCATTATGCGTGGAGAGCATTAGATTCCTTGGGGCGACAAAACCCATGGAAAACCTTTGCTGCAGGAGCCGTAGTGGGCTTTGAGCAGAAGTGCAATGTGATCTCACCTGTGTTCTGGCATTAACTCTGCATTAGAGAGGAGACGGGAGCCAGGGACAGACTAGAAGCTATTAAGCTCTTAGGAACGTCCAGGTGCAGGACAGGAAAGAAGCTGAGTGTGACCTAAGCTGTAGTAGCAGAGAAGGAAGTAAGTGGATGGACCTAGGAGAGGGGGAGAGAGAACTGTAAGGGGCGGTATAGAGACGGGGAAGAAAAGAGTGAAACTAAGGACAACAGTGAGGTTTGGAGGCTGGAGGCCTGGAAGGAAAATGGTGCCAGGAACACAGAATATAGAGGAGAAAGAATCAATCTAGAAGGTTGAGCAGTGGCGATTGGGGCCTATGGATTTGAGGCAGAAATAAGAGCACAGGGAGATGTCTTAAAATAGCCCTGCGGGATTCAGTTCTCTCCAACTTACACAAACTGCAGAAGCCGCATGACCGAATCCCACAGCAAAACATTTTGAAATGAACCTGAGGCTGTTTTTTTTTTTTAAATAAATTGCCAACATTTCTGAAATCAAGTCCATGTCATCGAATCAATCTGCAGGGCTTTTTGCCATCTTTATGCCTCTGAGAGGGAGGTGGGACAGAGAATTCAGTGACAGGTAGTTGGGGGCCTTGGCAGCTTCTCTTCTAAAAAGACAAATAGGCCCCCACGTAGAGATAAACACCACAGCCAGACATGGAAGACAGCTGTTTTCCTCTCCCATCAGGCATTCTTACTGACAAAGCTGAGTTTATCCGAATTAGACATCTAGCCATAGAACATGATGGAATGTATAGAATGGCCATGTGTACGTGCATGCACGGTGTCACCAAGCTCACAAATGACAGAGATGAAATCCATAGCAAAAGCCAACCTTATTTAATGCTTACTGCATGTTAAGCACAGTTCTAAGCACTTCACCTAAATACATATTATTATTCTCCTTTTCTAGTTGAGGAAATCTAGGCACAGAGAGGTTAAGTAACTTGCTCAAAGTCACACAGCCAGGAAGTGATGAAACCTGAACGCAAACCCATACTATCTGGCTCCTGAGGGCTTCCCCCTTAACTATTATGTCTGCTTTATAGCCCAGGGTCCTGACTCCAGGGTCATTCTACAAAGCAAGGAGGTATTTTTTTGGAGGGAACTTTCCAATACCTCAATGCTGTTATTACTCATTAAGTCCTTTAGTCTTCTCTCCAGGGGTAGTTATCTGACCATGAACTGCCTTTGCTTCTAGTTCCTCAATTCCAGTCGTAAATGTATCTGACAACCAGTGTCAGAGCCAGAGAAAGACCAGAAGCTGAGCTAGACTATTCGTTGGCCCAGATGAGATCCCCAGGCCAGTGAGCGCTCTCTGACTGTCTGGCTGACACCTGCCCTTCATCAAATGAATGAATCGGGTCTTTCCCAGCTTCTCATTTTTTCCCAAGGCCATCACACCCGAGAGGTGGGAACTGGATGAGCCCACGTCCATTGTACGGCCAGACAGGGCAGCAATCCATGGCTCTCTGGAGGCAGCTGCCACGGGTTATTCTACTGTAATACTTTCCTTCCTCCTTTATGCCACTCATGAAACTCCACTGCCAGGACCCGTCAGTCTCTCCGGAGACAAGCGTAGAGGCTCACCTTACCCAGTAAATGTGTGAAGTGAGCCATGACATTCACAGTGGGAGCAGTTGCTTTTCCCAGAATCCAAACAGGAGCACGGTGGAAGTGAGGGAGAGAAGCCGCAGAAGTTAAACAAAGCCACAGAGATCATACTGAAAGAATCTGGGGCCTTAAAAAATAAGCAAGATTTAACAAAGTGAAGCAAAGGGAGATGGTGTTCCAGGAAGAGGAAACAGCATGATGAGACCCAGGAGTATGAGAATAGAATTCTCTGAGAACAAAAGTTAATCTGGCCTGATGAAATGGGTAAAGAAAAGCGAAGAGACCCAAGACCTAAGGCGTAGCTGGGGCTCACCCCAGGGGCTGCAGGAGCCGTACCCTGTATTTGGAATTTGGGCTGGAGGCAAAAGAAAACTGTCAGTGATTTCAGAGAAGGAGAGGGCCATAAACAGAGATAGAAAATAATTCTGGTGCCAAGTGAAGGATGAAATGAAGACCGAGTCAGTTATGACACAATTGCTGAATCCAGATTAAAATAATAATTATTATTAAAGGAATCTGAACCAGGACTACAGCTCAGACTTTTGAAATAATGTAAATCCCTGAGCACGGAATCGCTGTTGTGTGATCCACTGTTACTGATGAGAGAGCATCAAATTTCCCCAAGGCATGAGGCAAAAAAAGATGGAACTCTCCCCTGCTGTGGGAACCACACACATCTCACCTGCAGTCTGGAAAGAAAATAACTCTGGATTAGGAAACAGATGGAAGCAGGGGCCTTGCCAGAAGCTACTACAAAAGGACGCATCTGAGAAATTTGGACATCAATTGATTAGAAAGGAAAGATCGAGTTAAGCAGTGGAATGAGCCCTCTCTTTGAGCTCCAGGACACTGCAATAGCAAGAACCATAGAGGCACAGGAGGCAGCTGCCCTCACTGGCCAGGTGCTCTGGCCATCACTGGCCAAAGGAGGGACCCTGGACTGGAGGATCCCAATCACTCTAAGCTGTGCTCTGAGATCACCGTGGAGGCAGGGTGCATGCTGCCACTGGAGCAGGGGCACACCACATGGAGACCCACGCCCTCACCTGCTATTTCTGTGGACAAAGAAAAGTTGCAGTGTGAACTCCAAAAAACTGAGACAGGTCTCAGTTAATTTTGAAAGTTTATCTGGCCATGGTTGAGGACGCACGCCCGTGACACAGCCTCAGGTGGTCCTGACAACATGTACCCAAGGTGGTCAGAGCACAGTTTGGTTCTATGCATTTTAGAGAGATGTAAGAAATTGGTCAACATATGTAAGATGAACACTGGTTTGGTCTGGAAAGGAAGGACAACTCGAACTGGGGAGGGGCCTTCCAGGTCATAGGTAGCTAAGAGACAAATGGTTGCATTCTTTTGAGTTTCTGATTAGGCTTTCCAAAGGAGGCAATCAGTTATGCATTTATCTCAGTGAGCAGAGGGGTAACTGAATAGGATGGGAGGCAGGTTTCCCGTAAGCCGTTCCCAGCTTGACTTTTCCCTTTAGCTTAGTGATTTTGGGGGTCCGAGATATTTTCCTTTCACACATATTTAAGAGTCTACTTTGTGTTTACTAAATACAGTATCATGGGAGCATGGGATGGGGGTGAGGGTTGAAAAATTACCTATTGAGTACAGTGGTCACTATTTGGGTGCTGGGTACACCAAAAGGCCAGACTTCACCACTACGCACTATATACGTGTAATAAATCTACACTTGTACCCCCTCAATCTATTTAATTTTTAAAATTAAAATAAATAAATACATTTAGTGTCAATCTGGAGTCTGAGAAACAATACCAAGAAACTGAAGCTCAGTTGCGCATGCCCTGAGCCTGTCAGGGTGGAGTGCCACCCGCTTATGTGATTTCTTTATTTTAGGGCCAACTCTGTGACGTGGAATCCACACAAGATGATGGGAGTCCCTTTGCAGTGCTCTGCTCTCCTGGTTAGAGAAGAGGTATGTCTCTCTTGACTCTGTGTCCCAGTCCGTGCGTGGGCTTTGACTGTCTTTATGCGGTTGACTTTCTCTGGAAATGTCAAGATCACCGGGTCTTCTCTATGGTCCTACTCACATTCCCCAGAGAGCCCTTTCTAGATTCCTGTCTGCAGGGTGAAGGTCTGGTGCCTAACAGGGAAGAAAGGATAAGAGGACCTCAAATTTCAGAACATAAACTTTGACCTAATCTCCATGTTTTCAGTATGATACCCCTTTCCTCAACTGTTCCTGCATTCCTCCAATCCAGAGACCCTCTATGTCACTCTCCCAAAAAATTAAATTTCCAGGTTTTTTTTCTGGAATCTGAGAGGAGATCATTTTTCCTATATAACAAATATACATGATATAGGATTAAGGGTGGTGGTAGGATCCAGATACATAACATGTATATGTATGTGTGCATGTTCTGATTACAGTCAGATGATTAATCTGTAATCTCTGATTACAGATGATTACAGTCTATCTATTTAATATTTAAAGCCATGTTCAAAGTGTAAGGAAGCTGCATCCTTATTAACCAGAAAAGAGAAGCAGCATCAATGAGCACTTTCATGAATGAAACCATCTTGAAACCATCTTGAAAGATGGTTCTGTTCACCAGGCCTAGGACCATTCTCAGTAGGTGAGCACTGTTGGTCAAGGCCACTACATCTGCCTTCCGTGACGCCAGGCCGGACTCATAGTTCCTCACTCCCACATTTATTTTGTTGATGAAACCCAAATAAGGAGCTTCAGATGATCCCCATTCAATTTTATCTTCTTAGCATTAATAAAGCAACCCCAGATTAAAAGAAATTTTAAATGTTGATCTTCATTTACTTTTTTTTTCTTTTTGAGACAGAGTCTCATTCTGTCACCCAGGCTGGAGTGCAATGGTGCGATCTTGGCACACTGCGATCTCTGCCTCCTGAGTTCAAGCGATTCTCATATCTCAGCCTCCCAAGTAGCTGGGAATACAGGCACCCGCCACCACACCTGGCTAATTTTTGTGGTTTTAGTAGAGACAGGGTTTTCACATGTTGGCCAGGCTGGTCAAGAGCTCCTGGCCTCAAGTGATCCGCCCACCTCAGCCTTTCAAAGTGCTGGGATCACAGGCATGAGCTACCATGCCCAGCCAAATATCTATCTTCATTTACTTAAAAATATTTTGCTTTGTTCCTAGTTATACAGTTAATACATTATTTTAGAAAGTTGAGGCAGAACAGAAAATATAAATAAATTTAGAGTCACCTCAAATTTGTGTAACTTAGGGATAACCATTATTACCATTTTTAATATTTTCTCCCACAATTTTTTCTAGAAATAAATATATTTAAAAAGTATAAATAAATATATATTTATAATAAAGTTGCTATCATCTACCTCATATACCTCATATATACATGTTGATTCTTCTTTATATTTTACATTATATTGTGAGCATTATCTTCCAAAACCTGATTTTAATGGCCTCATATTATTCTATCACATAATTCAATGAACAATATCTCTATGGTTAAAATATTAACCAATGTTTTACAGAGTCACTTGATAGAATCCTTAAACATATACCTTTGATCACATTCCTGATTATTTTCTCAAAGTAGACTCCTCAATGTGGGATTGCTGGGTCAAAGAGTGTTATTACTTCTGTGGTTCTTAATACCTCCTGTTGTCAACTTCAAATTTACACAGCACGCCTTCTGTGTCTTCATCAGTAATAAAAATATGGACACAGGATTGAAGACAGCAACTTCCCCTCAAAATGAGATGAATGCATTGGAAAATATCCTTTTGGACTGGTTTTTCATCAGTTAAAAATCCAGTCCAATGTATTATCATCTGCCCCAGCTCATGCAGGGCATGAGACCTCAACTATAATTACTTCAAAGGAGAAAATAAATTTTTGTTATTTAGAATTCAGCCAGATGTTTTGACAGTGGCTCCCATCATGTCCTTACAGACCAAAAGGGAAATGCGAGCCGGAGGAAAATAGAAAGATTTGGAACTGATTAGATGACTGCATTGGAAGGATCTACTGACTGGCAATTTGATGTTACCCAGGATAGAGCCTATGGCTTGGTACCTAACCTGTAGCATTCGAAATATTCACGGACTGTTTGAGTAAAACATAGAAGCTTATTAATGTTTCAGATGAGAGGAGACTGGGAGGTAGAGTAAATGTGTGTAGGAATGGAATCAGAATACAAGATGATTTTTACAGACTGGAGCAGTAAGCCACATCCAAAAAGGGACACTGTTATTGGAGACCATTGTAAGGCTGTGCTCTTAGGTCCATGTATACCGTGGCTGTATTTTGATTGGACAAGGAAGGCTTGTTTCTACAGCTAAATTGTTGGACTTGTGAAAAAGGCAAAGGATATCAGCTCTACAGGGTCAACAACGAGTCAAGAGAAAAATGCCACACAAAATACATTAATGAGTTACAGCAAGTGGAATTTCAGCATGAGAAGGTGGTGGTCTCCCACCCTCCTCTAGTTAAACCACACCTGCCATGCTCTGCTTAGCTTGGTACCAAATTGTCCATGGGGTTCCATCAAGCTAGAGCCCAAACTGTGGGGACCATTTGGTAAACGTGGAAGAGGGATGATTGAAATAGCTAAAGATGTTTAGCCTAGAGAGGAAAAGAAAAGAAAAGGGCTGAAGGGAGGATGGCAGCCTTCACCATTTAAAGGACTCTCAAATGGAAGAGATTTGGAAATGATTAGATGACTGCATCAGAAGGACCTACCGACTGGCAATTTGATGTTACCGTTGAGGCTGTGGGGAGCTGGTTTAGTAACACCAGGTGGTAGAGATTTGACAGCAAAATCAGAACATCTGACTTGGGTTCAATAAAAGGAATACTTCTAAAAATTAAGCTGTCCAACAATAGGAATAAGTTAATAAGGGGAGGAGATTAAATAGAGAGATTGGACAGCCACTTATTAGTAAGGGTGTAGAAATGATTCCTTTATTGAGGAGGAATAGAGTAAACGAGCTCTAAATTCCCTTACAAATCCAAGACTTTATGATGCTCTGACAGCATTTGTTTATTGGCATCCAAGGAATAATGCTGTTCCATAAGATGGTAATAAGAGTTCCCCAATAAGAGAGTTCTCAGTTTTAAAAAGGCTGGGATATATTGGTTTAGAGTTAAAAACAACTTATGTTATTTCAGGGCTTACTGGGGCCCTTAATATGCTGATAATTATTGCAGTATCTAAGAAGAAAGACTAGATGATATCGAGTTTCCTAAATTTATTTGAGCACGGGAATCTCTTTATGTACAGCAACTATTAATGTGTTTTAATGTGTTTTAAATAGTTTGGGACAGGATGGTCTATAACTTTTTCATGGCTCAGAACCAGGATATCATCTCACTAAGGCCTTCTGTAGGGAAAACAGCATCACTTTTGCTTGTCATGTTGTACAGTAATGAGACTGCGGCTGTTCAGCTTTTTTTTTTTTTTTTTTTTTTTGAGACGGGGTCTCTTTCTCTGTCGCCTAGGCTGAAGTGCAGTGATGTGATCTTGGCTCACTGCAACCTCCACCTCCTGGGTTCAAGCGATTCTCCTGCCTCAGCCACCCCAGTAGCTGGAACTACAGGCACCCACCACCGCCCAGCTAATTTTTTGTATTTTTAGTAGAGATGGGGTTTCACCGTGTTAGCCAGGATGGTTTCAATCTCCTGACCTTGTGATCCACCCGCCTCGGCCTCCCAAAGTGCTGGGATTACAGGCATGAGCCACCGCACCCGGCCATCCAGGTTTTTTAGGGCTCATGTGTTTTTGAGTTGTTTTCTTTATCACAGTAGGAATAGGTCTGATCCATTCAGCATTCCACACTCTCTGAGGTGGTCTTCCTTAGTATTGATGGCACGAAGGTGTGAGCTTGCATGGCCTGAGGAATAATGGTACAAAGTTTCTGTGACCATGAAACCAAATAAAAGTGAGTGTTGCAAATTTTCACCTTATTGGTCTTCAAGTGAATTTTCTTTTTTGAGTTCAGTATATTTCTACTGATCTAATACAAATACATCGTATTTAATTTTTCTTATTCTGAAAAATAATGAAAGGATTCCAATATATGTGAAGCCTAAACTACAAGGTAGAGTCCAGTTCTGTTGTCTACCATTTCAGCACTCCGTCTTTCAAAACCAAATTAAAATTGTAGTTGCATTGCATTGTGTTTTAGTGTGGACAGTTTTCAGAAGTGTTCTCAGTTTTAACTTCAACTAAGTGATGACACTTTAGTCTTGTCTTCTTTTGTCGTGAGTCACAAAAGAAACAAAACCAAATGCCAAAGCTTTTGTAAAATCACAATTAGACAGAAGAGAACAAAATAGTCAAAGGCTTCCAGTGTTTCATGACAAATTGAAACACGGGGTTTTTAGTGAAGAGACTGTCGATACTATTTTAGTCGGAAAACATGATTCAGTCACTATTCTCTGGAATAATTCAATCACTTTGCCACCCATTTCCATAGTAAGGTTACAGTGCCAGGGCAAATGAATGGCCATTGACGATGAAACTTTCCACTTATCTATCTCAAGGAACTGAGTATGCGAATGCAGGACTGAAGCTCTGACCACTCTTGAGAGAGGAATATGACATTTGAAAGATTGGTTATTTAAATTCACCTCAAAATTGCAATATGTGGGTTTTTTTTTTTTTTAGATTTTAGCATATAAAAATGATAGCAATGAGCTGCCTTAAAAGCTATGATTTCCAAAGGGAGCTCAAACTCCCTAACAGCTAAATGATAAAGTACTTGAACTAGATATGGATGGAAATACTGGAAGAACCACACTAATAATATTTCACAAAACCAAAGAGTTTCCAAAATATTTTAATCATGACAAAACCAGAATAGTAGGATATTCTCCCAAAGAAGGGGAACATTTAAATATAAATATATGCTCTGGTTGTGATTTTTATTTATCAGTTGATTTTTATAAATGCCTTCTCTTAAAAGGGAGAGTAAAAGTATAAATGTGTCCTTGCTAACCTCCGTGACATTTGACCCTGAGCCATTGATCCCACAGAGTTGACCATTACAACAACCTAGACACTCCTGTCCAGAATTGCCCCCATTCTTTTTTTTAAAATTGATTCTTACTGTTTTCTTTCTCTAAGATATGCAATGTCTCTTACTTCTTTTTTCTTATTAATTTTTACCAATATAAATCTAATAAGTAGTCAGTAGAATTTCCTAAATTTTCTCTTCTCTCTTGTAGGGATTGATGCAGAATTGCAACCAAATGCATGCCTCCTACCTCTTTCAGCAAGATAAACATTATGACCTGTCCTATGACACTGGAGACAAGGCCTTACAGTGCGGACGCCACGTTGATGTTTTTAAACTATGGCTGATGTGGAGGGCAAAGGTGAGTATGTATGGACCAGCTAAATGTCAACTAAAAACAGAACCTTTATCTGGTGACCCCATTATGAAATGTCAAAAAAGTGATTTCCAAATTGAAATTTCCTTACCCAAGATTTGCTTTCTTTAAACTTGCGTCTAAATACCTTCATTTGACATGAGGAAAAATATAGTCAAATCCATTGTTTGTTTCTTTTCTAGCCAAATTGATTCAAATGCTCACTCATCTGGAAAACAAATCCATTTTGCTTTATATAGCAGAACACCTTGAATTTTAACAGGTGTTTATTGTTATTGTTGTTGGCTTTTGTCTGCTAACTTGGTTTTTACCCAGTGATTGATCACCTGGGTAGGTGAATGCAATCTGAAAGTATAGGTCTGGAGAACAAAAAAGAAAAAGTAAAAAGCCCACCATGATAGCTTATTTTTTGACATTTCAAGGGATAACCTCTAGTTACAAAGCTTTTTATTTCCCCCTAATCTCCCAAAATACCTAATCACCTCCTTTTATGTAGATTCTGAGTTTCCCTCTGAATTTAGCTGTAGGTGATCCCTCCTTTTTTCAGCAAGGAAAACTCACTAACTAACAGTGTGCAGGACTTGCTTAGACTTAATTGTAGCTTTCCAGGAGCCTACATTTATGTTTAAATGTAAGCAGGCTGGATAGGTCAAAGATTTTATTTTTAATTTTGACCAGATTCTTAACTTAAAGGTCACAAATTAGTGCCTGCCCATCCGGCTTCATTTGTCTCCTGTAGGAGATAAATAGACAGAGCCAGCTGTATATACTATAGAAACTCCAATGCAAAAAGAGAGTTCGAGGAAACCTGACATAAGAAAGTGAGAAAGGGGGCGATTAAAGGTGTCAACCTTAATAACAGAGAGAGTCTCTCTAAGAGAAAAGATGTTGATTTGGAAATAAAGCATTGCAATAGGAATACATGTGCCATAGTAAACTCTATGCACATTCAAAGGAGGTAAAGGAAGGCAAAAGTTTTTAAAGGAAGAAATGAGGAAGATTACATAATTGTTTTGAGATAAATATCCTTGGCTACAAAGATCAATAACAAGGGTGATGCCAGTCCGAGGCTGGATAGGCAATTGCTAGGCAGATGTCCTTGCAGAAGTATTTTTTTGTATGTAAGGTTGTGGTGGCCTTTGAGCAAGGTTGCCATTTTTGCAGTCTTATGTGACAGTTTTTGTTATCTGGTATACAAGGCATGAGAACCCTCTCTTCATGGTTTTCCCTGGCTCTATCTATCAGGATTTTCTTAGCATTAGTGACTCCATTTTGATTCTAACAACATTCACAAGGGAAATCTGGGATACCATGAGGTCCTTTATGCTTGGTGGAGTGGATATACATTTGGCTCTAAGGTGTGTAAATAGCCTACTTAAAGAGGTAACATGCTCAGTCCCATAAGAAAAAGCAAATAACTTGGTCAGCAGGAGGGAAGTATACCAGGATAAGACCAGTGAATGGGTTCTTCCACAAGTCTGTGTAAAAAGGTAGGAACCATGTCCACGGCAATGCATTCCTTATGCTTTTGTTTATAATTTTTTTAAAGTAACCTAAATTACTTTAAGCAGTTTAGATGATGGGATTCTTAACAAGAAAAAGAGGGAGTTTTCGAGTGAAGCAATGTGACCCACAAATATTTTATGGAATCTCCTTTAAGTCCATTCTGGCAAAAAGATGCAGTTTAAACAGAAAGATGGTCTTGCTTAAAGAAGAAATAACTCTTTAGTGGTTTCCAAGGATGGCTGGACTGTACATCCTTCAGGGAAGCCTCCTTAATACTGTTTACTCCAGCTGAACTTTTTACATGTTGCTAAATATTAGGCAGCTACAAGAAGCTAAATATCAGGAGCTTTACATGAAGTGAAGCTCCACTGTGTTGCCTGGTAATGGTGGGGTGACGGGCCCCCTTCCTCTTTTGAAAATTGACAGCCCAACAAGGACAGGTATCTGGTCCCCACCACCTAGTGGGAGACTCATTCTGCTAGCAATGACACTTTCATTTGGAAGAAAAACCCAAAGCAGTCAAGAATGTAAAGTATTGATGTACCTCCAAGCAGCTTTAAAATGAGCAGGGTTTTCATTTCATTGATTGGTGGGAATTACAAAATGATGAATGTAAATATCAGGTAGCAAGCTGAGGAAACCTTGATCTCTGAATATTGTGCCA
Source organism: Homo sapiens (assembly GCF_000001405.40). NCBI lineage: Eukaryota > Metazoa > Chordata > Mammalia > Primates > Hominidae > Homo > Homo sapiens. The sequence goes on from NC_000010.11 coordinate 26,288,680, forward strand.
AGTTCTCTCTTACTTCAAGTATCATTCTTTGTGGCTTTTTTCCCCTGTGGTGTTTTTATTACGGTAATGATCATCAGTGATATTTATAGGAAAACGTTTCTCTCATGGTTCATCAGTTTCTGCTGCTCCCTTTCCATCTGAAGCCTCCTCTCCAGCAGGGGCAGCACAGTTTCTTAGAGAAATAATATGGAGGGCATCAGGTGTGAATCGAACAGCAGGACCAGATGAAGCCCAAAATAAAAGCAAGAGCCCCATGAAGGCACCAGGGAAGGGGATGAAAAGAGCAAATCACAGCCACTGTGTTACTTATTCTTTTACTTACTTGTGGAAACACCGCAAGTATCTAGACATCTAGCCGCAAAAACTTCCATTTTGTTTTTCAATCTAAACCTTTGTGAGTTTTTTTTTGAAAAACGAAATGATAATCATTATTAAAGTAATAAGCTAAGTCCTACAATCTAGATCAAAGGTGAGGAAAATTGTACTCTCACAGCAAAGCTCTCTCTCTAGCCACACTGGCCAAGGAAGAAGTCATCCTCTTCCCGCAAGAAGAGCCATGAAAGAGTTGGCTATGATGTTGAATCTTGCCTCCCCACAGGAATGAGGAAACAATCTGGAAAAGATTAAGGAGGAGAAGGAGGAAGAACATAGCATTAATTCACTAAACCCTCTGTTGTCAGACATGCCTGGAGAATTCGGTGTTTTCCACATTTTCTCCTAAGATAAACCCCATGAGAAATAGCCTAAGTATAAATTATTCTTTGAACTAATCTGCTAATGACTAATGGAGCTAAATGCACTGATGACAGCCATCATATTAAGTCCAAATTAACTTGATTAGAACCAATTTATGCAAAAAATAAGACCCCTGATTTAGGTTGCTAAGCGGCATACTAGCTGGTTAAGATATGGATTTTTATTATCATCAGCAAAGGCCCAGTGCCTACCGTTGACTCTCCTCTTACGGAGTTGGCCTTTCATTTTGTCTGCATTTTATTAAATAATCCTAGGACCTAATGATTATTTCCCAATGTTGACAGATTTCTACGGTGGCTAAAACTCAGTAGCTAACAAAAATAAGTAAATAAACTTAAAATTACATCTCCCCCCCACCTTTTTTTTTTTTTTTTTGAAATGGAGTCTTGCTCTGTTGCCCAGGCTGGAGTGCAGTGGCGTGATCTCAGCTCACTGCAGCCTCCATCTCCCAGGTTCAAGCGATTCTCCTACATTCCCTTTTCAGGCCTGCAGGAATAACTTCATTTATAACAACCAAGGTTTCATAGCAAATCTCTGTGTTTGTATGTAGTCATACAAATAGTCAGTTTTCCTTGTGGTTTTTTTATGATTAGCTTTTCTAATTAAAAATGTGGATAACAGAGGGACTGGCAAATGGCTGTGAAAAAAAATACCAGGAAAAAAATATTAAAGGGAAATGGACATCTGGCATCCTTTGCTGAAAATGAATGTTTACTTTCTCTCTAAAATATTAATTTATTTTAACAAGTAGATATTCAGCATCTATTATCGTGTCTAGTACTGAATGGGATAAGAAGGCTCTCATTTTCCAGACAAGATAAGATAAATGCACAGAAATCCATCATAAAAGACAGATTAGGACTGATCACAAAAGAAATCCAGACACATCTGGGGAATTTAAAGGACGGAGAGCTCATTCCTGGTTTAAGAATCAAGATGATTCACAAAGAGATGACCTTTGAGATAGGACTTGAACAGGATAGGTAGAAGAAGTAGGATTTCACCCAGCAGTGCTGTGAGAAGGCCATTCCACGGAGTGGTTGAGCAGGAGTTCAGTGCATATTATGAAAGTGAGGGAAAGTCTAATTGACTGAAGGGCGACTTGGGAGCTATGTTCCAGGTGAAAAGTAACAGAGCCTGAACTAGGGTGATAGCAGCAAAAATTGAGATAACAGCAAGGGATTCGGTAGTTATTTCAAAAGCACTGTCTCTGGGGCCTGTGAATGTTTATAAAAGCATTTCAAGAAGTGGAGAATGATCATGACCAGCTCTCAAGATGTCAAACCCCAAGACCACATAGAGGCAGCAGCTGAACACTTGGATGGTGAGATTGCTGAAGTATTTAATGAATGAAAGAATTTTGAAGAATCTCCTAAAAGCCTTCAAAACCTTGAAAATAAAATGTGGATCTTAATCCCATAAATATTCAATATGAACGGGAGGCACCCAGGGCACACTAGAGTTTTCTGTGTCATTCCCCATGTATATCTTTAGCCCCCAACTAAAGGGGCAGTCACATGGCCCATGATCATCCCCATAGCAAGGTCCCAGACCAGGGGAACCAGAGGTCTTTAGTAATCCCATTGCTGTTGCAGTGCAAACTCTTCTTCATGGGAAATCAGAGAGGCATCATCATTCCCATCTGATCAGAGAGTTGGCCAAAGCCATTCATCTGGACAGGGTCAGAGGCAAGCTGGTCATGCCATATCCTAGATCAGATATGCAAAAGTTTAAACCCAACTCCAGACTGGTCCAAAGGATCCAGGTTGGAGAAGAGCAATTAGCTTCCCTCACTTCTACCTACAGTCCATCCCAAGTGAACCCAAACTGTCAGGTCATTCCAAACCAATTATAATCTCCTTAGCACCCATAGATGCAGAGAGCTCCTGGTATGGGTGCTGGCCAAGCATCAGGCATCAGCCCAAGCTCTTCTTGGGGAGGCATCAGGAACCCATCAGCCTCCTTGAGCCGATTACCTGGGGGAGCAGTCTCCAAAGAAGTGAATTTCTGAACCCATTTGATATCTCCAGGGCAGCTTGTTCTTAAACCTGCTTCAGATGTCACAAGTCACTGGGCTATGTTGGGCCCCCTTAGCTGAGATGATGTGATCTTGTATGAAACAGGCAAGTGGGCCCATCTCATCTCCATTACAATTGCTTTCTCTAGGTTCTCTGCTGGAGAAGTTACTGGTAGGCAGGTTCAAAGTGCTTCTGAGATGAGCACTGGCTTTTACTCTTAAGCTTTCTCCATCAGCACCCAGTAAACACCCAAGGAGATAAGAGGAAAGCCATTTTGAAAAGTAACTCTCTTGTGTGTCCCGATGTCAGTTAAACAGCTCCAGTCCAAGACTGTTGTGTTGGTTTTCCCAAGTCTGGATTCAGAGCTTCCAGAGCCAGAAACTAAAAGAAATCAGTGATAATGTTCACCCATTACAGACACGTGAGTCATTTATCTGCCCCCAAAGGAGAACTGTACAGAGCTCGACAGGCTAACAAAGCATCTGGGTGCTCCCTAAAATTCCTGCATCCATTTGTTCAATGAAGTCAGTGAGCACCTACCCAATTTTTTCTGTATCAGGTACACTGGCAGACAAAGATGGGCTCTGGGAATGGAAAATGTGCACGTTGGAGGGGAACTAAGCAGGCATTCTGGGGGGTCTCTGGTGATGCTTTTTATCTGCAGGAAGAGAGTAGCTCAGCCCTCCTGTTATTAATGACTTCCATGATTATTCCTATGAATAGCAGAGGCACATTTTCCTCTTGAGTAGTCAAACTAATTGCCTGGGGAATGGAGGCTCTGGAAGAAAAGGAGTTCCGTGTAGAAAGCAGTAATGAAAGGGAACAAAAGCACCTGACGGGGAGAGCATTGAAGAGAAAATAGCGCTGAAAAAGCCTTTGGAAACAGCCTTGTGTTGAGAAAGTGCCAGACGGGGCTAAGACAGAGACGGCAGGATGACGGTCAGTCTCCAGGGAAATCGCTTCCTCCGCACTCTTAGCCTGCTTAATGAGCTGTGTCCTTCTCTTACCTAGGGGACTACCGGGTTTGAAGCGCATGTTGATAAATGTTTGGAGTTGGCAGAGTATTTATACAACATCATAAAAAACCGAGAAGGATATGAGATGGTGTTTGATGGGAAGGTATGTATTTGGATTTCTACAATCTCAGAAAGTTTAGTCAATTCCAACCCTCATCACTGATATGATGTAAATGATGTGCTGTCCAGGTAAGTGGGACGATTACAGAGGGGAGCAGTGGATGACGGGGTAGCTATTCCAAGCTGGAATAAAGACGAAACTCTCAAAGTGGTCCATATAACGTTGTCAAAATCATGCCCTCCAATGGCAATTCCTGATTGAAAAGTGGGAATTGTGTTCTGAACCTGCTGAATACATCGATTTGAAATGTTCTTGGAATTTTCAAAATTGCCAGCCTGGGCCAAATGTGAATCTTCCTTTCCTCTTTGTAGCCTCAGCACACAAATGTCTGCTTCTGGTACATTCCTCCAAGCTTGCGTACTCTGGAAGACAATGAAGAGAGAATGAGTCGCCTCTCGAAGGTCAGTGCTCCAAGCTCCTCTGATACATGTGTGTATTGAGCCTTTCATGTGCACATCTTCTTTATGACATATGCCTGTGGCCTTAGGAGACAGCCTACCTGGGTACATGGGCCCATTCCCGTCTGTGGACTCCTACAGAGCCAGGACATATAGAGCCTGATATATGCAGACATTTTTCTTCTTTTTTTTTTTTTTTTTTTTTTTGAGATGGAGTCTCACTGTGTCTTCCAGGTTGCAGTGCAGTGGCGTGATCTCAGCTCACTGCATCCTCCACCTCCCGGGTTCAAGCGATTCTCCTGCCTCAGCCTCCCGAGTAGCTGGGAATACAGGCACTCACCACCACGCCCAGACAATTTTTGTATTTTTAGTAGAGATGGGGTTTCAATATGTTGGCCAGGCTGGTCTCGAACTCCTGACCTCAGGTGATCTGCCCACCTTGGCCTCCCAAAGTGCTGAGATTACAGGCATGAGCCACTGTGCCCGGCCTATGCAGACTTTTAACAACTCTATTTGCTTGTTTTCTGAGAGTGAGTTTATGATGTCTTGAAAGAAGTAGTCAGGCGATAACCTTTGCTGGCATTCACAAAGCAACAAGGACGTTGCTGAAGTTCATTGATGTTCCAAGTGAAACTGGTGCTCAGTTACAAGCACAAAAGAGACTTTAGGTACCAGAAATGGTTAGCAAACAACGCTGCTGCTGACCCTCTTGAGCTGCCAAGGTCAAGGCTACCCTGGGTGTGTCCTTAGAGCTGTGGTGACCCCTAGAAGGTAAGAGGGCAAAGAGCAATAATAACAGCCACTGTTTTGAGTGTGCATTGTGTCCCAGCTCAATATCAGGTGTTAGGTCACTTAAAGCCTCAGAGCAACCTGACATGGGAAGGATTGTCCACCCATCTTGCTGATGGAGAAACTGACCCACAGGGAGAAAATGTAACTCCCAAAATCTCGCAGAAAGTCTGCATCCGAGCCTAAGGGCTTGAGCTTTAAATGGTACTGTGGTAAGACACCATTAATCTTTCATCCTCTCCTGCTCCCAGCACTTATACATGGGTGAAATGGGGTTTACAGTGCACATCGAAGCGGGGTATATGCAGGACCTGTCCCCCATTCGAAACTAGGGATGGTCATGTAGACTTGGATCTCAGAGTTGATTTGGTTGGTTTGGGGGTTCTTTTCATTTATCATAAAAGAGGGAACCTCCTCCAGTCACTGCCAAGAGCCCCGCAGGCTGTCCCCTCACTGCTCAGGAGCTTGGGCTGTCTCACTGACCTTTGGGAACACTTTAGTTCCTTCTACGTAAAATGAAGAAGAGGATTTTGTGTAGATATAAAACCTTCACTAAAGCTTTTATGTGTTAACATCTGTCCTTAAGCAACCCAAGATCAAACTCCTCATCGGGAGGAAACTTCCATATGGCTGAGGTCTTTAAACCAAGCCTCCTAATTAGAGTAGTGATTTGCAATCCTGGCCATACATTAGAATCATCCAGAAACTTCATAAAAGACACTAGTGACCAGGTCTCACCCTGAAAATGTAATCAGATTGTGCTTGGATGGGCCTGGGAATGATTCTGGAAGTTATCTAGATGATTCCAATGTGCACCTCAGCTAGAGAACCCCTGATCTAGAGGAAAAAATGGAAGAAAGCTTCTAGAACCAGGATCCGTGGTGCATGTGTCTGAGATGGAAGGGGCTGTGGTTGTGTTTGATGATTTCGTGAAGTTGGTTCATTCCAGGAAATCAAGCCCACAGGGTGGGAGGGAATGAGTAGAGGTCGCATTGGATAAGATGATCGGTGCAGGCAATAACAACGAGAATAGGGGGTGCGGGTGTCTGCTGTCATTTGAGAGGAAAAAATTCTTATTTTTCCTGGAATTTTTATGGTATACCTTCATAATGTAAAATTTCTTAACAATGACTTATTTAACCAGTTAGAAATTAGATGCCTCCATTCTTTTTGGCTTTCACTTCCTTATTGAACTGACTGGCCAGAAAGAGAATCCATGGACTAGTTTGGCTGATTTCATTTGTTGAATCAGTCCATTATCACTGGGCTGAGGGATGGAGCAAGATGGGAATACAGAATAAAAACTTTTTTTTTTCATCATTTTCTGAACAAAAGTCAACTTGGAGGCTCCCCCTTTTAAATATCACTCTTCAAATGCCTCCTAGGTTTCAGCACCTCATATGAGCTGTAATGAAGAATGGGGATGGAGATTATTTCCTGGAGATGGCAATTAGAATATTAGTAAACTGTTTTTATACTGTTGACAATTCAAATATGAAAATCTCCGGGGATTGCAGAATGAATTCTCCTGATTTTTCTCCAATTTTATTACTGTAATCAAGAGAATTCAGCAATTCAGATTTGGAAATGAAAATAGAACCACATGAATACCAAGTTTAACTTTTGTTCACGTATGCCAATGATTTTTTCAGACTTTCTGGAAAGTTCTTTATTAAGTGTGACGCCCTTAAAGTATCATGTCCAGGAACCAGTAAAATATTCATACGCATGCACACACACACACACACACACACACACACACACACACACAGTCCCAGAGGGAAAAGAACTGAGGTGAAATAATCTATGCTGTCCAGTATGGTAGTAATAGCCACATGTGGCTATTCATATTTAAATTTAAATCAATTAAAATTAAATTCAACCAAAAATTTGGTTCTTCAATCACACTAGCCACATTTCAGTCACTCAACTTGTGCCCAATGGCTGTTTTATGGGACAGTGCAGATATAGAACATCTCCATCACTGCACAGAGTTCTGTTGGTCCAGGCCGATATAGACTCAAAATTTGGGGAAATGCAGAGTTTCCTGTGCAGTTTATGTGAACCAAAAGAACAAAGTTAAATTCTGGACAAGACAAGGCAGAGAAATTACTCTGTACCATCTTGCCTGATTCATAGCTGTAGTGCACAATAGGAACTCAAAAATCGTTTGTTGAGCTAAAATTGTATCTTAGCGTGGTTGAGCTGCAAAAACAGACTAATATAGACTGGGTAGCTTATAAGCACAGAAATTTATTTCTCACTGTTCTAGAGGCGGGGAAGTCCAAGATCAAGGTGCCAGTAGATTCCGTGTCTGCTGGAACCCCTACTTCCTGGTTCGTCAATGGCCTTTTTCTCCCTGTATCCTCACATGGCAGAAAGAGGTCAAGGGAGCTCTCTGGGGTCCCTAAGACTGTGCCTTCCTGAACTAATCACCTACCAAAGGCCCTATCTCCTAATATCATCACATTGAGGGGTTAAGATTTCAACATATAAATTTTGGGAGGACAGAAAAATTCAGTCTATAGCAAATACCTTAGGCATATTCCAGAATAAGGAAGGGAAACAACATTTAGGAAACCTAATAGTGGCTCATAAGCCTTTTTCCAGAGTGCACTATTTGGGGACAAATATCTGGATAACAGAAGTTATTAATAAAGCAAATACAGTCATATCTTCATGAGGGTGGTAAACACGAGAATCCAGTCAGTGTGCTTCCTGCTGCTCTGTCAGGACTATGATCTTGCAGATGGCGCTTTGTCCCTGAGGCAGTGCAGATGATGAATGCTTGGGGCACTATGAGGATGTGACGCCACACACATGCCTTGGACACAGGGAGGGGCAGCAAGTGGGCTGTGCCAATGTTTACCAAACAAGAATCAAAAGGGCTGGTCTATTGATCACCTCTTGTGTTTCTGGTTCTTTATCTTCTTATTTTAATTTTTTTTATTCTTGATCATTATCTGGTTCTGTCAGCTTTTATAGTCCTACACTGATTGGAGGACTTTTCAAAGGTTAGCAGTGGATTTAATACTAAATTTGTAAGGAAGTAGCCTGGACTTATATTTAATACAGACTCTTTGAAAGTCTGTGTTATTAAGTGCAATAGAGGATTTAATTGGTGAAATTTTCGCATATTAGAATTTTTTTTTTTTAAGACAGGGTCTCACTCTGTTGCCCAGGCTGGAGTACAGTGGTGCCATCTCGGCTCACTGCAACCTCCACCTCTCAGGTTCAAGTGATTCTCCCACCTCAGCCTGCCGAGTAGCTGGGATTACAGGCACACACCACCACACCCAGCTAATTTTTATATTTTTTGGTCAGGACAGGGTTGGGACGGGGTTTCACCATGTTGGCCAGGCTGGTCTCGAACGCCTGACCTTAAGTGATCGGCTCACCTCGGCCTCCCAAAGTGCTGGGATTACAGGCATGAGCCACCAAGCCTAGCCAACAGTTTAGAATTTCTCATTTAATTATTCTGCTTTTACATTTTTCAGAAATTTCTCGCAGTCTTCCAAAATGTAAAAACAAAGAGGTTTTCTAAGACATAGTGAAAAATACATTTCTGTGATATCTTTTAAGTTTATTTCATAATGCTTTACTATGCACCCTCTTTGAAAGGGACAAATGTGGATTCCAATTATGGAAAAGTCGCCTGGTTATTGCTTTCTAAAGGACTGAAAAAGCTAATGGCACAAGAGAGAAGACAATACCCTAAAATTATTAAGGCAGGCCCAAAGAGCTCTTGTTGACTATACCTTTAGCGAATTCTTCAACATGCAACCACTCTTTCTCAACTTGCGTTCTTTATTTAGGAAAACTAGGAATCCAACCAAAAAGTACAAAAGCCTAGAAATAAGTGAAATCTCTATGTATTTCATCCAAAAGACCACTGGGATGGCTAGATAGTAGAAAGGAGAGCTTTATTGATGATATCAGTTTGCAAACTGGGAAGAGACAGCCTCCAGCATGTGTGGAAGGTGCCCTCTCTTCCAAGAGAGGAAGGGCAGGTTGGGTTTTATGCCTCACAGGGCCTGTATCACACAGTAGAGTCATACATATTCAGTAGGTTTTGGGGGAAAGCTATCCATATTTATGAGGGGAGCTGAGCACATGCAGAATGAGTAAACATATATGTAACATACATCCCATGTTTACTTCGGGGCAGGGTTTTAGTGTTAGAATGAGGTGAAATTTGGCTCTTCATGTCAAAAGGTGAACTGTAGGACATAAACACAGTTTGTGCACCGCATCTATAAGCTGCTAAAACTGGCTTAAGGTCTGCAATTGCTTACCAGGAAAGAATGTGTGTAAGGTCAGTCTTCTGTCTAGTCAGAGTTATAGTGGTCTGGTTAGTAAATCAGGGTAAGGAGGGGGTCTCATAGCGCCTATTGTTAGGGAATTTCAATCATTAGGAATTTAGTAATTTGCCCTCCAGCCAGGCCTTGAACCCTGGACCCATCTTAGTTGATATAGGAGTGTCTATTTTGGCCCCACAGATCACATATATTCATCAGAATAGTCCGAATCTTATTTTCCTTCTTAACTTGCAATGAGTGAATATACAACGAAGTAGATGTTCATGTTCCGGCTAATTTTAGTTCATCAGCATTTTCTGGAAGCAACCAAAAGTCATATGTATTTAGACAGCTGTGATTTCTGCCAATTCAGCTTGCTTCGGGAACTGAGGGGATTCAATCTTACTTTATGCCCAAATCTGTTTGCTTGTGGCTGTTAGCATTAATCTTTTAACCTTTGATTTGCATTCATCTGAAAAGCTAGAGATGATTGTCCTTAATAATTAGTGCCATTCTTCTGTATTTTTGCTTGGATTACCCATGAAAACTAAATGAGACTTTAATTTACTGAGTAAAGCTCTGTCATTATTTTATCAGTTCTAAAGGGCAAGCGTGATTTATTATACAAATAAAACTAAGGAATGGTTATGTGACTTGTCCTTAAATTCCTGCAGCCAAGTGGATTTGGAATTCCTTTTCTAATCTGAGATTTATCTTCGCAGGAACCACATTGACTTGACACGCCTCACAACACAAAGGATAAATTCCATGCCCCTTTGGCTGGAATATGCTAGTAGATCTATTTTCAGAAGTTAATCTCAGATTTGAGATATTTTAATTCTTCTTCTTATTTATTCCCTGGGATGAGTCCAGTGCTCTGCATACATTCTTAATGCTTTAGGTGAAAGAAGGATCAGGCCAAGAGAAACATTCCTCCCCATGGAACAAGGGGTGGGAAGGGATATAAGAACTCAATGTAGAGTCAGAAGATCTCAATGCTGGAATCATCCACGTTCATTTTTAGAGAAGGAAATTAGGTTCAGAATGAGAAGTGAAGGTGAAGTCTACCTGTTGACCTTGTCTTTGGTAACTAACAAATGATTGGACCCAATGGGAACATTGCTATTTTATGCATTGGATACTTTGAAGATGAAAACTTCATTATAAACCAATGATTATTTAAGAGTTGATATTTATAAGTCACATGTTCATAACAGCATTCCATTTGAATTGAACTGTCTATTTAAGATAAATCCAGCTGTGATAGAAGGCATGGTCTCCATTTTGAACCGGGTTTCTGACCATATGAAACTCAAAGAAGTCTAAAAGTTTCTCTGATGTCTATCTACCATTTGCAGAAATGAAGATCAGATATTATATATTTACAAACTCCAGTGGTAAATATATGTGGATAGACTGTATGTACAGTTAGACATGATTTAAGTTTTTGCTTCTTCCTAGATAGCTGTTTCTATTATGCTACTCTTTATAGCAATAAGAACTTAGGAATCCCCCAACATGAACCAAGCACTGTGCTGGTAAAGAACAACAACAAAAACAGTAGAAGACACTGTGTCTGCCCTCCAGGACCTGACAGTTGAGGTAGAGAAAGAAAATGTATTTGCTTGAAAGTAAGAGGATAGTAGGAAATTAGCATATAGTCAGAATCTATGGGGAAGGATCATGGATGATATGTTTACAGCTTAAAGGAAGAGAGCTACTGATGGACACTAGAAGTCAGGAAAGGCTTCATAGCAGTTGTAGGACTGTGGTGGAATCTTGAAGTGTGTGTAGGATATGAACCAGAAGAGAAAAGGGATGGATTCTAAGCACAGAGAACAAGTATGACATAGTAACACTGATGACAAGTGTGAAGGGATAAAAATACATATGGTAAATTCAAGAGATATTTAATAAAGGAGTCTTGTCAGAGTTGAAGATTCATTTTGGCAAGTGGTGGAAGATGAGGCCTCATAAATGGATGATGAAAGGTCTTTGCACTGAACTAGAGTTTAAACTTAATTTCATATACAATAGAGAGCTACTGAGGCTATAATCAAAAATCTGGCATAAATAGAGTATAATCTCGTCTGTGGTATGCTATCCTGTCTGTGATATGAAACATATGTTAAGTCCTTGTGAGTTCAGCTTTTTGTCCCAGCTAATTATCATCATTATTAAGGATTATCTTTCAAAATATCTTATAAAGTGAGGCACTGCAAAGAGAGAACGAAAAGAAACTAGAAAGCTCTGGGGTTTCAAGAAAGTTGCCAAAAGTCTGCTTATCTTCATATATCACCTGACACTCAAACTTACATTTTGGTAACAATCCTCTGAACTGTTTATTTCCAATGTTTTTACATTTACTGTGGGGGGAAAATGCCCCCAAACGTCTTGCTAACCCATTTAGCTTGGGGCCAATACTAGATTCATCCCATCCTCCCAAAACACTAACTGGAAAGTCAAGGACAAGGTGGCAGGCAGCTGATAGTCTATCACTTATTATTCCTCTTATCACTTGCAGGATCTTGAATGTGTTAGACTGTTCTAATTCTCTGATCCCAAGAAAACTTGGAGGTAACTCTTTCAAGAGAAAACAATAAGGTTCTGACTGTTGAGCTAAAAACTAAAGACGCTGCTTGCTGTTGGGTTCTTTGACTCAGGGGAGAGTCCCAGGAGAAAGTCACCATGCTGATATGGTCTGTCCCACAGGTGGCTCCAGTGATTAAAGCCAGAATGATGGAGTATGGAACCACAATGGTCAGCTACCAACCCTTGGGAGACAAGGTCAATTTCTTCCGCATGGTCATCTCAAACCCAGCGGCAACTCACCAAGACATTGACTTCCTGATTGAAGAAATAGAACGCCTTGGACAAGATTTATAATAACCTTGCTCACCAAGCTGTTCCACTTCTCTAGGTAGACAATTAAGTTGTCACAAACTGTGTGAATGTATTTGTAGTTTGTTCCAAAGTAAATCTATTTCTATATTGTGGTGTCAAAGTAGAGTTTAAAAATTAAACAAAAAAGACATTGCTCCTTTTAAAAGTCCTTTCTTAAGTTTAGAATACCTCTCTAAGAATTCGTGACAAAAGGCTATGTTCTAATCAATAAGGAAAAGCTTAAAATTGTTATAAATACTTCCCTTACTTTTAATATAGTGTGCAAAGCAAACTTTATTTTCACTTCAGACTAGTAGGACTGAATAGTGCCAAATTGCCCCTGAATCATAAAAGGTTCTTTGGGGTGCAGTAAAAAGGACAAAGTAAATATAAAATATATGTTGACAATAAAAACTCTTGCCTTTTTCATAGTATTAGAAAAAAATTTCTAATTTACCTATAGCAACATTTCAAATGTATTTAAATACATATAATTTTACAAAAGGAAAATATATATATTAAAAAAGATATCCTATTTTGTAACATATAGATTTTTATTTTATATAGGTTATACAAACTGCGGGGGCAGATATAAAATCTAAGCCAGATTTTTTTTTCCTTTCTCTTAATGGAGGCACAATAAAACACTTAGCAAAGTTATTTTGAAACATTGACCCACGAAATTCTTAAAAGGTATTATTGCTTCTTTCTATACATGTTATGGCTTATCACATCTCTAAAGTTAGTATTTCAAGACAAACACAAAAGAATACTGCGAGTTCTTTAAAATAATTGATCCCATTGGCAGTAAGATTCTCTTCCCCTTTAAGTTTTCCACCCATTTTACTCTTAGCGGACTCACTCTGCAAGCGTGACAAACCAGGCTTCATCTCAGATTAAATTAGGGTAATTGTCTCTATTCTGCTTTCCAGTTCGGCCTGTTTTGAACAGAAGGTTGATGCTAGTTCTTGAGGCATCTTCCAAATAGTATTCTTTTATTAGGTCATTTGAATTAATTAGAGAAAGTAAAAATAAAACCTTATCAGCCTGAGCAAAGAGGAATGAAGCACACTCCCAGAATGTGGTGAGCCCAGAAAATTAAAGTTGGCCTTGGGAGAAGAGATCTCTGTGGGACAATAATGACATCATCCTGGCGCCATATTGCCACTGTCCAGGAAAGAGAAATTTACCTCCAGGCCAGTTGCGCATTTCCATCCCCTCCCCATTCCTCCCCACAAAGTCTCTCCCACTAGACTCCCTACCACTGGGACCCAAAATAGTTACTTTATATTCCATGGGTGGTTGTTTTTCTTCCATGAAATGAGCCTCTCACCCTAGATTTTGAGGCATTATCTTAAGATTTTCCTTTATCCATCTCCCATCGAGATCCAAAGTGACCAGAATATGCAGAAATAATAAGATCCTTAGAATTCAAAATAGTATTTTTAAAACATCCTTCTTTCCCTGTGAACCTGATAGAAAAACATGAGCTAACAAAAGCTTCCATAGATATTTATGGGGTCACACATCGTCAGATTCCAAGTGCTGATTGGAGAACAATAGATTGATATGCAGACTGCAAATGCAAATTTAGGAACATTCTCCATTTCTGAATGGACCAGGTAGTTCAGTACTCAGACTGCAGGTATACAAGGGAAGAGAGAAGGCCCTGCCCTTCAACGGGTAGAAATGCCCTACAATATAACATAGAGAAATGCCCTATAATATAACCACAGGATCCAGCCATCTGAAATTTTCATAAGCTTCCCCCTACATTATTTCTCCTAGGCTATATGCAAAAACAGTGATAACTTGATATGAACATGGCTTTGGGCCCTTTCTGTCTAGAAAAACAAATGGGTTCACTATGACAATCAGAAATAAACTCTTTCATCTGTCCCGCAGAATTTCATGAAGGAGTAACCTTCCATTCTAGGCTTTGTCTAATGGCCAAGCATTAGACAAAGCATTAGAAAGCAGTTCCTTTCTCAAAACTGCCTGCTGAGAATAAGCACATAGCTGCCCGACTATCCGGAGCCTCAGGCCCAAAGGTTCCACTTCAGAGACAGAGATGCTAATTGATCCAACCTGCTGTCCTTCGTGGAGAAGACAGTGGGGCCCAGTGCCCTGGTGAACCAACCCTGCTGTACTCCAGGATGCTTTATCTTTTGAGTTACAGATCCTAGATTATAAACTGCTGCTTTTTAGGTTAATGAGATGGTAAAATTTTAAAGGACAATTTGTGCCTATATATGAAATTCCAGCAAAACAATTCTAGCAACAACAATAGCTCTTCTTCCCCGCTCCCCTACCCCTTCCCAGTACTCCTTCAAATTGGCTGAGAGCCTTGCTCAGGCCTGTGCAGGGAAATCCTTACCAACTGTAGCCCAAAGAAGGAAGCAAATAAAAGCCTAGTAGGTCCCAGTAGTTTAATAAATCATCTTGAAAGGAGATGTGGAATCAGGTCAGAAGAGAGTAAGGGAGGAAGGGAGGGAGGGAGGGAGGGAGGGAAGGAGGGAGGGAGGAAGGAAATGAAGGGAGGGAGGGAGGGAGGAAAGAAGGGAGATTATTTTTAATATTAGCCCAAATTCCCAGTGCCATGGTCTTTATGTGTGCCCATTCTTTACAAATCTTAGAAAAGTTTGGTTTTAGCTTTAATCAGAACTGACATGGCCATTTTCATTTATACAGCAATATTGTGTTTATCATTTAAAATACTTGAACAAACAAGTGTGATATGTCTTTATCTGAGACCTATACATGGTATGGACTTCATATACTGCCACAGGATGTGAGGAAAGAAAAGGAAATCAATTCTGACTGTGTTGCCTTTATTATCTGGATAATACTGTCTTGTCACCTCAGATTGGGGTTGTGCACTTTAGATCTGAACTGTACAGTGTTGCAAATCAACATGTGTTTCTGTAAAAGCTTGTACAATATATTATTGATATGTCTTTTTCTGTGTGGTAGCTGTATTGAACTTTGATATTATGAAAACTACATTTGCATCTGTTCCTGTTCTCTCTCTCTCTCTCTTTCCTAACTATATGCCCTCCACATCGGCTCTAATAGAGAACATGCCCTCAGCTAAGCCCCCTACTGAGAAACTTCCTTTGAGAATTGTGCGACTTCACAAAATGCAAGGTGAACACCACTTTGTCTCTGAGAACAGACGTTACCAATTATGGAGTGTCACCAGCTGCCAAAATCGTAGGTGTTGGCTCTGCTGGTCACTGGAGTAGTTGCTACTCTTCAGAATATGGACAAAGAAGGCACAGGTGTAAATATAGTAGCAGGATGAGGAACCTCAAACTGGGTATCATTTTGCACGTGCTCTTCTGTTCTCAAATGCTAAATGCAAACACTGTGTATTTATTAGTTAGGTGTGCCAAACTACCGTTCCCAAATTGGTGTTTCTGAATGACATCAACATTCCCCCAACATTACTCCATTACTAAAGACAGAAAAAAATAAAAACATAAAATATACAAACATGTGGCAACCTGTTCTTCCTACCAAATATAAACTTGTGTATGATCCAAGTATTTTATCTGTGTTGTCTCTCTAAACCCAAATAAATGTGTAAATGTGGACACATCTCAGCCTGTGGATAATTGTTTTGACTTTGTCTTATAGTGGAGATGATTTTCAACAAATTGCTAGAATCAAAGGCCCTTCACTTGTCAAGGAGCTTAAAGTGTCTTTGGGTCTTTTGTAGGGAAAAAAAAGCTCTTCTGCAGCTGCCCACACTGTAGCTTCTGAAGGATATCTTTGTCCCACTCTGATTTCTCCTTCAATCAGATCTGATATTTTTTTAAAAAATATTTTATTATGGAAAATTTCACATACATAAGTAGGTAGAGAAGATAGTATAAACTCCTGTGTAGCCTTCACCCAGATTCAACATCTACTGATTCTGAACCTGAATCTTGTTTCATCCATTCCCCCACCCCTCTCCCTCCCCAACACTAAATTATTTTTATCTGAACCTCTAAGAGATTAGGAATCTTTTTTTTTGTTTTTGTTTTTGAGCCAGAGTGTCACTCTGTCACCCAGATGGGAGTGCAGTGGTGTAATCTCGGCTCACTGCAACCTCTGCCTCCCAGGTTCAAGTGATACTCCTGCCTCAGCCTCTCAAGGAGCTGGGATTACAGGTGTGCACAACCACGCCCAGCTAATTTTTGCTTTTTTTTTTTTTTTGAGACAGAGTCTTGCTCTGTCATCCAGGCTGGAGTGCAGTGGTACAATCTCCACTCACTGCAAGCTCCGCCTCCTGGGTTCACGCCATTCTCCCGCCTCAGCCTCCTGAGTAGCTGGGACTACAGGCATCCGCCACCATGCCCGGCTAGTTTTTTTGTATTTTTAGTAGAGACGGGGTCTCACCATGTTGGCCAGGCTGTTCTCGAACTCCTGACCTCAGGTGATCCACCTGCCTCGGCCTCCCAAAGTGCTGGGATTACACGTGTGAGCCACCGTGCCTAGCCTGGACTCTTAAAAAAAAAAAGTCCTCAATACCATTATCACAGCTAAAAGTATAGTAATATTACCATAACAATGTCAAATATCCAACTACTGTTCACATTTTGCCAATTCTTAATTTCATAGCAAAGCCCATGGCCTGTGGCTCAGAAAATCTGGTGAGGCTACGTGTTTCAGGACAGCGGAGACATCTACAATTCAGGCACACAGTACAACGCCATATATGCCCCACTGTGCATATGCTGTGTGTATTTTCCAGTGTGCTGAGTCTATTTCTGGACTTCTGTGAGTTGCAAGTTCTGGTCTTGTGTTCAGGGGCTTTGCTCCCTGGCTCTCAGGAGCAGAGGCTAAGAGGTGTGCTCAGGTTAAAAGCTAGAAAACCGTAGGAATTTAACAGATGGAATAGATATGCCTGATGTGCCTTGTCGGGTGCCGGTTGCCCGACAGGCTTGAGTTGCCCCTAATGGTAAAATTCTGGATGGAGTAAAGAGATACGATTTTAAACAGAGATGGGATACAGGCGGACAAAAAGGAGAGAAGGCTGAATTTCTAGCTAATTTCGATATTGATTATAGGAGAACCAGTAGAAGATAGCCAGATAAAGAGGACACTGCACATTCCTGCCTTTGTTCACATTATTCCCTTGGCCTAGGAAGAATTTTCCACTTCTCCACGGTTTGGGGAGCATCTCTTGTAGGTGCTAAGAGTGCAGGCTCTGGAGTAGGATCACTGGGGATCTAATCACAGTCCCACACTGACCAGCTGTGAGACCTGAGCACATCACCTGACTTCCCTGACTGTTTCCCAGTTTCGCAACAGCAATTGTCAGAGGTGTTTGAACCAGAGCAACTCCATCTTGAATAGGGGCAGGGGAAAATGAGGCTGAGAACTACTGGGCTGCTTTCCCAGATGCTTAAGCCATTCTAAGTCACAGGATGAGAGAGGAGGTCAAGACAAGACACAGGTCATAAAGACCTTGCTGATAAAACAGTTTGCAGTAAAGAGGCCAGCCAAAATCCACCAAAACCAAGATGGTGATGAGAGTGACCTCTGGTCGTCCTCATTACTACACTCCCATCTGCACCGTGACAGTTTACAAATGCCACGGCAATGTCAGGAAGTTACTCTATGTGGTCTAAAAAGGGGAGGCATGAATAATCCACCCCTTGTTTATCATATTATCAAGAAATAACCATAAAAATGGGCTACTGTCTATGAAGTAGCCATTCTTTTATTCCTCTACTTAATAAACTTGCTTTCACTTTATGGACTCACTCTGAATTCTTTCTTGCGTGAGATCCAAGAACCTTCTCTTGGGGTCTGGATCAGGACCCTTTCCTGTAACACAGCCTTCTTCATGATGTTTTTGTGTGGATTCAATAACATGGATGCACAGCACTTAGCATGGTGCTTGACACCCAGTAAGTGCTCAACAAACCTTGTGCTTGTACTGATGATGAGTTCTGTAAGTCAACTCACGTCACCTCCTTAAATATTTACCCTCCTCTGAATTCCCCAACTACTAACTCTCCATCAGTAGTGGTCACTGGGCACCCACCTAACAAGTCCAGCCTGGAAATGTCATCTTTGGCATCATCTTCTGCTTGTCCAATGTAGATTACCAACAGAGTCAGCTAACATCGCTCAGATTTGCTGGCTAAAAGAACTGCTGCCTACTCCAATTAGGTGAACACACCTCTCTCTAAATTTAAACCCAAGGCAATGTTCAGTTCAACTCGGTGTTTGCCATCTGAGACAACTCTGTCTGAAGCTTCATAGGTGTTTTCCATTAACAGGGCCAATCAGAGCCGTCTTACTCTTTTAATTTACTTGCTTATCAAAACACGCATACATGAGTATGTGTATATACATATATGTTATATATATGCACATATATAGCTATATAGTTGAAAGTGCACATGGACACACCCACTATAATTTAATGGACTTGGTGGTCCAATAATAACATTATAATTTATTTCAATTATTGACACAAAACAGGAGCAAACACCAAAAGATCAATAGCTCAGAGTTCACGTTTAGAGAGAACTAGAGTGGTCCATTTCCCCAAAATTAAACAGTAATGCTATAAAAACACACTGTGAGGATGCGGGTGGTTCACAGGCGTAACAATCTATGTCTATGAAATGGAGAGGCTTGGGAGAGAGGAAAGGCCTGGAGCAGAGCAGCTGAGGAAGGGAGCAGGCTCTGGGGACTAGCCCCATATCCCTTCCCCATCCTGCCCACTCTCCCTTCATCCAGCTCCCTGTTCTTCCAGCCCCCGAGCTGTTGTTTCACCGGTGATCTCTAAGGAAAATGTAAAATAAAAATTGCTTTTAAATGGTAAAGGAACTACAAATGAAATTGCCTTTGCAAACATTGTAACAGTGAGAAAATTATGACAGCGAAAGAGATTTGATCTGACCAATCCTCATCTTGCCTGTAATCTCCAAACTGCCCTTCATCATTCCTGGGCTTGGACCAACAAACTTTGGGAGAAATTTAGTTTATAGTTTAAATGATAATAGCCTCCCCAAAACTAAACCGCCTTTGTAAAGCTAAGGAAAGGCCACCAGGTTAGGAGGATGAAAGGACCCTGAATTCTGCTAAGGTATAGACATAAAGGATTACCAGCCATTATTCCAGAAGTCCTAAGATTTGCAACTCCTCCAATTACTACTGCAGATAACATTACTATTGTAGAACCTGAGACTGGCCTTTTGAGATGTCTTTTCAGGTTTTTGCGTTTCTGACAACCCATGGCTCCATCGGAACCCACCGACCCTGACCCTGCTGAGCCATCCTGCAGCCCCACCTAGAAGCAGACTCCCTGGCCCTCCAAACTATCCTTGAAAAACCCTAGCCTC
This sequence comes from Homo sapiens, assembly GCF_000001405.40. NCBI lineage: Eukaryota > Metazoa > Chordata > Mammalia > Primates > Hominidae > Homo > Homo sapiens. The sequence goes on from NC_000010.11 coordinate 26,308,308, forward strand.
TGAATTTTCAGGGATATGGATTTGAGGATTAACTCTGTCTCCCACGTGGTGTGGCCGGGCTTGTGTCCATTAAACTCTTCATTGCAATGCTGTGGTCTCAGTGAATTGTTTTCTTTTTTTCTGTGTAGTGAGCAGGAAGAACCCATCGGACGGCTCCACAGATGGACAGTTTTTGCCACGGGGAGAGCAGATGGTTGCGTGTGAAAGACAGTATAAAATTTTTGACAAGAGGGGAAGAGAGACAGGGTGGATAGATATAAGCTAAAGACGAACTAAATGAAAATATTCACCTGGACCTTGCATTCTCCTCCACTGAGGGACGCTGCTGGCCTTCTTCCAGTCCTGGGCTCTCTGAGGCCCCTCCCAGTAGCCCAGTCTAAAGGGGATGCTCGCATTTGCCACATCTCTCCCAAGAAGAAAATACCTAGTTAAGAGACCTGACTGCATTTACCTATCCCATAAAGCCTTCCTCACTTACCCTTAACGAAACATACTGTGCTTGAAACATTAAGTCTGTGTAATCCTGTCACTCCTGGCATCTGTATTGCCTAGAATTGTTCTCCAGCAGTTTGCCATCTGTAAATCTGGTCTTTCCATTTTTCTTTGAGGGCAGAGACATGCCTTCCAGTCACAGACTTAGACAGCTGGAAATACCCTTGTCGACTAAAAGAGTCAAACTCTGTAAAATATTTGAAGAGATTTATTCTGGGCCAAATACAAGTGACCAATGGCCCGAGATACAACCCTGAGGAGATTCTGAGAACATGTGTCCAAGGTGGTCAGGCCACAACTTGGTTTCATACATTTTAGGGAAACATAAGATATCAATCAATACATGTAAGATGCACAGTGGTTCAGTTCAGAAAGGTGGGACAACTGGAAGCAGGCAGCCATAGTTAGATTCAGAGATTTTCTGATTGGGAGTTGGTTGAATGAGTTAAGTTATTGACTATAAGACTTAGGAATGTCTGGATTAAGACAAGGGGTTGTGGAGACCAAGGTTTTATCATGTAGGTGAAGCCTCCAGGTAGCAGACTTCAGAGAGAGACTAGATTGTAAATGTTTCTTATCAGACTTAAACAGTCTGATCTATCAGTAATTCCAAATGGGAAGAGGGCTTAATGAGGCATGTCCGACCCTCCCTTCCCATCATGGCCCAGACTAGTTTTTCAGGTTAGGTTTGGAATGCTCTTTGCTGAGAGACAGGGGTCTATTCAGATGGTTGGGGGCTTAGAATTTTATTTTTCATTTACACCCTGAAAGGTCATCTAAGGTAGAGTTTCCCAGACCCTGGGCTTTGGACCCAGGCAGAGTGAAGATGGGTCCAATCTGTGGCCAAATGAGAAGCCCAGGACAACCAAGAAGTGTTTTTGGGAAGCTAAAGCTATTCAATTTCAAGGACAGTCTCATCTCAGATTATGTCCTCATTATATTTTTAAATTGTTATTGTTCATAAGGTATCCTTTCATTTAAAAGATAATATAGTGATGACATCTTAGTTGACAAAAGAGTCAGAAACTTCATTTTAAACCCCTGCATCTTAAAAATTATAGTGGTATATAAACTGTAAATCTGAGAACCACCAATTTCATCAAATCTTGCAGATTCTCCCCACCGCATTTCAGGGTAATTAGCCCTTAATAAATGTTATTCAAAGTGACTTGAATATTTACAAGTCAAATTGAAAGCTTTGGAAGACCGTGGATTGTGGTGTAATCTCTGTGCTACTAGAAGCTAAGGATCTGCCAAATGAAAATGTGTTTTCATTTCAAATTCACACACATCCCAACACCTCTCAGTGTTGGAATCCTACCTGTTTGTGTGCATTTTACTGCAATCTACCCAGGCAGGTGCTATCTTTGGCTTCACTCTGGCAATGCAAAATCATGAGATTTTCATCTTTTTCCTCCCCAGGTAGCCATTTAATGATATCAGAACCTAGGATCTTTCATGATATTTCAAAGAAACAAAAAACTTCAAAATCAGTCTTTGATAGATGGATTAGACGCTGTGACTGTAAAAATACCAAAATATATTTGCCTCACTCTGTTTGGTTCAGATCAGAGTGAGTTCTGGGGCTACATCATGATGTAGATGGTTCCCTGCTTCAATGAGGGGAGTGGCAATTCTTCTACTTCACGTTTGTTTCCTGGTCCATGATTCAAACAAATTCACACATTTGACAACATCTGCCGCTGCATGGAAACCAACAACTCTCTGCAACACAGATCAAAACGTCCATTTAGGGAAAGCACCTGGTTTAACATCTGCCTTGTTTATGCAAAGAAAGCTCTGATTTGAAATGACTTTCTAAACTCAGTGCTTTTTAAATATTGGCTGTCCCAGTTAACTCCCAGGGGAAGTCAGCAGTAGAGGATGGGGAGGGAGATGAGTGTGAAGAGAGGGCAACAAAGCTGTTATTGCAGTTTTATCTTCTTCATCCCAAAAGGATATTAGAGTTTATTTTCTTGTGGCCTTTGATGAACTGCAGTTACCAAATGTCTACATCAGATGCATATGTGAGTATTTTAAGACTAAATAATGAAAGGGATTTGTTTTCATTGTAGAAACAATATTAATATTCAATGTATATGGGATTTTTAGAGATGTCCCTACTCCCATCATCCTTGCCTGATATTTTTTTCATGTGTAATAATAGTAGAGGGATTCCAATTACCATGGTAACCCAAACAGCATTTGAATGGCCTGCCCAGTGTTTATGATAAAACAACAAATTGCAGGTGTTAATTCTGAAAGACAAGGGTTCTTAGGAAGAAAATTTTTTTTTTGTTCTAATGCCTGCTAAGCATTGAGTTCTATTAACTTCCTTCCCAGGGATGTCCACAGCAAAGCAAATACAAATCTGACTTGGTAAATATTAGGAGTGGCCGGGTGCGGTGGCTCATGCCTGTAATCCCAGCACTTTGGGAGGCCAAGGCGAGAGGATCACTTGAGCCCAGGAATTTGAGACCAGCCTAGGAAACATGGTGAAACCCCGTCTCTACCAAAAGTATACAAAAATTAGCAAGGCTTGGTGACACACCCGTGTAGTCCCAGCTACTCAGGAGAGATGGGAAGATTGCTTAACCCTGGGAGATGGAGGTTGCAGTAAGCTGAGACTGTACCACTGTACTCCAGCCTGGGGAACAGAGTGAGACCCTGTCTCAAAAAAAAAAAGAAAAAAAAAGTTAGGAGTGCTGTGATTTCACGGGAGGAGGTATCCCAACGGCCTGGGTTTGCAGCATCTTGGAAACCTAGATTCCTGCCAGGAGAGGTCAGGTCTGTGCTCTCACGTTTTCATTCCTCTCACGCGGAGACTGCTGGAGCAGTAGCTAGTGTCAGACTGCCTGGCCTCAGATGCTGGCTCTGCCATTTATTAGCTTTGTGGCCCTGGGCAAAGCAGTTAACCTCTCTGAACCTCAGTTCTGTCATCTGTAAAACAGGGACAAAAATAACACTTACTTCATAGGGTGATGGTGAAGATTCAAATGAGAAAAAAGTCCGATGCCTGGAACAGAGTGACTGCAACATGTGTTAATCTTATCTTTATTTGGTGGTGTCACCTGAAAGGACTGGGCTTAGAGGCAGGCCCTTCATGCTACCTAAACTCACCCAGAGAAGATCATGAATTCCCACATAAAGGATCATGAACAGCAGTGTCACCCTGTAGAAAGCCACTTATGAGGCATCCCTGAGGACAGCAGGCAGGTGACGGAGGCAGCCCCCATCACATCCTTAGTCCTAGCTTTATTAGTGACTGGACAGAGACCCAGAGGGCTGGGCAGGAGAGTGGGGGAAGGAAGGAAGAGCAAGAGGAAATCAATTATTTTAGTTGGAATGATAACCTGCTACTCATTCCCCAGGTGCATTCTTGCCTCAGACAGGCACGCATCAAAGAGTTAGAGCAAAATGGTATGGAACAGAAGTTCTGGCTTCATAAGAATTGCTAACATGGTCATTTGCCTAATGGTTACTGGCCTCTATTTCCACAATGAGAAGTAGTCATTGGTGCCAACTCACCACGGTTTGTGTCCCCCCAGATTTCATATGTGGAAACCTATCCCCAGTGGGATGGTATTTGGAGCTGGAGCCTTTGGGAGGTGATTAGGCCATGTGGGTGGAACCCCATGAAGGGGATTAGTGCCCTTATGAAAGAGGCCCCAGAGAGCTCCCTCACCCTTCTGCTATATAAGGATGCCACGAGAAGTCTCCATCCTAAAAGTGGGCATTAACTAGAATACAACAGTGCTGCCACCCTGATCTCATACCTCCAGCCTCCAGAACCGTAAGAAATAAATTTCTGGACTAGGCTCAGTGGCTCATGCCTGTAATCCCAGTACTTTGGCAGGCCAAGGTGGGAGGATCGCTTGAGATCCAGAGTTCAGGACAAGCCTGGGCAGCATAGCAAGATCCTATCTCTAGAAAAAATTAGCCAGGTATGGGAGGGCACATCTGTAGTCCCAGATACTCAGGAGGCTGAGGCGCGAGGACCACTTTAGGCCTGGAGTTTGAGGTTGAAGTAAACTATGCTTGTGTGCCACTGCACTCCAGCCTGAGCAACAGAAGGAGACTCTATCTAAAAACAAAAATTTTTTTTAAAGAAAGAAATTCCTGTCTTTTATAAGCCCTCCAGTCTGTGTTGTTTTATTAAACCAGCCATAGCTGAATAAAACAACTGAGGACACACTGTAAGAAGGAAAAGTGATTTATTCTCCCCAAAGCCATTCAGGACTTTTCAATAACACACACACACACACACACACACACACACACACACACACACACACACACACACACGCAAGTAGCAAAGGAGCATAAAAAGTTCTGAGTTGAGGTCAGCCCTGCTTCCGAGTTAGCCCCTGCTTTGTAGCTTGTGCAGGATAAACACGAATAAACTATGAACTCCTGGGGGCTGAACAGCCACTTCTTTACCTGCAATCCTGTCTCCGCTTTTGGAAAAAAAGTTTGTGTTCCCTGTCAAAGTGTCAGAAGAGAGGTTTCTAGGCTGTGGAAAAGTAATTAAAAGCTTATTACAGTTGGCAAGAAAATCACTTTCAAAAGGGATTTCAATTTATTTAAACACAGTAACTTTGTAAATTCCAAGAAAATTCAATTATACAAACGTGAAAAAAATAAGAGAGAATCAGAGTCTCAATTCAGACTTTAGTCAAAAGGAAATCTTGCCGCCGTGTCTTTTGCCTTCTCTTTATTTCCTGTACAGTTTGTCTCTTTTAAGATTGCAGAGACTACGATAGTAAAGGATAGGGATTTTCTTTACTATTCACTTTCATTTAAATTGTTCACAACCCCTCTGTACCAGGGAGACATAGTCTAGTGGGAAAAAACATTTCTCATTGTGCGTCTCCACGGCTGGCTGGGCCGGGCTAGTTTATTTTCAGGAATGAGCAGATGTTCCAATTATTACTTAGCAGCCAAGATGTAAAGAAAGAGGTGTTTCAATATGTGTGTGTGTGTGTGTGTGTGTGTGTGTGTGTGTGGGCTTTTTAAAGCTGCAAAGACAAAGCATCCTCTCACTTTACATTTTTAAAAGAATGATGGAATTCTAGGTAAAATATATATTGAGAATGAACCATAGTTAGTTACACATGGGTAGGGAATTAAATTCTCACATTGAGTGATTATCTGTTTCGTTCATAATAACCTATCATAAATTATGAGGAGATTACTTAGTCTATGAGTAGACTCAATGCATGAAGGACCCCCACCCATTGGCACCATTAATCTCGTCTTTACAGCAATATTCCATAACGGCATTGAAGGATGGCAGAGTCATGGACTGATTTTTCTGTCTTACCTTCACCCTGAATCTAAGGCAGCTACTCCAAAATTCCAGAAACCCCCTCAATACTTCCTAGACCAATGGCAAAGTTCCCTACTTCCCAATAATATATTGTCCCTTCACTTTATGAATTCTGAGTGCCTTTTCCTCACCTGTAAAATTGGCTTAGTGATACTTATGGGAGAGGGTTGTAGGAATTTAATGGAAAATATCTGGAAGGGCCTTGGCCCTGGCAAACTGCCCTTCCTTCCCCTCCTCTGTCCTGCAATCACTCTTCCTCCCTGTGGTCTTAGAATCGCCTCCTCTAATGGAGCTGTTGCTGGTAAGTCAACCGGATCTACAGATGCACTGTGAATGTGATTGTTCACTGCCCTGGGTAGCTCCTACTAGAAACTAAGGGCTTTGTTTGGCTTTGTTTAAATAAAATATCAACTGAGTCAATGTGCTTCTGCAGAAAGAGTCGTGGGTGGGTTTGAGCACATCAGGAGCGGGTTTTATGCTAGTAAACTCATTTACAAGGACTTTATTGGATTCCATTTAGACAGGGCTCCACAAGGGGCAAACCAGATAATCACCCATTAGCTGGAGAGCAGCGGCCACCTGAGACAGAGGACCCTAGGTTGACAGAGCGACAAATGCCACTGTAGCTGCCTCTGTGCAAAGAGATGACTCAGTCGGGTCATGGAAGGCCTTGGCATGCGTGGAATAGAATCAGCCAGGCTGTGTCTCCCACGCCCGGCACCCTGCAGCCAGTGCTCAGGAGGAAGTGCATTCAGCCTTCATTCATCTCCTCACAGACCAGAGGAGGCTGCTTTCCCTGGCTCTCCTTTTTTTTTTTCTTTTTATCACTCTGTTGCCCAGGCTGGAGTGCAGTGGTGTGATCTCAGCTCACTGCAACCTCCACCTTCCGGGCTCAAGCAATTCTTGTGCCTCAGCCTCCTGAGTAGTTGGGACTACAGGCGTGTGCCACCATGTCCAGCTATTTTTTTTTTAATTTTAGTAGAGACAGGGTTTCACCATGTTGGCCAGGCTCGTCTTGATTCTTGGGCTCAAGAGATCTGCCGCCTCCCAAAGTGCTGGGGTTACCGGCATGAACCACCGCACCCAGCTCTCCCTGGATCTCTTTTAAGGGGAAACACACAAGGATCCTGGCAGCCAAGACCCCCCCGAGGAGGGACCATGTTCCTTCAATTTCTGTCTGGCACAGAAACCGTAATTATCTTGTCCTCTCTGTGCTCGACCAAGGGAAAAACAGAACGGGGAAGAGAATAAACCGACAAAAGCCTCAGTTATTATTTCTTTCTGAGTGTAAATAACACAATTTGCTTCAGGAGTGCAGGGAGACACATGCTGCCTAAGAACATATACATGAACTTCCCATGTTAAAGAATAGGTACATAAAATAGATAATAGACTTCATAAACTCCCTCTGCACCTAAGAATCACAGCCTAGCTCCTGAAAGAGTAGGGCAAGAAGGCTGGGCCCGGTGGCTCACACGTGTAATCCCAGCTCTTTTGGAGGCCGAGCTTGAGCGGATCACCCAAGGTCAGGAGTTCGAGACAAGCCTGGCCAACATAGTGAAACCCCGTCTCTACTAAAAATACAAAAATTAGCCGGGCATGGTGGTGGGTACCTGTAATCCCAGCTACTCGGGAGGCTGAGGCAGGAGAATCACTTGAACCCGGAAGGCGGAGTTTGCAGTGAGCTGATAACGGGCCACTGCACTCCTGCCTGGGGGACAGAGTGAGACTCTGTCTCCAAAAAACAAAACAAAACAAACAAACAAACAAGAGTCAGGCAAGAGTAAGTCGGGATAAACACTGAATACATGCAATGCATTTGTTGCTGGGAGACAAAGATGAGATTACATAGTCTTGGGCTTCAAGGAGCTCTCAGTGCGGCAGGATAGAGGAGGTAAATTCACACAGAGTGTTGCAATCATCCCTGTAGTCCTGTGAGGATGCCTCCTTGGGAGCACAGAGAAGCCTGGGTCTTGAAGGATGTTTTCCAAAAGGTCGAGAGAAAGAAAGGTTTCCCAAGTCTCCCGCAGCACAAGTGGAAGGTGCAGGAGTCCATCCCGAGGAGCAGCGCTCCAGGAGACAGTGTGGCTCATAGTCCAGTGGGTCATCTGGGGCCACTTCTCCCCTCGCCAGACAGGATGCTGTGGTCTTAAGGGGCTAAATGCATTTTGTTGACTAACAGACATTTAAAAAAAAAAAAACTCAAACCTAGTGAGGGATGGGTGTGGAAAAATAAATAAATTTTTTTTGAGGGTCTCACTGTCACCTAGCCTGGAGTGTAGTGGTGCCACTGCAGCTCACTGCAGCCTCCATCTCCCAGGCTCAAGTGATCCTCCCACTTCAGCCTCCTGAGTAGCTGGAACATAGGTATGCAACACCATGCGTGGCTAATTTTTTTTAATTAATTTTTTACAGAGACAAGATCTCAGTATGTTGCCCAGGCTGGTCTCAAAGTCCTGGGCTCAAGTGATTCTCCCGCCTCAGCCTCCTAAAGTGCTCAGATGACAGGCATGAGCCACCATTCCTGGGTCAATAAACATCAAACCTAAATAGTTACTGTCCTGGAAGCATCTATGAGAAAAGGCGGGGGACTGTCTGAGGTTAGGCAACAAGTACACACTTATTTGGGGTGTGGGTTGCTTAGGTGAGGCCCCTGGGGCCAGAGCGAACTTCCCCAGCACCTCTTCTTCACACTGGAAGTCTTGACCCTTGGCCGTTGAAGGCTGGAACCCTGGTTCTGTACAAAGAATACCACACAAAAGAGAAGTCTGCGATGGAAAATTTTACTTAACTAAAAACTATGATTTCTTACAAACAGGTAAGATTAGAACAAGTGCAGTTTTAGGGGCAGCCATAGGTTCAGGAACCCTCAAGTGTTACAAGCTGTAAGAAATGTTCAGATGCATTTAACAAAGGGGGATAAAACCTTGCTCAATTTATTATGCTGCAAGTAAGTAAAAATCTAGAGAAATCATTTTATGCACTTAGATCTATTTCATTTAGAGTCAATAAATGTTCAGTCACATAAACTAATTCGTGAGTTTACCACAGAGCACATTAAAAATCATCTGTTTCCATTTCAGACATAACTACATGAAATCCTGCCCTGCTTGTCACCAGCTTCTACCAGTATCAGTTCTTCTGTAAATCCATCGCTTTGTCTCTATTACTATTGCCACTCACCTTAGTCATGGCCCTAATTTCGACGTGGAATGTTGCAATAGTGATACTAAGTTAGTTAAGGTTCTTTGGTTACAAGTAATGAAAATAAACTTAAACTATCGTAAAGAAAGAAAACTGGGTAGAATACTGCAATAGCGCATAGAATCCAACCCCAGGAACATTCAGAACTTGAGAAGGGCAGGGATCAGGGTGATTTGATGATGTTAGCCACGAGAGTTTATGTTTGTTCCCTCTGGAGCCCTACCATCCATCACTTGACTCAGCTCCCAATTCCCAGTCTCTGTCTCTTGATTTTTTTTTTTTTTTTTTTTGAGACGGAGTTTCGCTCTTGTTGCCCAGGCTGGAGTGCAATGGCAAGATCTCAGCTCCCCGCAACCTCCACCTCCTGAGTTCAAGCGATTCTCCTGCCTCAGCCTCCCGAGTAGCCAGGATTACAGGCATGTGCCACCACGCCAGGCTAATTTTGTATTTTTAGTAGAGACGATGTTTCTCCATGTTGGTCAGGCTGGTCTCAAACTCCCAACCTCAGGTGATCCGCCCACCTCAGCCTCCCAAATTGCTGAGATTACAGGCATGAGCCACCGTGCCCGGCCTCTTGTTCTTACTCTTAAGGAAGAATGTGATTGGGTGAGCTTGGGAACAAGTGTCTCCCCTGGTCAAGGTGGCCATCTCCAAGATGCTGGTATCATGTAGTATAAATAAGGTTCCCAGTCCCCATGCCCATAGATCAGGGACAAACGTCAGGAAAAGGCAATGGTTCATGGCATGGCTGGCATCTCAATAGGTGCCACTAGTTGCCTAACGTGTGCAAACACACACACGCTTTCTCTCTCCACAGGTGATTCACTCCCTCAAGCATTCATCTAGCCAACACGCATTTATCCAGTACCCACAATGTCTGGCCCTTGAGACATAATGGGGAATAAAAAGAGGCTCAGTTCCAGTTGTCATGGGGATATTCCTAAATGGAGAGAAGACAATAAAACAAACCAATGTAAAATTGCAATTTTAATATGTCATATATTTTCAACAAAGCTGAAAGAGAGGAATTTGAATGTTCTCACCACAAAGAACGGATAAATGTTTGAGGTGATGGAAATGCCAATTACCTAGGTTAGATCATCACACAATGTATTCGTGTATAAAAACATCATACTGCACTCCATAAGTTTGCAAAATTATTATGTGTCAATTAAAAATAAAATAAAGGAAGGAAGGGAGGGAGGGAGGGAAGGAGGGAGGAAGGAGAGAAAGAGGGAGAAAGGGAGGGAAGGAGGAAGGCAGGGAGGAAGGAGGAAGGAAGGAAGGAAAGAAGGAAGGAAAAGAGTGCTTGCTATGTGACCTTACAAGAGCCTATGATAAAGACGTTACTTTCCTGATAACTTAAGAGAGAAGGATAAGAGTAACTCAGGTATAATGGGGAAAACGTGTTCCCGGAATGGGAACTGTGTATGTAAACACCTGTGGGGGATAGAAGCCACTCTAGCAAAAGTGATTTACAATGTTTGAGTTTTGTAGGTGTCTAATCATTAATGAACCAATAGTCCTGCCTATCGTGTTCATTGCTATCTCCTGGCTGCCACAGCAGAGCTTGGCCCCTGGCCATCAGGCCTCATAAAGGAGTAGACAGCAAGGGGGAATTTGTGCCAAGGTGGAGATGGAGACAGGGCGAGCACAGGACCTGCAGGGCTTTGGAGAGCTTTCTAAGGGGTTGTGTCTTTGTCTTAAAAGAAATGAGAATAGAGTGTGGATTTGCATATTGAAAGGATATCATCAATGTAATTTGTATCATAAATGTAAACCCATGTTATAAAATGATAAAACATTTTGTCAATTTTTAAAAAAACCATCAAAGAAATAATGAAAGTATGGAGAAGTGATTGGAGAGGGTTCAGAGTAGAAGCAGTGCCCTCTGGGAGGCTATGACCATGGTCCAGAGGAGCATGACAGCATCTTGGACCAGGGTGGCAATGGCAGACATGGACGTGCCACGGGTCCAGTGTTCTAGGAGTCTTTGCTCTCCAGAGAATGACCTTGCCGCCTCCATTCCATCATGCACTCCTCCCCTTATTCCTCAGCCTATGGGTATGCATTTAACCAGCAACACCACACCCTACACCAAACAGGGAAGACACGAAGAAGACAGAGAAAATCATAGTATTCCTTTTCTAAACTGGCAAAAAAACTTTCTTGTTCAAGTTCTAGTAGGAGAAAGTGGACAGAAAACAAGTTTTTTCTGCTCCCTCTCGGCCAGATTCCATTGAAGGTAGAGAAAAGTTGAGGAATTAACCCACAACAGTCTTAAGAACAAGGGAAGGGTATTGTCAATGAACCAGAACGTACGTGTTTCTGAAAGAAGAAAAACAGAGACACTGAAACCGCGTAGAGAAAATAGCGGTGTGAACTGGCCTGGGAGAAGGTGGAGCAGAGGAAGGAGACTGTCTTCCTAGCAGAAGTTCAGCAAGATCTAAACTCTGACCTGGCAGGTTATGGGGACCAGAAGTGAGGAGGGATCAGCAATCTGGGTAATTAATTGAGTGCATGTCACCCAAACACCTGTGCAGCTGTGCAGGTGGCCCTTGCCCCTCACTGCCCCGCAAACACCTGCCCAGTGACTCTCTAAAGCAGCCCAGGCCCAAGCAAAAATGGACAGTATAGCCTTTAAAGAAATTAAACAACCTATGACCACCCTGTATAGAGCTGTGGTCATTTGGTCATGGTAGATGTGCACTCGATACATCCCACCCGCAGAACCGTCACTCAGCCTCCCATTTATGGGAGAGCTCTTCAGAGATAACATTTATCCCAACTGCAAGTGAAACCCATACCTGCTACTAGATTGACCTAAGCTTTTGTATGGCTGTGTGAACAAAACTGACAAATAAAAAGGAGCACCAACTCAACCAAGAAACACCAAAAGTGCAGGGATTGTGTGTGATGAACTAACAGAACAGATCCCAGAAGAAGCAGATAATTCAGGAGTGAGAAAGAACACACAAAACTCTAATGAGTGTCATTAAGGCAATTTAAGAAGTCATTGTACTAGAGAGTGTCAAGACTATATTTCGTTTATAAGATACAAAAACTAATATGGAAATAATTATGGTTGCTGAAATTTAAAAATAAAGCAATAGATAAAAATAAAAAGTTGAGGAAATCTCTAAAAGTAGGAAAAAATAGACAATAAGATGGAAAATGCAAGAGAAAATTAGAGAAAATTATACAATCAAGCCAAGAGGTCCAAGAAAATACAACAGAAAAAAACAGGAGGTTAAAAAAAAATCATCACAGAGAATGGGATGGGGGTATGGGATAAAAAACTACATACAGGGTACAATATATACTACCCTGGTGATGTGTGCACTAAAATCTCACCACTTTATAATTCATCTATGTAACCCAAAACTACTTGTATCCCAAAAGCTATTGAAAAATTTTTTTAATCTGTAATTAAAAAAAAAAAAAAAGATCTTTGAGTGACACATGACTGTAGTCCCAACGACTCAGGAGGCTGACACAGGAGACTGCTTGAGCCCAGGAGTTCAAGGCCAGCATGGGCAACATAGCAAGCCCTCCTGCCAAAAAAGGCCTCTGGGCCAGGTGCAGTGGCTCACGCCTATAATCCCAGCACTCTGGGAGGCCAAGGCAGGTGGATCATCTGAGGTCAGGAGTTCGAGACCATCCTGACCAACATGGAGAAACCCTGTCTCCACTGAAAATACAAAAAATTAGCCGGGCATTGTGGCACATGCCTGTAATCTCAGCTACTCAGGAGGCTGAGGTAGGAGAACCGCTTGAACCCAGGAGGCAGAGGTTGCAGTGAGCCGAGATCGTGCCATTGCACTCTAGCCTGGGCAACAAGAGCGAAACTCTGTCTCAAAAAAAAAAAAAAAAAAAGTCTTTTGAAAAATGTTTGTATCATCGATGTAAACCCATGTTATGAAATGATAAAACATTTTGCCAGTTTTTAAAAAATCATCACAGATATAATGAAACCTTTTTGGTAATATTGTGGACTAGATTCCCTTACCTTCCTTTTGGTTGAAACCAGCTAAAATTGTTAGATAATATATTTAAACATATTCTTAAAAACATCAATGATCTGGCAATAAATAAAAAATACTCCAGGTTAGGAGCTTCATGAAGGCAGAAATCCAGAGAAATAAGCCTAGCACTAAGCCAGTTTTCACCTTGAGTTTATTTGCCAAACTTTGTGGATCTGAGCTTTGGTTTCATGGCTTCCTGGGAGAAAGGAGACCAAGCTCCATGCCTGCTGAACAGAGACTCTTCCCCCATAAGGCTGATACCTCACATAGCTACAACCTCAGTGTAGGTTTCTGAAGAACCAGTCGTGTGGCTATTGAAATCACCAAGAATAAAGCAGGAGTTGCGTTGGGATGACAATGAATCAGATGTTACAATCGACGAAAAGTGAGTAAGTATCTGAAAGTGCCTATAGATGCCTGCAGAAAGGAAGGGCAGTGGGTTGCATGGTCCAATGGCATGAGATTCAAAGACAGGGGTCTGCAGGGAATTGGAGAGGAGGAGGATGGAATTAGAAACAGAAGGGGCCCAGGAGAGTAACCCTACTTTCAAACCTGCTGGTTCCAGGTCTGTGAGAGTGAAAACTAGCCAGCAACCAGCTGCATAGATTTCAGAGAAGCAGAGTGCCGAGGAAAAGCCAGGTTTGAATTAATGCAAGAAGAAGTGCATTTTCAGAAAAGACACTGGGGATGTGGGGAATTTAGGTGAAGACTGCCCAGTGGAAAGGCTTCAGGAGTAGAAGATGGATGGGGCTGGAGTGTGCACAAAGCCTTATGGGAGTAAGAGTCTGTGTGGTGAGGGGTGGTCTGGGAGTCTGGGGCTTCTTGTGATGAGGACACACAAGGAGATGAAGAGAACGAGAGTAATTAGTCCCTAAGGAAGAAGCCAATGTCTTGTTAATAGGCATCTACTAAACATGCAGTGAAAGGGTTTAGTCACTCTATTGACAAGACATTTACTCCCCACAAATTCTTCCATTCTCTCCACCCACCATCAGACATATAGAGACATTAAAAATTGGAAAATAATTGTCTTCTCACCTATAAAACTCAATAAGATCACAGTCATCATTATTTCAAGGCAATTAACAGGGATAATATCCTGCCTTTCAGTAACTAGATTACTTCCAAGAACTAACTGTAAGGTATTTTGTTTTTTATTTTTTATTTTCATAGGTTTTTGGGGAACAGGTGGTATTTGGTTACATGATTAAGTCCTTTAGTGGTGATTTGTGAGATTTTGGTGCACCCATCCCCCGAGCAGTGTACACTGAACCTGATTTGTAGACTTTTAACCCTTACACCCTTCCCACCATTTCTTCCTGAGTTCCCACAGCCCATTGTATCATTCTTATGCCTTTGCATCCTCATAGCTTAGCCCCTGCTTATGAGTGAGAACACATGATGATTGGTTTTCCATTCCTGAGTTACTTCACTTAGAATGATAGTCTCTAATTCCATCCAGGTTGCTGTGAATGCCATTAATTCATTCCTTTTTATGGCTGAGTAGCATTCCATTGTGTGTGTGTGTGTGTGTGTGTGTGTGTGTGTGTGTGTGTGTGTGTGTGCATATATATATATATATCACAGTTTCTTTACCACTAGTTGACTGATGGGCATTTGGGCTGGTTCTACATTTTTGCAATTGTGAATTGTGCTGCTAGAAACATGTGTGTGCAAGTATCTTTTTCGTATAATGACTGCAAGAACTAACTGTAAGTTAATTGGAGATTCCAACTTAAGCCTGGGAATATAGTCCTACAAGTATCCAGCCCCATTCCTGAAGTGATCCCATCAAACATGTTTCAATTATTATTTTACTATTCTGAATTAAATTGAATTCTTCCTTAGCCTCTTTAAGTAAAATGTAAATCTGATTTTGAAGAAACGAGATGCATTCTCAAAGACAAACTAAAATATATATGTCAGGTAGACGGTAAGATCTCCACAGGTGGGAGAGCAATGACTGGAAAAGATGTGTTCCTATAATGCACAAGCTTGGAATGAATTCCAGACAAGGGAGGTACAATGTGATCTTTTAGTCTTTTCATGACTCAGCAGATCTTCAAGTACTTACATTGCTTCATTCGTGCCTCTCTAGCTACTGCCCTTTGATTCTGTGGAGAAATGTTAAATGGAAAGGAAGCAACAAGAAAAATAAAGAGGTTTGAGTAAACACAGCTTGGCTATGTTGTATTTCAAGAATACCTAAGGGAGACTGGACATGGTGGCTCACACCTGTAATCTCAGCACTTTGGGAGGCCCAGCTGGGCAGATCACTTGAGGTCAGGAGTTCAAAAGCAGCCTGGCCAACATGGTGAAACTCCATCTCTACTAAAAGTACAAAAATCAGCTGGGTGTGGTGCACATGCCTGTAATCCCACCTACTTGGGATGCCAAGGCAGGAGAATCCTTTGAACCCAGGAGGCAGAGGTTGCCATGAACAGAGATCACAGCACTGCACTCCAGCCTGGGTGACAGAGCAAGACTCCATCTCAAAAAAAAAAAAAAAAAAGAAAAGAAAAAAAAAAAGAAAAAGTACACCTAAGAGAACTCTGAATGCACATATGGACCCATCGGATTAGAAATATTGATTGCTGGCAAAAATGAGTGCCTTTTGAGTTGTTGGAACCAAAGGAGTATTTATACCAACTTATTTGAAAATGTCTTAATCACTAAGTATATTAAATATGGGAAACTGAAAGGTTTGCTTGGATATAGTGCAGGTGGAAAACTGGAAAATATGTAAATAAATCTTAGGCTCAGAATTCACCTCAACCCTAGGGTGTCCAGATCATACAACTATGGATATAAAATCTGCCGATCATCACATTTGAAAGAAAGGGAGAAAGTAAGCGTTTTTTTAAAACTGAGTGACAAATCCAGACAGACAGAAAAAATATGACAAGAATACAATTAGCAAAAATGTAAACGAATCTGATCAAACATAGCAATTTGTTGAGAGATTTTTTTAATTTTCCACATCAAAAGTTATGTTAACATTGCCCTGAAGGGTCTCCACTAGAGATAGCTAAATTGGTAATATATGAATTCAGTAAGTACTAGACATGCCATGATGGTCTATGGCATGAATTCCTGATGTTTTTGAATCATGAACCCCTTTGAGATTGACATTAGTGCTATGAGGCCCTCTCTAAGAGAAAGGATATAAACAAAATATTTCAATGCACCAAATATTAATTTTCTTCATGTAGCTGAGATGAAAGCAAGTTTTTGGTTTTGTTTCATTTTATGATTTTCAAAACATCGGTAATAAAATGAAGACAGGTATCCTGTGCCTACTTCACAGAGTCCTAGAAGCTGAGTCATAGACCTCAGAGGGTCATAGAATCACAGGTTTAGAACTTTTGATCCTGGGATAAGTTTTGATTTGAAACTACAAAGGAGCTCAAGTTCAGAGAGAAAGACCTCCTTCATTCTCAAAGCCACCATATATATATATATATATATTTTAATGGCCAAGGACACACAGAGGAGAGGGAGCTCATTGAAGAATCAATGAATCAGATTCCTCTATTCCCTTCTGAAATTCATCTGGGCAATCTTTCTCTATGAAAACGAATACTACAATGAATATCCTTGCCTGCACACATTCACACACTGGACTAATTACTTTTTTAATGTGAACTCTTGAAGCAGATTTTTTTTTTTTTTTTTTTTTTTTTTGGAGACAGAGTCTCACTCTGCCACCCAGGCTGGAGTTCAGTGGCGCTAACACAGCTCACTGCAGCCTCAACCTCCCAGGCTCAAGTGATCCTCCCACCTCAGCCTCCTGAGTATCTGCAACCACAGATGCATGCCACCATGCCTAGCAATTTTTTTTTTTTGGAACAGAGTTTCTTGTTGCTCAGCTGGAGTGCAATGGTGTGATCTCCTCTCACTGCAACCTCTGCCTCCCAGGTCAAATGATTCTCCTGCCTCACCTGCCAAGTAGCTGGGATTACAGGCGCCCACCACTAAGTCTGGCTACTTTTGTATTTTTGGTAGAAACAGGGTTTCACCTTGTTGGCCAGCCAGGCTGGTCTCGAACTGCTGACCTCAGGTGATCCACCTGCCTCGGCCTCCCAAAGTTGTGGGATTACAGGCATGAGCCACTGCACCCGGCCTAATTTTTAAATTATTTATAGAGATGGGGAATCTCCCTATGTTGCCCAGGCTGGTCTTGAACTCCTGGGCTCAAGTGATCCTCCCACCTTGGCATCCCAAAGTGCTGGGATTACAGATGGGAGGCACCACTCCTAGCCAAAGAAGACATTTTTAATCAAAGAGTGGGTGCATCTTTAAAGTTTTTAGTACACATGGCCAAATTTCCCCACAGAAAACCTGTATCAATTTGTACTCAGATAAGCAGAGTACAAATTGATACAGATTTGAACTCTGTGCAGGGATTGCCCCCACCTCCCAAATCATCACCAACACTTCCTTGACCTTATTTTATTGCTTTTTAAAAGTTAATTCATATATCTTATTCATGTAAGTATCTGTTTATCATTCATTTAATATAAAAGAGTAAGTCTAGGAGATCCCAGGTCATGGAACCCTTGACAAACCAAGGTGGCTAGTTTTGACTTTAAAACTCCTAAGAAAAATTAATGAGACACTGGGGAGCATGGGCACTAGGAAAAAAAAACATTAAATGGGACAATCTATATTAGAAAATGAAAAATCAATACCCCAGGCAGACTAAGACTTAAACATAAGCCTAGAACTATCCTCAAAGAGATAAAGACAGGTATTGAAAACATGAGGCAAGAAGAAAAAGTTACAGAAGGGAGATCAACTGGTGACACAGGGCATGAAAAATATCATAGTTGCAGGAATGCATTCGCCAGAATAAATTAAAGAGCAAAGTGGGAATGAAGAACCAACCAGTGGCCTTGAAGGATAAAAGATAAAAGAATGAAAGAAAAGTTAAGAGACATGGATGACAGACATCAAAACTGAGTGGAAGGCACCTGAGAGTGGACAACAATGTCACTTACTCATGATGATGTGTCAAGTCTAGAATAGGAACTCAGCAAAAGCATGCTCCCAGCTACTATTTCTTTTGGGAAAGTGGAAACCACTATATATATTCATATATGTGTGTATATATATATATATTCAAATATGTATATAAATATTCAATATATAAATATATCTGTATATATATTCATTTCTGTGTTTTACTGAGTTTCCTTATAAAAGTGTTCCAGATGGTGACAAGAAATTCCAAAATATATTTTATTCAATATAATTTTCAAAACTATACTGTTTACCTCTTAAGTAAGAAAACCCAGATTGCAGGCTTCTTCTTTAATGTGCTGTCATGAAATCAAGTGTATTTTTAACATGTTCTGAACAGAGTAATTTATAAAGAGATAGGATATAATTTGAAGATTGGGATAAACATCATCCTAAAGATAAAACAAGAGAAAAGATGTCTTGTTGGCTAAATAAAAAACATTGTACAAATTGTTTCTCATTTGGTAGCATCTATTTGATGAATATAAATATGCTGGGTTTTTTCTTAAAAAATAAAAAGGACTTGCTAAAAGAAAAACTTTAGCTGAATTAAATTTAAAGCAGTTTAATTCAGCAAAGAACAATTTGCAAATCAGGCAGCCTCCTGAGCCAGAGAAGGCTCAGAGACTCCAGCAGAGACATATGGTGGAAGAATATTTATGGACAGAAAAAGGGAAGTGATGTACAGAAAATGGAAGTGAGTTACAGACACAGCCGGATTGGTTACAGCTCAGCGTTTGCCTTATTTGAACAAAGTTTGAACAGTTAGCCACTTTTGATTGGCCAAAACTTGGTGATTAGCACAGAATAGATTACAGTCTGTTTATAACTCCATTTAGATCATAGTTCACAATGTACGGAGAAATCTTTAGGCTGAACTTAAAATATATACGGAGGCAGTTTTAGGATAAACTTGATTTACCAGACTTTCCAGACAAGAGTTTTTTTTTTAAAATACTGTCTATAGGTTTAATTGATCTCTGGTTTATTCGATCTATGTGCTAAACAGTTAAGAAATGGCACATGATATTTACCTCCTGTTGGCTGACACACACACAAAAAGAAATGGCACAAGAATAGTTATTTTCAGAATTGTTCTCCCTTAAACAATGAAAATCCAAGTGTTTATTCTTCCTTTAAATAAACTTGCTTTCAAAACCCTTTTTTCCAAACCTCTTCTGTGATTTTTCTCCCATTTTTACACTTAGGCTTTTAAATTGGAAAATCATGAACCATGGTCAATGGAGACTAAGACTAAGGAAAATAGCTATCAAAATAAGTCAAATTTACTAAAAAGAGTTATAGTAACATCACACAGTACTCACAAATAGGAAGCTTTCTAACAAACCACTTATTTCTGAGATATGTGTTCCAAGTTGACATATTGTTAGGGATTCCAAACAAAGGAGCTAGAGGACATCATCTCATTCAACTCCATTATTGATATATGCAGAAACTGAGGCACAGGGAGACAAACAATGTCGCCAAGCCAGTGAGTGGCGGCATCTAAACTAGTATCCCGTGCCACAACCTCCCAGGCCATTTCTTGCAGTTGTCAGTGAGGTTATAGTATAGAACATTTTTAAATACTGACTAAATTATGCAGACTTGCAAGAAAGCAGATGATACAATCTGTGAAGCTTGGAAGGACAGGAGAGAGGCCTGGAAGGGCAGATGGCCAGTGTGTATTCAGGCAAGGAAGCAAGAGGCAGGGAAGCAACTGGAGGGAGGGAGCCTTCAGCAAGGCCTTGGCCAGAAGGGCTCCTTGTCCAGGGAGAACCCATGGAAGACCCCATGCAGGAAACTGCTCACGGCCACCAGGTCTCACATAGCCATGGCTGGATACATGCCTAATTCAGTGGTAGAGGATACCGAAGGGCTGCCTGTGCACCAGCCCTTCTGATACTTGCCTCCTTCCTCTTCTACCCATACCCACACGTCACCTACCCCTGTTCCCTCCCTCCACAGCCACCAAGACCATCCCAAAAGAAGTCAGTCCAGTTGATTCCCCAATAGGTCTTGTAAGTGTGTGGAATTATCTCAGGGAGTTTCTGCTCCTCCCCAACCCAACCCCAAAGTTTTACTCCTTTTCTTGCTGATTCCTGAAATTCCTTCCATTAGAAATAGAAACTTTCTTTTCCAATGGGGATAGGCAAGAGCTTAAAATGTAAATGTTTGATTTAATTGTCATATTGGCTGGTATACATTTCACTGAAATGTTATCAAGCAATGGCTAATTTGCTCTCTCTTCCTCACCAACTCACCCAGTATGTCAGCAATTTTATCAGCTTTACCTACGAAACAGCCTGTATCCAAACACTTAACACACTCACCTGAAAAGTTCAGGCAACAATCGCCTTCTCATGGGTCTCTCTGCTCCAGTTCTGAACCTTTCTCTTTTCCTAGAACATGCATTTAAGTCGATAGAAGTTCCTCTGAGTACTGCTTCTCCCTCTTGCCATAGGTATTAATTTAAGTTCGTTCATTGTCATTTATTTCTTAATTGTCATTATTTACTTCTTGTCTATAATTTAGGTTTTGATTTTCTTTTTAACACATAAAGCATATAGAACAGTATTTTTAATTTTCATGAGATGAGTTTTTTTTTAAATTTTCTTGCTTTTATTTTCTAGTTGTAGTGAAGCATAGTTAAAAATATAGCCTGTACAATACCATTCGGGACATAGGCATGGGCAAAGATTTCATGACGAAAATGCCAAAAGCAATTACAACAAAAGCAAAAATTGAGAAATGTGATCTAATTAAACTAAAGAGCTTCTACATAGCAAAAGAAACTATCATCAGAGTGAACAGACAACCTGCAGAATGGGAGAAAATTTTTGCAATCTATCCATCTTGCAAAGGTATAATATTCAGAGTCTACAAGGAACTTAAACAAATTTACGAGAAAAAAAAAACACAAAAAATCCTAATAAAAAGTGGGCAAAGGACACGAGCAGATACTTCTCAAAAGATGACATTCATGCAGCCAACAAACATATGAAAAAAAGCTCATCATCACTGGTAGAGAAATGTAAATCAAAACCACAATGAGATACCATCTTATGACAGTCAGAATTACAATCATTAAAGAGTTAAGAAACAACAGATGCTGGTGAGGTTGTGGGGAAAAAAGGAATGCTTTTACACTGTTGGTGGGAATACAAATTAGTTCAACCATTGTGGAAGACAGTGTGGCAATTTTCAAAAATCTAGAAGCAGAAATACCATTTGACCAAGCAATCCCATTACTGGGTATATAAGGAATATAAATCATCTTATTATAAAGATACATGCATGTGTATGTTCATTGCAGCACTATTCACAATAGTAAAGACATGGAATCAATCCAAATGCCCATCAGTGACAGACTGGATAAACAAAATGTGGTACATACACCATGGAATACCATGCAGCCATAAAAAGAAACAAGATCATGTCTTTTGCAGGGACATGAATGGAAATGGAAGACGTTATCCTCAGCAAACTAACATAGGAACAGGAAACCAAAACTAACCTCAGCGAACTAACACAGGAACAGAAAACCAAGCACCACATGTCCTCACTTACAAGTGGGAGCTGAACTATGAGAACATGTGGATACAGGGAAGGGAGAAACACACACTGGGGCCTATTGTTGGGGGAGGCCAGGGGAAGGAGAGCATGAGGAAGAATAGTTAATGGATGCTTGCTGGGCTTAATAGCTAGGTGATGGGTTGATCTGTGCAGCAAACCACCATGGCACACGTTTACCCATGTAACAAACCTGCACATCCTGCACATGTACCGCAGAACTTAAAATAAAAATTGAAAAACAAAATAAAACAAGTTACATCACCTAGATATATATATGGCCTGTATAATGCAACCTAGCAACATCTACTCTCTGGCCAATATATGATTAATTTTTGTAAATATTCAATATCACTTATTTGGATGTAAATTTCTATGTGTGTGCATATGTAGGTATGTATACACACATATATAAGTATATGTACACATATATGTACGTATAAAATTCTCATTTTTTATATATATCCAAAATTTCTAAGCTTTATATATGTATGATTTATATATACACGTAGAAATAATCTAATTGTAAAATTTGCTACTTGAATCCTGTATGTTAACTGAAATAGAACTCCACGATGGCAGAGATTTTTGTTTATTTTTTCCCTGCTATAATCCTCAGTATGAAAAACAGTTTCTGGAACATGGTAGGCATCTAATAGATGTTTACGGAATGAATGCTAAATATCCATCTATTTTCTACTTTGCATGTCAATTTTTGAGAGATATATATTAAAATGCCTCAGTGGACTGCATCAGAAACTCCTCCGAGGGGCCAAATGTTTGGGAGAAAAAGGAGTTGACAACATTGCTGAGAAATTTAAAGGCCCACACAAAACTGATTCAACAAAGACTTACTGTGTACCTCAGGTCTTCAGGCACCGAGAATTTAAAGACACCAGAGCTCCTGTTTTGCATAATTCCAGGGGGCACCATACACATCCCAGTTTATGTGAACGTGACCTCTGAAGTTGTGCCGTGCACTCCTACACAGCTATTTGTAGGGCCCTATGCTTGTTCTCAATTGTACTTAAAATACCTACTGGGAGGCTCAGAGGTTTGTATTTTGAGGTCCGATAACTCTATGTAACAAATTCTATACATCACTATATTCAAGGCATGGCTTCCCCTGTTCTCTGCCCTGCCACAACCTTAACACCTCAAAACACACCTCTTTCTCTCTCTCTCTCTCTCTCTCTCTCTCTCACCCTGGCCAACCTGTAATGTGTTGGCAAATTCATTATAGCAGCAGATGCTCTTCTTTTCAGGGACTATTTAACTCTGGACTTTTGTAATAGTCCAAAACACACACACCTACAATGAAAAACATCTGTGGGATGAAAACATTTGTGCAATGAAAAAACATCTGTCTGAAATCTGATTTAGGGCTGTCTACCACAAGTCAGGAGAGTTCAACCCCTGGATATGTTCATGGTCAATGATAGTTAAACTATTATAGCTCTGGGTAAACCAGACCTTGACAGAGCCTCCAATCAGTAATTCAATAACTGGAAAACTGACCCCAATCATTGCTCATTGCCCCTGCTCAAAAACTGGTTCCACAGAATTAAATCATTTCTCTAAGGAAATTTTCAAAGTGAATGATTTATTAGCAATTACAAAAGAACCATGACTCTGCTTGGCAGCTATCAGAATGCCGTGACCTCAGTGAGTTACAATGGAATTTTCTGGAAGAATGTAGAAGAGAAAAAAATGTTACCAAAGTTTTGCCAGAAATTCTGTAAGCATTTTGATGTTTCGACCATTTTATTCTTTCCTAGGACGTTTTTCTATTCCTAGCTGAATATAGAACCTGGTTGTCAAAATTGTGATCATCTCTCTTTCTTATTCCAAGCAGTCAGGTTCCCTGATACCTCCCTTCAACAATGCTACTAATGCCCATCTCTATCTAGCAACGTTTTCTTCCTCACCTGCTTCCATCACTGCTGTATGCCCTGGGGTCTTAAAGGTATGAGGAAAATATGTGCTTCAAGAAAAATAGTAGTGAAATTTTGGGAACATAAAAACTGCTTCATGCACTGAGAAAATTTCCACCACTGCACTTAGACATCTACTGAATGCCAAGTGCCTGAAAACTAGGGCAGGGGTTCTCTCCCACTGCAAACCAAATGTGTTAGGCTGTAAGCTCCCTGAAGGCAGCAGTAGTGTGGCAGGCCAGGTGTCACTAATGCAAGCCTCCGTAACAACAGTTTCAGTACTGACTGAGTGGTTAAGTTAAATATTGAAAGCTAAAAAAGCCAGTGCGCTTATATAAAGGCTGGAATGTAACAAAAGCCTACCAAGAGCTTTGCCTAGGCTTTTTTCTGGGCCTTAAAGCATGATTAAACAAGTTTTACTGTGGGTCTGGAGAAACTCTCCAGGCTTCGACAAACAAGTTTACTGCGGGTCTGAAGTAAATCCCCAGACCTCCGTGATTTAGCAGGAGACAAGAGTAATCACCCCACCACCTGGAACCATTTAGATTAAGTAAATTTACTGAGGCTCCAGACGAAGGTCTTCAGGACTAGACCTTAGTTATAGATTAAAAAAAGTTAATCACTTATGTCTTTAGATGAATGCACACTTACACGTAGACATATAAGCTCTAGAAAACTTTCTAATTTTGAGTTTGTCTGGTGATAATTTCCAGGCCTTCTCCCTGTAACTGGTTACAGAAATAAAAACTCTGTTCCTTCCCAGTTCATCTGCATCTTGTTATTGGGCCGCAAGAAACAGCAGCCTAACCCTCAGTTTGGCCTGGAAACAGAATGTGGCATGCCAGCCAGGAGAGACCAGGACGGTGCTGTGTCCAGCAGCCAGAGGCTTGTGACCAGACAGTGTTCAGGAGGATCCCAGCAGCTGCCAGTGAGATTTTCCCGGGAACCCTTTTGAAGGGTCCTGTGGGTAAAAAATGCACATCTCTTTCACTACTGGGGAAGAACGGAGATCAAGAGCAGACATGCTCAAAAGGTGAGTTAACCAGATTGTATGACAGGAGCCTATTGTTTTCCTATCTGGGATTGATAAGCCATTTGTCCGGTACGACCGTGGGAAGAAATAGGGCTCGCTCGTACACCCACTTTGCATTTTGGTTAAGATCAGGTTTTGAGTTGGTTTTGAGTCTTTTTGCCCAGTGCACTCCCCCTTATGTTGTCCAAACTTTGCCTCCACTTATTTGTGTATTGGTCTTATTTCCTTTGATATCATGTAAACTTGAAAATGGAAGGTATTGGGTCCATTCCTGCTGGGAGGCCTCTGGGAAGGAAAAATATTTTTTAGAAGCTCAGTGGTTGAGAGTCAGCTTAACTGAAAGCTAACATCTAAGATGTGTATATGTATGTGGGTGTGTTTGTATTTAAAAGGCCTTCATGTTTTTGTTTTTGTTTTTGTTTATTTCTCTCCTAGGACCTTGTCTTTTTGAGCAAAAGTTTTTTCTTCTCAGTTAACTGAATTCTGTTTTCTTCATTAATAGCTATTTCAACAGAAGCTACTCTGGGGCTTTTTTTTTTTTTTTTTTTTTTTTTTTGAGACGGAGTCTCGCTGTGTCTCCCAGGTTGGAATGCAGTGGCGCGATCTTACTCTGGGGCTTTTAAGAGAAAGTGTAATTTAGACACTTAGAAATGTCTTTGTTTGGAAAAAAAATTTTTAAAGTGCACTGTAAAAGCATCACATGGTCTAACCTCATAATACTTCTACCTTTTTGAAAACCCAGGATTCAGTGTGGGCTCTGCCCGGAACTCAAAGATACAGTTAAAAGATAGGAGAAAGGAGGTCTTACAAATCTATAAAATGGTTTTCTATTGGCATGCCTAATATGTCTATGTATTTATGTCTTGTGTACACCATGTTTCACTATTGAAAATATATAAAAGAGTTCTGATTAATTGGCTCAAAGAAAAATAAAAGTGCTTAAATATTTTAACAGAAAAATAGAAAAGACTAGTCAAATGCTTTTTCAAGTTATGTGACTAAAAGAAAATCTTTAATAAACAAGCTAGCTTTAAAAATTATTGGTAAAGTAATATTAGAGATGTCTTAAGAGTTGCCGACATACATTTTTGTTTGCATTTATTGATCACACAATTTCATACTTATCTCTACCAAATACTATAAGGTGTCAAAATTTGGCATAGAAGCTACAAAACTATAATTTATCCCAAAACAGAATGATCTTTGCTTGTGTAATTTCTAATAAATGAAACATTAATATTGGTTTAATGGAGATAGCTAAATCTTGAATTATTTAGTAAAAATATCCTAACTTATAATCTTGTGGCCTTAGGCAGTCTAGTCCACAGACATGAAGGAAGTTTGTTCTGGGAAAGGACTGTTATCTTTGTTTCAAAGCTAAACTATAAGCTAAGTTAATGAACAAGAATAGCTTGGAGGCTAGAAACAAGTCAGTTAGGTCAGGTCGTTTTCACTGTCTCAGTTACAATTTTGCAATGGCGGTTTCATAACTTTAAATGATGACTATTGCAGTTTTCATAAATAATCTAGGTAAATGATTAAAATAAGTAGATAAATGTAATGGAATACTCATAAACAAACTTGCCATAATTTCGAATCTAAAGTTATATTAAATTAAACAACGGATATTTCATTATTTGGGTATTCTCCAATAAAATACATTGTAGGAAAACATTCTTTTTTAGTTCTAATTTCCTTGAAAAAACTTTCTGCTGCTTGCTCTTTCTCAACTCCCTCTTGAAGGCAAATGACTTAGATTTGCTCTTCTGGGGTTATTTTCTAGATTTCATGGGAATTCTTTATTCCTTTTATTCTTTTTTTCTCCACTGGCTATGCATTTTCAAATAGTCTGTCTTTGAGCTCACTACTTCTTTCTTCTGCCTTATTAGTTCTGCTGTTGAGACCTTCTGATGCATTTTTCAGTTCAGCCAATGTATTTCCCAGTTCTAAAATTTGTTTAATTTTTTAAAAAATTATTTCAATCTGCTTGTTAAATTTCTCTGATACATTTCTGAATTGCTTTTATATGTTATTTTGGAGTTTGCAGTTTCCTCAAAACTGCTAGTTTGGATTCTTCATCTGAGAACTTACATATCACTATTTCATTAGGGTCAGTACTGGAATCTTGCTCTGTCCGTTTAAGGAGGTCATGGTTCCCTATTTGCTGTTGTTTATTATAAACATACAACTATGTCTTCGCATTGAAGGATTCGTTATTTTTTCCAGTCTTTGCTGTCTGTGTTACTTTGCTCTTACTAGCATATGTGTGTTTAGAGGTTACCCGTGAAATTTGCCTGTTAATTCCCTTAGCACTAGATCACTACCTCCTTTTTGGCACTAGATGGTGCCCTAAGACCAGGTTTGCCGCAGCTTTTGCAGCCTTTCAAAGCACTGCCGATCTTGGAAAGAAGGTGTCCCAGAGGGGATTCCCTGGCTGGGTGGGAAAGCTGGCTAGGGGTTTGTGCCCTCAAGGATCCAGGCAGTGCACCTCCTACAGCATGGTGCTGCCAAACTGCCTCTCTGATTTGGCATCTCTTTGCCCGGGATGGAGAGCAGCTCCCAAGTTGTATGCACTGGGGCTGCTTGCCCCACCTCTTCTGTCTAGCTCCCAGATGCCCTCAGGGTCCTTCTGGCTGCAGACACTCATGATGCTTCCCATGGGCTGAGACAGGAACAGCTTTCCTGCATAGGAATTCAAGATATTGGGGAAGATGGCTGTCCACCTTGACCTCCCTTTTTCCGGTGCTGAAAGCGTGAGTGCTGGGTGACATTTCCAGGAAGTGCCTCGCAGTTTGAAGGAAGGCTATTATGGATAGAGAAATCAATTTATCGTATGTTCTGCTTGCAGTTTTTCACGTCTTTGTGTCTCCAGGGATTGTCACAGCCTCGGTTTTGAGTTCTTGGATATTGGTGGTGATGATCTTTACACTGGCTAGTTCTGTTTCATTTTCTGTATGGGAGAGTGAAGTCAGATTACTTCTTCTCTGCCATTTTGGTGACATCACCTTAACCCTTATACTTTTTCACATCAGTGTGGAAAGCTTAAATTCTTCCATTTTTTGTCCTATATATTTTCAAAATAGATTTTTTTAAATGCCTCCCCCAAAAAAGGAGTTGTAAAATCATATCTTTTAAAAATTATATTAAATCCAGAGTTTTGTTTTTGTTTCTTAACAAGCACATTTAAACCCTCTAAGCATGTGCCTTGTTTGAATGGGATTGAATGTAATGGTAGTTGCTTTGGAGTTTCTAGGCCTGAATTGCTCCAACTTTGCTTTTACTCATCCAAACCCTGCTTTGGGAAAATTGAAATCCATGAATATTAAAAATTCAAATTTTCACATAATTAATCTGAGTAATACATTTTACTATGAAAGAACTCAAAATGTGCTTTTAAAAGGTTTCACTTCTAGTTTCTCCTAAGAGTTTCACTGCAGCCTTTAAAATACCCTTTTCCAAAACTCTATGTAATTTTCATAAATATATCAATGGAGTATGTGTTTTTATGCATATCAAAATAGGTTTCTTACTGGTTCCCACTTCTCTAACCATCAAGAATAGTGATACTGGTCTGGCTCACAGTGGCCTGTAAGCCCAGCACTTTGGGAGACTGAGGCGGGAGAATCACTTGAGGCCAGGAGATCAAGACCAGCCTGTGCAATAAAGTTAGATGTAAAAAAAAAAAAAGAATAATGATTCTTTATTTTATTTTTATTTTTTTTAAGACAGAGCCCAGGCTGGAGTGTAGTGGTGCCATCTCAGCTCACCACAATCTCCGCCTCCCTGGTTCTAGCGATTCCACCGAGTAGCTGGGATTATAGGTGCACGCAACCACACCCTGCTAGTTTTTTTTATCTCTTTATTTGTATTTTTAGTAGAGATGGAGTTTCACCATGTTGGCCAGGCCAGTCTCGAACTCCTGACCTCAGGTGATGAACCCGCCTCGGCCTCCCAAAATGCTGGGATTACAGGTGTGAGCCACCGCACCTGGCTGAATAATGATACTTTCAAAGAGCTAATCTCCTGGTCCAACATTCCACCTTTCACACCATCTCCCACTCTCTCACCAAAGTGTCCTATAACTGCCCTCCTTAAAACTTTTTACATCTGCAAAACTAAGTCCAAATTCCCGAGCATGACATACAAACCCTTTATGATCCAGTTCTTTCTTATCTCTCCAACCTAAGCTCTTGACAATTTCTCCTTTCCAAGCCCCAAGTCACCCACCACTTCCTCTTCCAGCCTCTCCAACTATGTTGGACTCCCCAACGCACTACACAGAGTATACTAGTACAGGGTGTGGCCTGTTCTGTGCCTAGGCCTGAATGGTTGCAAACACCTAAGCATGTGAGCAATTTATTTGTGTATTTGGCTGTTTCCCTCCTCAGGCTGTGGGTTTTTTGAGGCCTGGGATTATGCTCTATTATATTCATGTACCCACACTGTGCCTGACACATGGTAGGTGCTGATAAATATTTTATGAATATAAAAGTTGAAATAATTGAAATAAATAAGAATAACCAATGTTTACACAGAAGACAATACTCAGAAACTCATAAGGGACAGGAATTTTATTTGATGCTGTACATTACTGTTAGTAAAGGTGACCATTAACACAGTTGGATCCTCAAATGTTGATGAATGATCTAAAAAATGGAAAACTGTCTTTAAGCCACATATTGAGCAAAATAAAACATTACTGGTAGATGCATTATATTGCATTTAATAAAATGTGTCAATACTTATAAAAGTATTGCCTTTATGGAAACTCTTGAAGCAGAATCATTGTCTGGGGTAAATACCCAAGGTTCATCATCTCACACCAGGGGAATTGAGGACACAAATACATAAGAAGTGAGTATAAGAGTGGAGATTTAATAGGCAAAAGAAAGAAAAAAATAGAATAGTTCTGTCTCCTGCAGACAGAGGGGTGCCAGAGTGGGTCTTCTGGTTCTGAGGTGAAATGCATGGGGTTTTATAGCCAAGCTTGAGGAGGTGGTGTCTTATTTACATAGGACTCAAGAGATTGGTTGGGCCAGGTGTGCTGTTTACATAGCATGCGAAGAAGCTGGCTGCCTCACTCTAATATTTTATTATGCAAATAGACTCTTTACCTGGCCAGCACCATGTCGGCTTCTTTACTGCACACATGGTTGACAAAGAAAAGGGAAGATGGAGCCTCCATGTTGAACATACTTGGCCCCACGTAGCCTTTTCCTGTTGGCCAAGCTGCTGTCGTTCACCCGCGCAAGCTTCCAGTTTGCTTGCCTATGTCTGCAGCTCGATTTTTAAGGCTGCTCTTTGTTAGAAAAGAAATGATTTGGGGGCTGCTTTTCATTAAAAGGAAAACCTTACCGAGGACTTCCTTACCCTCACTATCTGCCTGAATAATTTCTTTTTAATTTCTATATTAATATTATACAGATTATGCTATTTCAAAATCATTCTAGATTAAAGGAGGCTTGATCACAAACTGAAAACCTGAGTTAAAATACATACATTTTATCTCACATATAGGTAACTATTACCTTTACAAAATATATTTTAGAACTTGTTATAACAGAGGATGAAAGTAAACACAGCACTTACTCCTAGCTTAGGATCAAACACTTGGAAAACATCTGACAAAAGTCTAATAGTCAGCATCTATTAGAAACGTAAACAAATATACAAGAAAAAGCAAACAACCCCATTAAAAAGTGGGCAAAGGATATAAACAGACACTTTCCCAAAGAATACATACATGTGGCCAACAAGCATGTGAAAAAAAGCTCAATATCACTGATTATTAGAGAAATGCAAATCAAAATGACAATGAGACATCATATCACAGCAGTCAGAATGACTATTACTAAAGAATCAAAAAATAACAGATGCTAGTGAGGTTGCAGAGAAAAGGGAATGCTTATACACTGTTGGTGGGAGTGTAAATCAGTTCAACTATTGTGGAACGCAGTATGACGATCCCTCACAGAGCTAAACATGGAAATACCATTTGACCCACCAATCCCATTACTGGGTATATACCCAAAGGAATATAAATGATTGTACCAAAAGACACATGCACATGTAAGTTGATTGCAGCACGATTCACAACAGCAAAGACATGGAATCAACCTAAATGCCCATCAATGGCAGACTGGATAAAGAAAATGTGGTACACAAACACCGTGGAATACTATGCAGCCATAAAAATGAACGAGATCATGTCATTTGCAGGAACATGAATGGAGCTAGAGAGGATTATCCTCGGCAAACTAATGTAGGAAAAGAAAAAACAAATACTGCATGTTCTCACGTACAAGTGGGAGCTAAATGATGCAAACACAGGGACACAAAGAGGGGAACAACAGACACTGAGGCCTACTTGAGCGTGGAGGGTGGGAGGATGGAGAGAATCAGAAAAAATAACTACTGGGTACTAGGCTTAGTATCTGGCTGATGAAATAATCTGTACAACAAACCCCCATAACACAAATTTACCTATATAATAAACTTGCACATGTACCCCTGAACCTAAAATAAAAGTTTAAAAAATAAACACTTAGAGAAGAAACTTGGGCAAAAGTATTCCTGCAGGAGAAATGTCAGACAGAAACTCCCTTAATGGAGGACATAGCCCTGTGTCTGCTACTCTCCACCTGAGAAATGTGGAGAATACTTAATATCTTAGCCATCTCCCTAAATTTTCTTTCCTCACACACTTACTGCCTCAGAGGCCTGGTGGCCCAGGTTTCCTGGAACAATGTATTTGGCATAGCTCAGCAAGCTTTCTCTCAAGTTTACAATCTCCTTCTTTGAAAGTATATTGTAAAATTCTTAAAACATATTATTTGGCCCCAGATAGTTCCTATTGTTTACTTAAGCAAGTTTGAGCCATTCTGAATTTTAATGGGTTCTGAAATAATATTCACATGACTTTTTTCCCTTAATTGCTGTCTTACCTGATTAATGCATATTCCCAACGGTGGCCAACAGTTATCAGCTGCTTTACTGCTGCATCATATTTCATCAAATTCCAAACAGGCACAAAGAGAAAAAGGAATACAAGATGTATAGCTCAAGGGTTGGTGATAGAGTTAAATTCTCATGAGGGCTGGTTGTTTAAAAGTGTGTGACATCTCCTTCCCCAACTCCCTCTCCTGCTCTCACTCTTGCATGATGATACATCAGCTCCCCCTTTGCCTTCCACCATGACTGGAAGCTTCCTGAGGTCTCACCAGAAGCTGAGCAGAAGTCCAGCACCTTGCTTCCTATACAGCCTATAGAACAGTGGGCTGATTAAACCTCTTTTCTTTGTAAATTACCTAGCCTCAGGTATTTCTTTTCGGGAATTTTTTTTTTTTTGAGACAGGGTCTGTCTCTGTTACCCACGCTGGAGTGCAGTGGTGCAATCTCAGTTCACTGCAACCTCTGCCTCCTGTGCTCAAGCCATCTGTCCACCTCAGCCTCCCAAGGAGCTGGGATTACAGGTGTGTGTCACCATGCCTGGCTAATTTTTGTACTTTTGTAGAGATGAGGTTTTGCTATGTTGCCCAGGCTGGTCTCAAACTCCTGACTCAGGTGAGCCACCCGCCTCGGCCTCCCAAAATGCTGGGATTACAGGCATGAGCCACTGCACCCGGCCAGGTATTTCTTTATAGCAACATGAGAACAGTCTAATACAGTTGGATCATCTAATAAAAAAAAATAAGAAAAATCTTTCAAGTAAAAGAAAAAGAAAACCCAGGATCCCTGCTCCAAGCTTTTGCTTGCTCAGTGGGATTCCCTCACAAATTCTCCAGTGCCACTTACAGAGAATTCTTTCTGGGATTTCAAGGGAAATCTCAGTCAGCAATCTACATCCCCACAAATGTCTCTCAGTTTACAGCAATGAACAGGCCTCATACCTCCACCAATGTGCAAGGCAACTCACAGTCAGTAATGGCGACACATGTCTCTTCCAACTCTCTTCTGTCACCTCTTTCATCCCTCCCCACCTCCACCCTGTTGTGACTCCCATTTTTGACAAATCTGGCCTGTTAGACACTAGCTGGATTCAGAACCATGGAGAAACTATGGCACATATTGACTGAAACAAGAACTGCCTCCTGACCTTGCCCAAGATTGTGTATCCAATAGTGACACGGAGAGACTCACATTGGGAAGACAGGATGACTCCATGTGAAGCAAAACTCAACTGTCAACTATTCCAGACGTTCCCAAAACATTCTAAGAATTGTCATAAGTAACTTGAGACTTGCATCATCTAAAATTGTATTTCCGTCTTTCTTCCCATGCAGAATATTCCATGACATGTTTTAAAATTCCTACAAGAAAATTTCAGACAGCCTCATTAGCTTTTTGCCATGGTACTTGAGAAAAACACCATCTTTTTTCTCATAGAAAGCTTCTCACCAGAGCTTTTAAAATTTCAACTACAATTTATTCCCTCGAGTCTTCCAACATGGCTACCAATACTTCATATATTAGTGCTGTGAACTACTTTACCTTAGTAAATAGTATAACAAAAAGTGGGAAACATCAAATACCTGATGGCACATAAAGCAAACAGAAATTTGAGGGAGAGGTCTGGTACAATGGCTCATACTTATAATTCATTCACTTTAGGAAGCTGAGGTGGGAGGATCTCTTGATTACAGGAGTTCAAGGCTACAGTTAACTATGAATGCGCTACTGCACTCCAGCCTGGGTGACAGAGCAAGACTGAGAAAGAAAGAGAAAGAGAGAAAGAGAAAGAAAAACAGAAAGAGAGAAAGAGAAAGAAAAAGAGAAAGAGAGAAAGAGAAAGAAAAAGAGAAAGAGAAAGAGAGGAAAGGACAGGAAAGGAAAAGAAAAGGAAAGAAAAGGGGAAAGTAGAGAGGACAGGAGAATGGAAGGAAGGAAGGAGGGAAGGAAGGAAGACAGGGAAGGAAGGGAAGGAAGGGAGGGGAGGAGTGGAGGGAGGAAGGAAGAGAGAAAGAGAGAGAGGAAGGAAGGAAGAAAGGAAAAGAAAGGAAAGGAAGGAAAGGGGAAAGTAGAGAGGACAGGAGAATGGAAGGAAGGAAGGGGGGAAGGAAGGAAGGGGAGGAGTGGAGGGAAGAAGGAAGAGAGAAAGAGAGAGAGGAAGGAAGGAAGAAAGGAAAGGAAAGGAAAGGAAGAAGGGAAGGAGTAGAGGGAGGGAGGAAGGAAGAGAGAAAGGAAGGAAGGAGGGAAGGGATGAGGGAAAGGAGGAAGCGAGGGAGAGAGGGAGGAAGGAAGGAAGGAGTGAAGGAAGGAAGGAAAGAAGGAAGGAAGAAAGGAATTTGAGGGAGACATATGAACTCAACATTGAACTGGACACCTGAATATTTGGGTTTCTTTCCCAATTCTTTCACCCCATAATCAGTTTCTAAAACTTCAACATCCACATGCAATAGTCCCAGTAGTGCCGTACAGATTCACCGTTCAATGAAAGATGAAGCCACCTGAAGTTGTCCTTTTCATCATCATCTTTAGGGCTCACATCTGGCACCTAGTTAATGCCTGAAAGCCAGCACCAATACTATTATCTCAGGGAACCTGTTCTGGCATCTAGACGCCTACTGTCATCAGTATAGTTTCAACCTGTCAACATGGCAGTGCTAGGCAGTAGCAGTATTTTCTTCAAGGAAGTCATGATTTTCCCCCAATTTTGCATGTGTCTTTTAATTCGGACAGCATTTACATTTTTCTTCTTTCCCTCCAATGTTCACTTAAAAAGAATGGATTCTCTTAGCTGTTTTAGGAATCATCTGGTCTAAGGAAAACTATGTTTTCTGAGTTTTCATTTTTATTTTCTTCTGCTCCTTTTACACCACCAGAAACATGGAGCACAATGACATTTTTATTTGAAGAGCTGGTCATCTTCCCTCAGTAACAAGTGGCTTCTGTGAGTGCTCTCATCATTGGTAAATTTCTGGCTCATAAAGACTTTCACCTCAATTTCTCAGGACATGCTAAAAATTATTATTTGGTATTCTTGCCATTTTCTCATCTTCCATTTCTAATTATCTATTGTGGCTCTTGGGGGGCAAATCTTTTCTTTTGCAATTTATCGATTCTTCATGTATAATTAGACCCCTCAACTTCCTTTCACAAGCAGAGCTTGGACCTGAGCATGTTTAAATCAAGAGACAGGAGATTCTGAGCCACACTGCCAGCATGCTGATGAATGCTATCACCGAGATGGGCAAGGCGTAATTAACAGAACTTTCAAAACATAAAATGCTCTACAGTCTGTCTCTACATGCTACAAGCAGGGTGTTATATTACTTGCCAGTATTCACAGGTTCTGTGAGATTCCACTAAAAACACCTAACAATATAAATTAGGAAAAATACACACACACACACACACACGCGCGTGCACGCTGGCGCACACACACACACACACACACACAGGGAGGATGGAGGGAGGGACGAGGGAGAGAGACATTTAGAATTTTAAGTTCTACATTTATTCTCTTTTCATTCCCCTTCCCCTAAAAATAAGAAGAAACAGTAAACATGTTAAAAAAGAGCAAGGAGAAGAAAGTCAGGAGACTGGATAATCCACAATTGCATCATGGGCTCCTGAGAGATGGAGGCACTGGCTGCGTGTTTCTCCACGTGATGCCCACTCATTCCGTGCCCTTGTGCTAAGGAGGGAGGGTCACCAGCAACTTTTATTTGTTGGTTTGTTTTTAAGTAAAGAGTCCAAGATTCCAGAAACCATCCTGCATTCATACGATAGCGATAAAATCATTTCATGTATTTTGCTGAAAATTTAAAACCTGGGAATATGTTCAGTCCTCATTTTACCATTTATACTCCTTTCTTTCAACACTCTGTTTTATTTTTAAGTCTATTTTTTTTTTTGCCAAAATAATAAAACGTGGAGAATCCAGCCAATGCAGAAAGATGAAAATCAAGCTGGAAGCCCTTTTACAACCCCATTCCATAGAGATAATCTCCATGAAGAGGTTTGGTTCCATCACACTGGAGTCTTTCTATACATTCACAAACATATAGATGTAGAAAGATACAGGTTTATAGAGGCATCGAAAAATTTGACTTATATAAACATATTTGAGGTATATGTGTATGTTTCTGTATTTACATATGTGATTGAACATGGAGGCAAACACAGGGCAAAATCTGAGAAATATACAAATGCGTGAGGCTATATTTCTAAGTATTGTGTTTGTGTGAATGTGAGAGTCACATAGACATACACGCATTTGTCTGTTAACTCTGGCACCATAATTCCTCTCAGGATGGTAATTGCATTTGTTTAAGAAAACTCTTTTTGTATATTTCAAACTAGCTAGAAGAGAATTGTAATGTTCTCAATATAAAGAAAAAAGATTGAGACGATGAGTATCTCAGTTTCCCTGATTTTATCATTACACATTGTATACATGTACCAAAATATCACATGTACCCCAAAAATATGTACAACTATGATACATCGATAAAAAATGAACACTAAAAAAGAAAATCCTTTTGCAGGGCCTTTTGGAATGGGAGATGAGACACTGAGGACATGGGTATTTGCAGGAGATGAAGTAACACACCAGATAATTTTTAAATTATTATTATTGCTGTTATGGCTAATGTTTATTGAGTACCTACTATAGGTCAGGTCCTATTCTAAAATGACCAAACTGATGCCCAGGAGTAAAAGAGGAAAACTTGCTTCTGCCACAAGGAGGATGGGAAGAGAAGAGACAGGAAAACAGAAAAGGGTTGGGGGAAAGGGAGGCCTCCTGGCTAGGGCTACGTGAGGAGTAGAGACAGTGACATGGCCCAGGGTCAGCCCTGTCCTCCCTCTTTGTCCACATTTGTCTTTTCTTCATCTTCCTCCCTAGCACAAAAACAATTATTTTTTTCTTTTTTCAGGCCCAGAAACTTGGTCAATCTTAAGTTTTGTCAATGTCCTCTTTTTTTATAGCTACAGAGGACTTTTTGTTTTTGCTTTTATTACTTATGTATGTATGTATGTATGTATGTATGTATGTATGTATGTATGTATGTATGTATGTATTTTGAGACGGAGTCTCGCTCTGTTGCCCAGGCTGGAGTGCAGTGGCGCAATCTCGGCTCACTGCAACCTCCGCCTCCCGGGTTCAAGCGATTCTCCTGCTTCAGCCTCCCGAGCAGCTGGGACTGCAGGTGCACCACACCCAGCTAATTTTTGTATTTTAGTAGAGATGGGGTTTCACCATGTTGGCCAGGATGGTCTCAATCTCTCGACCTCGTGATCTGCCCGCCTTGGTCTCCCAAAGTGCTAGGATTACAGGCATGAGCCACTGCATCCGGCTGCTTTTATTTTTATTTTGATTGTTGGTTTTCTTTTCACCACAAAAAAGCTTAAATTTTCACACAAGCATATTTATTAGCATTTTCTTTATGGATTCTGGTTTTATGACTACTTGTAAAGACCTTCCATATCCCAAGATTATAAAAATGATTTTTACTCATGTTTTCTATTAGTACTTCTGTGATTGTATTTCTTACATTTAAGTCTTCACTGTAACCAAAAATTGTTCTGAGCTATAATATAATGTAAGTGTGTTAATAAAGTGCAATGTAAGTAATATAAGAATCCATGTTTAATGGCTAACCACTTGGTCCCACATTATTAGTAATTCACCTTTCCTACTGATTTGAAATGCTACTTTTATTTATATACTGTAATCCTATTAGTTCTTGCATTTTTTTCTGAATTCTCTATTCCTTTCCATTGATTACACCATCTATTACAATGCAAATATCCTATGTTATTAATTAAGGTCACTCCATAATGGCAATGGTTAAGTTTTGTTGAATGCTTATTATATACAGGCACTATTTTACATGTTTTACAAGTAGAACATAGGCATGGAGAATTTCAGTAATTTACCTAAGTGCACACACATATTAAGTGGAATAGTAAAGATCTGAACCTAGATTGTCTGGCCCTCGTGACTATCCCTTAGCCATTACATTAAACTGCCTCATCAGGAGAATGGCGTGAACCCGGGAGGCGGAGCTTGCAGTGAGCCAAGATCGCGCCACTGTACTCCAGCCTGGGCGACAGAGAAAGACTCCATCTCAAAAAACAAACAAACAAACAACAACAAAAAAAAAACTGCCTCATAACACAGCCTAATATTATAAGACTGTTCTACTCTCGTGACTCTTCTCTTTCTGAATTTTCCTTAATATTATTTTATACTTATTTTTATAGATGAACTTTGGAATTATTTTTGATAAATTCCACCCCAAATCTAATTTTACATGGGGATCCTAAAGAATGTACACATTGGGCTGGATGTGGTGGCTATAACCCAGTACTTTGGGAGGCTGAGGCGGGTGGATGACTTGGCGTCAGGAGTTTGAGACCAGCCTGGCCAACATTGTGAAACCTCGTCTCTACTAAAAATACAAAAATTAGCCGAGAGTAATGGTGGGCACCCGTAATCCCAGCTACTCAGGAGGCTGAGGCAGGAGAATTGCTTGAACCCAGGAAGCAGAGGTTGCAGTGAGCCGAGATTGTGCCACTGCAATCTGAGGGACAGAATGAGACTCCATCCAAAAAAAGAAGAAGAAGAAGAATGAATGCACATATTGATTCAGGAAGAATTGGTATGTCCAATAAGTCTTCCTATCCCTGAGTAGAGAATACCTCACTATTTGTCTTCTTTTAAATCCCTCTGTAGGGATATTTGCAAACATCTTTGTGGTGAGAAGACTTGATCTGTTCATTTTATTTCCTCACTAATTACTGCTGATATAAGAAAAGATTAACTTTTGTAAATTAATGTCAAATAGTAGTAGTAATAGTGGTATCTTAGCCTTATTTGTGACTTTAATATGACTGCTTCCAGTATTTTGCCATAAGTATAATCCTACACTTCGGTTGGAAAGATGTACTTTTATCATGTTAAAGGAGTATTCACCTATTCGTATTTTACTATGATTTCTTTAAAGTCAGGAATAAACATTGACTTTTATCAAATGCCTCTTCTATACCTGTCAATGTGATTATATATTTTTATCTTTTGACCTATATATACGGTGAGTTACATTAATAAATATCCTAATATTAAACCTTTCTTAAAGTCTCAGAATAAACCCTTTTGGCTTTGTGTACTCTTTTAGTTTATTGTTGGATTCTATTTGCCTTGTCATTTAGGATTTTTGCATAGATATTCACATGTGAGAGAAGTCTATAATTTTCTTTTCGTGCTATTTTTATCAAAATGTATATGCTGGTTTTATAAAAGTCTTTTCATGCTCTGTGCTCTGGTGCAGTTATAAAAGCATCATAATTATCTTAATTTCTTGAACATTTGAAAGAATTCACTCAGGAAAACATCAGAGCTCAGCACTTCTTAAAGGCATAGCTTTCAGAAAACCTGAAGGGATCAAATACATAAATAAAGAAAGCTGATACCATGTTGACACATATCTGTGTTGGCTCAGATCTCCACAGTTTGGGAAGAGATTGACCTAGGTAAGTGAAAAAGGTTATTCATAGAAAGGACACAGAGTAAAGTCATGACATATGGCAGAGATCGGCAATATCATCCAGGACAGCTGGAGGTGCAAGCTTCTCTTCTGGACTCCAAAAATCCTGACCAGCGGATGTACAACTGCAGATGGCCCTAGAAGCCTAACTCCCTCCTCCCAGGCAGTCCTCATGTGGAGTGTGTTAGAGATCACCTCACCTGTGCTGGGGCACCTCATTCATCATAGTTATACAGGCAACAATACAACCTCAAGGACCAACGCACTATCTTCCTCCTCCCCAGGCTCTCCCAGCGTGCTTCAAGTTCACTTCTCACTCTGTGCTGAGAACCAGAATAAAGATTAGTTTTCTAGAAGCCTCTGGGTCTCAAGCCAGCAACCTGTAGAACAGTCTGGGGTGTGTGTACATCTACCTGTCAAAGATAAAGAGAGTCGTTTCCAAGAAAATACACTATATTGGAAAATACACTATATGAACAAAGTAATCATTGCATACTTGCCAGATCATGATCTTCTTGAAGCTGGTTCCAGGTCTCATATAATTGCAAAAGCTCCATAGCGGACCTGATAACCTAAAAATAATTGTCTAATATCCTTTAGACTTTTGTCCACTTTTCCAAATCTCACATAAAATCCTCAACAATGATGCACTTTAGCAGTAATAACAACATTCTCAGATGACATCTATACCCACACTTGCCCTGTGCTCTACGATCTAATAAAGTTTTCTTCTTCCTGAACTTGAAGGAGACTAGAAGTTGATGTGTGGTAGGAAATATACTTCATGGTAAAGGATATAGGATGAATTAAGGAAGGGAGACAAGAAAACAGAAAGCAAGTCTAATGAAAAGTTAATGGATTTGCAAGGTTTGGTTTGGAGAATGACAGGATGTAAGTCTGAGTAATAAATTAGGGCCAGAAGGTGCAGAGCTTTGAAACCAGGCTTGCTTTATTTCATGCTTTCTTTTCATCAGGGAGTGACATGAATGGATTTACATTTTGAAAAGCCTCTTCTGGCATGTTGTGGGAAGTCAGGGACCCTGAATGGAGGGACCGGCTGGAGCTGCGGCAGAGGAACATAAATTGTGAAGATTGCATTTTAATA
This sequence comes from Homo sapiens, assembly GCF_000001405.40. Taxonomy (NCBI): domain Eukaryota; kingdom Metazoa; phylum Chordata; class Mammalia; order Primates; family Hominidae; genus Homo; species Homo sapiens. The sequence goes on from NC_000010.11 coordinate 26,348,517, forward strand.
TGGACATTTATCAGTTCCCAAATAATACTTTTATAATTTCTTAAGCCTGTCTTTACTTTAATTTCTTAATCTTGTTATCTTCGTAAGCTGAGGATGTACGTCACCTCAGGACCACTGCGATAATTGTGTTAACTGTACAAATTGATTGTAAAACATGTGTGTTTGAACACTATGAAATCAGTGCACCTTGAAAAAGAACAGAATAATAGCGATTTTTAGGAAACAAGGGAAGACAACCATAAGGTCTGACTGCCTGCAGGGTCGGGCAAAAAGAGCCATATTTTTATTCTTGAAGAGAGCCTATAAATGGACATGCAAGTAGGAGAGATATCACTAAATTCTTTTCCTAGCAAGGAATATTAATACCCTGGGAAAGGAATGCATTCTTGGCAGGAGGTCTATAAATGGCCGCTCTGGGAATGTCTGTCTTATGCGGTTGAGATAAGGACTGAGATACGCCCTGGTCTCCTGCAGTACCCTCAGGCTTACTAGGGTGGGGAAAACTCTGCCCTGGAAAATTTGTGGTCAGACCGGTTCTCTGCTCTTGAACTCTGTTTTCTGTTGTTTAAGATGTTTGTCAAGACAATATGTACACCGCTGAACATAGACCCTTATCAGTTCTGCTTTTGCCCTTTGCCTTGTGATCTTTGTTGTACCGTTATCAGTAGCTCTGCTTTTGCCCTTTGTCCTGTTCCCTCAGAAGCATGTGATCTTTGTTCTGTTTTTCGCCCTTTGAAGCAAGTGATCTTTGTACCTACTCTCTCTTCTTACACCCCTTCCCCTTTTGAAACTCTTAATAAAAAACTTGCTGGTTTGAGGCTCAGGTGGGCATCATGGTCCTACCGATATGTGATGTCACCCCTGGCGGCCCAGCTGTAAAATTCCTCTGTTTGTACTCTTTCTCTTTATTTCTCAGCTGGCTGACACTTATGGAAAATACAAAGAACCTACGTCGAAATATTGGGGGCAGGTTCCCCCAATACTGGCATCTATAGGAAATGTATATGAGGGATGGAAGAGACGAGAGGTGGGGAGACCAGAAATAACAAACAGTTCAGGAGAGGGATGGAAAAGGCTGCGGTGAGAACAGCGGGCAGGAGGGATAGAGGAAGGAGAGGAAGCCCGGACTTAAAATGTACTAGGAGGAAAAATCAATAGAACCTAGAGACCAGTTAGATGTAGGGGGCTGAAGAGACACGGGAGCCAAGGGTACATCCCAGTTTTATGAGACTCATTGAAGTAAGAACAGGATGAGGAACTAGGCGGCTTGGGGTTCCATTGTGGTGACTTTAAGGTGACTGTGGACACCATGTGGAAATGTTTACCTAGGAGTTCTGCTTAGAAATTTGGATTATTTCGTTGCTGAACAAAAAGGAACAGAAAAATCTCAAGGAAAGGGGAGGTTCTTTTGAAGGACATTGGAAGCTGAGGCACACCAGAAGTAAAAGCTAGCGGGAATTTACTCTCTCTTTTACCCACCTCTCAACCCTCATGGGCTTTGAGAGCCACAGGCATCCACTCTCTATTCACTGCAACAGATTTGCCACTCTGCACCCAGAGAGAACTTTCAAGAACAAATCTATTCAGGCCACTTCAGATTCATATCTTCCAGGACGCTGAGGATAAAATTCAAAATCCTAAATTTAGCTTTTGTCCACTTTTATAGTCAAGTCTAGTGTATCTCTCTGCCTCATCTCTCATAACCCTGTCCCTTGCAACTGATGAATGGTGGAAGATTGAAGGCAGAGTGAAGGAATGAAATGGCTCGAGAGATGATCTCTCATCTTTTTCTTTCTGTGTATCAGACTCACTTCCGTGAGCCTCTGAGTTCCTGCTCTTCTTTAACTTTCTTGCGTATGGCTCTGTCTTATCATGGAACTCACCTTTATTCCTGACATCATGTCTCAGTAGTATATACGCACACATACACATACATATATAGTATTTTTGTTTTGTTTTGTTTTGTTTTGTTTTTGAGATGGAGTCTTGCTCTGTTACCCAGGCTGGAGTGCAGTGGCCCGATCTTGACTCATTGCAAGCTCCACCTCCCGGGTTCATGCCATTCTCCCGCCTCAGCCTCCCGAGTAGCTGGGACTATGGGCACCTGCCACCACGCCTGGATAATTTTTTGTATTTTTAGTAGAGATGGGGTTTCACCATGTTAGCCAGATGGTCTTGATCTCCTTACCTTGTGATCCACCCACCTTGGCCTCCCAAAGTGCTGAGATTACAGGCATGAGCCACTGCACCCGGCCAGTTTGTTTATTTTTTGAGAGGGAGTCTTGCTGTGTCACCCAGGCTGGAGTGCAGTGGTGCGAACTTGGCTCACTGCAATCTCCACCTCCTGGGTTCAAGTGATTCTCCTGCCTCAGCCTCCCAAGTAGCTGGGATTATAGGTGTGTGCCACCACACTTGGCTAATTTTTGTATTTTTAGTAGAGATGAGGTTTCACCATGTTGGCCATGCTGGTCTTGAACTCCTGACCTCGTGATCCACCTGCCTTTGCCTCCCAAAGTGCTGGGATTACAGGGATGAGCCACTGCGCCCAGCCTCAGTGATACTTTTTAACAGCATAAAGTAAACCTCCCTTAGTCTTTATGCTGCAGTTCCAGATTCCCATCAGAGAGACTCTGGTTGACTCATTTTGAGGGTCAGGTGACCACCTTCATTCCAATCAGCTTGGACAAGGGTCAATGTCACATAGAAAGGAGGAGAGCCTCCTCAGGGGGAGGGGGACAAGCAGGCTCTCAGAGATGCAGGTGTAGACATCAAATCAGTGATTAGCTCTTCTATCCCAAATTCTCTCCTTTTTGTTATGTGACCATATTTCTAATTTTTCAATTCGTATTTAAATTTTGTTCTAATATCACAAAGAATCAGTGCAGTCCACCCTCTATATCTGCAGGGAATTGGTTCCAGGACCTCTCAGATACCAAAATCCGAAGATGTTGAAGTCCCTTATGTAAAATGGCATAGTATTTGCATATAACCCCTACTCACGTCTATATATATATATATATATATTTTTTTTTTTTGTAGGGACAGGGTTCTTGCTATGTGTGTCAGGTTGGTCTCAAACTCCCGGCAATCCTCCCACCTTGGCCTCCCAAAGCACTGTGATTACAGGCATGAGCCACCAAAGCCTGGTCCTCTCTTATATTTTAAATAATCTCTAGATTCTTTAGAATACTTAATACAATGTAAATGATGCATAAATAGTTGTTATATTGTATTGTTTTATTTTTTTAATTATTGTATTGATTGTTATTCTTATTAGGTTTCTTTCCTAAATATTTTCTATGTGTATTTCATGAAATCTGTGGATTTGGAGGGCTGACTGTTATAACTAAGGTAGTTTTAAAATTTCAGCTAATTCAGTATCATCTGATAGGCATGTTCTTTTCTTTTATCAGATTACTTGTAGAAATACTATAATTTAAACAGAAATGTGGCTTTCTACAGTAGTCACAGAAGGCTCAGCGCTCTTCCAAAAAAAAAAATTAGGTTTAGAATAAAAACATTTTTATAAATCAGGAAGCCAAAAAGCACAAGGTTATTGACTACATCTGTCTTTAGTAACAGATGGTAGTACTAATTGTTATTCAGGAGTGACATATTGTTTTAATTTCTCAGGGGTAAAATATGAAAGTAAATGTGCATAGATTTTTAGCTTTGAAAATTTTATGACTCCCTTAAAACAATTCAGAAATAAGAAATAAAATGTGTTGTCTTTTTTGGGGGGAAATGATGTGGCCTTTTTTAAGGAGAAGCATTTTTAGAAAGGATCAGAAAATATCCCAACTTAGAAAAACTCATTTGAAATTAAGTTGTATATTTGCATTTGAATGAGGTGCTATTTCTGTTCATTTTGATAAAATCAGCATTCTGCTTCCAGTAATATTCAGAGATTTGTGTCAGGCCTCTGAGCCCAAGCTAAGCCATCATATTCCCTGTGACCTGCACGTATACATCCAGATGGCCTGAAGCAACTGAAGACTCACAAAAGAAGTGAAAATGGCTGATTCCTGCCTTAACTGATGACATTCCACCATTGTGATTTGTTCCTGCGCCACCTTAACTGATTGATTAACCTTGTGAAATTCCTTCTTCTGGCTCAGAAGCTCCCCAACTGAGCACCTGGTGACCCCCGCCCCTGCCCACAAGAGAAAAACCCCCTTTGACTGTAATTTTCCACTACCCACCCAAATCCTATAAAATTGCCCCACCCCTATCTTCCTTGCTGACTCTCTTTTTGGACTCAGCCTGCCTGCACCCAGGTGATTAAAAAGCTTTATTGCTTATACAAAGCCTGTTTGGTGGTCTCTTCACATGGACGCACATGACAATTTGACTATCAAACTTTCATTGCAAGTCATGGTGATGAAGAAGTTCTGCACTCACCATTCCAGAAGATTCAGAACAGATCCCTTGTTCAGGGGTTCCTTTAGTGCAGATAGGGATTTTATTAATTGTTGGAAAGATAAAGCATCTCCTTCTACCTGTGGCAGCTGGATCATTCTCACTACACAGAGCTAGAAATTTAAATAAATAAAGGAGAGTAAGATGGAGGTGTGCATGGACATTTAATGGTTCATCAGACTGAATGCTAACAGTATATAGCTGTATGTTTTACAAGGAGGAACTCCAGAGTTTTGAACTCGATGCTTGCCAAACTTAAGCATAATCTTTGAAAGAACAGCTTTGAAATCTCCAGTTACATATTCAAATTCTCTTCCGTCTTGTCCATTGGACACCCACCTACATAGTCTGCTTTAGGATGGAATTTTCTGCCCATCACACTCCAAAATATTTCATCCTCTGCTGTGTCCTTCCAAGGTGCAGGTAAATTTACCATTAGAGGGCTACTCTTTCGGATTAAGCATTGTGCTTCGCAGGGGACCTCTTTGAAAGTGTCATTTTTTCTGAGAGAGGTCATATAGAACATCACTGGCATCTGCACCTGTAAGGATTTATCAAATAGCTGTGTAGAGTGTGGAGTAACAAGAGGGAGAAGAAGAGGCCGAAAATGAAAGAGAGAGAGAGAGAGAGAGAGAGAGAGAGAGAGAGAGAGAGAGATGCTGTTCGTCAGCCCAGCATGAATTCAGTGATTATGCTGATGTTTCCCTCAGTGAAATACCTCTAACAACTAACAAAACTGTTGCAAGCTTGGCTCCTGCTTTGTTAGACTTATTTAAATCACAAAACTACCCCAATCAGATAGCCTCTTTGATTTGAATTATGTTGTATCCAAAGGCTACATTAAATGAAGCCACATTAAATGAAGTCATTTCCATGACCTTCACTACACAACTACATGAAGAACACAAATAGCCTGTAATTTGCAACTCAATCACAATCCCGTTCTCATTTTCCAAACTGACACAGAGCCAATTTGTAAAATGTATAGACACTTAGCGCAGTACCTGGCAGTGCTATTTGAATAAGCACTTGGCATCAGAATGAAACTGGCTTTATCAATTCTTTTTTCTCCCCAGAATTTGTGATTAGAGAGCCAGAAAGAGAAGGATAGGGATCCCACAAGGCTGGGATTGGGAGATGTAATTGGAGAAGGTAGGGTGGCCTGTTCTGCCTTTTGAACTCAAGAAGCAAGAGAAAAAGTCAGACTACTGAGAGAGAAAGGAGGACGCAGTGGTTATACAGAGAGAGTCTAGACAGCTTGACAGTTCCTAGCTCCAGTTCCTTACTAAGTCTGACTTCACTTCTAATCCTGGGGTATAGGAGACCCCTTGTGTCCACATAGTAAATTCCCTTCTGCTACCTGTTTACTTTTGCTTTCAGTCAACCTAAATGGAATTCTGTTGCTCGACAGAGTTGCAATTAATATGGTTCTTGGGATGGTTCTGCAGACACACCCTAATCTGTAACTGTACCATGTCAGGGAGGATTTCCAAGAAGGCTTCCAACAGAGGCTACCTTGTTTTAATTAAAGGTCAAGATGCATTTCAGAAGAATGCCCTGCATACCACTGAGAAGATCAAGAAGTTAGCCACTCCTATCATCAGTATATCAACAGCATAAGAAGCAGTCAAATGGGATTGTCCTCTGAAGACATAAAACATAAAATCAGTACACAGTGGATCAGAATAAATACACACCAAAGCATCATTTATAAAAAATTGGCCTGGTTCGTATGCCAACAATTTGATTATAACATGACTGAATGTATTGAATGCAATAACATCTGGAGAGAAACTGTGTCCATCAGATTTGGGAACTGCTTGGCCCTGGGAATTTAGAAAAATGTAAATTATACCACCATCACCCCCAACTTCCATTAGTGACAGAGATCTAGAAATCCATTCTGGTTTTCCTCCAGGGATGCTGACCCCTCCTCATTAAAGGACCAAGAGTCCCCTTTTGATTCGTAAGAATCTTAGGGAAGGAGCTCAGGGAGCTGAGGCTGACTCAGACTCAGTCTTAACTCAGTGGATCAACAGCAGCAGAGATGCCTTGGCAGTGTATACGAGGCTGGTCTGCAGGAGTCATATGTGAACTGGAGAATCTGGTTGGCCCCAAGCCTTCATGATGATGGCAGTGCTGGGGCAGTAGTCTCCTTGACGACAGCTTATCTTTGAGCTTCCCTTCTCCCCACACCTCTCTTGAGGATGTGCCCAGGGAAGTCACTCCATGAAAATGGTCATGAAAATTTAGGGTTAAAACTTATACATTTCCTGTCATCTCATAAATATGAAGAGGTAGAATGTGGCAAGCAGAATAATGGTCCCCAAGGATGACTACATCCTGCTACTGGGGACCTGTGAATATGTTAGGTTTCATGGCAAAGAAGAATTAAGGTTGCTAATCAGCTGACTGTAAATTCGGGAGATTATCCTGGATTATCTGAATGAGCCCAATGTCGTCACGAGGGTTCTTAAATAAGGCAGAAGAAAGATCAGAATCAGACGGAGATTTGAAGATAAAAGAAGGAGTCATGAGTCAAGGAACGCAACAGCCACTAGGAGCTGGAAAAAGCAAGGAAACATTCTCCCGTAGAACCTCCAGAAGGAGCCAGCTCTTCCCACACCTTGACTCTAGCTCAGTGGGACCAATTTTGAACTTCTGATCTCCAGAACTAATTTGTGTTGTTTTAAGCCACTAAGTTTGTGGTAACTTGTTACAACAGCAATTTGTACAGCAGTTTGTGCTGTGATAATAGAATACTGGAGCCTGGGTAGTTCATGAAGAGAGAAATTTATTCCTTACAGTGTTGGAGGCTGGGGAGGCCAAGATCATAGCACCAGCAGGTTTATTGTCTGGGGACAGTGTGGTCTCAGCTTCCAGGATGGTGCCCTGAATGCTGCATTCTGTGGAGGGGAGGAACTTATGTCTTGGCATGGCAGAAGTTAGAGGGACAAAAAGCATCAACTCCATCCATCAAACCCTTTTATTAGGGCACCTAATTCCCTTCATCCGAAAGGAGTCCTCATGACCTAATCACCTCTTAAAGGTCCCGTGTCTTAATACTATTACATTGGCAACACCTGAATTTTGGAAGGGACTTTCAAACCATAGCAAAAACTAATATTTTGGTACCAAGACTGATATAACAAATGCCTAAAAATGTAGAAGTGGCTTTGAAATTTGGCAATGGGCAGAGGCTGGGAGAATTTGGAGATAGTGTGATAGAAAATGCAACGTTATTACAAGTCTAGTACATAGTGAAAAAAGGAAAAAAAGAAAAGCAAATGCCAGATTGTCCTGAGTGCAGAGTTTTCAGCTCCTGGGCACATGGCACCACTCACATATCACAGTGCGCACTGGGAATGGTGGCTGTGGTGGGGTCTCAAGGAAGCCAACATAAACTTCAAGGAGAGGTGCTTTGTGCATCCCAGCTGTCCTGTGGACAGTCCAGAAGATAGTGGTGGCAAATGGCCAACTTCTGCAGCCCTCGCCCTGGTGCTAGAGAGAAGCCCTCCTTAGCAGTTTTACAGGGAAAGGTGGATTCCCTAGTCTCATACTACATCAAGTTAAGGTTTAGCCATGGTTTTGAAAGGGAGCAGTCACATTCTAGACATTCCAGAATGCATGGCACCCTCCTGCATGACAGAATACAGCACAATTTTTAAATGTTCTTCTAGGCATTTATGTAGGCAAAATACCTGGATATAATTACCTGAAATTAAAGGCTAACTCTATTATACATAGAGACATAAGTAATTTTTGCAGGCTTTTAATATGCATTGAACTTTCCAGGAATACTTGGAACAGTATAAATTATGCTCTTGTGTTTGAAAATTTATCCAAAATGTTCACTATTTCAGGAAACTACATAACCAATGGCAACTTTGCTCATATGTAGTCTATCTCCATCAGTCTATAGCTGCCATTGATGGCGATTCTATATCTAAGTACAAGCATGTGACTATTCCATTATGTCTTCTGGTATAATAGTTCCCAAGGATTAATTATATGTAAATACGTACTATGGACTCCCCCTCAAAATTTGGTTTGGATTTCAAGACTGATTACACACTGACCAAAAAGGATATGAAAAGCTATATTACTCTCATTGTTGGTGGGATTGCAAAATGGTGCAGCCACTTTGGGAGACTGGCAGTTTCTTGCAAAGCTAAATGTAGTCTTACCATAGGATCCAGCAGTCACACCCCTAGGTATTTACCCAAATAAATGGGAACTTATATCTACACAAAAACCTGCATATGGATGTTTATAGAAGCTTTATTCATAATTGCCAAAACTTAGAAGCAATCAAGATGTCCTTCAGTAGGTGAATGAATGAACAAAGTGTGGCACAGCAGAGCAACAGAATATTACTCAGCAGTAAAAAGAAATGAGTCACCAAGCCATGAAAAGACATGAGAAACATTACATGCATATTGCTAAGTGAAAGAAGCTAGTCTGAAAAGGCTACATTCTGTATGATTCAAGCATATGACATTCTGGAACAGGTAAAACTGTAAAGACAGTAAAAAAATCAGTGGTTGCCAGGGGCTCAGGGTGAAGAAGAGAGGGATGAATAGATGAACCACAGGGGATTTTTAGGGCAGTGAAACTACTTTTTATGATACTATAATGGCGAATATTAACATTACACATTTGTCAGAACCCACAGCAATGCACAACGCAAAGAGTGAATCCTGATGTAAACTATAGACTTTAGATAATACTGATGTATCAATATTGGTTCATTAATTGTAACATGTACTACAGTAATGCAATATATTAATAATGGGGGAACTTTAAGGGAGATGAAGAGTGAAAGGGGATATGTGGGAACTCTTTGTACTTTCTGCTCAATTTTCTGCAAACCTAAAACTGCTCTAAAAAATAAAATGTATCAATATGTTTAAATGTGATTATACAAGCCACACACCACAGAAAGTATTTTCAACACACACGTATGCATATATCTGACAAAATAGAAGAATAAAAAGCCCCCAAAGATCAATAAAAATTGGACAAAGGATATAAGCAAATAATTCACAGAAGTGGAAACTAAAACGGTAAAGACACAAAAAGATGGTCAAATACATTAGTAATCTGAAAAATGCAAATTAGAAGCACAGTATAATGCCATTTTACAGCCATTACATTGGCAAAATCTAAAAGGTCTGAAAATATCAACTCTAATTTACTGCTTTTGGAAGTATAAATCAGTAGAACCACTAAGGAGAAAAATTAGGTAACATCTATGTATCAGTTATCTGTTGCTGAGAAACGAATTGCCCCACACTTAAGTGATTTGAAACAACATACGTTTATTACCTCACCATTTCATTGGGTCAGGAGTCTAGATGTGCTCAGATGGGTCTTACAAAACTAAAAAAACTATGGTTATTCACACTTAGATATGAAGCAGTTTTTCTTCCTCCTGAAGAAAAGGAATCTGTCAATTCAAGGAAAACAACTGGCAGTATATTTTTGCCAAATGTAAAATTCAGGCTTTCAAACAAAAATTAGAATTTTAGAAAACTTGTATCCACCATCCTGAACCTGACAACTTTTCAAGACCTTTAAAATAATATCACTGGTGATTTTAACAAATTAAGTTTTTATAATACATGATCATATGTTCCTATTTAGAATATCTGTGTAATTCATTAAATCAATATTTTCTAGATGACCAATACAGGTTGTTACAAAATTATACACAGCCAAGTGATTCATTCAAAGTATAAAATAGACCAATGGAATTTAATGTAGCAGAGGTAAAACTTCACTGACATAAGATTCACCATCTGAAAAGGCTACAGAAATACTTCTTCCATTGCCAACTGGGTATCTATGTGTGGACAGATTTTCTTCATATGCTTCCATCAAGGCAACAGATTACAACAGATCAATGGCTGAAGTGGATAGTTAAATCTAGCTTAAGGATATATATTTTATATGGATACAACTTTGTATTCTTCTCATCTGATGAAAGAATATTTGGTTGATTTATGATCCGATGATCCTCAGACAAAAATCTATTTGGAGTATTCTTATATGGAGTGATCCTATAGTCATGACTTCTCTAAGCTTTAACAAGAACTTATATTTGCGAAGAAGCAGAGTGTGCCCAAGGGAATATTTTTGGGGTGAGAAATGAGTGTTAGAATCCTACAGATGAGTCCAAGAAGTCCCAGAGATGAAACAATTGTCTAATTGGTAAAGAAAAGGGCCCTTTCTCTCAGACGAAAAAAAAAGCACATTGTTATTCTTTGCTCTTGGATGTATTGTTCTGGTTTTTGGAGGGAAAATAGGTGTCCTAAACCAAGAGCTCTGTTATGTGTAAAAGTTTCTTTTAAAAGGATGGGGGCTGGAAGATCTTCTGGGGATATAAGACCTATCTTTAGGATGATGGAAAATGGAAACATGAGAGAGATTTTCAAGTAGTTGGTGAACACATCTGAGTTGAGAGCTTTGAGAAAGTGTCTTGTGCCCTTCAGCAAGGTGGTTTTAGGGGAAGGTCTTGTGATGAGGAATTTCTCCTGTCTTTCTATCTCTACTTTTCTGATTCACAGAATCCCTCTCCCAGACATCCACCTGTCTTTAGGTGGGAGTGCATGAGCTTGAAAGCAATGAGCATCAATCCTCTCTTTCTGGAAGACCTTAGCTAATAACAAGTCTCTAATATATAGAAGATAAAACTATTTGGTATGATGAAGCAGAAAATACCTCTACATATGGACAAAAAAAAATGGCCAATCTCTCCATAACCAATGTTGAAAATTGGAGAAATAATAAACATTTCTTACCATTCTGCATTTTTATGAGCTCTCTCTGAGACAGACCTATCCAGGAGAAATATTCCTCAGAGAATTTATGAGATGAAAGGTCATAAAAAATCCTCTATGGTTTCTCTTTATCTTGCTATTTGAAACACTTGTAAACATTTATGTGGGGTTTTCAGGAGACTTAAACCTCTGGTTCAATTTGAATTCAAGGTCTTTGAAGATAGTCATCAGTTTCTGCTTCCTTTAAAACTTCTAATTACACAAGCACAGCCTTTCCTGACATATGGCTATTGGTCTGATTTAAAACTTGCTCATTTCAGCTTGTACCTTCAGTCTCATCGCAGCCTGAATTCTAAATATAACCCACTTTTCTTTAAGACATGAACCCAGTGGAGTGTGAATTCTACATAGAATTTCACACAACTGTAAATATTCATACTACATTTACTGCCTTGGTCCTAAATCTCTTAAAATATGAATTTTAAAATATACAATTAAGTCAATAAAGCAGTTTACTCTTAATGACTGCTACACTTACGTGGTCAGAGACAACTATTTTTAAATCTCTTCTTAGTGACAAAAAGTTTCCAATGGATTCATTTCAACGAGGATCAATACCCAACTTCCAGGAGAAGTAATACTCCATGGAAGACTGTCTAAATATGCTCTGATTTTGGATCCCATATTTTCCACCCTGTAAGCTACTTTCACATGCAGGCTCAGCCCTTGGTTTAGTTCCTGACTCCAGAGGAGTATATAAGAGGCCTCCAGTCTTCTGGTCCTCCTTCTCTTGTTCTGCTTTTTAGCTTGTTTGTTTGTTTGTATTTTGTTTTTTCTGTTTCTTCTTTGCATTTTACGCTCTTCTATTTTTTTCCCAGCTTTTTTCCTCTTTCCCCTTCACCAGCTTTTCTGTTACAACCAAAGCTTTAACCTAAATACTCGCCAGGCAATGAGCGTTGCCAAGTTTGTGGCTTCGAATCAGATAGACCCCATGTTTGAGCCTTCTCTCTGGGAAACCGATTGAGAACATACCAGACATTCACAATGGTTTCGAATTAAGTGAGGTTTGCTGCAACCTACTATGAAGTGACCTTGCACCAGCATCCTAGGTTATTCTCTGGGCCTCTACACATCTCTGTTCTGATTCTCCGTGAAAACCTCACTGACCCTCGATACTGGAAACATCCATGCAGAGAGGCAGGGAGCCTGACTTCATACCACCGAATTCACATTAGTAACATCTACTTCCTCAGCTATGCAAACTATTTTCCTTTTATACACTTACTTTTTGGGACTGAGCTACTCTTGGTACATCTAATACTACATCTATTTTTCCAAAGCTTGTAGAACTTTTTAAATGGAAATTCCATGCTAAAAAATAGCATTCTAAAATGGAAACATTTTAAGGTATACAATTCAGTTCTGAAAATCCTTGAGAAAAAGATTCATGGCAATTTGTTTTAGTATGAAAGTTATAGTGGCATTGTGGCAAGGCTATTCTAAGGTATCTAATGTATGCATGAGCATTCTTAGATGTACAGGGAAATGATTCTGTAGTTTTTGCACCAAATTTTGCCAGTCAAGAGAAATGACCTTATAAAGAAATTCAAGAAGCAGAGAGTAGCTGTGACCCTCCCTTCCACTAAGGTGGTACCAGCTTTTCAGAGGGAGGAATGTTTCAGCCTCATAACTACCTGCCACTGAAAATGTGCTTAGACTGTTCCACATTATTTCCATTTCTAGGTAAAATCCAGTGTGGAAAGAATTTACAGCATCATAGGCAGACGTGATAATCAAAATATTTAGTGTCTGGTAGGGTGGGGATATGGGCTGCTCAGAATGGTAGTAGCCTAACCAGTCAGACCAGATGCCATAGTACGTACCTGTCAGTATCAGCTCTGGTTTTGGAAATCTATGGAACAATGAATCCAAGAGACTAAGGGTATCAATATTTTGTATTGCATGCATTTTCAGTATGTCTTTTGCTCATTTGAAAGAAAGAGATGGTTTGGGTAAGCGGGAATTTGGAAAGCCTCATTTCTTAAGGTAAAACTGAGTTGTACATTATATCATCATGTAGTTTCCTCCTAAGTTGAAGGTGCTGGACACGGTGCCTGAATAGCACAGGCATAATAAGTAGTTAAAATAGTGCTGTTTGTATTGTATCTTTTCTTGTCAACAAATGCTTATCCAGAATTTATTGAAAATCTGTGACCACCCTGAGGACCTGGCTGGGTAATTTAGAGGCTCCACAGCAATATCTGACTATACAAAAAAAAATCAGTTGAGTGCTCACAGAAAATGATAACAAGGAAGAGGAAATTGATGACTGTATAAAGTGGACCATACCAGCAGATAGGAGACAAAGAAAAGAAAGTCAACATAGAAATGCCAAAATAGAAGAGGAAGTAAAAAGGGAGCTGGGAAAACGAGGTATTCTAAAAATAGGCCTTGTGAAATTGAATAGCACTAGGATGGGAAGTAGCCAAGTTTGGGCACATGAAGCTAAGAACTACAGTGACTTACATGGTAGAAAGCTATGCTCAGAAAACTTTTCCTTGTCTTCTCTTGTCACTCAGGACAAAAGGAGTCTTTTTTGTTTTTATTTTTATTTATTTTTTAATTTTTTGAGACAGAGTCTTGCTCTGTCACCCAGGCAGGGGTGCAGTGGCATGATCTTGGCTCACTGCAACCTCCGTCTCCTGAGTTCAAGCCATTCTCCTGCCTCAGCCTCCCCAGTAGCTGGGATTACAGGTGCGCACCACCATGCCCAGCTAATTTTTGTATTTTTAGTAGAGACAGGGTTTCACCATGTTGGCCAGGTTGGTCTAGAACTCCTGACCTCATGATCAGCCCACCTCGGCCTCCCAAAGTGCTGAGATTACAGACATGAGCCACCACGCCTGGCCAAAAGGAGTCTTTTAAAAAGCCAACTGAGCAAGGCCTCCAGGACCCTTAGGTAGGCTCAACAAATGTACGGATCTTGAAGCCTTTTCTCCACTACTCACACCCACACTCTAGCCCTGGGATTTAGTTAGTGCTGGAAGTCTGTGATCCTTTGTTAGCATTAGATCATGAATAATAAAGTGACAAGAGACAGCATTTAGAAATAACTGCAGCTACCAAGAAAGAAAGTTTTGCCCTGTGGGAAGAGGAGGGAGAAAGGGAAGAGAGGAGGAATGAGCCTCTTGTAACCACAGTGCCATGCTATGCTTACAGCAGAGGAGGTTTTCTAACGAAGACGTTCGGTCAACTTGGATACATAAATGTTGAAGGATGTGTATGCAGTAGTCAAATGTCTACCTGCCAATCATATTTCATTTTTTAACCTAGTTACATATATACGTAAGTCACATATGATTAAAACATCTTTTAATTTAACAATGTCGATTTTTTTCCACTCTCATGTTCCATTAAAAAATTGTATTCAGGCCGGGGGTGGTGGCTCATGCCTGTAATCCCAGCACTTTGGGAGGCCAAGACAGGCAGATCAACTGAAGTCAGGAGTTTGAGACCTGCCTGGCTGACACGGTGAAACCCCATCTCAACTAAAAATACCAAAAAAAAAAAAATTAGCTGGGCTTGGTGGCAGGCACCTGTAATCCCAGCTGCTCAGGAGGCTGAGGCAGGAGAATCGCCTGAACCCAGGAGGCAGAGGCTGCAGTGAGCTGAGATTGCACCACTGCACTCTAGCCTGGGTGACAGAGGGAGACTCCATCTCAAAAAAAAAATTGTATTTAAATTATCCACATGTACCTTTGACATCACTGTTGTCACCATCACTTTGGAATCACTGAGCACAGTGTCCACATTTTATATGTATGATTCTGGCTCTGCAATCTTTATTCTAAGCCACAAATAAGCATTCACAGAATATTGTCAGTTAGTTACTTCATTCATCTTACAGAGGCTTTTTTTTTTTTTTTTTTTTTTTTTTTTTGAGACAGTATCTCACTCTGTCATCCAGGCTGGAGTGCAGTGCCATGATCACAGCTTACTGCAGCCTCAACTTCCCAGGCTCAAGCAATTCTCCCACCTCAGCCTTTGAGTAGATGGGACCACAGATACACATCACCACGCCCAGGTAATTTTTATATTTTTTGTAGAGTTGGGGTCTTGCCATGTTTCCCAGGCTGCTGTCAAACTCCTGCGCTCAGCAATCCACCCACCTAGGCCTCCCAAAATGCTGGGGTTCCAGGCATAAGACAACACACCTAGCCCATTGATGCATATTCTTGATGTCTAAACATTACCACTTGATGCATGATTCTTCAGAGAATATAGTAAATATTGAACAAATGCAAAATGTTTATGTGAATGAGTTACAAGTCAAAAGGACTCATAAGTCAAAATAAAAATAACTTATGCATCCCATGCTTAGCTTAAGACGTGAACATTACCTTTTTGAAGCTCTCTGTGGGCTCCTTCCTAATCTCTTTGCCCTTCCTGCTCATCCATTTCACTCCCACTGGTAATTTATCATTTTAAAATTTGTGTTTATTGTTTCTTTGCTTATAGATTTTTTCTTTCTTTCTTTCTTTCTTTTTTTTTTTTTGAGATGGAGTCTCGCTCTGTCGCCCAGGCTGGAGTGCAGTGAAGCCCCGTCTCTACTAAAAATACAAAAAATTAGCCTGGCGTGGTGGTGGTGGGCACCTGTAGTCCCAGCTACTTGGAAGGCTGAGGCAGGAGAATGGCATGAACCCAGGAGGTGGAGTTTGTAATAAGCTGAGATCGTGCCACTGCACTCCAGCCTGGGCGACAGAGTGAGACTCCATCTCAATGATAATAATAATAATACATAAACAATATTTAAAACCCATTTATTCATAATGATACTAAAATAACTGATATAAACCAACATGTGAATTTAGCAAAACATCCAAGAGACAATTAGGGAAAGCCAAATGTTGACTGAATAGTTGGTGGTATTAAGAAATTATTGGCTGGGCGTGGTGGCTTACCCCTGTAATCCCAGCACTTTGGGAGGCCGAGGCAGGTGGATCACCTGAGGTCAGGAGTTCGAGACCAGCCTGGCCAACATGTTGAAACCCCCTCTCTACTAAAAATACAAAAACTAGCTGGGCGTGGTGGTGTGTGCCTGTAATCCCAGCTACTCGGGAGGCTGAGGCAGGAGAAACGCTTGAACTCAGGAGGCAGAGGTTGCAGTGAGCCGAGATCACACCACTGCACTCCAGCATGGGTGACAGAGCAAGATTCTGTCTCTAAAAAAAAGAGAGAGAGATTACTGTTATTTCTTTCAGATGTGACAAGAGTATTTTAGTCATACTGCTTTGTAGAAATACTCACTGAAATACTTATGGATAAAATAATATGATGTTATCTAAATCATTTTCCAAACAAGGCCAAAATTCAGGAAACTCTATCTAGAAAAAGAGTGTGGCTATTAAAAATACACATTAATCTAAAAAGTACCACCATCAGATAAGATTTAAAATGAAAACAATGTGTTCTGGACAGGAATACTGATAATAAACAGCTTAATTGTTTGTTTGTTTGTTTTGAGACCTGGCCTCCCTCTGTCACCCAGGCTGGAGTATGGTGCCACAATTATAGCTCACTGTAACCTCAAACTCCTGGGTTCAAGCAATTCTTGCACCTCAGCTTCCAGAGTAGCTGAGACTACAGTCATGCACCACCACACCTGGTTAATTATTTTATTTTATATTGTAGAGATGGGGTTCTCGCTATGTTGCCCAGGCTGGTCTAGAACTCCTGGCCTCCATCAATCCTCCAACCTCTGCCTCCTGAAGCCCTGGCATTATAGGCATGAGCCCTGACAGCTTGCTAGTATTTTAAGTACAATTGGTAAAACTTATAAACAAAAAAAAATAAAAATATTTAAATGATCAAGGACAATTTATAAAAGAAGTGAAATGCAGAAATGCAAAGTTACCATGAAGAAATTTAATTGATACTTCATTAGTAATGTGCTTACCCATTGATGTGCCAAAAATCAGAAAACCATTTTTTTTCAGATAAGAATAGTGTGGATGACCTTCCAAGAGAACATCTCACAGTGCCCTCTGGAATCAATGAGTCACAGCATGAGTAGGCAGGGGTGATGTTCAAACACATCAGCAATGGCTCAATAATCAACCAACTAGAAGGACATGTGCCAGACCTGGTTCTGGAGGTTCCTCATTGGCTGGGCAGGACCCATTTATTCACTGACAAGGAAGAAGCCCTGGGTTGGGCAAGGAAGTGCCAAAATGCCAGCAGGAGTCACTTGGAAGCTCTGTGTAACAGCTCTTAATGAATCAGTACAGAATTAGTTTGATATTTCAACACCTAGAGGATCCCTAGAAGATGTTTGGGTTTGCTAAACATTAACTCTGTGAGAAGAAACACTCATAATCAAACCCAATATTATTAAAGTGAGGACTAAGCAACATTGTTTCTCACTCACAATGCTAGCTCACCTTCTATGTGTGACTGGGAGTAGCTGTGGCTAGCAACCATTTGGCTCTTAAATCTGTCTATATCTGTGTATTCGTATGTATCTCATATATATGTGCATATATGTGTAGATACTTTTAGGCAGAAATCAACATGCATAACAGAAACTCGTTCTCCTCCTCTACCCACATTTACTGCTGAACAGCCAAAATTTTAGACTCCATTTAGTTTCAGACTCTTATCAGAATGACCTAGCCAGCCAGCACCTTCTTATAAATTCTATGTACAAGATACTTTGTGGTGATCTAACTCCTTAGCTACATTTTCACCATTTTATCTTGCTATGACACTCTATGTTCTTGCCATATTGAACTACGTATAGATCCTTGAACAAGCACTTTATTATTAATAAGATTTTCTCTCCTTGGAATGTCTCTCAGGCCCCCTTCATTTATAGGTTGTTGCGGGAAGTCAGGGACCCCAAATGGAGGGACTGGCTGGAGCTGCAGCAGAGGAACATAGATTGTGAAGATTTCATGGACATTTATCAGTTCCCAAATAATACTTTTATAATTTCTTATGCCTGTCTTTACTTTAATCTCTTAATCCTGTTATCTTTCTAAGCTGAGGATGTACGTCACCTCAGGACCACTGAGGTGTTACCTGTACAAATTGATTGTAAAACCTGTGTTTGAACACTATAAAATCAGCGCACCTTGAAAAAGAACAGTGATTTTTAGGGAACAAGGGAAGACAACCATAAGGTCTGACTGCCTGCAGGGTCGGGCAAAAAGAGCCATATTTTTCTTCTTGCAGAGAGCCTATAAATGGACGTGCAAGTAGGAGAGATATCGCTAAATTCTTTTCCTAGCAAGGAATATTAATATTAATACCCTGGGAAAGGAATGCATTCCTGGCAGGAGGTCTATAAACAGCCGCTCTGGGAATGTCTGTCTTATGCGGTTGAGATAAGGACTGAGATACGCCCTGGTCTCCTGCAGTACCCTCAGGCTTACTAGGGTGGGGAAAACTCCGCCCTGGAAAATTTGTGGTCAGACCGGTTCTTTGCTCTTGAACTCTGTTTTCTGTTGTTTAAGATGTTTATCAAGACAATACGTGCACCGCTGAACATAGACCCTTATCGATAGTTCTGCTTTTGCCCTTTACCTTGTGATTTTGTTGTACCCTTATCAGTAGTTCTGCTTTTGCCCTTTGTCCTGTTCTATCAGAAGCATGTGATCTTTGTTCTGCTTTTTGCCCTTTGAAGCATGTGATCTTTGTACCTACTCCCTGTTCTTACACCCCCTCCCCTTTTGAAACCCTTAATAAAAACTTGCTGGTCTGAGACTCAGGCGGGCATCATGGTCTTACTGATATGTGATGTCACCCCTGGTGGCCCAGCTGTAAAATTCCTCTCTTTGTACTGCCTCTCTTTATTTCTCAGCTGGCGGACACTTATGGAAAATAGAAATAACCTACATTGAAATATTGGGGGCTTGTTCCCCCAATAATAGGTATATTTCAGGGGTCAATTCAGATTTTTAGCACTTCCTGAAAGTCTCTAATGTCATAAGTATAGCATTATAGAAAGTACTGGAGAGCTTACTTTTCCAAACGAGAAAACTTTCTTCCACATTTATTAGTCAAAATCCCCATTCACTACTCTCTCAAATTCCTAGCATCACTGAGTCAATAATTCAACAGATTTTTCTCCAACAGTCTGTTTATTCTGCTTACATCTACATTCCTCCATTTCCTCTGGCCCTTTCCTCGTCTGGTTCAGAATTAGTGGTGGTAATATAGAAATCACCAGCAGCCAGGTATTGGGAAAGACTTCCTTACCACAGAAGGTGAAGGGATGGTTCAGCACCAAGGACAGGGGCACACGGGCCCGCTTACTTTCCTGCCTTCTCCACCTCATGTATATTTTAGTCATGCTGTGTGATTATGTCTTAGATTAAGTGCCCTTCCTCATTGCTGAGACTAACTGTATTATCATTTTCACTTTATGCTGAAATTTGTTTCTTATTTATCTCCCTTATCGTTCCTCCTCCTTACCCTCACTTAGTACAATTCCTGGGGCATAGTAGGCTAAATAAATTTTAGATTAATTAATAAATGAATCAATCACTCAATAAATTAACAAATATATTTCAGAAAGGAGACTAAAATCCAAAGAGACACAAATAAAACAATTTTGCAAGGAAGCAAAAATAATATATTTGTTATTACTCCTTCAGACATCAATTCTCACCCTGGCTTTGCATCAGAATGATCTGAAGAGATTATTGAAAATGCAAACTCCAACGTGGGGGACATAGGAAGACCCTGTCTCTACAGAATATTTTAAAACTTAACCGGGCATAATGGTAAGGGAAGCGGAGGCAGGAGGATTGCTCGGGCCCAGGAGTTCAGAGCTACAGTGAGCTATGATCAAATCACTGCACTCCAGCCTGGGCAACAAAGCAAAAACCCTGACTCAAAAAAAAAAAAAAGAAAAAAAAGCGAAAGCAAACTCAAAGGTGCTTCCCCAGAAATACCAGAAATACAGAAAGTAAGAGAATTCTGATGGTGTGGACTTGACATATGTAAAGAAGTAGGGGGACAGCTTGCACAGGTGATTTCCAAGGGCATGAAATATTTCTTCTACAGTTAGTTATAAGTTCTGCTATATCCCTACAGGAGGAATTAAGCATGTGGAAGGGAAAGAAAGCTCCAGCTGCCCTGGTTCATATGAGCAACAGGACCCAATCTTTTCAGCTGGGTAAAATGAAAATCAGCAGGAGCTGCATCTTTATTCTGATACCTGCTGATCTCCCACTCATGATGTAATAGTACAGGTAAAGTTATTCTTTGATTAAGTTTCTTACAGATTCTGGATATTAGACCTTTGTCAGATTCATAGTTTGTGAGTATTTTCTTTCATTCTGTGGGTTGTCTGTTTACTTTATTAATAGTTTCTCTTGCTGTGCAGGAGCTCTTTAGTTTAATTAGGTTCCACTTATCAATTTTTGTTTTCATTGCAATTGCTTTTGGGACTCAGCCAAAAATCATTTGCCAAGGCTGATGTCAAAAAGGCTATTTCCTAGGTTGTCTTCTAGGATTTGTATAGTTTAAGGTCTTACATTTAAATCTTTCATATATCTTGGTTAATTTTTATATATGCTGAAAAGTAAGGGTCTAATTTCGTTCTTCTGCATATGACTAGCCAGATATCCCAGCACCATTTATTGAATAGGGAGTTCTTTCCCCTTTGCTTGTTTCTGTCAGCTTTGTCAAAGATCTGATGATTATAGGTGTGAAGGCTTATTTCTCAGTTTCCTACTCTGTTCCATTGGTCTATGTGTCTGTTTTTGTACCAGTAACATGCTGTTTGGGTTACTGTGGCCTTATAGTATAGTTTGAAGCCAGGTAGTATGATACCTCCATCTTTGTTCTTTTTGCTTAGGATTGCTTTGACTGTTTTGTGTCTTTTTTGGTCTCATATAAATTTTAGAATATTTTTTCTCTAATTCTACAAAGAATAACATTGGTAGTTTGACAGAAATAGCATTGAATTTGTAAATTGCTTTGGGCAGTATGGCCATTTTAATGATATTGATTCTTCCAATCCATAGGCATGGAATGGCTTTCCATTTATTTGTATTATCTCTGATTTATTTCAGCAGAGTTTTGTAGTTTTTGTAGAGATCTTTCACCTCCTTTGTTAGGTATATTTTTAGTATTTCATTTTCTTTGTGGTTATTGTAAATGGAATTGTGTTCTTGATTTGACTCTCAGCCTGGGCACTATTAGTGTATAGAAATACTATTGATTTGTCTACGTTAACTTTTTTCTCCTGAAACCTTGCTAAAATCATTTATCAGTTCTGTTAGCCCTTTGGCAGAGTCTTTCGGGCTTTCCATTATAGAATCATGTTGTCAGTGAAGAGAGAGAGTTTGACTTCTTTTCCTAGTTGGATGCCTTTTATTTCTTTCTCTTGCCTGATTGCTCTGGCCAGGACTTTCAATAGTATATTGAATGATATAGTATAGGAGTGATGAGAGTGGACATCCTTGTCTTGTTCCAGTTCTCAAGGGGAATGGTTCTGGCTTTTGCCTGTTCTGTAAGATGCTAGCTGTGGGTTTGTCATAGATGGCTCTTATTATTTTGAGGTATGTTCCTTTGATGCCAAGTCTGTTGAAGGTTTTATCATGAAGGGATGTTGGATTTAATCAAAAGCTTTTTCTGCATCTATTGAGATAATCATATGGTTTTCACTTTTGATTTTTTATGGGTTAATTACATTTAATGTAAAAAGTGAAAAAATTTTAAGTAAAAGTGAAATGGTTTTCACTTTTAATTGTTTATGTGGTTAATTACATTTATAGACTTGCCTGTGGTGAACCAACCTTGCACTCCAGGAATAAAGCCCACTTGGTTATGGTGAATTAATGTTTTGATGTGCTGTTGGATTCAGTTTACTAGTATTTTGTTGAAGACTTTTGGGACTGTGTTAATCAGGGATATTGGCCTAAAGTTTTCTTTCATTGAATCTATGCCAGATTTTTGTAGTAGGCTGATACTGGCTTCATAGAATGAGTTGGGAAGCAGTCCCTCCTCCTCATTTTTTTGGAATAGTCTCAATAGGATTGGTGGCAGTTCTTTATACATCTGGTAGAATTCAGCAGTAAATCCATATGGTCCAGAGTTTTATTTGGTTGGTAGTTTTTTTTTTAATGATTCAATTTTATTGCTTGATATTGGTCTATTCAGGGTTTCAATCTCTTCCTGATTCAATAAATTACTGCTTCCAGTAATTTATCTATTTCCTCTAGACTTTCTAGTTTGTATAAATAGAGTGGTTCATAGTATTCTCTGAGGATCTTTTGTATCTCTGTGGTATCAGTTGTAATGTCATCTTTGTCATTTCTGATTGTATTGATTTCGATATTTTTTTTTCTGTGTTAATTTAGCTAGCAGCCTATCAATCTTGTTTGTTGTTTTAAAGAGCCAACTCTTGGTTTCATTGCTCTTTATGGATTTTTGCATCTGAATTTTATTTAGTTCTCTAATTTTAGTAATTTATTTTCTTCTGATAGCTTTGGGATTGGTTTGTTCTTTCTTATTGTTCTATTAAGTGAAAAGTTAGATTGTTAATTTGATATTTTTTAACTTTTTGATGAAGGCATTTAGGGCTTATTAATATTTTTGAATCCCTAACTAATATGGTATGAAGTTGTTTTCTTGCAGGAGGGTGATCAAACTCTAAAAATTATCATTGGTTTTAAAAATAACATTAGGTGATACACTGAAAATTTCAGTTTATTTGACACCATGATGAAAAAGATAAAAATTATTTTAAAGTATATCTCTACTTTAGTTAGTACAAAATTTATATTTTCTTCCATTAAAATGAAAAATATTTTCCATATGCCTGATCTTTTCAGAAAGGTTAATCTCCAAAATATAACCAACAATCTTTGTTAGTTAAGGTATTTATATTGTTCACGGAAGAAAATCCTCTCTTAAATACAACTAGAAGCAACCTGTTTAATATTACTAAAGATTGTGACATGTGGCTTCCATGTCCTGCTTTGTCAAAATAGAAGCAGAAGAAACAATGCTGGAAGAGAAATGGAAATGAGAAAGACCATTACAAATCATCTACAGATAAACATAAAATTTATAACTAAACAATATGGGGTGTGAATTATCAAAGACAGAAAAGTTATTCAAGGTCTAATCCAGAATCACTTCTGTACTGGTTTATGTCTTGGGAGTTTAAAATGTAAGGCATTGCAAGAGTTGTACGTGTAAGCAATGGAGTTTCTTTTGTATTAAGAAAGAAGTCTATATTTATCGAAACTCAAAAACTTCCTGGTAATTTAATTCAAAATGCTTCCTACAACCCATCAGCTGTCCCTTCATCTTCAGACTGGTAAGATATTTTCCAACCAACTGTTTTTCATAACTGGGCCTGAGGTCATGTTCACATCCAGACCTGTATTTTTCACCTTGCTCGATACTTTGCCCTTTTAACACTTCTAAATCAGAAATAACTAAGTTCTGCCACACCATTCTCAGGGAATGTCTCTCTGGGAAGAACAGAGGTTGTTAGAATGCTTTCCTTAGAGACTCCTTTGAAATTGTATTGTCCTGTACAACAAATAATAGACTAGGAGTCAGGAAAACCACATGTTGAGCAACTCACCTAACACGTCTAGGCTTCAGATATTTTTATCAGCTTCCGTAGAAAAAAAATGTATTTAAATTTAACAAAGTAAAATTGCTACATTATTGTCCATTTTTTGAGATTTTTGCCAGTTATCAATTTATTGCCTCTCAATTCCAAATCCACCCTTTTTTAATTTAAAAAAATTTTGTAACACTGCATTGAGATGTAATTCATGTACTGTACAATTCACCCTCTTAAAATTTTCAATTTCATAGTTTTTAATACTCACAGAGTTGACAATTATCACCACAATCAACTTTAGAACATTTTTATCAACCCAAAAAGAAACCCCATACCTTTCAGTAATCACCTCTCAATTCTTCATCCTCTCCCCATCAGCCCTCAGCAACTGCTAATCTACTTTCTGTCTCTATAGTTTTGCTCATCCTGGACCCTTCATCTAAATGGAACCATAAAATATTTAGTCTTTTGCAACTGGCTTCTTGCACTTGGCATCATTGTTTCAACTTTCACCCATGTTGTAGCATATATCAGTACTTCATTTCTTTTATTGCCAAATAACATTCCATTGTATGGA
Source organism: Homo sapiens (assembly GCF_000001405.40). Taxonomy (NCBI): domain Eukaryota; kingdom Metazoa; phylum Chordata; class Mammalia; order Primates; family Hominidae; genus Homo; species Homo sapiens. The sequence continues at coordinate 26,372,890 of NC_000010.11, forward strand.
TATGCCCCATTATATTTATTCTACCAGTTGATGGACATTTGTGTTGTGTCTACTTTGTAGCTGTTACGAATAATGCTGCTGGGAACATTTCTGTACAGGTGTTTATGTGGATGTGCGTTTTCATTTCTCTTTTTTGTTTTTATTTTTATCCCTGGGAGTGAAACTGTTGCATCATATGCTAACTATATGTTTAACCATTTGAGGACCTCCCAGATTATTTTCCAAAGCAGCTGCACCACTTTCCCTTCCCGTAAGCAGTGTATGGACACCAACTGCTCCACACTCTCACCTACACTTGTTACCTGTCTTTCTGACACCTTTTGGACAGTAACAACCATCTTAGTACATGTGAAGTGGTATCTTATTGTAGCATCCACCCTTCTTTGCAGTGCTCTGTGAGACACAGCATTTTTTTTTCTTTGCTGCCACGAAGTGAAACTTTTCTGTATAGGCTGTGGAAGGGATGCCAGAAGAGGGAGGAGATTCTTCCTGATTTTGGTATGCTTTTCTTCTCTTTCCTAAAGCAAGGCTGCTAGTGGCATGCAAGAGACCTACTGATGTTCACCTTCCTCCAAGTTTGGCTGGCTCCTAGGCAGGCAACTTCCTTCTCACCAGCCCCAAACTCTACAAACTTGGAAGAGGGTTCCCCACCTACTGCAGACCAGCTCGGGTCAGAGACAGCTCAGGAACTTCATCGGCATAGGCTACCAGTGCCTTAGGCCACAGCTGGTCCGCAGCTGGTGGGGATCCCTCTTCCAAGTTTGTCCTTCGTGGATTCTCTTTCCCTTAGCCCTAAAGGGAGTAACTGTCGCCTATCTTTGCTATTGCTGTGTTGTTTGGAATTTTCCTTTTTCCCTTTTACTAATTGTAATTCCTAGTTAATAATATTTGTTTTTAAGAGATGGGGTCTCACTCTATTGCCCAGGCTAAAGGGCAGTGGCACAATCATAGCACACTACAACCTCAAACTCCTGGGTTCAAGCAATCCTCCCATCTCAGCCTCCCGAGTAGATGAGACTACAGGCACAAGCCACCTCATTCGGCCCTAGTTAATCATCTTTCTCTTAAATAGTCCTTTGTATATATTACTGATGTGATCTCTATTACTGATGTGATCTCTATTACCTGTCTGGACCCTGACAGATATAAGATTCACCATCTTTTAATGCAACATTTTTTTAAATTAATCATATCAGCACTACTCTAAAACAGAGTTCAATTATTTTTTAGAAACTTAGGTGCATTAAACTACCATTGTAATGTGGTCTAAACGACTTTTACAAGTTTTCCACAGGATCATAATGTAAAAATATCTAGTAAACAATTGTAAAAAGAAAATTATAAAGGGAAATTCTAAAACTGCTGAATTGTTATCATTTCAATGAACAAACTGTAGTTTTATATGATACTTTACTTTCAAATTTTAATCAGCTATCATTTGAAACAAATGCAAACACATGTGTCCAACACAAAAACAAAAGTTGGAATCAGCTGCTTCATGTATTTGCAATATATGTGTCCCTTTAGCAGCTACTTTCTATCACATTCAGTCTAAAGGTTACGATCTGTCTTCAAATTACAGGTGAAATGAGAGCACTTGCTTATGATACAGAAGAAAATGGACTAAGGAGAGCTTTCTCTAGCCATTAAGATCAAATTATAATGGAAACTAAGGAAGTGGTTCTGCATTGTCATCAGTTAGAACTGCCAAGTTTATAGCGAACCAGTCTGGCGTAGGCACGGCCCCAAACTGGATGGAACTCTATTCATCCTTCTCTAATTTATTTTTATCTTGCTACTTCCTTAAAGCTGCCTTAAATCATGTCAGAAGTCCACATCCATGCTCAATACCCAGCATTTGTTCTGGCACCTGCTGACCTTTTGCTTTTATGTTGTTCATTTGATACTTTCTATTCAACATATAATTGTTGGTAAATCCTGATGTGAATGTCCATGCTACAGCATTGTAGCCCTGAGGTACCACCAGATACCAAAAAAAAAACTGACTATAATTATTAAGAAGCCATTAACCTGGGCTACTCAAGTGAAAAATAAAGCATCAAAATTTTACTCTCAGGTCAATGTGAACATGGCTATGAAGGCATTCAAACTAAGCTCCAGATTGCTCTGCAGAAACACAGCCTGACCTTCATTACCATGATGCTATCATTGAAGTTGTACACAGGCTACAATTCTCAAGATGACTCCTTGAAAAATTTAAAAAATTTATTTTTAAAATTTCTCTAGAATAACAGTGTTGGGCATCTGTTAAATAGAGCAGTCTTATGGCTCTCCTGACCAGTTAATAGGAACAAGGCTATACAGCCCAGAATCCCAAAGTAGGAGTATCTCAATGCAGTACCTCCTTTTGTTCCATTACATCCCCAGACACATAATACTTCCCTATGAGACGAAGAAAAGGGCATAGACTTTGAGATGGCCAAACAGGGTTCAAATCAGGCCTCTATCAGAAAAAGCACCATGAGTTTGCCAAATCATTGACTTCTCTAGGCCACCATAAAGAGGGCAAAATACTACCTACCAAACACAGTTATCATACAGGTTAAAATAAGGAAGATAAAACTTGTAGGCAATTCCTGGCACATGCTAACTGTTGAACAAATGGTTATTAGGAGTGTGATGAGAGGAAATGATATAGCACTGTCTTTAAAGTTGATGAGCTCACGCACAGTGAAAGAATGGCATTGATATTATCGCATTTGGTGTAAATGGCTAAAAAACAAAAGCAACTTCTTATAAATTTGTGGTATGTCTCTGTCATCATTCAAACATCAAGTATGACACTATCTCATAAGTCAATGTTCCCAACCATACGTGAAAGTTCCATACAACAGTCTATAGGGTAATTTGCCTTCTGTAGGCGAAACTGTGGTTTACCAAGTGTTATTAACTAAATATCTATCACCTCTTGTCCACCAAAATGTATATGTTGAATCCCTAACCCCTAGTATGACTATATTTGGAGACAGGGACTTTAAGGAGGTAATTAAAGTAAAATGAGGTCAAAAGGGTGGGGCTCTGATCTGATAGAATTAGTGTCCTTAGAAGAAGAGACACCTGAAAGCTTCCTCTCTTTCCTCCCCTTCCAAGGATTCATGCATCTGAGAAAAGTCCCTGTGGGGACATAGTAAGAAGGCAGCCACCAGCAAGCCAGGAAGAGAGCTCTCACCATAAACCAAATCAGCCAAAACCTTGATCTTGAACTTTCTAGCCTCCAGAACTGCAAGAAATTCAGCCCAAGCTGATTGAGATACCAGTCAATTCCTAAAGTGTGCTTGAAAGAATGACAAGTCTCAGAAAAAAATTATATATTCCTTGAGTATCTTTAATTCTTACATATAGGGGTTGAGCTCACTTACATGCATAACATGTACAACTTAGCATTCCTGATGTTTCAACAGATAATTTACTGTTTATAACCCTAATAAATGCCTCTCATTACTAAAAGGCTAGAAATATTGAAATATATTTAATCAGAAACCGCTTGATGGCAAACTGGCTTTTATAAGATTAAATACATGAATAGGAGGCATTGCATTAAAACCACTAAGAAATATTTAAATGTAAGAATTTAAATAGCCAGTTTCAAGACAATAATTATGTCTTTTGAATGAAAATGCCCTAGACTACTTCAGGTACATCCTATATTCCTATCTTTGATGTTTCAAAACATGTGTAGTTTTTTAGTGACTTCAGTATTCATGGCTTGAGTGTGCTAGTTGATGTCAAACATGACTGGCAGGCACATTGCCACTGAATGTGGCTGAAAATAAGCCACACACAGAGCCAACAGCATCATCTGCAGCGGGCTTAAGAATCACAGCATCACAGATCAGAGACTGACTTCTTATCAACCCTCCAGCTCCATCTCAAGCCTTTATTTCACAGCCACATCCAGGACGCAAGCCCTCTCTTATATGTCTGTAGTGTTCAGTCCAGAGTTACTGCACAGTGTTGAGATCTTGCTTATTCATTGAAGGAGTGGCCTGCCCCTCCACACTTGTGGGTGTTTCTCATCGGGTGGGACAAGAGACTGAGAAAAGAAAGAGACACAGAGACAAAGTACAGAGAAAGAAAAGTGGGCCCAGGGGACCAGCGCTCAGCATACAGAGGACCTGCGCTGGCACAAGTCTCTGATTTCCCTCAGTATTTATTGATCATTATCTCTACCATCTCAGAGAGGGGGATGTGGCAGGATGATAGGGTAATAGCGGGTAGAGGGTCAGCAGGAAAACATGTGAACAAATGTCTCTGTGTCATAAAGAAGGTTAAGAAAAAGGTGCTGTGCTTTGATGTGCACATACATAAACATCTCGGTGCATTAAAGAGCAGTATTGCCGCCAGCATGTCTCACCTCCAGCCTTAAGGCGGTTTTCTCCTATCTCAGTAGATGAAACATACAATTGGGTTTTACACCAAGACATCCCATTGCCCAGGGACGAGCAGGAGACAGATGCCTTCCTCTTATCTCAACTGCAAAGAGGCCTTCCTCTTTTACTAATCCTCCTCAGCACAGACACTTTACGGGTGTCGGGCTGGGGGATGGTCAGGTCTTTCCCTTCCCATGAGGCCATATCTCAGGCTATCACATGGGGAGAAACCTTGGACAGTACCTCGCTTTCCTAGGCAGAGGTCCCTGCGGCCTTCCACAGCGTATTGGGTACTTGAGATTAGAGAGTGGTGATGACTTTTAACAAGCATACTGCCTTCAAGCACTTGTTTAACAAAGCACATCCTGAGTAGCCCTAAATCCATTAAATCTTGAGTCAACAAAGCACATGTCTCTGTGAGCATAGGGTTGAGGATAGGGTTACAGATTAACAGCATCTCAAGGCAGAAGAATTTTCCTTATACAGAACAAAATGGAGTCTCTTATGTCTACTTCTTTCTACATAGACACAGTAACAGTCTGATCTCTCTTTCTTTTCCCCACATTCATGGGTGAAACCAGGAATAATTTTTTAACTAGGCTTTGGTACCAAACATTTCAGTTTGGCATATAAAGCTCCTTTGATTATTCTACGGATACGAAGTCTGCCTTTTTTGCTCATTATCTGACTTAAGGACTAGGGGAAAAAAGGCACTTTGCTGATTCCCTAAGTGTTATATAACAATAAACAAGTCAGAGTTTGTAGAGGCAAACAGGAATGCTCACACATTACTGTGAAAACATCAGTGATAAGTAACCACCATCTTTCAAATAATCTGATCTATGCACAACTAAGCTGGATACTACATTTTCTCCATAGTACCAGCCTTATGACAAATTTGCAAGTTTTATGAATTTTAAAGAAACAATGGAATTCTATAGGGCAGATTCAATAGAAAGAAAAAAGCATGGCAATTATTATAACCACCTGTATACTAAACACTAACTTCTGAAGACTGACTTACAGGGAGGAAAAAATGCAAAGAAAATGATAAAGGTAAGCAGCAAAAGGCAAGAGTCCTTGAGGGTTCTATGAATAAGCAAATAATAAAATATAACCAAATATTTGAAAGAAAGCCCAAAATACTCTTAAAAAGTAGAGAAAGATTGAGAGTATAAATAAATGGGATAAAAAGTAAATAAAAGCATAACAAATATCAATCATTTCAGCATTTACATGTTGAACTTCATTGGTAAATACAACTTTAGTTTATAAAAAGCCTTATCATTTTTATTAATATCATAGTTAACTGAACAAGTGAGAAGTATCCACATGTCTTACAGCTAAAGTGTTCTTATGAGCTTTGCTTAAACAAATACAAGTAGATGTTGGCTTGACTCAAAGTTAGGTGTACATAATTTCTGTGGCATTTATTTAGTAACTTTTTTTTGTTCAGTAAATGTAAGAAAGTCCTGAATTTACTGTACTAGTTGAAGTTAGAGCTTATGTTTAATCCAAATCTCTTTAGCTGTAATTCTCAGGAAATAAGACTATATTTTGTATAGGTTTTTTTAAAAAGACTGGTCTTCTTTTTATGGAGTTGATCCCACTGACAATGACTCAAATATATTTCAAAAGCCCAGTCCTATTAAGTGTTGATTTCACAATATGTAAACACTGGGTAGTGCTCTTTCGGGAGAATTCAAAATATTTCAGTAGGGTTTTACTAGTTTCCAAGGACATTGGGTAGCAATCCGTATAATAGACATGCTAGTCCCATGTCTTGAGCAAACTGATAGGTTCTTCCAAGAACACAACCAGGAAAACCAGTGATCATGGTGCAGCTGTGAGTCTCAAAAGAAGAAAGAAGACTTACATCATCTTCCAGGCTTCCCTTGGGCATCTGACCACATTTGCTGCGCAATTGCAACTGGCTGGATATCATCATGAGCCAACTGATTTAAGGCAATGTTAACTATATTACGCTAGTGGATCAGCTATGTTAACAACACCGTTTGCAGCAAACCTAACATACTTCTAAGCAAATCAACCAGAACAGACCAGATGTGTCTGTTTCTCTTGAGATTTAAGTAGATAAGTAGATTGAAACACAATAATTTGTCAGGACATAGTCCAGTAGGTAATTCTGTCCTGGAAACAGTGGCTAAAAGAGTCATAGAAATTGCTGATGGGATCCAGAGGAGATTAAACATGCTCACGTCAGAGCTGTCTCCAAAACAGCACACAAGACACTCGGCAGGGGAGAGAATCTCAACGTCCATCAGCTCTCTGGCCTGGACCCCAAACTGGTCCAAAAGTAGAGAGTACTGTGGCTGAGTAATTGATACCTGATTGCATACATTCATCAGTTTTACATTTGTACCATTCTTGCTGATATAAGAGATCAAGGGAAACCCTTCATGGCCACCAGAGGCACCCATGGAATAGAAAATCTGGTTAAAAACAAACTTGTTATTGGTAAGCTTCCATGAACCACACGGCCCTCCCAACATGGAATAGGCTGGTCATGTGTGGATAAGATATGGTTCATTTTAAACTAGGATGACAGTTACTGACACTGCATTGCTGTTGAAATCTGTGCATTCGTGGCCACTGCTCTATGTCATGAGACATCCAAAACAAGCTGAATAGGTATGTGAAGATCATACCAATGGTAGTCTTTGCTTTGGCTGCAAAGCTGATGAGGACTTCTGAGGCTTACTTTGAGGACATGACCAGGCCTCACTTGGGCAAGCTGCTGACACCAGTGCTCCAAGAGTACCTCCTCCTAGGGGGCTCATTCCCAGCTCCACTGAGCTCAGATACTTCCGCACTGTAATTTGAATTTAAGGAGAACTAGAGAGAGTTTCTGCAGTTGTGTTTTACAGCATAATTGAGGTCAGCCCATAGTAAACAGCATTGCCTGAATGCCATCCTCACTGGATGCTACAGAACCAGCTTCCTCTCCTTTTACTTTGAGTTTTAGCCCAGGATAGGTTTAAGCAGAAGAAGACCTGGCTGAGGGTCACTCAACATCTGCAGCCCAGGTCTTGGCAAGCTGATTTCCACCAGGTTCTGAACAAGCCATGCCTGACAAGTCTGGCATTCTTGCACTTCTTTATTGAAGAAATAGCCACCACCACCCAATCCCAGTATAGCATCTTTCTCAGCAACACCCAGGCACTGGAAGCCACCTATTTAGAAAGGAAATAATATGCATAGCATCTATACTTTTAAATAACTTTTGAGAAAATAGTTCATAGTTAGATTAAAAGATTTACTACCATTTATGTGAGAGGAAATAAAATATTTAAAAGAACAAGTGGTCTATAAACAACCTTGCTTGCAGAAAGTATTAAAATATATTAGAAAAAAAGAAGAATTTAGATAGAAGGCGTAAAGAAGTCGTAGGGTTTGGAAGAGTTGGAGATTATATTTCTGCAAGCAAATCCAGACAGAGAAAAGTTAAGAAAAACCTACCAGGACTTGAATACTGCGCTTTTTTCTGTTGTTGATAAGAAAAAAGTGCTTGAGAAAACTGATGGTGCCAAGTCACAATGTTGTGCTGGCTTCTGCTCTGCTTTCTCGGAGAATTTCCAGGGAATCATTACTCTGCATCCGGTGGGAAGGGGTGGGGGTAACATCCCTAGGCCTATCTGAAAGCTTCCTCTTAGCTACACAGCATGTATAAGTGAGATAATACAAAGCCTTTTTAGCTTAGTCACTGAAAATGCGCTTGCCAATTCAAGGTAAAAATGGTCACTTCCAGTTTGAAACTTTGGGTAAATACTCAGTCACTTCAAAACAATCCCCCTCCCTCCCTCCTCCTCCTCTTTCACTGTCTTTTCTTCCCAGGGATGATATAAGTTCCTGAGGGACCTGGCTGGCCCCGATGCCTAGACATCCCTCTAGGTCAGATCACTAGAATGACGTTAAAGTTGTAGTCTAACATCAGAAGAGAATAAATGTAGATTTGAAGCCCTGCCAGACAGAAACAGTTCATTCATATTCTACAGATATTTATCAGGTACCTCCCACATACCAGATGCTGACTGGGTACTGGACTCCACAGTGATTAAAATAGATAAAAACCTGCCTTCATTGAGCTTTCATTCTAGTGGGAGGGAAAGCAGAAAGTAAATAACATGAGAAAATACTTAATTTTCTCAATCAAGTTATCTTATATTAAACACAACTTGACTAATTGTAACCAAGCCATTTTCATTGTTGCCACCAGATAGCTCATGACAGACAGACACTGAGCCCAAATGCCATTATTACTACTAATCCACCAAGGCCCTTCTCCTCTGAGTCCACATACTACCTAAGGATCCTTCTTAGCACAATTCTCCAGGTATTTCTTACCAATAAGGACAGTCATCCAAGAAATAATAGTATTCTTTTGATATCCAGAATATAGCTCAAACTAGGTGCTATGGTCTTAATGCTTGTGTTACCCCAACATTTTCATGTTGATACCTAATCCCCAGTGCAATAATATTAAGAAGTGGGACTTTGGGGAGGTGATTAGATCATAAGAGTTCCACCCTTGTGAATGGGATTAGTGCCCTTATCAAAAAGTCTTAAAGGAACTTGTTTGCCCCTTCCTTCTGCCTTGCTAGGACACAGCTCAGAAGGTGCCATCTTTGAAGCAGAGAGGGAGCCCTCACCAGACACCAAATCTGCTACTGCCTTTGTCTTGGACTCTCCAGCCTCCAGAACTGTAAGCAAGAAATTTCTGTTATCTACAAATTATCCAGTTGATAAGGTTTGGCTCTGTGTGCCCACCCAAATCTCATCTTGAATGGTAATCCCCAGTGTTGGGGGAAGGGACCTGGTGGGAGGTAATTGGATGATAGTGGTGGTTTCCCCTTGCTGTTCTCTTAATAGTCAGGGAGTTCTCACAAGATCTGATGGTTTAAAAATGTGTGGCACTTCCCCCATGTATTAGTCAAAGTTCTCTAGAAGGACAGAAATAATGAGATAGATGTATTTATAAAGGGAAGTTTATTAAAGAGGATTGACTCACACGATCACAAGGTGAGGTCCCACAATAGTCCATCTGCAAGCTGAGGAGCAAGGAAGCCAGTCTGAGTCCTAAAACCTCAAAAGTAGGGAAGACAACAGTACAGCCTTTAGTCTGTGGTCAAATGTCCAAGAGTCTTAAAGCTGTAGAACTTGGAGTCTGATGTTCGAGGGCAGGAAGCATCCAGGACAGCAGAAAGATGGAGGCCAGAAGACTAAGCCAGTCTAGTCTTTGCACGTTCTTCTGCCTGCTTGTATCCTAGCCATGCTGGCAGCTGATTAGTTTGTGCCCACCCAGATTGAGGGTGGGTCTGCATCTCCCAGTCCACTGACTCAAATGTTAATCTCCTTTGGCGACACCTTCACAGACACACCCAGGAGCAATACTTTGCATCCTTCAATCCAATCACCTTGACACTCAATATTAACCATCACACCACCTCACTCTCTCACCTGCTGCCATGTGAAGAAGCTGCTTGCTTCCCCTTCACCTTCCATCATGATTGTAAGTTTCCTGAGGCCTCTCAGTTATGCTTCCTGTTAAGCCTGTGAAACTATGAGTCCCTTAAACCTCTTTTCTTCATAAATTACCCAGTCTCAGGTAGTTCTTTACAGCAGTGTGAGAACAGATGGATACACCAGTCTATGGTATTTTGTTACAGCAGCCCAAATAGACTAAGACACTGAGTTTCAAGCTTAATTCTCCAGTGCACCATCCCCCAAATTTTCACAGTTATCTTGAAAGGTAATGACTCTCTTGACCCTAATAATTTAAAAATGTTTTGGAAGAATTTTTGGATAGAGTAGAAATTCAGAAAAAAAAATGATCTCGACATTTCTAAATTTAAGATACTATTCTACTGTCAAACATTGAAAGCCATATATGCACCTTCATATATAAGTGTACATATGTGCTTTATGTATTTTATGCTCATATGTGTTTTATATGTGTATGCAAGGGAAAGAGTAGAAAACAGGCTGAACCAATGATTTCCAGTACTATAAAATAGAGACATTATATATTAATTAAAATTCTCTGAGTTAACATAAAATTATCTAAATCTGCATAAAGAAAGCTAAAGCATTATCTAACGCACTACAATTAAATTTAGGGAAAAGTAAACAAATCTGAGAAAAATGTATTATCCTGAGGTGGTTAATTATTAGCCTTCACAAGTTCAACATAGTTTTTTTCATTTTTTTTTTTTTTTTTGAGACGGAGTCTCGCTCCTTCGCCCAGGCTGGAGTGCAGTGGCATGATCTCGGCTCACTGCAACCTCTGCCTCCCAGGTTCAGGCGATTCTCCTGCCTCAGCCTCCTGAGTAGCTGGGATTATAGGCACGTGCTACCACACCTGGCTAATTTTTGTATTTTTAGTAGAGATGGGGTTTCTCCATGTTGGTCAGGCTCGTCTCGATCTCCCGACCTTGTGATCTGCCCGCCTTGGCCTCCCAAAGTGCTGGGATTACAGGCGTAAGCTACTGTGCCCGGCCCAACAAAGTTTTATGGAAGGGCTACATAATACAGTCATTATCTTTCTGGGCAAATCATATCCATAGAGACTCATATGTTTAACATTCTTTTATCATAAGTCAGAGGATAAGGGTCCTACTTTCAATTTAAAAGTATTGGATGTGACTGTAGCCACAAGGGCTGACCACTATAAAGAATTTAATATTCCTATTTCATTAAAAAGGATAAAACAACATTTGGAAGCAAAGCTTGTCAGGAAAGATGTTTTTTAACCTTACCCTGACCCCCCCTAATAATTGAGTACACTAGATGCCCACATCCCCATTTGTATTTTATTCATTACTTCTAGTCTCTTCTTCGTGGCTCCTTTCACCATCAATGGGAGGTAGGCCTGGGCTTGGCAGATGAATGAGGGAACTGATCTTACTCTTCTCTAACTAAATAATAAACAGCATCCCTTCAGAACATATCAAGTCCTTTACTCCTTAGCCTCTATTGCTTATTAAATATTTGTAAAAAGTGCAATAGTTGAATTACCAAGATCTAGCCTTTCTCTCCTTTTTTGAGTTTTTTTAACCAAAAGATTCTAAAACTACTAACTAGTCTGAAAGACGAGTCCAAAGACAGGGAAAGAAAACAAACAACAGAAGTAAAATCAAAAACAACAAAATTTCTGAAGCATAAAACACCAATCTCTTTTATGCAAAAAAAATCTGTGAGCTAACCATATTGTAAATTCTAGTGAACTCTTCTAAATGTATCCTGATTCCAAGTAAATATGCTTCCAAATTCAGACAAGACTCCAAAAATGGCAGACACAGCCCACTGGACAACTTCATCTAATCAGGCAATAGGCTTAAACAGTCACAGCTGTCCACTCCCAAAGTGGGCTTGTAAGGTCAGGTAATTCACAGGTCTTTTGTTGATAAATGGGAAAAGAGTCACAGGAAGCTCAAGGCATCAATCAGTCTACATTCACTGCAAGCCCTAGTCAGCCTTCTCTCTAATGGAAATGCGCTCCTCTCTCACATTTGTGGTTTTCTACCTTGCTTCCTAGCAACTAACCATGGGCAGAGGTTTTCGCACTAGTCCATGAAGTAAAACGGGGAAGCAGAATCCTACTGTCTCTTCCATCAGCTCAATGAGCTCATTCTGCAAAGGGAGGGAAACCAGGACAACACTCATTCACTCACCTTTTCTGTTGCTGAGAACTGGACTCTGCCCCAGGGAGAAAATATAATAGTACAGACATTTAACCCTGTTAATGAATTCTTGCTATCTACCAAGAGGAAGTTCCCACTTAATCACAGAACTAGTCCTAACCTGGCCAGGTGCTGTGGCTCATCCCTGTAATCCCAGCACTTTGGGAGGCCAAGGTGGGTAGATCACTTGAGCTCAGGAGTTCAAGACCAGCCAGGCCAAGAAACTTCATCTCTACTAAAAATACAAAAATTAGCTGGGCGTGGTGGCATGCCTGTGATCCCAGCTAGTCAGGAGGCTGAGGCAGGAGAATCACTTGAACCTGGGAGGCGGAGGTTGCAGTGAGTCGAGATCAAGCTACTGCACTCCACCCTGGGCGACAGAGACTGTGTCTCAAAAAAAAAAAGAACTAGTCCTAAACTTTTTGAGCTGGGTGTCAGTCACCTACATTTATTAAAAGAAACCTCCAGGAATAATAATAAAATAAAAATTAAAAAATAAAAAAAACCCCTAACTCCTTTTTTTGACTTTCACATGCACTATTAAATTCCTTTGACTCCAATTTACTTTCTGAGTTGCATTCTGACTTGATAACTCTTAAAACATCTTTGGGTTTCCTGAGAAGTCACAGGCAGATGATAGGGGAACTCCTAAAGGAATTCTCAGAGGTGTCTGGGTTTTTTTTGTGTGTTTGTTTTGTTTTGTTTTGTTTTGTTTTTGAGACAGTCTCACTCTATCACCCAAGCTGGAGTGCAGTGATGCGATCTCGCTCACTGATCTCGGCTCACTGCAACCTCTGCCTCCTGGGTTCAAGTGATTCTCCTGCCTTAGCCTCCCGAGTAGCTGGGATTACAGTTGCCCACTGCCACATCCGGCTAATTTTTTTTGACACCTAGGTTTGCTTTGTAGCCCAGGCTGGAGTGCAATGGCATGATCTCAGCTGACTGCAACCTCTGCCTCCTGGGTTCAAGCAATTCTTGTGCCTCAGCCTCCCTAGTAGACGGGATTACAGGCATGTGCCACCATGCCTGGCTACTTTTTTTATATTTTTAGTAGGGATGGGTTTTCACCATGTTGATCAGGCTGATCTCAAATTCCTGGCCTCATGTGATCCACCCCCCTCGGCCTCCGAAATCAGCCCTCAGAGGTTAAAGGAAGGTAATTTGCAACAACAATTTTTCCCAGAAAGTCTAGAAATTTACTAACCAGTACACAGATAAGCAAGGGTTAACTGCTTATATGTTTGAGTTCATGTGAGTATATGTGTTTGAAAAGACCTTGAGTGATCAAATCCAGGCCTATTATCCTTTCTCATGTTTTTATTAAAAAAAAGATACTTCTTAAATATATTATATAGGCTATTCAGATATTTTATCTTTTTACCACATGTATTTGGAGATTTCATGCATTTGTCTCTATCCTGAAAAGTATAATCACATTGTGAGTCACGAAAACAGAAATTATATAAAGACACTATAATGTTGATTTGGTCAGCTTGTTTGGAGGAAATTGTGTACCTTTCTTTTTAAATTATGGAAAGATAAACTTAGAATTGGAAATACCAGTGGAGTTTAGAAATATTCTGTTTGCAAATATGAACATAAGAGGTTATTTAGGTTACACTAGTTCAACCACTACATTTTTGGCAAATAAAAATTTTAAAATTGCTCATTATATACCACTTAAACATTAATGCAATAGATTTTACATTCGCTTTTTAAAAATCGCATATAAAATTGAACTTAAGAGTCATAATTACTTCACAGTGCAGCCCACCGCCTTATGGAGGTATTTTAAAATCACTAACTATAATAGATAAAAGTTATAATATTTGACCAGACAAATCCAATCTGCATTTGTGGAACATTCAGACATGTGATGGGGCGGAGTTGGCGGGGGGAGCCCTGCAGGGCATAAAGTACATTTTTCACCCTGTGATATTCTCTTTTGGAAATTGCAAAATTCATCGGTTTCACAAAGGCCACAGTCTAGGCAGCTTGCTCCATCATGAATCACTTTCACATCACCTTCAGCTTTCTGCACAGAGTATGACTTCTACAGATGACTTTCCGATCTGGTTTTGTGGTCCATAAAGAGGAGTTGCAAAATCACATTCAATGTCCTCCTGCAAGCTACAGAAAGACATATCCTGCTTCACAGTATCAAAGAGCATACTATACTGGATTTTCTTTCAATTCATTTGCTCATATATTTTCTTTTGCTGGTCTAGAATAGCTTGTTGCTAGCTAATCAATATTTGCTATATTTCTGTGAGTTTTTGCTGTAAATCAGCAATAACTATGTGCTGACTCTTTTGTATCTCAACCAGTTTTTTTATCCCTTTGCAAGTTCCAGATATAGGACTAGTGCACCCCAGATGGGTCTTCATCTTCTCCTATAACATCATAGGAACAACAAAGATGTCTCTGGGCCGGGTATGGTGGCTCACATCTGTACTCCCAACACTTTAGGAGGCTGAGGCAGGCAGATCCCTTGAGCCCAGGAGTTTGAGACCAGCCTGGGAAACATGGTGAAACTTCACTTCTACAAAAAATACAAAAAGTAGCCCGGCGTGGTGGCATGTGCCATGTAGTCCAGATACTCAGGAGGCTGAGGTGGGAGGATTGCTTGAGACCAGGAGGTCGAGGCAGTGAGCCCTGTTCGCGCCACTGCACTCCAGCCTGAAGGGCAGAGAGAGACCCTGTTTCCAAAAACAAACAAACCAAAAAAAAAAAAAAGATGTTTCCAGTATAACAATTCTTCATCTTCCATTCCAGCTTCAGCACTGTAAAACGCTATATGTTAAATTTAAAATGACCATGTTAACAACATAACGTCCTATTTCAGAAACTTTAAGCTTACAGAAATCTTAAGGCCGGGCGCGGTGGCTCACACCTGTAATCCCAGCACTTTGGGAGGCCGAGGCGGGTGGATCACGAGGTCAGGAGATGGAGACCATCCTGGCTAACATGGTGAAACTGCGTCTCTACTAAAAATACAAAAAAATTAGCCAGGCGTGGCGGCGGGCGCCTGTAGTCCCAGCTACTCCGGAGGCTGAGGCAGGAGAATGGCGTGAACCCGGGAGGCGGAGCTTGCAGTGAGCCGAGATCATGCCACTGCACTCCAGCCTGGGCGACAGAGCGAGACTCCGTCTCAAAAAATAAATAAATTAAAAAAAAATTATATAATAAAAAAAATCTTAAGCATTTCACCTGTGCACCAACATGAAAGTTTAGGCTGTCTGCTTAATTTCATGTACAACAATCTTAGACTACTTATGGCTTTAGAGCATCAAAATTTAATAGATGCTTCTTAAAATCAAAGGTAATAGACTTTTTGATACAAAAACTGTCTGGTTGTGCTTTTTTTTTTTTTAAATTCCACACAAAACCATAGTCAAAGCACAATGCCATTTAGCCTGTGAGTCCCCAAAGCTATGCACAGAATTGAATTATTATGCAGAAAATGTCAACTTTGTAGTTAACCACAGCCTTTAGGGGAGAAAGACAGTAGGATCATAGCTTTTGTATGTGTTTATTTGTGTGCCCATGAGTGGTTGTGTGTGTGTGTGTGTGTATGTTTCACTGAAGCACTCCTCCAGAGAGTGACCCATCTGATAAGACATCCTCTGTTCATTTGTTATTCATAAATAAATGGCTTGTTTCTGGAATTTTTTTAAAGCACACAGCTAGTGGATGCTAAAAACAACCTAGAAAGGAGTTAGGAAGTTAAACTAAAAAGATGAATTTAATGTAATAACCATAGCATACTACCATTCTCTCTTTTTTCTACCCACAACATTTATTTGTGCAACTATATGGCTGGCCATTTGACTGCTAATGTTTCAGACCAGTATGGCCAAAATACATCACTCTATTTCAGAAAAGAGAGAGATTGTGCCTAATACTTACAGATGTAAAGTAACCAGTAACTATGCTTATGAACCAATTCTACAGAAATATCAGGAAACAACTAACTGGGCCTAACAACAGAACTAATGTACAGAGATTTAATAGGCCTTTTACGGGAAGGAGAAACGGCAATATGAGAACTTACTATGTATCCTAATAAAAGTCTCATTATCTCACCCACAGATTTATTTTCAATGAAAAGCCTACCTGAGGAGTTCTGTACATAAGTTTTCTATAAAACATTTTATGAAACCACTTAGCCAGCCCAGAGATTCTCAATAAATTATATAATAACATCTGGGGTAACAAATCTCTATCCTCAAAGCTGCCATTTGATAGCATAGAAAGCACGCACTTAAATAGTAGAAGACAATAAAAAATGCCAGAGCTCCTATCAGAAATACTTTGAAGTTTCTCTGATGAAGATTTCTTTAAAGGTTTTCTTTTCACACTAAGGAGATGGTTATATTTTGCTAAAACTCAATGACTTTTTTGCACAAAGTATAGTTGGCCCTCTGCATCTGTGGATTCAACCAACCTCAGAAAATATAGAATAAAAAATGGATGGTTATATCTGTACTAAACACATACAGACTTTATTTCTGGTTATTATTTCCTACACAATACAGAATAACAACTATTTACATTTAGAATATATCTAAAAATGCTTAAACAAAAAATTGTCAATAAGTCAACTGTCCCTATACAAATGGCCAATGGGTATATGAAAATGTAGTCAACATCACTAATCATCAGGGAAATGCAACTCAAAACCACAGTGAGAGATCATCTTACCCCAGTTAGAATGACTGTTATTAAAAAGATGAAAGATAACAAGTGCTGGCGAGGATGCGGTAAAAAGGGAAGTCTCATACACTGTTGGTGGGAAGATATATTAGTGCAGCCACTATGGCAAACAGTGCAGAGAGTTCTCAAACTACCATACGATCCAGCAATTCCACATGTATCCACAGGAAAGGAAATCAGTATATACCTGCACTTTCATGCTTATTGCAGCACTACTCACAATGGCAAAGATAGAGAATCAGCCTAAGTGTCCATCAACAGACAGATGGATAAAGAAAATGCAGTATTTATACATAATGGAATACTTATTCAGCCATAAAAAAGAATGAAATTGGCCAGGCATGGTGGCTCATGCCTGTAATCCCAGCACTTTGGGAGGCCAAGGCAGGCAGATCACAAGGTCATGAGATCGAGACCAATCTGGCCAATATGATGAAACCCTGTCTACACTAAAAATACGAAAATTAGCTGGGCATGGTGGCGGGTGCTTGCAGTCCCAGCTACGTGGGAGGCTGAAGTAGGAGAATCGCTTGAACCCGGGAGGCGGAGGTTGCAGTGAGCCAAGATCGCATCACTGCACTCCACCTGGGTGACACAGTGAGACTCCATCTCAAAAAAAAAAAAAAAAAAGAAAGAAATCCTGTCATATGCAGCAATATGGATGGGATTATGTTATTATGGAATTATAGGTGGAATTTCATCATTATGCTAATGAAATAAGCCAAGACAAATATCACATGTTCTCACTCATATATGGGAGCAAAAAAGTTGATCTCCTGGAGGTAGAGAGTAGAATGATAGATACCAGAGGCTAGGAAGGGTGTGTAGGTTGACGGAGGGGATGAAGAGAGGTTGGTTAATGGGTACAAACATACAGTTAAAAGGAATAACTACAGACCTACAGATAGATGGAATAAATCTTAATGTTCAGTAGCAGAGAAGGGTGACTATAGTTAATGACAATGTATCATATATTTTAAAATAGCTAGAAAAGAGGATTTAAAATGTTCCCAACACATAGGAATGATAAATACTTGAGGTGATGGATACCCCAGATACCCTGACCTGATCATTATACATTCTATGCATGTAAGAAAATGTCACATGTACCCCATACATACCTGCAAATATTACATATCAATTTTAAAACTAGGCCTGGCAAGATGGCTCATGTCTGTAATCACAGCACTTTGGGAGGCTGAGGTGGGAGGATCACTTGAGGCCAGGAGTTCGAGACCAGCCTGGGCACCACACTGAGACCCCCATCTCTACAAAAATAAAAATAAAAATAAAAAAAATAGCCAGGCATGGTGGCACATGCCAGTAGCCCAGCTACTCGGGAGGCTGAAGCAGAAAGATCACTTGAACCAAGGAGGTCGAGGCTACGGTGAGCTATGATTGCACCAGGGCACTCCAGCCTGAGCAACAGAGTGAAACCCTTTTTCAAAAAAACATTTTTTTTTAAATAAGTCAACTGTCCACACAAAATAATCCCTTAGACAACTTTCAGCTTCTTAAAAGTGGTCTATCCTGGGCATCCCCTTTGGCTAATTTAACACAAGCCAGCTTGCCTTAAACAGCGCGGAGGTCATACTCATAACATTTTCTTTATTCTTATGTTTATTGGAGGCAAAGACACAAAATTCTCCTTTGCATAGAGAAAAATAACTAAAACCCCCATCCAAAGGCAGTTGACTGCGGAGAGGTCTCTAATGACCTAGAACTCATGGGAAAATGCAGACTCCATCAGGCCCAGCTGAAGACAACCGGGTAGTTTTTGTTTTTTAACAGCTTTATGGCAGTGTAATTGACATACAGGAGAAACAAAAACAAAAACAAACAAAAAAACCCTGCATATATTTAGTGTATACAATTTGATGAGTTTAAACACCGGACAGACATTTTTAAACTCGTTTTTCAGTTGAATGTGCCGCACACCGAGGTTTGGAAACCACCCGTGAACTTCTATCCCAATCCACCCGGACATAAGGGAGCTGATGGCCCAGGCCCGCGCCTTCCAGCGGGGCAGGCCCAGCGGGGACCAGTTCGGCAGGCGCCTCCCCCAGGGTCTAGGATACCTGCTGGAAAGCTCGCAGCAGGGCCCGCTCCCGGTCCTGGGCAGGCCCAGGCGCGTCAAGACGCCGCGGCTACCTCTGCGGAGCGCGGCCGCTCGGCCACCAGCCCCTTCCCGCCCCCCGAGCTCCGCGGCACTGGAGTCCCCGGGCGGTGCCATGCGTCCCTGGAGCGCACGACACTTTCGGGCCCTGGGGACCCCGGGAGGCCGGGATCTGGCCTGGGGTGGAGGGCGAGGCCAGTCGGCCCCCACCTGCTCACCGGGCAGACTGTACCCGGGCAACGGCTCCCCGCAGCTCCGGCTTTTTGCCTGAAGCCCCCTGCAGGCAAATTCCGCGTCGCGCGGGCCCGCGGGCGCGCTGCAGTCTCCGAGCCCCAGGAAGCAGAGACCCAGGTAGGCAAAGCCACCGCCTGGCCGCGTCAGCTCATGTGGGCCTTGAGTCCAGCATCGCGGCCACCTGAAGGAGGAGTGGCAGTGAGCCCTGGGCAGCACAGACCACCACGTGCCCAGAAACCAGGGATGTTCCTGTCTCCAAACACCCACTCGCGAATCCCTTTAGCTCTTGGTTCAGCCAAGAAAGCTACCAAGCCGCGTGGCTCAGAAGCAGCGCCTCGTGGGTCACTTTCTGCAGGCTCTGCCTGGGAAACCGAGTTCTTGGAGCCTGGAGATGTTTCTCTAGGCTGACACACCCCTCTCAGGGGCGCCGTCTGGGGACGCCACCCTCCCCATGTCTCCTTCCTGTCTGTTCATCCACAGTCTGAGAACTTCTCTAGTTCCTCTAGTGTCCCGCCAGCCCAGCTGAGGCTCTCCAGGGAAGGTAGTGGTGTCTGCAGGGGTGCGAGATCCTCCTCTGCAGCCCTGACTACTCAGCCTAGAGGGGCTTACTGAGGGGTAGAAATCCGAATTTGCATGCAAGGCAGCCGCGGCCGTGTGAGCAACCTCCTCTGAAAGCTTCTGGAAGAATGTCTGACTTGTGTAACATTCCTGAGACTTCCTTTTTTTCTTTCATTCTTTTTTTAGAGATGGGGTCTGGCTGTGCTGCCCAGGCTGGTCTATAACTCCTGAGCTCAAGCAATCCTCGAGCCTCAGCCTCCCCAGTAGCTACGACTACAGACATGAACCATCACGTCCAGCTAATTTTTAAATTTTTTTGTAGAGAAAGAGTGTCACTATGTTTCCCAGGCTGGTCTTGAACTCCTGGCCTGAAGCAGTCCTCCCACCTGGGGCTCTCAAAGTGCTAAGATAACAGGGGTGATAAACCACCCCCGCCTGGCCCTTTAATACTTCTTTAGTATCAGATTTCCAAAGCACCTCTCTTCAAGCCTTAGAAGATTTGCAAGAAGACCAAAGAAGCACAATGACATCATGATGAACAGGAAAACGGGGCTGCACTGACACCGCCTCAAATTCCAGTCAGTTCTAATTTTGAGGCCAAGCTATATAGATCCATAAATGATGCCCACTGCTTTGCCCACCACACACATTATCTTTTTTGTGTGTGTGTGACAGACTCTCGCTCCGTCATCCAGGCTGGAGTGCAGTGACATGATCTTGGCTCACTGCAACCTCTGCCTCCTGGGTTCAAGCAATTCTCCTGCCTCAGCCTCCCAAGCAGCTGAGATTATAGGTGCCCACCACCAGGCCCGGCTAATTTTGTATTTTTAGTCGAGATGGGATTTCACTAAGTATTTTTCTTTTCTCAATTCTGTTATGGTAAAATCAATCAAGTTATGCTAAAAATCAGTCAAGCTGTGCTAAAAAAAAAATCAATCAAGTTATGCTAAAAATCAATCAAGCTGTGCTAAAAAAAATCAATCAAGTTATGCTAAAAATCAGTCAAGCTGTGCTAAAAAAAAAAGTCAATCGAGTTATGCTGTAACTGCTCCCTGGGAAATACTTACGTCAAAAAAAAAAAAAAACTAAACATATACTTTCTGACTGCCAAATACCTGACTCTAATTGTGTAGGTCACCTAAACCAGAACATCTTATACCTTGCATTTCATGAAATTAGAACAACTTATAGAAAGGATGTTTTTGCTACATTTCAGGCAGTAACAATCCAAGTGCTTTTTAAAGGATTTTTGCCAGTTAAAAGCTTAAGCTTTTGTAATCACAGCTAAGCACATGCTCTCTCTCTTCTCTCTCTAATACACACACACACACACACACACACACACACTCACAAAATGAATCTCATTAAGCACTTTTTTCTCTAGCCACCCTTATTATGCAATTAATAGCACCCAAGCTGAAAGCACCTTTGATGTCTTACTTAAAACTAAACATTAGTGCTATGGTGTTAATGTTTCTGTTTCCCCTGCCTCCAAATTCATATATTGAAACATAATCTAGAATGCAATAGTATGAAGAGTTGGGGACTTCGGGAGGTGTATTAGTCGGTTTTTACACTGCTATAATGAACTGCCCGAGACCGGGTAATTTATAAAGGAAGGAGGTTTAATTGATTCACAGTTCAGCATGGCTGGGGAGGCCTCAGGAAACTTACAATCATGGCAGAAAGCAAAGGAGAAGCAAGACACCTTCTTCACAAGGTGGCAGGAAGGAGAATGAATGGAGGAGGAACTACCGAACACTTGTAAAACCATCAGATCTCCTGAGAACTCACTCACTGTCACAAGAACAGCATGGGGGAAACTGCCCCCATGATTCAATTACTTCCACCTAGTCTCTTTCTTAAAAAGTGGAGATTATGGGGATTGCAATTCAAGATGAGATTTTGGATGTGGACACAACCAAAGCATATCAGGAGGTCATTAGGACATAAGGGCTTTGCTTTCCTTTAATCAATGGGATAAGTGTCCTTATAAAAGAGACTGGAGGGAGCTCATTAGTCCTTTCCACCATGTGAAGACACATAGAAGGTGCCATTTCTGAGGAATAGGTACTCACCAGATGCTGAATTTGCTGGTGCCTTTGATATACAAGATATATGAGTTAAGAAGAAACTGTTTAAGCAGAGAGGGTAGGAAATCTTTGGTAAGGTTTTCATTTTAATGAAAAGCAACCCCCAAAGCATTTTCTTTTCTAACAAAGAGCAGCCCGTAAAATCAAGCTTGAGACATAGAAAGGCAAGCTAGAAGCTTGCACAGGTAAATGCAGATCGCTGTGCCAATAGGGAAGGGGCTACCTGGGGGCTAGTTCAAAATGGGGTCTCCATCTTCCTTTCCCTTGACAACCACCTGTGCAGTCAGGAGCAGAGAACATTGCCCCCAGGCAAAGACCTCATTTGCATATAAAAGATTAGGGTGGGGTGGCCAGCTTCCCCAGGAGCTGGTAAATGTCACACCTGGTCCAACCAATCTTTGGGCCCTATGTAAATCAAACACCACCTCCTCAAGCCTGTCTACAAAACCCTGTGCACTCCACTGCGGGCTGGAAGTCCTATTTGGGCACCCCTCTCTCCCACAGGAGAGAGAGTTGTTTTCCTTTCTCTTTTTTTGCCTATTAAACCTCTATTTCTAAACCCACTTTTCGTGTGTTCAAATACTCTATTTCCTTGGCATGAGATGACAAACCTCAGGTGTATACCCCAGACAACAACACTGCTTCACCTTGATCTTGGACTTCCCATCCTCCAGAGTTATAAGCAATAGAAATTTCTGTTGTTTATAAATTACCCAGTCTATGGTATTTTGTTATACAGCCAAACAAAGACAATTAGGAACAAGAAAAAGAGTCAATATTTTCTCCTTTTTTGGATTATAATTATGTAATAACCACCGTTTATTAAACAGCAATTATGTACCAACTATTTTACATAACTTTCCTTCAAGTCAGACTGTAGCCTTATGATGCTATCATTTGTTGTGTGTGTGTGTGTGTGTGTGTGTGTTTTCTTTCGAGATGGAGTCTCACTCTGTCACCCAGGCTGGAGTGCAGTGGCGCAGTGGCTCGGTCTTGGCTCACTGCAAGCTCTGCCTCCTGGGTTCACGCCATTCTGCTGCCTCAGCTTCCCAAGTAGCTGGGACTACAGGCGCCCACCACCACACCTGGCTAATTTTTAAAAATATTTTTAGTAGAGATGGGGTTTCACCGTGTTAACCAGGATGGTCTCGATCGTGACCTTGTGATCCGCCTGCCTCCCAAAGTGCTGGGATTATAGGCGTGAGCCACTGCACCCGGCCATTTATTGTGTATTATGCTTCCTATGTGCAGGGCACTGTGCTAATTTATATATAGTATACTATCTGACTTTTTCAGAATAATAGCTTTAGCAGACAGCTATTATTATCCCTACTTTGTAAAGAAAATGAACTTTCAATTAATAATTTGTCCAAACACCTATTATGTGGAAGTTCTGGAACTCAAACCCTGATCTGTCTGAATCTGAACTCAGTTCTATCAGGATCTAAAGTCTGAATTTTTTCTAGAATATCATCCTTTCTCTCAATGTTGCCTAATTTTTAGTTGCTTAGGAGGGTTATAAATAAATATCCAGCTTACACTACATTTGCTTTATCCTTTGAGGAAAATTTTTTAAAAAGCTGCTACTTGCTAAACACCGTGCTCTGTCACCTGAGGCCAGAATGAGGAAATGTAGTGGAGGCAAACTATGTCCTTCTGTAAGTTGGGAGCAGAGTAAATGTAGATTGATGTTCAATGTAGATTCTATCTTAACTATTCTGTGTTTTCATTTAATCTGTTATTGTACTGCCCAGTTTACAAATTACACCGTAATTTAGTTTGTCACACACCTTTGTAATATAAGTGTGAATTACCCATTCAGGGCTACTAAGAACCTCAACAAGATCTCATAACTTGAGCCAGGTTACAGTTGGCAGAGCTGATTCCAAACTGGACTTCAGGCACCAAAACCTGGGTCTTCTTCACCAGTTAGAATGGTGATCATTAAATAGTCAGGAAACAACAGGTGCTGGAGAGGATGTGGAGAAATAGGAACAATTTTACACTGTTGGTCGGACTGTAAACTAGTTCAACCATTGTGGAAGACAGTGTGGCGATTCCTCAAGGATCTACAAGTAGAAATACCATTTGACCCAGCCATCCCATTACTGAGTATATACCCAAAGGATTATACATCATGCTGCTATGAAGACACATGCACACGTATGTTTATAGCGGCACTATTCACAATAGCAAAGACTTGGAAACAACCCAAATGTCCATCAGTGATAAAATGGATTAAGAAAATGTCGCACATATACACCATGGAATACTATGCAGCCATAAAAAAGGATGAGTTCATGTCCTTTGTAGGGACATGGATGAAGATGGAAACCATCATTCTGAGCAAACTATCCCAAGGACAGAACACCAAACACTGCAAGTTCTCACTCATAGGTAGGAATTGAAAAATGAGAACACTTGGACACAGGGTGGGGAACATCACACACTGGGGCCTGTCGTGGGGTAGGGGGAGGGGAGAGGGATAACATTAGGAGATATACCTAACGTAAATTATGAGTTAATCGGTACAGCCAACCAACATGGCACATGCATACCTATGTAACAAACCTGCACGTTGTGCACATGTACCCTAGAACTTAAAGTATATTAAAAAAAAAACAAAACACCTGGGTCTTCTTATTCTAATTCCCTGCTTACTGATATCACTTCTTATCATTTCCTCTTATTTATACTGGGTTTTTTTCCTGTACTGAAAAATCACCAAGCTCTGAATTATCCTGAAAGCTACTCTTTCAGATTCTTTTTTTCTTTTCCCTTTTTCTTTTTTCTTTCTTTCTTTTTTTTTCTGTGGCAGAGTCTGGCTCCATTGCCCAGGCTGGAGTGCAGTGGAATGATCTTGGCTCACTGCAACCTCTGCCTCCCAGATTCAAATGATTCTCCTGTCTCAGCCTCCCGAGTAGCTGGGATTACAGGTGCCTGCCACCACACCCTGCTAATTTGTGTATTTTTAGTAGAGATGGGGTTTTACCATGTTGGCCAGGCTGGTCTTGAACTCCTGACCTCAGTTGATCTGCCTGACTCGGCCTCCCAAAGTGTTGGGATTACAGGCATGAGCCACCGTGCCCCACCCTCATTCAGATTCTGATTCAAATAACATTTATTTAACACCTCTGAGACCCCATGCCAAATATTCTTGTGTGCATTCTTATCCCTACCTTATGATAACCATTTAAGGTAAGTATTATTCATCTTATAAACTATTAGTTCTCACAAAATAAGAATCCTTTCAAAATAAGAATCCTTGGCCTCCAGGACTTTACAGTGTAGGAGGCTGACAGTAAAAGCCATGCTGATTAGAGGTGATGATATTCCCTTGGGACGCACCAAGTGTCTGTGCCGTCTCTCAACCTGTCAGCTCCCTCTTCTCTTTACTTCATCCTGCAAACCCCATCAGCCATCATGTCTGCATCACTCCTCCTGAAATTCTCAAATCCCTCAGCCCTCCGTCCTCTCCATGAGCCCCTAAGCAAATGCACCCCCGGGGCTGCAGAGCACACAGCCACTCACACAGGTGCCAGTCATCATTCAGTTTCCACATCCACTGGACCCTTCTTTTTTTTTTTTTTTATACTTTAAGTTCTAGGGTACATGTGCACAACGTGTAGGTTTGTTACATATGTATACATATGCCATGTTGGTGTGCTGCACCCATTAACTCGTCATTTACTTTAGGTATACCTCCTAATGCTATCCCTCCCCACTCCCCCAACCCCATGACAGGCCCTGGTGTGTGATGTTCTCCTTCCTGTGTCCAAGTGTTCTCACTGTTCAATTCCCACCTATGAGTGGGAACATATGGTGTTTGGTTTCTTGTCCTTGCGATAGTTAATGGAATACTATGCAGCCATAAAAAAGGATGTGCTCATGTCATTTGTAGGGACATGGATGAAGCTGGAAACCATCATTCTCAGCAAACTATCACAACCACTGGGCCCTTCTAAGTCCCCACTCCCAGTTTTCTATGTGGTTCTCCACAGCAGCTTTTTGAAACCTCTTACCTCTCAGCATCCTCCTCATTCATCAGGTCCCAACTCCCTCAGCATTCAGCCATTGCAAAGGCATCTGTACCTATGTTCATTCCTGCCTTTGTCCTCATTAGCAAGGTTTGGCCTCACTCTTTTCCCCAGAGCTCCAGAATTCATCCTTTTCTGCCCGTATGCACCATCTCCCTATCCCTTTTAAGTACCTCCTTTTATAAACATGCATTCTCTATTCTCTGCCCACCCACCACCCCCGCTCGAAAGGGTCTGACCCTGTCACCCAGGCTGGAATGCATAGGCACAATCATAACTTGCTGCAGCTTCGAACTCTTAACTCAAGCGATCCTCCTGCCTCAGCCTCTTGATTAGCTGTGACCACAGGTGTGCACTACCGCACTTAACTGATTTTAACATGTTTTTGTAAGGACGAGGTCTCCCTATGTTGCCTAGGCTGATCTTGAACCCCCGGCCTCAAGTGAACCCTTGCTTCAGCCTTCCAAAGTGCTGGGATTACAGGCGTGAGCCACCGTACTTGGCCCTCTGTTCTCTCTCATAGTAAATAACAACAACCAAAAAAGGGCTCTTCCTTAACTGTCTACCCACTTCTAGCTAAAGTCCCTGCATTCTACCCCATCACTCCACTGAAACTTCTCTTGCCCAAGTCATTCACGATTTTCCTGTTTCTAAAACTAACAGATACTTTTAAGCCCTCGTCTTTCTTGATCCTACTGGAGCATTTGATACCATTCCTCACTCTATTCATTTTCTTTCCAAAGCTTGAATGGCATTTTTCTCTGACTTCTCAGGTTAGAGGAAAACATCCTTCATGAACTCATCTTCCTCTGCCCATCTGTTAGTGTCTGGTGTTTCCAAGTCCCATGCTTGGTCCCTAGCACTGTACTGCAGGCTCACACAACTGTCTATGATGGTCCCTAAGCTCACCTCCCGCTATGCACTCCCTTATAAATTTCATCCCTGGCTATGCTTTCAATTACTGTATATGCACTGACAACTCCCAAATCTGTATCTCCGGTGCTAGGATTCCTGTTAACCTGCAAGCCCATCATCTTGAATATCTCAGAGTAAACAGCACCCTCTTCGTCTGGCTCCACATCAAATCTTCACTCTCTCTCAATGAAAGGTACTATCAAGGATAGCATCCTTGTCACTCATAAGGTCCTTCCAAAGCATCAGTTGCATTTAGCAACAGACACCCGATTCTGATGATTGGGTATGGGGATAGAATTTCCCCATATTTCTCAAGTACCTGAGACACGCTTCCACAAGTGCATTTTCTTCCAGCTCTATATGATCCCAGTACACCAAACATGACTATTGCTTTGCTACCTTGTGTCAGGAACTACATGTTCTCCACTACCACCAGCGATGGAGTTCTCATTTCAACACACCTGGCAGGTGAGCCTGCTCTACAATCTCATTTTAGCCTCTACTTTCTTCACCTTTCCTGTCACCAATGGTTGTAGGTTGGGTTACCTGGAAGCAGAGACTGGGATGAAGATTAGAGTTCAGAAGTTTATCAGAGGATGGTTTCTAGGTAAATGCCTTGGAAGAGAAGCGATGAAGCAGGATTGGACAAGGGGAGAAGCTGGTCTACTACGCAGTCTCAAAAAAAGGCCTCAGCCAACTCCACAGGGAGCAACTGGGATGGCCCTTCAGAGTTGTCCCAGGTTGCAGCAAAGGGGCCAGAACTTTCTGCTCACATGTGGACCAGTTATTGGATGTAGCCAGTGCTCTGAAGTGGGTGGTGATCATAGGCCAGACACCTCTCTACAGATGAGGGCAATTTCCAGAAAGAGCTTCTGGTTGCTGGCTATTCGCTGGCAGCACTCCAACCTGCTGGGGACCTGGGCATCTTAGCGAGCACTACACCACTGTACTATTGAGGAAGGCACTTGATTTCTCTGTTTCCTTGTCTGTGAATTGAGGAGGAATAATTGTATTATCTGATAGGGATAAGAATTAAGGAAAAAAAAAACAGCCCAGTACCTGGTGAGGCACATGCTAAGCCCTCAATAAGTGTTAAGCTATCATTGTGATTATTATTACTTTATAGGTATATTTTATTATAATATTTTATTAGTTTCATTTTTCACACCTCATTCATTCAGAAGCACCTAAGATTTGGTTATAAGTTACTCTTTTTTTTTTTTTTTTTTTTTTTTTTTGTGAGACGGAGTCTCACTCTGTCACCCAGGCTGGACTGCAGTGGTGTGATCTCAGCTCACTGCTACCTCTGCCTCCTGTGTTCAAGCCATTCTCCTGCCTCAGCCTCCCAAGTAGCTGGGACTACAAGCGCATGCCATCATGCCCAGCTAATTTTTTGTATTTTTAGTAGAGATGGGGTTTCACCGTGTTAGCCAGCATGGTCTCGATCTCCTGGCCTCGTGATCTGCCCGCCTTGGCCTCCCAAAGTGCTGGGATTACAGGCATGAGCCACTGCACCCTGCCTATAAGTTACTCTTGTATGCTCTCATAGCATCCTACACTCCTACACTTAACATACCATATTATTATCGCCTTCTCATCTGTCTCCCTTACTAGAGTATAAATTCCTTGGAAGCATTCACCTCTTAGCCTTACCTACAACCTGGCTGGTCTTGCAGCCTGCCCAACCATGGCTACCCGTTCTCTCCTACCTCACACAACTCTGCACAAGGCTCTGCCATTTTTTCCCCTCCTTGCCACTGTCATCCACCAGCCAGCCTCCAGCCCATCCCACTCACTCATTGAAGGTTTGGACGACTGGCTCACAGTTGCTTTACATCTCATTTCCTGCTGTCATGTGATGTGACCTCAGTGTCCACAAGGACAATCCAGACAAAATCCTGATCCCTCAGTTCCTTGATCTCCTTACCTCTAATGATCATTATCTCGACTCCTCCTCTCCTGCCCATCCCGTATGAGGTGTGCAATTCAGGCTGCACCCCCCTGTGTGGCAAACTGAGTGCTCTGCGCCAATAGACCAGGCATCATTCCAACTTCCGATGATCCAGACATCATTCTGATTGGTCAGCACCTTTTTTTTTTACAGTCATTAAATATTTTTAATATTACCCCTACCCATGAACATAACCTAAAACATATATGTTCAACTTTTTCCACTATTCTTCAGTCTCACTGAAACCAATCCATTGACTGCTCTGGTTTCTCCAAATTGTTGGCCTCTTTCCTTCCTTTTTATACTAAATCAGTTTAGAGCTAATGGTCATTCATTTCAGTAAGATGTTAAAAAAAAAAAAAAAAGCTTTAAATCTCTTGTCCCAGTGTCTTTTTGTAGTCCCATTTGGGGTTTGTAAGGTGCTGCTTTCTCCACGGCTCAGGAAAGCCTTGCTAGAGAGAGTCCCATGCCAGGGTTTCTTGGTAGTCTCCATTAATTCATGATCCCCATCCTCAAATGGTCCCTCAATGTGTCCTCAAAATTCCTCACGTTTCCTACTCAAATTGCTCCCTGGCTTTTTGCAGTCTCCCAACATGCTTCTCAAAATCTCAAATTCCTTCCTCCTGTCCTCCCTCAATGAGCAAATAAACTAGCCTTTTAATGAATCTTATGAAAAAATGAGTTAAAATAATACATGCACATTATAACAGGGGAACATCCGAGATATATAAAGAAAAGAAGTCATAATATCTCTGATATTATCCAGCTATAGGCCCATTGCTCTGAGGAAATCAATGTTAAGAAGCAAGTGGGAATTTCTTGGCAAATTCCTTCAAACTCATATGAACAAATGCAAATATATGGAGACATGTATATGGGGCATGTATCTGTTCTGACAACAGTGGGATCATGTTATAGATATTTCTCAGCAGTTTGCTTTTCATAGTTAACCATAACAATGGACATTCCCCACCTTTGCCAATATGTATCATATATATGTATATATATGATGTCTATATCATGTCTATATCAAATATATTGTGATATATAGATGCATGTCAGTATATAAATTATATCTGAATACATACAAATGTATTATAGAGATAAACCACCTCTGTTTAGCCTGTGCAAAACTCCAGGATAATTTAACTGCATAGCTACTCAAGGCTCCCTCTATCACAAAGAATTTCCAAACTGCATACCTAAGCAAGGCAGAACAGATCATGATTAACTCAAACATTTAAATACAATCATGTCTAGAGAACTCAAAGTAAAGAACTAGACTTTGTAGGATCTAGAACCAGAAATACCTTTTGACCCAGCAATCCCATTACAGGGTGTATTTCCAAAGGATTATAAATCATTCTGCTATAAAGACACATGAACACGTATGTTTATTGCAGCACTATTTACAATAGCAAAGACTTGGAACCAACCCAAATGCCCACAAATGATAGACTGGATAAAGAAAATGTGGCACATTACACCATGGAATACGATGCAGCCATAAAAAAGAATGAATTCATGTCCTTTGCAGGGGCATGGATGAAGCTGGAAGCCATCATTCTCAGCAAACTAACACAGAAACAGAAAAACAAACACCACATTTTCTCACTCATAAGTGAGAGTTGAAAAATGAGAATACATGGACATTGGGAGGGGAACATCACACACCCACACACCCGGGCCTGTCGGGGGTGGTGGGGGGCAAGGGGAGGGAAAGCATTAGGACAAATACCTAATGCATGTGGGGCTTAAAACCTAGATGACAGGTTCATAGGTGCAGCAAACCACCATGGCACAAGGTGCTATGTGACAAAGTGCACATTCTGCACATGTATCCCAGAACTTTAAAGTAAAATAAAAGTAAAAAGATAAAAAATAAAATAAATAAATAAAAAAAACCTAGATCTACAGTCAGGGCATTTCCACCCCGGAACAATCTCTGTTGCACTAGCAAGGTCACATGACATGGATCCCTATTAGTATCTTTTTATGAAGGGATTTGTCTTTGGCATATTAACATTATTCTAATTCAGCCATTCACTAATTGATAGACAGCTTAATCATTTTCAGTTTTCTTGCCATGACAAGCAAAGCTGTAATAAATATCCTGGAACATATGGTTTTTCATAACACTGCTGTTATTTTCACAGGAAAGATTTCTAAACTAAAATTCCTGTGCCAAAGAGAATAGATTTTTTTTTATTTCATAGAGATGTTCAGATTACATTCAGCAAGGATGCAGCAATTCACTGCTGTCAGAAGCCAGGTAAGAGAGCACCTGCCTCCCCGTACTCCTGACAGCACAAAATGGGATCTCTCCCCACTTCATTTCTTTTTTGTTTTTTCGTCTGTCAATTTGATGATGAAAAATGTATTTTCTAGAGAAATAGGAATGCTTTTATATTTTTGGTGGGAATGTAAATTAGTTCAACCATTGTGGAAGACAGTGTGGTGATTCCTGAAGGATCTAGAAACAGACCATTTGACCCAGCAATCCCATTACTGAGTATATACCCAAAGGAATATAAATCATTCTACTATAAAGACACATGCACGCATATGTTTATTGCAGCACTATTTACATTAGCAGAGACATGGAATCAACCCAAATGCCCATCAATGATAGACTAAATAAAGAAAATGTGGCACATTTACACCATGGAATACTATGCAGCCATAAAAAGGAATGAGACCATGTCCTTTGCAGGGACATGGATGAAGGTGGAAGCCATCATCCCCAGCAAACTAAAACAGGAACAGAAAACCAAACACTGCATGTTCTCACTCATAAGTGGGAGTTGAAAAATTAGAACACATGGACACAGGGAGGGGAACAACACACACCAGCACCAGTCAAGGGGTGGGGGGCGAGGGGAGGGAGAGAAATAGGACAAATAGCTCAAGCATGTGGGGCTTAACACTTAGATGACAGGTTGATAGGTGCAGCAAACCACCATGGCACACGTATACCTATGTAACAAGCCTGCATGTTCTGCACTTGTATCCCAGAACTTAAAGTAAAAAAAAAAAAAAAAAAAAAAAATTATTCTCCTGGTTTAATTTTACTTACTTGACTTCTAGAAAGTTTGAGTGTCTTTTTATATGTTTATTGGATATTTACATTGTATCTTCTATGAATCACTTTTGCCCTTTTTCTTATGTGTTTTCTCTTACTGATTTAGAGAAATTATTTCTATTGTGAATATTAATAGTTTTGTCTGTCATATCTGTTGAAAATATATTTCCCATTTCTTAGTATTTTTATTTACTGTTTGTTCATGTGTTTGCCATGAATTTTTAAAAGTATTTATGTAACAAAACAAATATATCTTTCTGATTACTGAGTTTACTGGTTTGTTTGGGAGCATTTCACCATTGAAAATTTGCTCTCCAAATTTTTATTCTAATCATTTGTTGTTTTCTGATATTAAATATTTGTTATTTTTGTATATAGTATGAGAAAGGGCTCTAGCTTTGAGTTTCTTATCATTTATCTCCCCAGATATATATATAATGTTATATTAATTTGATATATATTTAAATATATACATCTACCTATATTCATCTATCATCTATCTATCTATCTATTTATCTAATGTATAGATAGAGTGAAAATGCCTTCTATCTTAAGTCTGTTTTCTATTGCTGTAACAGAAGACCATAGACTGATTTTCTAGGAAAATTTATTTCATCATGTTTCTGGAGACTGGGAAGTTTAAGAGCATGGCTCAGATACCTGGTGAGGACTTTCCTGCTGCATCATAGCAGAGCAGAGAGTGTCACATGGCAAGAGGGCAGAAGCAAGAGAGTCAGAGAGTGCTCGCTTTCATACGAAAGCCACTCCTGCAATAATGAACCCACTACTGTGACAGCAGCATTAATCTCTACATGAGGGCAGGGGGATTAAGTTTCCAACACAGGAATCTTTGGGAGACACATTCAAACTATAACACCATTTTTGCCATGGGTTAAAGTATCATATATATTTAGATCTGTTTCTGGATTCTTTAGACTCTTCCACTAACCACTTTATTTCTGTCACCAATTAAAATCTTAGGCAAGCTTTAATAACTGATAAGCCAGGTTTTTACTTACTAGTATTTTTCCTTTTTTCATTATGTTCTTAGATTATTTTGGATATCTATGCTTCAGTACTAATTTTGTAATTATTTTTATCCAGTTTATTACCAAAAAGTTACATTCTAATTGGAATTTTAGTAATTTTGAAGTATTGACCTATTTATGATACCATGTCTTCCCATCTAGCCCGTTTCACTTGTTCCTTATTATTTATCAAGAAGGTATTATAGTTTTTTTTAAATAAAGGTCCTGTGCCTTTTTTGTTAACTTTTTGGATACAATTATGAAAAAAAAAAATGTATTCTATTTTCAAGTCTATTTGTAGCTGTTTATTACCAGAAGGAAAAAACTACCGGGCTTTGAATAGTTACCTTACATCCAGCTACCTCACCAAATAATGTTATTAATTCTAGATGTTTCTTAAGTTTACTGCTTATACTATTTGCATGTATAATTTTGCCTCTTTCACATTCATACTAACTATTGAGTTACTGTTTTTGTGTATTTTATATTTATTATTATATTAACTATAATGATTACTGTGTTATAACTTCAAGAACAATATTGACTAGTTGCACTAGGAGTGGGCATATCTGTCTTATTCTTAAATTTAAAATGGCTGCAGCATTACACAATTTAGTATCATTTGTCAATTGGGTTTTGTGATTTTATTTTATTATGTTTAAGCAATGTATTTCCATTCCTACATTACTAAAAATTTATAAAATTTATGCTAGGAATGACAGCTGTGTTTTATTAAATGAATTTATGAGATTTGGAGCTAAAAACACGTACTTGTCTTTTCCTGCATTGATATACGGAATTATGTTACTAGGTCTTCTAACACTAAACCATCCATGCATTGCTGGGATGAATTCTTCTGAGCATGATACAGTCTTCTTTCAATATACAGCTAGATTTGATTTTCAATATTTTATTATTTTATATCTAGACAAAATAGAAATTCATTTGTACTTCTTGTATCTTTTATACTATCTTTTCAGAGTTTGATATTGAAATTATTCTAAGGTGAACTGCATTAGAGACATCTCCATGATTTCTATGGATTAGGGTGGATTAACATAGGAATAGCCTATTTTTTAGAAGTTTGAGTTAATTCAGTTATAACAGCATTTGAGTCTGAACCTTTTTGTTAAATATAGAAGTCAGCATTTCCAGTATCATCCATGGCAAATAACCTTTTAATGTTTTCTGCACCCTCATGGAGTAATTTTAAGAGTTAATATATTGGTAATCCATTTTCTTTCAATTTCCAGAAGTATTTTATGGAATTATTTATTATATTCTTATGTACTTACTTAATTTCTTCCAAATCTCATTTCAAATATTATTCTCTTTTGTCTCTTTTTTTCCTTAATCAGGATTGTCAAGGTTTTATTTTTATTTGTTTGAGGGTTTTGGTTGCTTTTTAAAAAAGTAAAAGCCTGTTGTCCCAGCTACTTGGGAGTCTGAGGCAGGAGGATCACTTGAGCCCGGGAGTTAGAGCCTGTAGTGTGTTATAATCACATCTGTGAGTAGCCACTCCATTCCAGCCTATGCAACATAGCAAGACTCTGTCTCTAAAAAGAATAAATTATTAACTGAAAGTAAATTAAGAAACAAGTATTTGTTGTAATTTACATTTTCTGAAAAATATTTATTTTTATTAATTTCAACTATCCCTTTCCATCATCCTACTTTCTTTTCATTCATTTTCCTGATGTTTTAAAATTTCTTAATGTTGGGCTATTGCGCCAGCTGAATATGTGGAAGGCAGGAGCCTGGAGGCCAAGCTTAGCTGCCTTCCATGCTCCCTTTACATCTTCCCTCTGTGTGCCTGTCCACAGTGAGTCACGCATGAGAAGACAGACTGAAGAGAGCAGAGGGCCCAGGCCTGGAGGAATAGAGTCTAAAGGGATCCCATGATCAGTTAGTCATCATCAAAGGTCCTTGCAAGTCAAACATTCTAATTGATGTTTTTAGTAATGGCTCACTAGCAACCCTTCCCTTGACAACTAGTAGAAAGCAAACAAAATATTTTTGAAACCTCTTACAGACATAGAAGGCACAGAGAAGGTACAAAAGTAACAAGCACTTGAGAATGCAAGATTGCAGAAAGAAGGGATGTATAGAATTCCATATTCAAGCAATTATTCCTCTTGAGGGATTTGCTGATTAACAAACTGCAATTAGGTCAGAAACTGAGGAACTGACACTCTTACTGAGATGGGAGACCAAATTAAAGTGAGAACCCAGCAAACAAGAGAGATTTAAAGGGATATTTCAGCTTTTTCAGTGGGACCCCCCCAAGATTCCTAAAGGACTGCATCCGGGAGTGGGTTAGAAATAAATCAGAACTCAAAGGACTATGACATCATCTAAAGGCTCTAATGATATCTACAGCTGTTTTTTTTTTTTTTTTGCAATGCCCACCATTCAATCAATTACCTCTCATACCATAAATAAGACCACATGCCCCCCAAAATTATGAGCATTAAACAGACCCACAGGAAATTACAGATATCGGGGGCATCAGACACAGGTTTTAAAATAATTATGATTAATATGTTCAAGAAATGAGATGGCATGATGAAGAAACTCAGTAGAGAACTGGAAACTGATCTTTAAAAAAGACAAGAGAAAGGAGGGGAAAATATAAAAGTCAATCTTAACAGTTTGTGCAGTATCTCTTATCTGCAGACCACGGGATTTATATTATTGCACTCTTGGTGCAACTTATAGTATGTATGTAATAGCTTTTATGAATTGTTTGAGTTATGAATTTCTATACCCTCTATTAAAATGGACCTAAGTTTTTAAATGAATTATAGAACTGGAATTATGAACAAAATCAATTGGGTTTAACAGTAGATTACAGAGCTGAAAGGATGAGTGAAGAGGTAGATCAGAAGATCAAAGCATAGGAAGGTAAAAAAGAATTTAAAACTATAGAAAAGAGCCAGAGACACATTTGACACAGTAAAAACTTTTAATATACATGCAATCTGGATCCCAGAAAGAGAGGAGTGAGGGAGCAGGACAAGAGTGATTTCTGATGAACTAAAAGCTCAGAATTTGGCCGGGCATGGGGGCTCACAGCTATAATCTGAGCACTCTGAGAGGCTGAAGTGGGCAGATCACTTGAGGCCAGGAGTTTGAGACCAGCTTGGCCAAAATTGTGAAACTCTGTCTTTACTAAAAATACAAAAATTAGCCGGGCAAGGTGGTGTGTGCCTGTGATCCCAGCTACTTGGGAGGCTGAGGCAGGAGAATCACCTGAACCTGGGAGGTAGAGCCTGCAGTGAGCCGAGACCACATCACTGCCCTCCAGCCTGGGTGACAGAGTGAGACTCCAGCTTAAATAAATAAATAAATAAATAAATAAATAAATAAATAAATTTTTACAAAAATAATAAAAGCTCAGAATTCGTTCTGAAATTGACAAAAGACATGAAACCACAGATTCACTTCCTCACTCATCTTTCACTGGGGGCATTAGCTCACCCAACATCCTCTTTCCCATTCTCAGGTGGGCTTGCCCTGAGGTCAGCTGTGTTCTGCCCTTTCCTCTCCACCCTGAGGAAACAGGTCTGCCTTTGTAATGATCAAGCTCCATGGTCCTCAGCCTCGGAGGTTCTCAATACTTGCTGAGAATCATCTGGGGTGCTTTCCAAAAATACAGATCCCCAAACTCCTTCTCCACCCCTGAGATTATGATTCAGCTGGTCGGGAGGTGGGGCTCTGAGTATCTGGTATTTTTTGAAGATCCCAAGATCATTCTAATGTGTAGCCAGCAGCTGCTCAGCCTGGTACCAGGTGAGTCCAACTCCGTAGGAAACATTAGAAAGATGTTTTTTCCCCAAGTCAAACTGAATTCTACAATTCAAATTTGCTAATTACAGAGCTGCTGTTTTTATCTCCATCTGTCTGATTCCTACTATTCTTAATTCAGCTTAGAATTCAAGATAGAAAGAAAGGGGTATTATTTATTAGCAGTGAAAAACTCAACAATTCACTGGTTAAAGATCCTAATCATAATTCCTTTAATATGAAGAATTAATTCAATCTGACATTTTAGCCCTTAGTCTGTGTCAGTGCACATCTATTTTGATTAAAATTGTAATTCGTGGCTAGGCACGGTGGCTCACACCTGTAATCCCAGCACTTTGGGAGGCCAAGGCAGGCAGATTGCTTGAGGTCAGGTGTTCAAGACCAGCCTAGTCAACATAGTGAAACCTCATCTGTACTAAAAAAGATACCAAAAATTAGCCAAGGGTGGTAGTTGGCCCCTGTAATCCCAGCTACTCAAGAGGCCAACGCAGGAGAATTGCTTGAACCCAGGAGATAGAGGTTGCAGTGAGCTGAGATCACACCACTGCACTCCAGCCTGGGTGACAGAGCAAGACTCCATCCCCCAAAAAATACAATAAAATAAATACAAGTAAAAAAAATGTAATTTGTATTTGTCAAGAATGTGTAAAAATTATGAGGCCTCTTTGAAAATGGTACATAAAAAGACCAAGGCTGTCCCCATGGTGGTCCCTATGAACTTTGTGTTCCTCTCTATTGAGTTTTACCTGCTTTTCCTGAAAAAGAAGTCAACTACAGTAGGTTAGTGGCTCTAATTGGCTGTAAAAGTGTGTGAAAGATTTCAGGGGTAACCCTAGGAGACAGAAGCAAGAAGCACCACTGTATAACCACTCGACTGGGACCTACTGCTATCACCTCCACAAAATGATAAATGTGTAATGAGGATGAATGCCTCAGAATACAGACAGATGAGCTAAACAGCAAACAAGGGCAGTGAAGAATGACTGATAACTGAAGTGGCCCCTGGGTAAGGAGACAGGGAGACTCACTTGGCCCTGGCCCAGGCATCACTAGAAAGACAAAGTAAAAGCGATAAAGAGGGTGAAAGGCTGGAGACATGCTGGTCAAAAGGTACAAAACGTCAGACGGGAGTGCTATTGTACAACATGATGACTACAGCTAACAACAATGTAAATTAGCCAGGTGTGGTGGCATGCACCTGTCGTCCCGGCTACTAGGGAGGCTGGGTGGGAGGACAGCTTGAGCCCAGGAGTTTGAGGCTGCAGTGAGCCATGAGTGTGCCACTGTACTCCAGCCTGGGTGGCAGAGCAAGATCCTGTCTCAAAAAAGAAAAACAAAATGTAGTGTATACTTGAAAATCACTAACAGCGTAAATTTTAAGTGATCTCACTGCACATAAAAATAAGCACGTGAGGTAAGACATATGATAATTAGCTCAATTTAGCCATTTAATAATGTAAACATATTTCAAAACATCATGTTGTATGTCATAAACATGTACAACTTTTGTCAATTTAAAATTTATTATTATTATTATTATTTTTTGTCTTACTCCATCACCCAGGCTGGAGTGCAGTGGCACAATCTGGGCTCACTGTAACCTCCACCTCCTGGGTTCAAGTGATTCCCACCTTCTGGGTTCAAATAATTCTCCTGCCTCAACCTCCTGGTTAGCTGGGATTACAGGTACCCGCCACCATGCCTGGCTATTTTTGTATTTTTAGTAGAGACAGGGTTCCACCATGTTGGCCAGGCTGGTCTCAAATCCCTAAACTCAGCTGATGCCCCTGCCTTGGCCTCCCAAAGTGCTGGGATTACAGGCATGAGCCACCATGCCCAGCCTGTTTAAAATTTTTTTAAAAAAGAAAGAAATAGATGGAAATTATGTATTGTCTCTACTAAAGTTTAAATTAAAACCCTACTAAACATTTTTTAAACTGTAAATTTCTTTCTTAGCAGTCAGTGAAAGTAAACTCACTCAAAGCTATACCACAGGGGACTCTGTAGTGGCCATACATGCTTGTTATCACCAGGATGTCACTGCAGAAGGAGCTGCTGAAACTCCACTCTTTGTGGCTCCCCATTAGCTCTCATCTCTGGATTGTTGTGACCACTGAGCAAGAGCAACCAGGATTCCCAGGAGAAAGTGAAAGATTGGCATAAAGGAAGTGTTACAGAATTAAGGATTGAAAATATCGTTTTGTAAATAAAAGGATCTTCCCTCTGGAAAGAGTAGACTGTATTTTGGGGTGTCATTATTTAGCAAGTATTTGGGTACCTACTAAGTGTTTTATATAGATGTGTTATCTCAGCTAATCTTTGTAGTTACCATATACTAAAAGTGTAAATAGGTCAGGTACGGTGGCTTACACCTATAATCCCAGCACTTTGGGAGACCGAGCAAGGAGGATCACTTGAGCCCAGGAGTTTGAGACAAGCCTGAGCAACAAGGTGAGACTCCATCTCTACAAAAAAATTTAAAGATTGGCTGGGCATGGTGGTGTGTATCTGTGGTCCCAGCTACTTGGAAGGGTGAAGTGGGAAGATCGCTTGAGCCCAGGAGGTGGAGGCTGCAGTGAGCTATATTTGCACCACTACATTCCAGTGCAGTGCTGTGGGTGACAGAGCAAGACCTAGTCTCAGACAATAAAATAATGTGCAAATAACAATGTAACACTCTAATGTAGGTTATACCTTATTCTATTTAGTGACTTTCCTTTCAGTTTACGTGATAAATTACTTCAACTGAATGTTATAGTAACACATGTTGTTGAGTTCTGCTTAGATAGAAAGCATCACATACCAAGAGGCTATAATATCACATTTATTTCATCATTTACCCACATTTGACAAGAATGGCTCTTTAAAGATAATGACTTTTTAGCTACAAACTAGAATCATTAAGTTCACTTGCCAAAGAAGAGAGAACATTTACTTTCAAGATGTCAGTCAAGATCCTTTAGCACAGATCTAAACATATAGATGCAATGAATAACAAGCCAAGTACATGAGACTCGCAGCTTCACTGTGCAAAGACTCTGTTAACTTGCATATATAGGAGCTGCTTTTCCTTGCTTCATGGTTGCTTCCAGTACAATTCAAAAGAAACATACTCTGCCACCCAAACACCTTGACAAGTGACATAGAT
This sequence comes from Homo sapiens, assembly GCF_000001405.40. NCBI lineage: Eukaryota > Metazoa > Chordata > Mammalia > Primates > Hominidae > Homo > Homo sapiens. Next base: position 26,412,666 of record NC_000010.11, read on the forward strand.
CTTTCCTGAAGATTTCTTGTGGACATCCAGGGAAAGATAACACAGCAGGGCTGTCCCAGTAAATCTGGGGACCCAAGATCTTAGCTTGTAAGATTCAAAAGTCAAGATCCAGGTGTCAGATACAAGTTATCTGCAAGTATATATAATCAAGATTAGAAAATTCTTGTCCCTTAAGCTTAAAAAATGAAGTTCCCTGGGTATATTAGATAGCAGTCGTGTTTGTGTGTAACAGAGATCTTAAAATTAGAGATTTAATCACACAAGGGTTGATTCCCTCACATACAAACAATCTACAAGTAGCTAGTCCAGGGCTAATGAGGCTATTCCACAGAGCCTTCAAATGCCCAGGCATCTTCCACTTTGCTGCTCTGATGTCCAAAGCTTCTAAATTCAAGGTCATCTCATGGTCCAAGAGGGCAATAATTGGGCTTGCATTCCAACCAGCGGGAAAGAGGATATGAAAAAAGGCACACTTCAAGGGCACTTCCTGAAAGTTCCAAATAATACTTTCACTTATCTCTCTTTGGGCCAAAATTTATTGACATGGTTGCAAGTAGCTACAAGGGAGGCTGGGATACAGACCTGCTAGCTGGACACATTATCCAAGATTCTGTGTTAAGGAAGAAGACAATGGATTTGAAATATATGCAATTGAGCAGAATTCATTTTTCCCACCTATACGTTCAGCCTCCAATCAAAGCTTGGGATGGGAGGAGAGCCTTTGAGAGAAGAGGAGCAGAAAGGGAAGTTGGCATGGATTTCCCAGCCTTTTGGCCAAGTCTGCAGGGATCAGAGTTCTGAGTCAGGTAGACTCATACCCTGATGCTCATCTGGATGCCCTTGGAGGATGCCAGTGTCCCCCACACCCTCACAGCTGGTAAATATAGTTGCATGGCAAACTGAAGCCAGTGGGCTGGAAAATGCCATTCACAGTCCCCAAGCCCCAACATGACGTGGAAAGCCCCAGCATGACGTGTTTCTCCTGTGTGTCTAGAATAATGAAGAAAAGACACTGAGAGCTGAAATCAAGGCACTTAGAGGTGCTAAGACCAAGGAGGTTTGCTGGGATTAACTTCATAAGATTCAAATGAAAGAGAATTATATCACCATGAAAGATAGTCTGAAAAAATTTGATTAAGATCCCTTTTGAAAGTATAACAGAAATAACTTAGAATCAGTTGGGGTTTTAAAAAAATGAAAGCTGAAATGATGGAGAACTGTTGACAGAAACGAGGATTTTACTAAATATAATCTCATTGACTAATTGTAAATGTGGCTCCAGGAGAGAACAACAATATGGTTTCATTGAGAACAAATTACAATTAAAAAGTGGAGAAATATTTCTATATGGGTCTAGCTAAAAAGTTAAATTTTTAGTAATGAATTATTTTATACTTTTACCTGAAGTTGTAGGATATAAAACTGAATAAAGCAAACCAAATTAGAAGTAGCTGAGGTAGCTTTTGTAGGATCTGCTTGGTCATTCAATTACACCAACACCTTCTAATATCATTTATGGTTAACATTGAAAATATCTACTACCACATATTTTTCTGTGCTTGAAATTCATTTTTTCATATGGAGTTTTCCACTTTGACCAGATTCCTTCTTTAATCTTGGCAAAGATGGGAGGGAATGAAGAAGGAGAGGGTGGGAGGAAGGAGAGAAGGTAGGGAGAGAGGAGAGGAAGGCAGAGAAATAGACTAAAGGTTAGAGGGTAGAAGGGAATTCTAGACTAACGTAAACAAGAGAAAAGTTTCTCATTTAAAGTGTATGTCTGGGCCAGGTGTGGTGGCTCACACCAGTAATTCCAGCACTTTGAGAAGACGAGGTAGGTGGATCACCTGAGGTCAGGAGTTAGAGGCCAGCCTGACTAACATGGTAAAACCCCATCTCTACTGAAAATACAAAATTAGCTGGGCATGGTGGCAGGCGCCTGTAATCCCAGCTACCTGGGAGACTGAGGCAGGAGAATCACTTGAACCTGGGAGATGGAGGTTGCAGTGAGCCAAGATCGCACCATTGCACTCCAGCCTGGGCAACACAGCGAGACTCCATCTCTAAATAAATAAATAAAGTGTATTTCTGGCTGGGCACAATGGCTGACGCCTGTAATCCCAGGACTTTCGGAAGCTGAAACAGGAGGATTTCTTGAGCGCAGGAGTTCAAAATCAGCCTGGGCAACATAGCAAGACCCCATCTCTATAACATAAATAAATAAAATGTGTTTCTACCTGGTGTGGTGGCTCATGTCTATAATCTCAGTGCTCTGGGAGGCTGACGTGGGAGGATCATTTTAGGCCAAGAGTTTGAGACCAGCCTGGGCAACATAGTGAGATCCCAGCTCAACAAAACATTAGAATAATTAGTTGGGCATGGTAACATATACCTGTAGTCCCAGCTACTAAAGAGGCTGAGGTGGGAGGATCGTTTGAGTCTGGGAGTTCAAGGTTACAATGAGCTATAATCGGGCCACTACACTCCAGCCTGGGCGACAGAGCAGGACTGTCTCAAAATAACAATAATAATAATAAAATGAAATGTATTTATTTGCTATGTTCATTGGAAGAATATTGCATAGTGTCTGAAGATTGCTGCATGAGCAGAAATAGAGTGCAGAGTCTTTGAGGTCCCCAGAATGGGACAATGACATGCTCATCGAGGTCTTCTCTAAGCATGTTGGCCTCACTGCCTGGTCCTGGGCACAATTCACAAGTGAAGGCACCACTAGAGTGTGAAGGTCACATTGGCCTGAAGTTACTCACATCTGTTCCTGTTTACAGCTGTCAAAGCCATCTTGAATATGTTGCCATCTGCACACCAACCTTGTGATGAGGGCAGGAAGGCATTATGATTGGTGTCATTTTACAGTCCAGGTGCTGGTAAGACCATAAAGTGATCTTCTGACCTCTTTCTTCTCATGTTTCACAGTCTGATCTGGGTGTTTAAACTGACTACTTCACACTACCTCTCTTAGAAAAGGAAGAACCAATTTAGAACAATGTGCTTGGAGAAATGAAGACTCCCTACGTTCCCTCCGCTCTCTACCTCCCACACACCCACTAACCCCTACTACAGCTATGCCCCGGTGTCTTCAGGGAGCTCACCCAACAGGAGCAAGAGGACTTCTTTAAGCTGAGACTGCAAAGGTCAGAGACACCACTCAGCAAAGAGCCAGGAGGTGTGCATTCTAAGCAGCAAAGCGGTTCTCAATATTCAGGAAAAGACCAGATGTGGGGGCTCATGCCTGTAATCGAAGCACTCTGGGAGGCCAAGGCGGGAGGATCCCTTGAGGTCAGGAGTTTGAGGCTGCAGTGAGCTACAATGGCACCCCTGCACTCCAGCGTGGGTAACAGAGCAAGACTTGTCATTACATAAATAAATACTCAGGAAGAGAGAAGAAAATGCCAGTATGGCTTGAATTTGGTTTGCTATGGGGAGAGAGAGCAACGAGATGAGGTTGGAGAGGTGGGGTTGGCGTCAGATCTTGTAAGTCTGGCAAGGAGTCCAAGTTTTATTCCAAGTACAAGAGCAAGTTTAAATTTAATGTAAGCAAGGAATGACAAATCTGACTTGTTTAGGGAGGCAGGACATACAGTGGTTAATAGTCCAAGCTCCAGAATCAGACGACCTAGATTTAAATATCATTTCTACCATTTATTACATGGGTGGGTGTAGGCATATTATTTAAAATCCACATGTCATGTTTCTCATTTATAAAAGAAAGATAGCAGCAATAATAGCCCAGCATAGGACTGTTTTAAAATGATTTATTTGCCAAGCGTGGTGACTTAATCCTCTCATCGCAGCACTTTGGGAGGCTGAGGTGGGAAGATGGCTTGAGCCCAGGAGTTTGAGATCTGCCTGGGCAACATAGGGGACCTTGTCTCTACAAAAGCATTGGTAAATGTTACTTGTCTATATTTTTAAAAACTAATGCATCCTACTGTGTGGAAAATGGATTGAGAGTGAGAGGGTAAGGAAAAAGACCAGCTGAGAAGTTATTGAAGTGGCCCGAGGAATAGTTCATGGGGCTTGGTCTAAGTAAGTGAGGATAGAGACAAAGAAAAGGATATATAATAAAGACATGCTAATTCATTAGATGAGGAAGAATAAATAACCAATGATGGTTCATGGGTTTTGGACTGAAGAGATGCCTTTTACTGAGATGAGAAAAACTAGGGGTAGAATTGGCTTAAGAAAAAAATCAAAAGTTCAGTTTTATCCATGTCATACCTCTTAAATACTCAAGTGGAAAGGTCAAGAAGGCAATTAGATAAAACCAAGTAAATGTAACTGTAGCTGGCTAGACTTCTTGTAGCAGAGAACAGGACTAGGCTCACCATGTGAAACTGGGTGAAGATAGAAAGTGTCAGGAAAAATTACAAAAGACTTCGAAATGGATAAAAAAGATTAGTGGGTGTCCTGTCTAGCTTTACCATCCTGGTTATCTCCAGAGGCTTTGCAACTCTCAAAGACAGTAAATTCTGAAAAACCGGTAATAGTGCCAATGATTCTTGCTCACAAAAGTGCAATTGACTTGTGTCTGGTGAAATGTAATGGATTATGGTATTGGAGATAGACCAGTTTTTTAAATCTGTTTGTAAATTCATTTCAACATTTCTTTATGCATATAAACATGTGCTTCTTTGAAACAACTGTAACATCTTACCGGTTCCCTCATTAGTTAATGAATTAAATAAAATATTTGACAAGCATGGATTTTATATTTGTATGAGAATTGTAGTTGATCATTTTAAAAATTTATCTGTTAACAAGGACATTTTCCAATGAAAAGAAGATGAAGGGGAAAAAAGTGCTTCAACCAAACACTACTTAGAGCTGTGGACTGTACGTAACTTAATAACCCAAGGAGGAAGAAGCCATCAAAAATATCATAGAGCCTGGACCTATAACTAGTTAGCCTCTGGCTTTGAACCTAGACCTCTTCATGGAAGGGGTTGTGAATAGCATCTCTCTTCCCCACCTGAGTTCTGAATATATTGAACAAAAGACAAGTGAATGATTATTGGAAGCCAAAATATCACCTTCTTAATCATAAAAGCTAGACTAGAGACAGGGTGTGTAGCTCTGTATGAGAGCCAGCTGGGCTTTCTATCACTGAACTCTAGAATTAGACCAACTCACCCAAGCCACAGCAGTGCTAAACCAGGAAAATCCGCTCAACAAATGATGCTTGGACAACAGAATAAATGCATGAAAATAGATTGAATCTCAACCCCTACCTCACACAACTCATAAAAATTAATTCAGGATTGATCTTAGGCATAAATTTAAACTATACCTAAAACTATAAAACTTCTAGAAGAAAGCAAAAGAAAATCTTTGTGATCCTGGAGCCAGCAAAGATTTTATAGGTAGGACACACACAAAAAACAATCATAAAAGAAACAAATGGATAAATTGAACTTCATCAAAATTAAAAACATGATCAAAGGGGAAAAACCTTCAGTAAATTGTACACTTAAAAAAGATGCATTTCTCAGTATGTAAATAAAGAAACTAAAAATTTTCTATTAAGAAAAATGTTTATTGTAAAAATGAAAAACATCATAATTCACAAAGTTAATGTTCACAGAAGGAAAATAAATAATAATCAACAATATTTGCTGTTATTTGCAGAGCCACACTATTATGTCATAAATTTACAATACAAATCTGCTAATATCTTCTTCTACAAGCCTCTCATTAAAATAGAAATTTATTTCATTTTATTTATTTATTTATTTATTTATTTTTTCAGATGGAGCCTCACTCTGTTATCCAGGCTGGAGTGCAGTGGTGCGATCTCAGCTCACTGCAACCTCTGCCTTCTGGGTTCAAGCAATTCTCCTGCCTCAGCCTCCCCAGTAGCTAGGATTACAACCGTGTGCCACTAAGTCCAGCTAATTTTTGTATTTTCAGTAGAGATGGGGTTTTGCCATTTTGGCCAGGTGGGTCTTGAACTCCTGACCTTAGGTGATCCACCCACCTCAGCCTCCCAAAGTACTGGGATTATAGGCGTGAGCCACCGCGTCTGGCTGAAATAGAGATTTATTTTAAAATGCAGGAATTTTCTCAAACTAGTTTTCTTTCATTTCTAAGAAAGATAAGAAAAATAGTTTAAGGTAATGAAAAATCATAATTTTTTTATTATACTTTAAGTTTTAGGGTACATGTGCACAACATGCAGGTTTGTTACATATGTATACATGTGCCATGTTGGTGTGCTGCACCTATTAACTCGTCATTTACATTAGGTATACCTCCTAATGTTATTCCTCCTCCCTTCCCCCTCCCCCACGACAGGCCCCAGTGTGTGATGTTCCCCTTCCCGTGTCCAAGTGTTCTCATTGTTCAATTCCCACCTATGAGTGAGAACATGCGGTGTTTGGCTTTTTGTCCTTGTGATAGTTTGCTGAGAATGATGGTTTCCAGCTTCATCCATGTCCCTACAAAGGACATGAACTCATCATTTTTTATGGCTGCATAGTATTCCATGCTGTATATGTGCCACATTTTCTTAATCCAGTCTATCATTGTTGGACATTTGCGTTGGTTCCAAGTCTTTGCTATTGTGAATAGTGCCGCAATAACCATACGTGTCATGTGTCTTTATAGCAGCATGATTTATAATCCTTTGGATATACACCCAGTAATGGGATGGCTGGGTCAAATGGTATTTCTAGTTCTAGATCCCTGAGGAATCGCCACACTGACTTCCACAATGGCTGAACTAGTTTACAGTCCCACCAACAGTGTAAAAGTGTTCCTATTTCTCCACATCCTCTCCAGCACCTGTTGTTTCCTGACTTTTTAATGATCACCATTCTAACTGGTGTGAGATGATATCTCATTGTGGTTTTGATTTGCATTTCTCTGATGGCCAGTGATGATGAGCATTTTTTCATGTATCTTTTGGCTGCATAAATGTCTTCTTTTGAGAAGTGTCTGTTCATATCCTTCACCCACTTTTTGATGAGGTAGTTTGTTTTTTTCTTGTAAATTTGTTTGAGTTCTTTGTAGATTCTGGATATTAGCCCTTTGTCAGATGAGTAGATTGCAAAAATTTTTTCCCATTCTGTAGGTTGCCTGTTCACTCTGATGGTAGTTTCTTTTGCTGTGCAGAAGCTCTTTAGTTTAATTAGATCCAATTTGTCAATTTTGGCTTTTGTTGCCATTGCTTTTGGTGTTTTAGACATGAAGTCCTTGCCCATGCCTATGTCCTGAATGGTAATGCCTAGGTTTTCTTCTAGGGTTTTTATGGTTTTAGGTCTAACATTTAAGTCTTTAATCCATCCTGAATTAATTTTAGTGTAAGGTGTAAGTAAGGGATCCAGTTTCAGCTTTCTACGTATGGTTAGCCAGTTTCCCAGCATCATTTATTAAATAGGGAATCCTTTTCCCATTTCTTGTTTAAACACTTTTATTGAAGAAGACCTGCCAATAACGTGAAGTGCCTTAGGGAACTAGTTTATATTTACCTTATATTCAACTGGACAGTGTTTGTGGCCAACATTTAAAAATGACTCTGTGCCCATTAAAAGCTATCAAATATTAATCTGTGGTTCTAAATTAGTGAACAGACCTAATACTCAGGAGGCTGAGGCAGGAGGATTGTTTGAGTCCAGGCATTCAAGAACAGCTCAGGCAGCTTAGTGAGACCCCCATCTCAATTAAAAAATAAACAAATAAGTAAATAAAAATCAAATATGAAACAGGGTTAAGATTGCAGCATTGCAATACATTCTCATGCACATTTCTTTCTTACTTTAATCAAACTATTACAATCTTGACATACACACATACAGAAAATTATTTAAATTGGAACTGGTAGAAACTCTCCTATTCCTGATGGAGTTTCACCAGATAGTCTGAGGAGTTTGTATGTTTTGGCCTCTGTTACCAGAAGTCATAGAGTTCTAGCAAAGAAGACAATAAAGGTACTTTAAGTTGGATGAAAAAGCCCTCTAATAAAACTTGTGTTCTAAACTTTTAAAACATGTAACATTAGCATTTCTTAAATCTTCTGCTTTTTCATTGTGTTCAGTTCTGATACAGAAACCTCTTTGCTGTAGTAAAGCATGTATGATTACTTCAACACCCTCCTACAATATATATAGGGCAGTAAGACTCCACAGTATCCTATAGCTTTTTGTAGCCTACGGTATTGGACTGAACTTCCAGGAAACTCATAGTATTTGATTTCACATTTCTTCCAACACAATTTTGACTTTTCACTCTTTTTCTCTCTCTTTGATATATATTTCAGGTCAAGGCTTTCAACAACAAAATGTCAAGTTATGAAAAATCTAGGACAATGCAGTGGCTCACAGCTATAATCCCAACACTTTGGGAGGCTGAGGTGGGCAGGTCACTTGAGGCCAGGAGTTTGGGACCAGCCTGGGCAATATAACAAGTCCCCATTTCTACAAAACAATAAAAAATTAACCAGGCATGGTGGTATACACCTGTAATCCCAGGTACTTGCAAGGCTGAGGCAGGAGAAGCACTTGAGCCCAGGAGGTAGAGGATTTAAGTGAGTTACGTTTGCACCACTGCACTCCAGCCTGGGCAACAGAGCAAGACCCTGTCTCAAAAATTAAATTAAATTAATCTATATCATAGATTCTTCCCTATTTATCAATATGTGTGAAAAATATTAATATTAAAGTTTTTTCTTTTTTACCTTTTATTTTAGATTCCAGGGATATATGTGCAGAATTGTTATAAAGGTATATTGTAAGATGCTGAGGCTTGGAGTACAAATGAACCTGTCACCCAGACAGTGAGCATAGCACCTAATGGGTAGTTTTTCAACCCTTTTCCCCCTCCCTCCCTACTCTTGTAGTGCCCGGTGTCTATCATTCCCATCTTTATAACCTTGTGTACCCAATGTTCTATCCCACTTTTATGTGAGAACATGCAGTGATATTGCAGATTTTTTAATTTTCCCTTATTGTTGATAAATAAGATTGTAACTAAAGTTTAGCTTATAGATTTAAAACATTAGATTTTTTTGAAATCATGAATTGGATAACAGGTCAAGGTACAAAAATATTTTTCACAGTTTTATTTAGGTCCAATTGACATTTAGTAAACTGCACATATGAAAACTGTCCAGTTTGGTCAGTTTTGACATATGTACACACCCCTGGAAACCATCACAAAAAACAAGATAACGAACATGTTCATTACTTCTAAGCCCTCTTGTGACCCTCTGTCATCCTTTCTTTTTCCTTCATCCCTCCCCTTCCCAGTGCTTTCTGTTACTATAGATTAGTTTAAATTTTCAAGAATTTTATATAAATGTGATCACACATTTATGTCACACATGTGTGATTTATATAAAATCGCACTTGATCCTCTTACTAACTGGCTTTTTTCATGCAGCCTAATTATTTCGAGATTCATCCATGTTGTACCAGAAGTTTACTTCTTATTATTGCAGGGTAGCATTTCACCATATGAATATCACACACTTTGTTCATCCATTTACCTATTGATGTGCACTTGGGTTGATTCCAATTCAGGGCTATTACAAACGCTGCCATGAACATTCATGTACAAGTCTTTGTATGAACGTGTGTTTTTTCTTTCTCTTGGATAGACACCTAGAAGTGGAATGGCCAGGTTGTATACTGGGTGTATGTTTAACTTTTTAATAAACTGCTAAACTGTGTTCTGAAGTTGCACCATTTCCATTCCCACCAGCCTGGATGAGAGTTCCAGTTCCTCCATACCCTTTTACAACACTTAGTGTGATCAATCTTTTTTTAATTAGACAGGGTCTTGCTGTGTTTGCTATGTTGCCCAGGCTGGTCTCAAACTCCTGGGCTCAAGGAATCCTCCTACCTCAGCCTCCTGAGCGGGTGGGACCACAGGTACACGTCACCGCACCTGACTTGATCAATGCTTTTTATTGTAGTCAATCAAGTGGATATGTAGTAGTGTCTAATATGGTTTTAGTTGATGTTGAAGTCTTGATATCAACAATTATTTTAAGATATTGGGCTGGGTGAGATGGCTTGCACCCGTAATCCCAGCACTTTGGGAGGTTGAAGTAACAAGATCACTTGAGGCCAGGAGTTTGAGACCAGCCTGGGCAATATAGGAAAAATTCCATCTCTACAAAAAATAAAATAATAAAATAAAATAAGCCAGACCTGGTGGTCAGGAGGCTGAGGCAGGAATATTCCTTGAGCCCAGGAGTTGGAGGCTGAGTGAGCTATGATGGTGCCACTGCACTCTACTCTGGGTAACAGAGCAGGACTATATCTCTAAAAAAGAAAAAATTATAAATAATTTTTTTAAGATATTGGCTAAGACATCAGTATTTTTAATAGTTACCCTGGTGGTCCTACTGCGCACCCAGAGTTAAGAACCACACTGGATGAAACGAATGGTCCATTTTAATAGAGGAGGTATTTTTAAGTAAAGATGTTATAGCCTGCCTTTTCACACATTTTACAGCCCTAAACCACCTTTTACTAAATTTGGTCTTTCATACAAAAGCTGACTGGTGGTAGCTGCCATTTGCCACCACTGTGTGAAAGGAAATGAGGGTGGGAGAAGAAGTTCTTCAGGCCTTGCTAGGATTAATTCTAAGTAAGCAGGAATCGAATAGTAAAAATCCAGTCATCTCAAAATATCCAAAGAACTCTTACAAACTCATCAATAACACAATAAAGCCAAGTAAAAATGGGCAAAACATCTGCAGATAGTAATTAAGCATATGAAGAGATGCTGAACATCATTTGTCATTAGGAAAATGCAAATTAAAGCAACAATGAGATACCATCACACACCCATTAGAATGGCTTGAATCTGAAAAAGCCACAACAGCAATTGCTGGTGAGAGTGCAGAGCAACAGGAGCTCTCATTTATTGTTGGTGGGGATGCAAAATGGTACAGCCACTTGGGAAGACAGTTTGGCAGTTTCTTACAAAACTAATCATAGTCTTCTTATATGATCCATGTAGAAAGTAAAAGTTCCTCTTCAAAGTTTCCCTTCTTGTTAAAGAATAAATCATAAGTGTTAAAAATAATAGCTTATTTTAAAAACTAACTTCCTTTAAGCATTCTTGCTTTGTGCTAATAACTGTTTGGTAAGTAAGCCCTGTCCTATGTAGCTGTTAAACATGCTCGCAGGCATGTAGTACATTCTATGTCCTTGTACCTTAACCAAGATATTTGTGCTGGACATGCTCACGGGCATGTTCCAGCTTGCAGCCTATGCCCCTTCCTTTTTTGGCATAAGCAACTTCCTCTTTTCCTTTGTCTTTCCATTACTTTCACCTATTTAGAAAAGTTTAAACTGTTAGCCAATTGGGTTTTAGTTTAGATTGTGAGGTCTGGCTCCAGCCAATGGCGACAGGACACAGTAGCAGGGACAAACTGTGTAAGGGATAAAAATTGCTTCCTTCCTTTGTTCAGGTGTGCTCTAGCCATTGTTACATCTGCAATGAGCACCCTTTCTGCAGAAAGTAAAATTGGCCTTGCTGAGAGAATTACATTTATGTTAGAGTGCAGCACCAGGGAACAAGCATTCCATTTTTAAATAAACATTTTACATAGAACAATCCAGCAATTGCACTCCTAGGAATTTACCCAGCTGATTTGAAAACTTATGTCCACACAAAATCCTGCGTGTGAATGCTTATAGCAGTTTTATTCATAATGACCAAAAACTGGGAGTAACCAAGATGTATTTCTGTTAGGGGAGCAGGAGCCTAGGATGACGCCTTTTCTTTCTTTTTTTTTTTTTTAGAAAGAGTCACCCAGGCTGGAGTGCAATGGTGCACGATCTTGGCTTACTGCAACCTCTATCTCCTGGGTTCAAGTGATTCTCCTGCCTCAGCCTCCTGAGTAGCTGGGATTATAGGTGCACACCACCACACCAGGCTAATTTTTGTATTTTTAGTAGAGATGGGGTTTCACCATGTTGTTCAGGCTGGTCTCGAACTCCTGACCTCGTGATCCACCCGCCTCAGCCTCCCAAAGTGCTAGGATTACAGGTGTGAGCCACAGTGCCCGGCCGACAACATTTTTAAATCACCTCCATCTTAAAACTAGCAGGGTGACACCATTTTAAAATCTCCTTCATCTTAAAACTAGCAAGGAACATTGCTTACTGGTCACTTACAAAGCTAAGGAGGTAACTTGGTAATGCCTGCAAGAACAAACTCCTACAGCAACAGGAAGTCCAGAAGTTCCAATAGCCATAACAAGATAGGCTTTCAGGATAACTATAGTTATGCTTTGATGTACTTACACACTAAACTGTCAAGATAGTTTTCTTTAAATCAATCAAATAATAAATTCTATCATGCTGTCAGCCAACCCACACACAGGCACAGCTTAGTTTAGTCTTGTCATAGACAAGACCTCTACATAAGAAAAATCTCAAATAAAGATGGTGCATTCCTCTGTTTGCTTTCTGAGGACATCCTACTCTGTATCTGAGTAGCTTTCAATAAAACAACTTTTTTCACTGCATTCTGCAACTTGCCTTGAATTCCTTTTTGTGTGAGATCCAAGAACCCTCTCTTGGAGTCTAGCTCAAGACCCCTTTTCTGGCTTCCTATAGATGAATGGATAAACAAACTGCAATATATTTATATAATCAAATATTAGTAAGTAGTAAAAAGGAATGAGCTATCAAGCCGCACAAAGACATGAATAAATCCTCAATGCACATTGCTAAGTGAATTAAGCTGGTCTGAAATGGTTACATGCTGTATGATTCCAATTCCATGACATTCTGGAAAAGGCAAAACTAAAGATGTGGTAAACAAAAGGGTAAAATATGCTATTAAAAGGTAAATGTTGGCCAGGCACGGTGACTGATGCCGCTTTGGGATCCCAGCACTTTGTAATCCCAGCACTTTGGGAGGCCGAGGCAGGCAGATGACTTAAGGTCAGCAGTTCAAGACCAGTGTGGCCAACATGGCAAAACCTCATCTCTACTGAAAATACAAAAATTAGCCAGGTGTGGTGGCGTGCCTGTAATCCCAGCTACGTGGGAGGTTGAGGCATGAGAATCGCTTCAACTTGAGAGGCGGAGGTTGCTGTGAACTGAGATCATGCTACTGAACTCCAGCCTGGGTGACAGAGCAAGACTCTGTCTCAAAAAATAAATAAATAAATAAAAGAAATAATAATAATAAAGATAAGTATTCACCTGTCTTCTGGATAAATGTGGGCTTGCTTGTTTTTACATGACTTGCCACCCCACCCATCTGACTTTTTGAAATCATATTTTTCTGAATGTTTGCCACTATTTCAATGTTTGCCACAGCTGTTCTTGAACGAAAAATGTTAATAAAGTAATATCTGCCCTAAAAACTGATTATCCAACCTTTGCTGACTTGCATTTATTATTAAAAGACAAATCTGCATTTATCATCAAAGACAAATTGTTTTTGCTAATTGATTATTAGCAAATGTGTTAGTTAATACCCACTGGGTAATATATCTTGTGACCCGACTTCCAGGGCCAGAGCTGATCAGAACAGGAAAAGGATACCTAATCCAGTCAGATGCTCACTCCTAGGAATTTGGAAGTGGAACACAGGGACTTGCTTCAGTCCCAGTTGGTGTTTGAGATGAGACATGAGGTCAAGCTGGACTGGGTGGCTGAATGGGTGCCCAGGGCTCATCATCCCCCTTGCAAGGGTGCTAACTACTGACTATTCATAGCTGAGATCCTCCCCAGAAATCACCCTTGACCAAAGGGATTCACTTTGTCTAAAGATATGTCCCTCTCACCAGGGACAGCCAGCATCCAATGGCTGGTCAACGCGCACAGTTCAAAGTCTGGCCTAGAACTCCGTATAGAATTGGCTGGAGCCTCCGTTGCTGCTGCATCATAGTTTAATTTCTCCCAGTATCCAATCCTTCTTCCTGCCCTACTTTACATATATTGTTCCTGAAAGCTCTCCTAGGGAACATTCTGCACCATCTCCATCTCCACAAGTATGGAGTCCAGGAAACCTGATCCAGGGCAATGGCTGTGGTAGACCAGAGAAAGCTGATCTGCAGAAAAAGGATAAAAAGGTTGGGCAGAGAATATTAGAGAATATTAGATATCAATCATGTGAGCACACAAAGAAAGAGAGATGGAGAGACTCCCTGGGGGTCCTGGAGTTCTTGGTTTCATCCCTCGAGACCTGGCTATCCTTCCTGCTGTTCCATGAGCTATCAGAGCTTCTCTCCAATAACTTCCCTTTTTGCTTGAGCCCGTTTGAATGGATTTTGATCCTGGCAAATCAAACAATCCCCATGTGTTTTGTACTTTTAATCAATTATACTAGGTAGTCATGATAACTGGTTTACAGACACATGCTCTGGGGAGAGACAGTGTATGCATATACAGTTGACCCTTGAACAACATGGCTTTGAACTGCATGGGTCCATTTACACATGAATTTTCTTTTCTTTCTTTTCTTTTTTTTTTTTTTTTTTTTTTGTGACAGAGTCTTGCTCTGTCACCCAGGCTGGAGTGCAGTGGCACGATCTCGGCTCACTGCAAGCTCCGCCTCCCAAGTTCACACCATTCTCCTGCCTCAGCCTCCCAAGTAGCTGGGACTACAGGTGCCCGCCACCACACCTGGCTACTTTTTGTATTTTTAGTAGAGATGGGGGTTTCACCATGTTGTCCAGAATGGTCTCGATCTCTTGACCTCGTGATCCGCCCGTCTCGGACTCCCAAAGTGCTGGGATTACAGGCGTGAGCCACTGCGCCTGGCCTTATACGTGAATTTTCTTCTGCCTCTGCCACCTCTGAAACAGCAAGACCTCTTCCTCCTCCTCCTCAGACTGCTCAACGTGAAGATGGTGAGGATGAAGACCTTTATGATGGTCCACTTCCACTTAATGAACCTAATAAAGTTTGGATAATCAGCTTCTAGGGCAGATATTATTTTATTAACAATTTTTTCAAGAGCAGCTATGACTTTACTGAAATGGTGGCAAATATTCAGAAAAATATAATTTCAAAAAGTCAGAATATTTGTGCATATAGGGATGGGTGGAGTGGGTAAATCACGTAAACATATTTTCTCTTCCTTATGATTTTCTTAAGATTTTCCTTCCCCTAGCTTACTTTATTGTAAGAATACAGTATATCATACATATAACATACAAAATATGTGTTAATTAACTCCTTATGTTATCGGTAAGGCTTCTGATCAACAGTAGGCTATTAGCAGTGGAGATTTTGGGGAGTCAAGAGTTATACGTGGAATTTTCAACTGCGCAGAGGTCAGTTCACCTAACCCCTGCCCTGTTCAAGCATCAAATGTATATCTCAGAGTTTCACGAATTTCATGCTTATTTAGTACCCTGACTAACACTGGGCCCCCTCCCAAGGGCATAGCCCCTGTGCAGTGTCAGTGCAAAGAAACCAGCAGCCAATTTAATTTCAGACCAAGTCCACATTTCTTAAAACCCCCTTCCTCCTTTTCTTCTCAACTCCACCCTTCTCATATCCTGCAGTTTCCCTCAAACCTTTTTCTCCTTGCCTTGCTCTTAGCTTCCCACCAAAGATTCTCTCCTAAGCCTTCTTGAACTCTCTCATGTCTTCTTCACTCCTCTCTTTCTGCTGCTGGTCTTCATCCTTTCCTTTCTGGTTCTCCTCCTGCTGAGTACCACTGGAGTGTAGGAGAGAAGGGAGTTGGCTTCAAACAAAGGCCAGGGACCAGTAGCAGGTAAGGAGGCAGGTAGAGGGAGGATCTTGTTAACAGGCAAGAGAAAATATATTCACTATATGTGACATATATAATTAGTAAAAATATACTAATTATATATACCTGTTATGGTTAAAATAGAAATCATGAGCAGAGTTATTTTTCATTGCCAGTTTATAATATTTAAAAAGTTAAAGCATTGAAACTTGACTGTGACAGAAAAAATGAGAAGCACAGATACCCAAGATGGTGTCTTGGGTGTTTACTGCTGTGAAGAAACCAACACTTAGAGCAGGGGTCCCCAAGCCCCAGGCCATGGACTGGTACCAGTCCGTGGCCTCTTAAGAACCAGGCCACACAGTAGGAGGTGAGCAGTGGATAAGCAAGTGAAGCTTCATTTGTATTTACAGCTGCCCCTCATCACTCGCTGTATTAGTCCATTTTCATGCTGCCATTAAGAAATACCTGAGACGGGTAATTTATAAAGAAAAAGAGGTTTAATGGACTCGCAGTTCCACATGGCTGGGGAAGCCTCACGATCATGGCAGAAGGGAAAAGAAGAGCAAAGGCACGTCTCACACGGTGGCAGGCAAGAGAGCGTCTGCAGGGGAGCTGCCCTTTATAAAACCATCAGATCTCGTGAGACTTATTCACTATCATGAGAAAACAGCACAGGAAAGACCCACCTGCATGATTCAATTACCTTCTACCAGGTCCCTCCCATGACATGTGGGGATTGTGGGAGCTACAATTCAAGATGAGATTTGGGTGGGGACACAGCCAAACCATATCACTTGCATTACTGCCTGAGTTCCACCTCCTGTCAGATCAGCAGCAGCATTAGATTCTCATACGAGCACAAACCCTCTTGTGAACTGTGCATGTGAGGGATCTAGGTTGTGAGCTCCTAATGAGAATCTAATGTCTGATGATCTGTCACTGTCTCTCATCACCCCCAGATGGGACCATCTAGTTGCAGGAAAACAAGCCCAGGGCTCCCACTGATTCTACATTATGGTGAGTTGTATAATTATTTCATTATATATTACAATGTAATAATAATAAAAATAAAATGCACAATCAATGTAATGCATTCGAATCATCCTGAAACCATCCCCCCCACCAATCTGTGGAAAAATTGTCTTCCACGAACCCAGTCCCTGGTGCCATGAACTTAGTCCCTGGGAGACCATTGACTTAGAGGCTTAAGACAGCCATTTATCATCATCTTTCAGGGATATGAGGCTCAGCGCAGTGGTTCTCCCTTGGTCTCTCAAGCAGTTGTATTTAGAGGACAGCTGGCGCTGGAATCATCTGAAGTTTTCCTGGGTCTGGGCAGTGAAAATGGTGTCTTCACTTCACATCTGATGCCTCCATGCCCCACCATGTGGCTTCATTGCCGACACAGTAGCCAGGACTTCTTCATGACTGCTCAAGGACAGAAGAGGCAGGATTTAAGTACTATGTTCACCATCACTTCTGTTCTATTCTATGTGTCAAAGTACATTCAAGGGAGAGGGAGAGAAATGGATCCTACCTCTTAATGGGGAAGGAAGATATGGCCATGACTAGCTTTGGAAAATACAGTCTACTACAGATGGCATAAAAGTTAGATTTTTAAAAATAAGCTAGATATTTAAATCAGAAACTAATATCCCCTACAATTGAGGGCAAGTCAAATAAAATAAATAGACAAAGCTTTATAAAATGCTAAACTAAAGAAAATTACCTGTGAAAAAAAAGAATGACAGAAAGAAAAAGAAAAAGCTAGCAGGATTCTGACTTCAAGTCAACCCGGGTCCCCTTACAGAAGGTGAAAGTACTTTGGTCAGGAAGAGATTGGCCAGAATACATGTTGGATTTGATGGGCTTGCCAACAGAGTGAGGTAGTGAGACACAGTCAAATCCAACTCAGTGTAAACTGAGTTTCTTTACAGTTCTATAACACACATCTTTTAGCCACTAACCATCTTCTTCCGAAATACCTGAGGAATTCTGCTTTTATTTTCTTGAGACAGAGTCTTGTTGTGTCACACAGGCTGGAGTGCAGTGGCACAATCTCGGCTCACTGCAATCTCCGCCTCCCCAGCTCAAGGGATTCTCCTGCCTCAGCCTCCTGAGTAGCTGGGATTACAGGCATGCGCCACCATGCCTGGCTAATTTTTGTATTTTTAGTAGAGACGGGGTTTCACCGTGTTGGCAAGGCTGGTCTCAAACTCCTGACCTCAAGTGATCTGGCTGTCTTGGCCTCCCAAAGTGCTGGGATTACAGACGTGAGCCACTGCTTCTGACTGAAGTCTGTTTTCATTGGTCACTGTCCAAAGAGAATGCCACCTGGGGGGGTTTTCCCCCACACCATCGTCTCCATGATGGGCTGTTCTTCTGTGTTCATGGCCCCATGGGTCATTCTCTTCCCCACCTCCCAAACTCTTTCTTGCCACTCCTGTATCTTGAAGCTATTTCTGGAGTGTTCTGCTAACCTCAGGCTTTAACTGTGCCCTGAGGGCACCATTTCCACTGCAGCTTTCTCAAAAGAAAGTGGTTTATTCTCTTAAATTCCAGCCACCTTAAGTTCGGAAGGTGAGTTTATGGTTCTCTATGCTCCTCACTGCTACTTGCAAATCATAAATGACTAATCTTTTTATTAAAAACAAAACTAAAAGCAAGCGAAAAAAGCTTTCTCTTTTGAGGCTCATGCCACTTGACTAAACAATCCAGTTCTGCTTTCTCATTTCAAAACCTTGACACGTGACTCCCTGTCACCCTTTAAGATGACCTGAAGTCCTGTCATCATTCTGTTTGCCTGGGACAGTCATGAATTATAACTGTTTCTGTCTTTTTTTTTTTTTTAGATTATTGTCTCTGTCTTTATTTTTTAAATACTTATTTATTTATTTATATGTTTTATTATACTTTAAGTTTTTTTTTTTAGACAGGGTCTTGCTCTGTCACCTTGGATGACTGCAGTGGCATGATCACAGCTCACTGCAGACTCAAACTTCCAGGCTCAAGCCATCCTCCCACCTCAGCCTCCTGAGTAGCTGGGACTACAGGCACACACACCACACCCAGCTAATTTCTTATTTTTTGTGGCTGTGTTGTCCAGGCTGGTCTCAAACTCCTGGACTCAAGCGATCCTCCTGGCTTGAACTCCCAAAGTGCTGGGATTACAGGTGTGAGCCACTGCACGTGGCCTACAACTGTTTCTTAGCTTCCGATCCACTTGGCAATTTGGTACTCTCAAAAGTGTCCCGGTCTTGAGACAATAAATGATGTGGCCACTCCAATCCTGAGTGACTTAAACAGTTAGCTGGGATGATGCACATAGCCCCTTAGCCTCTCATTTCCTTGGTCATCTCAGCCACTCAGGCCCACAGTCACCCCTGGTCTATGTCAGCACACATTATTTCACTACCTCCAGAAGCAAGTTCACCCTGCCTACCTTCCGACCACAATAACCCATCCTTCCATCTGGTTTGTTTGGCCACTCCCATGGCGGCCACACTTTCTCCAAACCTAGCCCTGCAGGAGAGAGGCACAACCGAGCAGATGGCTTCCACTATAATTCATGATCGCCAGTTTCAAATGGACCCTCAGTCTGCCTGGAAATCCCACTACATGTTTCTGATCACCTCTCTCTCCCATTCTCTTCAATGACCTTATCAAACTTTCTCCAGCTCCCCAAATCCATGCCTGGCCTACCTCATAGTTCACTCTCAGCAGATGAACCTTCTTCTCACAAGGAAAACAGAGGCTTTAGATTAGAATTTCCTTATCTTACAGCCATATGAAAGAAGATCCTTATCTACTCTAAACTCACCCTTCTGCCTTTCCAGTAAAATGGAGGAGGTCTCTTTTCTCTTATCTGGGAGCCCATTCATTTACCTTCATTTGGACTCAACCCACTTCCTCCATCTTGAAAACTTTTCACCATCAATTATTTCTACTCTCTTGTTAATGTCAACTCCTCACTATCATCTCAATTCTTCCTGTTTGAAAATAATGTTAAAAAGATACATAAAAGGCTGGGTACACTGGGGCTCAGGCCTATAATCCCAGCACTTTGGGATGCTGAGGTGTGAGGATCTCTTGAGCCCTGGAATTAGAGGCTGCAGTGAGCTATGATCACACCACTGCACTCCAGCCTGGGCAACAGAGCAAGACCCTGTCTCTAAAAATAAAATAAAATAAAATAAAATAAAATAAAATAAATAAAATCTTCCTCAATTTCATGTCTCCCAACCACTGCCTCCCTGTCCCCTTTCTCCTCTTTATAGGTGATATGGTTTGGCTGTGTCCCCACCCAAATCTCACATTGAATTGTAATAATCTGCACATGTCAAGGGCAGGGCCAGGTGGAGATAACTGAATAATGGCAACCATTTCTCCCATACTGTTCTTGTGATAGTGCATAAGTGTCATGAGATCTGATGGTTTTATAAATGGGAGTTCCTCTGCACATGCTCTCTTGCTTGCTGCCATGTAAGACGTGACTTTTCTCCTCATTCCCCTTCCACCATGATTGTGAGGCCTCCCCTGCCATGCTGAACTGTGAGTCAATTAAACTTTTCTTTATAAATTAGCCAGTCTCCGGTATGTCTTTATTAGCAGTGTGAGAACAGATCAATACAATAGGCAAACTATTCACAAGTGTTGCTTTGCTCACCATCTTCATTTCTTCACACCCTATTCACCCCTCAACCCACTTTGGCCTCCAGCCCCAACATGCTATTACAATTGGTTTCTGAGGTCACTAACATTGCTAAAGCCAATTGCCACTTTGCAGTCTTGTCTGACTTGTCCTTGCAACATCTCTGGATATCACTGACCACATCCTCCCACACTGTGGCTTCCACAGAACTTTCCCCTGGTTTTCCATCCACCCCTTTAAAGCTCTTCCTCTGTGTTCTTTGTGGGCTCTGTGTCTTTTGCTTTGGATGGTGGAGTTCCTTAAGGCTTAGCCTGAGGCCTCTGTTTCATCCCACACCATAGTCTCTCTACGCAATCTCATAAATCACCACCTATATGATGATTACTCAAAATGTATATCTCTAACTCTGAACCACGCTTCTCTGGGCAAAGGATTCTTATATACAATTCTCTACTTGAAGTCTCCCCTTGGATGTCCTAAAGATTTGTCAAATTCAACTTGCAAACAATAAAACTCACTATCTTCCCCTGCCCAAATACTCCTCTTCCAGAGTTCCCCATCTTGATGATGGGATGGTCAGCCATCATCATACAAACCTGATTCTTTGGAGTCATCCTTGCCTCCCCCGCTCTTCTCCCTCTGCCTATATCTAGTCCTCTGAATCTCTGGCAAACTACCTTCTAAATGTCTCTCAGTTTCACCCATTTCTTCGCATTTCCGCTGCTGCTGACCTAGTCAAAACAATTATACAGTTGACCCTTGAACAACATGGGTTTGAACTGCATGGGTGCATTTATACTTGGATTTTCCTGCTGCTTCTGCCGCCCCTGAGACAGCAAGATCAACCCCTCCTCTTCCTCCTCCTACTCAAGTTGAGTAACGTGAAGATGAGGATGAAGACCTTTATGATGATCCACTTCCACTTAATAAATAGTAAATATGAGGTCAGTCACAGTGGTTCATGCCTGTAATCCCAGCACTTTGGGAGGCTGGGGCAGGAAGATCGCTTGAGGCCAGGAATTTTAGACAAGCCTGGGAAACATAGCAAGACCCCATCTTACAAAAAATTATTTAAAATAAAATTAGCTGGACATGATGGTGCATGCCTATAGTCCCAGCTGCTCAGGAGGCTGAAGCAGCAGGATCCCTTGAGCCCTGGAGTTTGAGGTTACAAGGAGCTATGATCTCACCACTGCACTCTAGTCCAGGAACAGAGTGAGACTCTGAAAATAAATAAAAAATAAATACATAGAAAATATATTTTCTTTTATGATTTTGTTAATAACAGTTTCTCTAGCTTACTTTATTGTAAAAATACAGTATTTAATACATATAACATAATATGTGTTAATCGACTGTGTTATCAGTAAGTCTTCTGGGCAACAGTAGACAATTAGTAGTCAAGTTTTGTGGGAGTCAAAAGTTATACATGGATTTTCAACTGTGCAGCATTTTGGTACCCCTAAAACCTGGCATTGTTCTGTTACAGTAGGTAGCTAGTCAGGCATGAGCAGGGCAGGAGAGGGCTCCCCTCACCCCCTACCAGGAATGTCAGGCGACTATCAGGTGGTGGTCAGGGGACTGTTAACCGTGTCTCTAAAATAATAATTGATCACAGCCAGCACCAGGGAAAGGCAGTCTCCCAATAGATAGAAACACCTGAAACTGGTGATCAACAGCTTCCAGATAAGATCTCAGGAGTTGGGCGAGTGGGCTCAAGCATGTGCACTAAGAGGTAAAATGGTGGAGTTTAACTGGCAAATGACCTTCCAGGGACATTTGGTAAGGGAAGAATGCCTAAAGTGAACACGCGTACAACTTCAGTAAACACACTGCGCATGCTCACCTCCCAAGTGCTGGCACGCCACTGCTCATGTGGACAGCCCACTCCATGGGAAGAATCAGGAGGAGGAAGACAAGACCCCGAAGTATGTCAATGCGTAAAGCCCCAAGTCAAAAGTCAAACAGCGCACTTCTCTCAAGTCACCCGCTTGGCCCTCTTCCAAGTATAATTTACTTTCTTTTGTTACTGCCCTACAGTTTTCTAATAAACTTTCGCTCCTGCTCTAAAGCTTGCCTTAGTCTCTTCTTCTGCCTTATGCCCCTCAGTTGAATTCTTTCTTCTGAGGAGGCAAGAATTTAGGTCGCTACAGACCCATATGGTTTTGCCAAAGCTAACATATTTTGGTGCCGTGTCTCAGATATATTCTGCTGCTGGCAGTTCAAAGGCCAATTGTATTTTCTTTCCCAACTTAGCTCAGAAGTCTTCCTGCATCTATTCTTTTCTTCATCTGATCCGTTCCCCAAATTATGCCAGAGTGATTTTCCTAAAGCATAAATCCCATCATTTGCCAGCTTAAAATATTATTTAATATATTCTCATTGCTCTTAGGATGAGAAAATAATTCTTGACATAGTCCACATGACCCTACATGGTTTGCCCCTACTGACCTTACCTCTAACCAGACCTTCCATAACTCCAATCATACTGGTTTCCATTCAGTTTCTAATCCCTCTGCCACTCCCTTACTCCCATCCCATTTCCCAGCCCACCCATCAGCAAATGCTATTGGTTCTACTTTGCTAGGTGGTTGTTTGTTTGTTTGTTTAAATAGTCTTGCTCTGTTGCCCAGGCTGGAGTACAGTGGCATCATCATAGCTCACTGCAGATTTGAACTCCTGGGCTCAAGCAATCCTCCTGCCTCAGTCTCCCAAGCAACTGGAACCATAGGCATAAGCCACCATACCCAGCTAATTTTTTCCCCCATTTTTGTAGAGATAGGGTCTTGCTATGTTGTCCAGGCTAGTTTTGAACTCATGGCCTCAAGTGATCCTACCACCTTGGCCTCCTAAAGCACTGATATTACAGGCATGAGCAACTGTGCCAAGCTTTGGTTTTATTTTGAAAACTGTATCTTGATTCCAAACTCTTCTCACCATATCTACTGTTAGAATACTAATAAAGCTACTATCATTTTTCATCTGGACTCTGACCATAGTCTACTGAGGAATCTCTCTTCTCTTGCTTCAATCAATTGATTTTCTGAACAATCACCAACTGGCAGGATGGCTTATCGCTTAAGTCAAATCATGCACTCAGTTGCTAAATACATTCCAATAGTCCCCCATTGCAATTAGAATAAAACCTAAAGTCCTCAATGCTGGCTACAAGGTCCTGCTTGTTCTGGTTCCTGCTTACCTCTCTGTCCCCATCCACTATTGCTGCCCTACTCTTTCAGAACATTCCAGGCACACTGGCCTGCCTTCTTTTGAACTTTCTATGTTCCTATCTCAGCCCCTCTTCTTGTTCTTCCTTCTCTTGGAATCCTTTCCCAAGTTTCTGAATGGCTGCCCCTTCTCATTACTTTGTAAAGAGGTGATCCTTGACCACTTTCCCTGCCCCAAGAAAGTCACTCTCATTGTTTGATTTTATATTTTATGTAGCACTTACAACTCTGCTCAGAACCTTCCACTGGCTTTCCATCTCACTCACATCAAATTCTCTTCCACAGCTCCCAAATAGCACACAATCTGGGCACCATTTCCTTTTGATCCCATCTCATGTCTGTCCCTCCCATCTCACTCTGCTCAGCCGTACTAATTTCCTTGGTGTTTTTCCAATATCTTAAGTGCTCTCCTAACTCAGGGTCTTTGAATGTGCTGTTCCTTTTGCCTGGAATATTCCCATCTAAAAACCCAGTGTGGATTAATCTCTCATGCCATTTAGATCTAGCTCAAGTGTCACTTATCAGACAGAAATACCAGTTTCAGGTGTTTCTGTCTATTGGGAGACTGCCTTTCCCTGGTGCTATATTAAAAAAAATTAGGATAAATAAATAATAAATAAATAAATGAAAAATACATTTTCTCTTCCTTATGATTTTATTAATAACAGTTTCTTTTCTCTGGCTTACTTTATTATAAAAATACAGTATTTAATATATATAAAATAATATGAGTTAATCGACTATGTTATCAGTAAGGCTGATAACAACTGCTTGATCATCACCTGATGGTCACCTGACATTCCTGGTAGGGGGTGGGAGGAGCCCTCTCCTGCCCTGCTCATGCCTGACTAGCTACCTACTGTAACAGAACAATGCCAGATTTCAGGAGTACCAAACTGCTGCACAATTGAAAATCCATGTATGTCTTTTGACTCCCCCAAAACTTAACCACGAATAGCCTACTGTTGACCAGAAGCCTTACTGATAATATTAAACAGTCAATTAACACATATTATGTTATATGTATTTAGATAAATACTGTATTTTTACAATAAAGAAAGCTAGAGAAAAGAAACTGTTATTAAGAAAATCATGAGGAGAAAATATATTTTCTATTTATTTATCGTTTATTTACCCTAATTAATACAGCAACCCCATCCCCATGCCCATCACTCTCTATCCCTCACCTTTTAACTTCCTTCAAAACTAGTTACATTCCTTGACATGTTAAATATTAATTTGTTTATTGTCTGCTTTCTACCAACTAGAATGCACCATGCATGAGAGCAGAAATTGTTTCCTCTAACTATTTTCATTGTTCTTAGAAGTGTTGGTGCTTACGAATAGTTTCTCATTAAATAAATGACAGAACTATTTGAAATTGCCTAATTAACACATGCACCTAATTTCTGTCTTTATGTCTTCACCACCTTCCCTGACATATAAGCCTTTGAAGACACAGCTGTAGAGGAGAAGGGGAGGGTTATTCAACCGCATTTACAAATCATAACTGATTTTAACTTCTGTATTTTCAGACCTCCCCAGCGACTTTCTCTCAGGAAACTCCACTCCCAACTGACAGGTGCTATTTCCAGCCAGTCCTATGCTGTTGCAAATAGTGAGTCCATGAATGCCCTCTGCCGTGTGCATTACTTATTTTCATCAGCAGATCTTCGTAACACACTCCTGGAAGTGGGATGACGGGGTCAAAAGGCGAATCCATACATAAGTTAAATAGATATTGCTCAATTCTCTTCCACGGGGTTCAGACCATTTTGGATTTCTACGAGCAATGAAGACAGTGCTATTCCTCTACACCCTGGCCGGCCAACTGAGCGTGGTTAAACGTGGGGAGGGAGGAGGGTGAGGTTACCAACCTGATGGTTGAGAAAGGGCCTCCGCCCAGCGCGCCCTTCCTCCACCCCCACCCGAGAGACAGCTGAACTCCGGCCGGGACGCGCGTGTTGCCAGTCCAGCCCTGCACCGCGTCCCCTGAGGGCGGGCTGCAGGCGGCCGGGAAGCCTTGCACAACCGGCCCAAAAGAGGAAGCCCAGAAAGTGCTGAAGTAAACACTTTGGGAGACCGTTGCAACATAAAGCGGCCTCTCAGTCTTTGGTGGAACCATCACTAGGCCCCAATCCCTTAGTCCCTCTTGCGTCGAGGCTGCAAAATGGTTCCATTCGCCAGGAGACGCTCCTGAGAGAAGGGCGCGCGCGGCACAGGTAGGGGGAGGCGCAACGTTTCCCAGAATTAAAATAAAATAAAATAAAATAAAATAAAAATCCCTTCAAGGTGGTTGTGTAGTAGGGGTGGGATGGGGGAGAGAAAATCAGGCGCAGACTCGATGAGTTGGAGAAAGCAGCCCCTAACTCGGAGTCCTTTACGCATATGTTTGTCTGTCCCACTGTCTCTAACCAGGGGCCTTCCTTGCACCTCGGAGCAAAGCAGCTCGGATAGCGCCACACGTCTGCGCGCTGCGTGGGAAGGGCAGGGCTGACAGCACTTCCTCCCCGGGGCAGCGACCTGGAGCCCGGGTGCGGCAGTCTGCACCGCGCGTCGCTTTCCCGGCCGGAGTCTCGCCGCCTTCCCGCGCCCCGCAGCGCCCCGCAGAGCAGTCGAGGTAAGTGGCGCTCCCAGTCCCGGGAGCCCTGGGAGCGCCAGCACGGGCCCCTCGGGGCTGTCAGGAACCCGTTTGTCAAGCCCGTCGGGTCCGACGCCGGGGGCAGCTCCAGGATCTGGCCTCGTGAACGCGTGCCCCCAGGCGTGGCCCTCGAGCGCAGCGGGTCCCCAGGGTCCCCTCCGCTGATCTCCACTCTGGACCCGGCTCGCGAGGGTGGGGGTGTGAGGGTTTGGGGTTCGGGTTTGCTTTTTCCCGAGCTATTGCAACAGATTTGACAGATTTCCTGCCCAGGAAATTGCTGCAAGGTCAAACGGGGAACTGCTATGAACCCTTGCACGTCCAGCAGGTCAGCAGGTCAGCAGGTCAGCAGGTCCGGGAGCCCCAGTCTCCCGGAACCTGGAGGGATTCTTGAGGGGCCAAGATTAGATGTGGATTAAATGCCAGCCGTGTGAGAATTTGAGTGTGGCTCGCAGTCTGATGCATCTTAGAGTGTTTCCTTCCTCTAAAACTTTTGGACAACTCTTTCCTCTTTTTAAAAATAACTTTTTCCCCCGAATATTCTCATTTTCATTTTAAAATACCATAAAGATAGATTTGGACACCAGGCACAAGTTTCATAATTTGGCTTGAAATGAATATCCAGAGGGCCTTTTACAGAATGGAGGAAACTAACTAGGGTGTCCTAATGTCTCCAAGAACCTCTGCGCAGGTGTTCCACCAAAGACCTAGCCCGGTGTACCTCTTACTTTCCTGCTAAGGTATTTCTTAGTTCATACCCCTGTGGAACGTGAAATGTGTTTCCTAGACACTCAGGGCATAGCGGTTCAAAAGAACTTTTAATGTGATCCTTGACGAGACGGAGTACTAGAGGAAAGTAACAAAAGAAAAGGGCCCGTGAGTTTATTATGCCCCCAGATGTTTTTTTCTGGTGGCATAACGTGGTTTAAACAAAGGTGCCGGTACTAGCTACTATTCATTTTAAAATCTGGGTCTCCAGAGAGAAATTTCAGAAAGGAAAACTTTGTCCTTTTTCATAAACCTAGAGCAGCGATTTTCCCTCTGGCCTCACTGGAATAATGGGTGGCACATGGGCCAGGACGATGATGCTGGCTGGCGAAATTAGCAAGGATCTGCTGAGAAATACTTTATAAAGTCTTCTAGTGGTATTTCCTGTCTGCTCAACGTGTGTTGTGAAAGGTCTAAGAAATTTAACTTCATCCTTAAACTATTAATAATGTGTGTCCTTAAACTATTAATCCTTAAACTATTAATAATTACTAATATTTGGGTTTTTTCTCAGCACTTGGGAGACCTGGGTTCTGGCTCTTATATCTCCCCCATCTAGATAAGGATGATATTGATTAACTTGCATAACTTCTCCCTGGACTTCAGATAACGTCAGTAAAGTGAGATGATTGGGCTACATTATGTCTGTTCTTAAAATAGCAATTGAGGAGTTGCTATAATTCTTTGAATTGGTCCCAACTGGAATACTGGCAACATTATATCAACATTAGAATTGCTGATCACAAATTTTTTAAAAATGGAGAAAATAATCATAACCATAACAGATTACATTCTGAAATATCAATATCTTTGAGGTCTTTTGTTTCTGAGAAGTTCCTGTAAAAGCGCAGTCAATATCTGGCCTATATGTAAAAAGGCAAATTTCCATCTTATTTGAAAACTGAGATAAGAAACAGCCCAAACTTGAACAGGTCAATATTATATTTTGAAATCTTTAAATTGCTATTTCTCAAGAAATATAACTTTGTAATATGAATTACTTTATGGCATTACTTTAAATCTTAAACACAATACTAGGTTTTATAGTATTTATTACATTTTTTGTATTTTTATATCCTAAGAATGTTCACCAGTTATCCACTATTGATTTGCCTTTTTTCACTCATCAATCAAAGTTTTAAATAGTTCCATATTATTATTAGAATGAGCTACTTATAAAGTTCATTGCCATAAATGTCTGTTTGATATGTCACTTTGAATTTTCTTTAAGCCATCTTACTTCCAAAGAGCATTATTATTTTCATTTTCTTCTAATTCTCTTCAATTTTATTTTAATTATTTTTATGCCTAAAACATTTTAGTGAGTCCACAAATCTTATAATAAATTGTCTGCGTTCCATAGCCTATTGGACCACAATCTTTACAATTTTATAGGACCCCATGAGTTTATATTATGGAGACTACGGTGATCTTAGGAATGCTTGCCTCAAAACAGAACAATTTTTATTAACACAACAGGTATCTTCTCAGTATGAAAATGAATGTGTGTGTTTTATGTCACTGCTGTCATCTAAGAGGCAAGTCACTTAAAGCTTAAGCATTTATTATAAATTCATGTACATAATAAATGCCAGATTTTAAAGTGTAAGATTTCTACACTGGTTGCATGGGGATTTTAAAATACATATTACACTTTTAATTATCGTGAGAAACATGACTTTTAGAGAAAACTGCTAGATATCTGGAACAGTAATCATTAGATTTCTCTTGAAAAGAGAGAACTAGCCGCATGAAGGAATGCCATTACACCTATACCCAGTTAAAGAGACTAGATTGTACCTGCAGCTTGGAAGGGCAGACCCTGAGGACAGCTTTTGGGGGACTAGAGGATGTGACCTGCCACCACTGCATCATCATTTCCTAGCCAATTTGTGATCCCAAAATGAGGACTCCAAAGAGGCTGGCTAAATGTGCAGAATATATTAATCTCACTGAGTGGTACCATGGAAATATCACAAGCCCCTGAGATCCCGTTGGCTCCACTGGTCCCAAACCTCAGGCATGAGCAAGCAGAGAGGTGACACCACTCCAAGGCATCACACGTTCTCATTATTCCACATATTCTGGAGCTTGATTCCGTGACTCAGTTTTAAAACATTTCCTGAGCGTTGACCATGAACTTGAATAATTAAGAATCATAAGAGCTATTTTCTTTCTTCTCTGTCAACTCAGTTTTCTCTTTGATCATCACATAGTAATAGCAAATAATAATTATTATAATGTTTACTTATAAATACTACCAGGCCCTGTACTAATTTAGATGTGTCATCTTGTTAATCATCACATCAAGATGAAAGCACAGAGAGGGTAAGAAACTTACGCAGGAAGTAAGAAACAGAGCTGTTGTTTGAACTGGGCCATCTGATGGTGGCACCCATGAAAAAACCTGGGGCCTTTCCACAATGAGTTTATAGTCTAGAAGAGGAGATGTAACTAGATGTAAGAGGAGATGTAGAATTCCATGCGGAACCAGAGTTGAGTGCTGTGGGACTACATATCAGGGTCCCTGGTCTCCCCAACCAGGGTCACGGGAGAAGGTTGAATAGAAGGAAACCAAGCAAAGAACTTATCGTGTTATCATGGGAAGACAAGTTAATATAATCAACTTTGAAGTTATTATCTTTACGTGTGCCTTGAAAAAAGAATCTGCTTTGTTAGCAATCGTGTGTTTTCATTTTTGTGTTTATTTTATTCTAATCCCACATGACAGCCGGCTAGGTTGATTAAATCAACAAGCAAGCAGTGAGTTTAATATTTTTTCTAATTCTGTTGGGGATCTTTTTGATTTAGTTTCATGTTACAGACTCATCAGTGAGATGGTTGTGGGCTGGGATGGGGGATAAAAGCTAAATCACACAGCAACTGTGTTTCCCCAAACCGACTGGAGGGTTTGCATCCAGAGAGCTACATCACATCAAACTGGAGAGAAACAAAAAATGATATTAGAGCAAGTGAATCATGACTAGATTCATTTCTTCCTTCATGTTTTATTATGAAATGTTTCATATCTACAAAAGATGATGTATATATGTAAATAACAACAAATAATAATAAAGCCAACATCTGGGTACCTATCACCCAGCTTAAGAAGTAGAATATTTACCAAGACATTTCCTGGTCTCCTTCCAATAACATTTCCCCATTTCCCAGCTAGAGGTAATCATTATTCTGAATGTGCTAATTTTTAAAAAGCTTTTAGGAAGCATGTACATACATTTGTAAAGGATGGTGTCAAACTGGGGATCAAAGAACACTGGCATGGCAGACTGGAGTCAGGTTCTCCACCGACTCTGGGTGGTCACAAGCAGCTTGTGCTGTTCAGTAAAGACAGCTTACTTTAATTGAATAGCATAAAAACAACATGTATTAGAAATAGTTAATAGTAAGTACCACGGAAATTGTGCTATCTTAGACATTGATAAAGTGACCAAGAATCATCAGTAAAGAACTATGAGTTTTAAGTGGAATAAAGAATATGTGGCCGGGCGTGGTGGCTCACACTGGTAACCCCAGCACTTTGGGAGGCTGAGGCAGGAGGATCACTTGAGGTCAGGAGTTCAAGACCAGCCTGACCAACATGGTGAAACACTGTCTTTACTAAAAATACAAAAAAATTAGCCTGGCATGGTGGTGCATGCCTGTAATCCCAGCCACTCGGGAGGCTGAGGCAGGAGAATCGCTTGAACCCAGGAGGTGGAGGTTGCAGTGAGCCAAAATCATGCCATTGCACTCCAGCTTGGGCAACTCTATCTCAAAAAAAAAAGTTTCAAGAGCGAAACTCCATCTCAAAAAAAAAAAATTACTTATATGAGGAAAATAAATAAAGGAGGCAAAAGAAAAAAAGAATATGTAACTTAGGAAGTCATCTCCACTTTATTTATTTATTCATTCATTCATTCATTTTTGAGACAGGGTGCAGGCTGGAGTGCAGCAGCACAATTAAGGCTCACTGTAGCCTCAACCTCCTGGGCTCAAGCAATCCTCCTGCCTCAGCCTCTCATGTAGCTGGGATCACAGGTGTGCGTCACCATGCCCAGCTAATTAAAAAAAAAATTTTGTAGAGACAGGGTCTCATTTTGTTGCCCAGGCTGGTCTCGACCTCCTGGGCTCAAGTGATCCTTCCACCTCGGGCTCTCAAAGTCTTGGGATCACAGACATGAGCCACTGTGCCCGGCCAGATCTCCAGTTTAAATACAATTCAATCATTTTCAGTCAAAAATGTTTGCTAAGCACTATTATAGACGCAAGGAATGTCAGTGAACAAAAGAGACAAAGATCCCTGCATTTGTGGAGTTTATTCTGGTGGACAGATACAGATGCTACTCAATAAGCATAATAAATAAGTAAATAATATAGGTATTAGTAAGCGAAAAGCAAGGTGAAGTTGCAATATGCGATAAGGTGGTCAGGCTGGGCCCTTTCGTTTGCAGGAGACAATGGAGTTAACCAAGTGGCTATCTGGGGGAACAGTGTTCCAAGCACAGGGAACAGTCGAGGCTGTAGGGCAGGGGCATGTCTGTGGATTTGAGAAGCAACAAGAAGGCCCCTGTAGTTAGAGGTAAATGAGCAAGGGAGAGAGAAACAGATGTGGTTGGAGAAGTATGAGAAGGGCGAGGAGATAGCAGATCACGTGGGGTTCCAGAGGCCATTATAAAACTTTGACTTTCACACCGAGCAAAATGGAGGGGCCATTGCAGGATTCTGAGAAGGCGAATAACATGATCTGACTTAAGGCTCACTCTGACTGCTTGAGAATAAACCTGGGGGAGCAGAGGTGAAAGCAAGGAACCCATGACAAAGCGTTGGATTCTGCGTATATTTTGAAGGAGAGCCAAGATTTCCCGACAGAAGGAATGTGGGGTGTTTGAGAAAGAGGAGTCAAGGATGACTTCAAAGTCTGTGGCCTAAACAACTGGAAGGATGAAATTGTCATCAACTAAAGTCAGCAAGTTGGAAGGGAGATGATTAGAAGTTCAATTTTGGATGTAGATATGAAGTATCATTTGGGAATACTGATGTGCTTATTATATATAAGGCTAAAAGCAGGGTAACCATTTGGGAAGATACTGTTATTGCTCCTATTTTGCAAATTAGAAATGACAGGTAAGGGAGTTTAGGAAATTTGCCCAAGGCTACACAGTTTAAGAAATGGGACATAGGCTGCGTGGTGGCTCACGCCTGTAATCCCAAACACTTTGGGAGGCTGAGATGGGTGGATCATGAGGTCAAGAGATCAAGACCATCCTGGCCAACATGGTGAAACCCTGTCTCTGCTAAAAATACAAAAATTAGCTGGGCATGGTGGTGCACGCCTGTAGTCCCAGCTATTCGGGAGGCTGAGGCAGGAGAATCGCTTGAACCCAGGAGGTGGAGATTTCAGTGAGCCAAGATCATGCCACTGCACTCCAGCCTGGTGACAGAGTGAGATTCTGTCAAAAAAAAAAAAGAGGAAAAGAAAGAAAGAAAGAAAAGAAAGAAAGAAAGAAAGAAAGAAAGAAAGAAAGAAAGAAAGAAAGAAAGAAAGAAAGAAAGAAAAGGGGACATAAAACAAAGTCTTTGCAATCCTAAAACCTTTAATTAAACTTTCAAAACTTTGAGAAGGAGTTGATCCAAAATCTTTATTAGGTAGCTAAAATAAGAATATAGTTAGCTAATCAGCAATTTTCTACCTCCATAATAATCAAAACAATGGAAATTATTTTTGAGAAGTGGAAAGCAAGAAATGAATACTTAAAAGCCCCATCCATAAATTCTTTTTTTAATTGTTCTTAATAGAGATAGGGTCTTGCTGTGTTGCCCAGGCTGGTCTCAAACTCCTGGGCTCAAGTATCCTCCCGCTTCGGCCTCCTAAAGGGCTGGGCTGGGATTACAGGCATAGGCCACTATGCCTGGCCACGTAAATTCTTAACCCATGATGTAGACTTTATGCAATACAAGGCTTCCAAGACTGTGCAGTTTAAAAACAAGATTCTGCGGAAGTTAGGACAGAGACCTTTCCCACAAAGAAGTTTTTTGTGCCCGGAGGTTTCAAATGTTTAGAATTTCAAAATCCAAACCAGATTTGGAAGATAGGAATGTTTGCCCCTTACACAACTGGATTTCAAATGGATTCAAGTGTTAGAGCAGGGCTAAAAATTCTCTAGGAGCTGTTGAAGAATGCTGGACAACACTGTTAAGATATTTGGAGAGCTGAAAGTGGTTAAGAAGTAATTACTAACAGTGATCGAGATAAGTGACATTTCATTTGTCTTAGTTATTAACTGCTATCAAGCCAGGGTAATAACGAAATAGTAATATTCAGTAGAATGCTGCTAAAAGGTATTCATTACCACCTAGTAGAACTGTGTTTTCCACGGGGCAGAAGTTCAGTCTTTCAAGTGTGTTTGTAGGATTTCACCTCAGAAAGAAAAGAACAAATTAGTTATGTGGGGCAGAAGCGGGGAATCCCACAAAATCTTTTTCAGGTGATTTCACATCATATTATAGTGTATTATCACAATTAGGTTACTGATTAAGTAAATTTACCTATGGCCACTGTTTTTATAGCATTAACAAATTCATGCATCTCTGTTGATCACATAACATTCACAGGTGACAGTTAGGGCAATGAACTCATTAGGTTTTGGATACAGTATTGTTTTCCTTTTAAGATAATGGCTTCCTTCTGATTAAATTTCATAAACGGTATGGCTTAGCAAACCAAGACTATTTCTTCATGTGTTTACTCATTCTGTGGCATTATATTTCCCTTGTTGTAAGCAACACACAGAAATGAAGCTGCTTGGGCCATGAATGTCGGTAAGTGCTATGCAGTGTGGTGAAAAGATGGCCGGCCGTGAGACCACTGCAGAATGCCCAAGCTAAAATGAACAGTACTCACTGTTCCTCAAGGCTGGGTTTACAGATTGGGCTACAGTACTGAAACACACACTTCAGCTGAATCAGACTCTGCTCAATGTAATATAATTGGAACTTTTTTTCCAGTTTCACCACACGTCTATTGATGGCCAACCCCATGCCAGTGTAGGGGGCACGTGTAGCTAAAATAGGATAAGATATGGTCCCCTGCCCAGCATGGTGGGTCACACCTATAGTCCCAGCTACGTGGGAGGCTGAGATAGGAGGACTGCTTGAGGCTGCAGTGAACTATGATCACGCCACTGCACTCCAGCTTGGGTGACAGAGCAAAACCTGTAGATAGATAGATAGATAGAGAGAGAGATAGATAGAAATAGATAGATATGGTCCCTACCCTCAAGAAGCTTCCAGTCTAGTGGGAAAGACAGGCATGTAAAAAAAATACATTACAGTGCAGAATGTGCAATGTTTGATACAGAAATAATATGGTGCAGATAATGATTATAGGACAGATATTATGGGGGGATGATCAAGAGGTGCTTTGAAGGAGAAAGGTATAGAAATGCCTTTCTAGGAGGGGTGTGGTGGCTCATGCCTGTAATCCCAGCACTTTGGGAGGCTGAGGAGGGCAGATCACGAGGTCAGGAGATCGAGACCATCCTGGCTAATACAGTGAAACCCCATCTCTACTAAAAAAGTACAAAAAATTAGCCAGGCATGGTGGTGGGTGCCTGTAGTCCCAGCTACTCGGGAGGCTGAGGCAGGAGAGTGGCATGAACCCAGGAAGCGGAGTTTGCAGTGAGCCGAGATCGCGCCACTGCACTCCAGCCTGGGTGACAGAGTGAGACTCCGTCTCAAAAAAAAAAAAAAAAAAAAAAGAAATGCCTTTCTATACCTTGTGGCCAAATGGAAGAAAGATACGCCAGGCACCAGATGTGTAAAACACTTTAGCAGTGCTGAAGCATAAAATGCAGTGGGAAAGGAAATGGGGAGAATCTAATGTAACATAGAATGAGTAATATTCAGATTACATTAATGTGATGTGGTCCCTGCAACCCAACATATTTGAGTCAAATACTGAGGCGCTTGCAATAACAGAACTGTAGCACTCTGGAGCAGAGCTGTCCAGTAGAACTACAAAGCAAATTACATGTTTAACTTTAAATTTCCTTGGTGCCACATTAGAAACAGTAAAAAGAACCATGACTTTTCTTTTTTTTGAGGGAGGGCCTCACTCTGTCACCCAAGCAAGAGTGCAGTGGCATGATCACAGCCACTCCCATCCCATTTTTTTATTTTTTTGAGAAACGAGGCACTATATTGCCCTGGCTGGTCTTGAACTCTTGGGCTCAAGCAATCCTTCCACCTCGGCCTCCCAAAGTGCCGGGATTATAGGTGTAAGCCACTGTGCCCAACTGTGATGTTAATTTTAATCACTTATTTTATTAAATGATATATCCAAAAATGATAATAGCACTCTGGATCAAATGATTATTTTTGGATATTTCATTTAATAAAATAAACTATTAAAATGTGAATTGTTTGAAGTTATATTAAATTTAATGTTTGAAATTATATTTAACAGTAAAAATCAAGTGACATAAATTTTTACTAAAAATTTTAAAAATAATATATTAATTTTGATATAATTGAAATTATGTTACATTTAAGTAATAGTAAGATTATTTCATTTTTTTAATTTTTGTAGAGATGAGGGTCTCACCATGTTGCCCAGGCTGGTCTCACATTTCTGGCCTCAAGTGATCTTCCCACTTCAGCCTCCCAAAGCACTGGGATTATAGGCATCCTGCCAGTAATAGTAAAATTATTAATGAGCTATTTTATTCCATTTTTTAATACTAAGTCTTGCAAATCCAGTGTGTTTTCACACTTACTGCACATCTCATTTCAGACTAGCCACAGTTAAAGTGCTAAATGGCCTCATGTGGCTAGTGGCTGAATTGGGCAGTGCAGATTGAGATAAATTCACAAATATTGCATCCTATACTATGTGTTGACTATGCAACTGAAAGGAGGATATTAGGTGAATTCTAAAGTATTCAGAATTTTTTAGGGTAAAGGAAGTAAACAGCATTTGCAATTACTTTGGGGCCTGTCCCTACAATCTGATTTTAATTCATCTTTAAACCTACACCCAGAATGCATTATTTGCCCTCTAGTAACAAAACAACCTCAGATAGTCATTTGCTTGCTTTCCTTTTTATCCTCTTTCTCCCCCAACTCCCCACCACCTTATATATTATGGATTCTGCCTAAAAGTAAGAAGGACTGAAAAAGAACTGGAAACAAATGGCGAAGCAGGATGCCCTCAACCCACATCCGGCAAAATGTGATCTGTTGCCCTAGGCAACCATGGTGGTCAACTCTTCTGTTTTCTTTTTTTTGCTTCCACCTGCTAGTTCACAAGCATAACACTCTCATCGACAGCCACTCTCTTTGTGGCGGTTCTCAGCTCCAAAAATACGCCTGTCTTTCAGGGGAGGGCAGTAGTGCTAAGATTTGGAAAATGGGTTGGAGATGCGTAGGATATGACTCAAAAAAGACTCAAGGAGATTCCAGTGCAGTTCTTTCCTTGTTAAGAATGGTTACGGATCCCTGTTCTAGAAACTATACTTACAGATGTCCTTCCAGTGGCTTAGTCTTTTAAAAGCGTGCCTGACCTACAAAGAAAAATGGCAGTTTAACTCAGTCTCCAGGTGCATGAAGATGCAACAGACAGAAGTAACCATCCCCTTGTGGACTTGGGTGTGTGTTTATGTTTGTGTGTGTATATCTGTGTGTGTGTGAAAGAGAGAGAGAATAAATGACTGACACTTTTTTTTTCCACTGCTGGTTTTAGAGGGAAAACACAATAATAAAAATGATGATGATGATGAGGATGATAGAAATAATAGCTGATATTAAGCACTTCATATGCACCAGGCATTATAATGAGTACATTACAAGCACTAACTACCTCATCCCTATGAAGCAGGAACTGTTGTTTTGTTTTGTGTGTGTGTCTGTGTGAGCCTTTAGTTTCTTTCTAAATTCCAGTTGAATAGAAGTATTGGCATTTGTTTCAAGGGGATATCATCTTGATTGACTAAAAGTGTTCCAGGTATCAAATCATTACTGCCAATGTGATTCCATATTCTCCAATATAGTTGTCAAATTTTCTCATCAGAACCCACTCAAAGGTGCTTGAAGTCCAGGCACTGTGGTTTATGCCTGTAAACGCAACTCTTTGGGAGGCTGAGGCAGGAGGATCCCTTGATCCCATGAGTTGGAGACCAGCTTGGGCAATACAATGAGACCCTGTCTCTACAAAAAAATGAAAAAGCCAGACATGGTGGCATTCTCCTGTGGTCTCAGCTACTTGGGAGGCTGAAGCAGGAGGATTAATTGAGCCCAGGAAGTCGAGCTGCAGAGAGCCATGATCGTGCCACTATACTCCAACCTGGGTGACAGAGCAAGACCCTGTCTTAAAAAAAAAAGTGCTTGAGTATCAGCAACATCCTGTCAGAAATGGTAGTATGGAAAGTAAAATTATGGAGAATGGTTTACAGCATCTCAGAGAAGGGTATAAGAGGGCAAAGGGGGTTGTGTTAAACGCTGGGCAGTTTTGCAGTGGATCAAACACGGGCATTGGAATTGGCATTATATTTATTGGAAGGCTTATAAATACTCAGCCATTAAATGCGTCTGTACATGCAAAGCACTTAGAATAATGCCTGGCATGTAGCATGCGCTCAAAAATCAAATATCTTGTTTCAAACATTTAGAACAAAACAAAATTAAATCCCCCCTAGAAGTTACCATTGAAAACAACTCAAGTATTATCTCCTTGTATTTTGACATTTTGAAAAGAACTCAAGTATTATCTCCT
Organism: Homo sapiens; assembly: GCF_000001405.40. NCBI lineage: Eukaryota > Metazoa > Chordata > Mammalia > Primates > Hominidae > Homo > Homo sapiens. Next base: position 26,450,408 of record NC_000010.11, read on the forward strand.
TGTATTTTGACATTTGAAATAAGCCTTTGTTATCCACATGCCTCTAAGGGCATGAAACATTGTAGATTAAACACAATTTCACAGCCACTGTGTTTTAGTCAAATAGTCCATAGGTAGATGATAAGAGTATACACTAATATTTTTATTCTTTTCTTTATTCTTCTCCTTCTCTTTGTTAAGCAGTTTTGGACAATTACTCTTTGTGGAACACTCCACTATGGCTGTGGAAAACTAGTAAATGTAAAGTTGTTCCCTGACCCCTGCCCTCCTGGAACTCAGATTCTTTTTTTTTTTTTTTTGACACTGAGTACTGAGTCTCACTTTGTCTCCCAGGCTGGAGTACAATGGCTCAATCTAAGCTCACTGCAACCTCTGCCTCCTGGGTTCAAGCGATTCTCATGCCTCAGCCTCCCAAGTAGCTGGGACTACAGGCATGTGCCACCACAGCTGGTTAATTTTTGTATTTTTAGTAGAGACAAGGTATCACTATATTGGTCAGGCTGGTCTCGAACTCCTGACCTCAGGAGATCCACCCGCCTCGTCCTCCCAAAGTGTTGGGATTATAGGCGTGAGCCACCGTGCCTGGCCTAGAACTCAGATTCTGTTTCAAGCAATGAGATGCAGGTGTGTGAAAAGTGTTAACTATTATAGATTGGCAAAATACACAGGACGTTGAGAGACAGTAATTAATTCTAAGGAAAGAGCAATTATAAGAAATGAAAGGGGTGTTTTATTTATTTAAAATAAAATAAAGATTATTTAAATCTTTATCATATGAAATTAAGGTGACATGGAAGACATTAAGGAAAGAAACCAGGTTGGGAGTCACATTAGAGTTGCCTTCGTTTTACTTTAGTTTTTGATAGAGGTGGGTTCTCACTATGTTGCCCAGGCTGGTCTCAAATTCCTGGGCTCGGGTAATCCTCTCGCCTCAGCTTCCCGAAGTACTGAGATTACAGGCCTGAGCCACTGCGCCCAGCCTAGCGTTGCTTCCTAATTAAGAATGTATTAATAGTGGATTGAAGCATTTCTCTCAGTCCTCAGGAGGAACTCTGTGCTTTACTTAAGATCTGAGGTAACTCAGAGGCACCTTGGATTTTGTAAATGATGCGTTCTGCTTTTGCCATTTGGACGTCCAGAATCACATCTGTGGCCAAATTCAGCCACTATTGAGATCCTATTCTATTTTTCTTCTCTTATCTTGTATCTGTAAATTACCTTAAACCCTTTTTCAGGAGATGTGGAATAAATAACTAATAAACACTATAAGAAAGTCATTTATCTTCCCTGCCTCTAAGTTTTCTCAATTATAAAATGAAATGCTTGGATTAAGTTAAACTGAGCTTACTTTCCTAGTTCCAATGTTTTAAGATTATATGCATGAAGACAGGATTGTCCAGGAATGAAGGCAATCTTCAGTCAATCCTCAAAATCAGTAGACATGGAGACTTCCTATATAAGAGTAGAAATAACAATCACTTGGCTTAAAACCTTTGAATGAAGTCAGGATATTAGATATCAATTATCAACACTTCCTTTCAAAACAAGGCATTTATCTGGTTTTAAGGATGGTTAGAACATGTAAATGTACAAATAAATAAAAGCCCTTTGTGCCGTATATGGTGGCATAGATGAAGACTTATGAGACATCAAATTTACCAATGATCCATTTCAATGACAGACATTTTTTAAATAATCAGCAATTTTTAAGGTTTTGTTGATTATATCAAACATATTCTTAGACAAAAAAAAGTGTGTTTATTCCTTTCCTAAAAACAAATAAAACCTTAAAAAGGTGTTCCAGTCTTGCACGATTATCTAAGGTAGGAATTATTTTCGTTGTACAGACGAGGAAACTAAGCTGAGAGAAGGTCTAAATGACTTGCCCAAGGTCATCCAGCAGCTAAGTATATTTACAAGTACATGGTGCATGTCACACACTTGAATGAAAATACAAGATGCCATGCCTGAACTCACTGTGTGATGTGAAAGACGGGCATGCACATTATATTAGATGTGGACATGGAGACACCATCACAAACATATTACCAAGGAAGCCACCAATTTCCACCTCTTAATAATCACAATTCATGTTTTCAGAAGACAATGTAGTTATCTAACTATCTAATTTCTCTAGGCCTGATTTTTGTAACCTATAAAATTGGAATCATGTCACTATCTCATAGAATTGTTTTGAGAATTAAATGAGATACTGTAGGTGTCTGACCTGTAGTAGTTGCTCCATATTTATAGCTCCTACTATTCTTTTTTTAATTTTTATATATTTAGGGGGTACAAGTGTAGATTTCTTACATGCATATATTTCATCCTGGTGCAGTCTGGACTTTCAGTGAACAGGTCACCTAAATAGTGAACATTGTACCCAATCGGTAATTTTTCAACCCTCCATATTTTGTAGCCTCCAATGTCTATTTTTCCACTCTGTATAGCCATGTATACTCATTGTTTAGCTTCCACTTATAAGTGAGAACATGCAGTATTTGAATTTCTGTTTCTGAGTATAACTCCTACTATTCTTTTTAATTAAGATATACTATCTTCATTTAAATATTTTACATTATTCTTATTATGCATTAATACTAGCTAGCATATATTTCATTTTAAGTGCCAGTGGTGGTGCTGTGCCAGTACTAAGAGAGTTGAGGTATAAATATTGCTCCTGTAATGTGGCTGAAGAGATTAAAAAATGTCTATAAAGAGATAAACAAGTCATAAAGCAGGTCATGAACTGTCAAAGTCGTGATTCTGATGCTGCCAGAATGGAGCTGTAGGTCTTGAGTTGGCTTTGTGTAGTGGGTAGGACTTATCTGAGTGGAGAAATGGCACAGAGGTAATGGCAATGGTGTGTTTACAGGAGGAGAAAAACTCCTTTCACTGTAAGGCAAGGTTTAATGAGAAGAAGATGGAGATGAAATTGGAGTGGTGTGCTGGGCATGGACTGTGGATGAGCCCATCCTATGAGATATTTGCTCTGAGCTGGGAGACATGAGGACAGCCTGCATACACAGTGACAGTGAGGGTGGGACAGGGCTTTCCTGCCAGGTCCCTGCTCCTCGACTAGAAGCACTGGCCTTCCTCCTCCATCCACTCATTCATCTCCTGCTTGCCTTTCTCTGATGACGTGGACTTGCCAGATTTGGTGTTTGTCCCCTCTGGACCTAGAATTCTCAGATATCCTACTGACCTGGCCATGGAGACCACTAGTGTTCCTCTGGGCTATAGCACAGACTCTAGCCCTCCTGAAAAAGGCCTCAAGGGACAGTTGCCCCTGGCAGATACTGGCCAATAAGCACAGGAAAAAAATGCTCAACGTCACTAGTCATAAAGGAAATACCAATCAATACCACAATGAGTACAACCACTATGGAGAACAATTTGAGATTTCCTTGAAAAACGATAAATAGATCTACCATATGATCTAGCAATCCCACTGCTGGGTGTATACCCAAAAGGAAGGAAATCAGTATATCAAAAAGATATCTGCGCTTCTGTGTTTGTTGCAGCACTGTTCACAAGATTTGGAAACAACCCAAATTCCATCAACAGGTGAATGGGTAAAGAAAATATGGTACTTATCCACAATGGAGTACTATTCAGCCATGAAAAAGAATGTTATCTTGTCATTTGCCACATGGATGGAACTGGAGGTCATTATAAGTAAAAAAATCCAGGCACAGAATGACAAACATGGCATGTTCTCACTTATTTATGGGATCTAAAAATAGAAACAGGCCCAGTGCAGTGGCTCACGCCTGTAATACCAGCACTTTGGGAGGCTGAGGCAGGTGAATCACTTGAGGTCAGGAATTCAAGACCAGCCTGGCCAACATGACAAAAGCCCATGTCTACTAAAAATATGAAAATTAGCCGGGCGTGGTGGTGGATGCCTGTAGTCCCAGCTACTTGGGAGGCTGAGGCAGGAGAATTGCTTGAACCCAGGAGGCAGAGGTTGCAGGATTGCAGGACTTTATTCTGGCTGCTCAGGAATCTGATGGGACAAGGAGCTGAGATCGTGCCACTGCACTCCAGCCTGGACGACAGAGTGAGACTCTGTCTCGAAAAAAATAAATAAATAAAAAATAAAAATAAAAACAATTGAACTCATGGAGGTAGAGAGTAGAAGGATGGTTACCGAGGCTGGGAATGGTAGCTGGGGTGGGGGAGATGTGGGGTAGTTAATGGGTCCAAAAAAACCAGAAAGAATGAATAAGACCTAGTATTTGCTAGCACAACAGCATGACTATAGTCAATAATAATTTAATTGTACATTTTAAAATAACTCAAAGAATATAATTGGATTGTTTGTAACACATAGGATAAATGCTGGAGGGGACGGATACCTCATTCTCCATGATGCAATTATGCATTGCACGCCTGTATCCCGTACATATATACACCTATGTACCCACCAAAATTAAAAATTAAAAACAGAGTGAGATACCACCTCACATCCATTAGCATGGCTATAATCCAAAAGAGAGACAATAACAGGTATTGATGAGGATGTGGAGAAATTGGGAGGGCTTTGAATGGCTCTCCACAGTTTGACAACACATGATGAAGCAATGAGGGAACAATTTCATTTTTGATGGCTGTCTCTGCTCAGAGGCTGTCTCTGCTGCAGGACTCTATTCTGGCTGTTCAGGAAATGGATGAGACAGGATGCTGAATGGAGTTGGGTAGTTCTGATTTTTTGCCAAGAGGCAAATGAGAGGGATGCCAGGAAAAACAGTATATGATATTGCTCGGCTAATTTAAATATAAATATGGGCCATGGAGTAAAGTACTGTGAGTGTATCATTAAGAAGGAAAAAGTCAGGCCTGGGCACAGTGGCTCACGCCTGTAATCCCAGCACTTTGGGAGGCCGAGGCGGGCGGATCACAAGGTCAGGAGTTTGAGACCAGCCTGGCCAACATGGTGAAGCCCTGTCTCTACTAAAATACAAAAAAGTTAGCCAGGTGTGGTGCGGGCGCTTGTAATCCCAGCTACTTGGGAGGCTGAGGCAGGAGAATTGCTTGAACCCAGGAGGCAGAGGTAGCAGTGAGTTGAGATTGCATCACTGCACTCCAGCCTGGGTGACAGAACAAAAAAAAAAAAGAATAATAATAATAAGAAGAAAAACGTCTTTGGGGATGCTCACGTTAACTTAGTAAAGTTACGTGGTTACTGTTATGTGAAACACATATAAAATACATACACTTCCCGAAGTTGAATTTTACACTATGTCTGCTGATTCAGCTGTTTAGAGTTTTGGGGGATTTCTTTTTTTTTGGTTTGTGGTTCCAAGGCCACAGCTTTGGAAAACAGTGTGTCAATTCTTCAAAAGTTAAATACTTACAGAGTTACCATATGCCCCAGCAGTTGCACTCTTAGGAGTGCCAAGAGAAATCGAAACATACATCCACACAAAAATGTGCAGGCAAGTGTTCATACCGGCATAATTTGTATTAGCTGAAAAAATGGAAACAACCCAAATGTCCATCAACTAATAAAAAGAAATGAAGTGTCAGCACATATTACATTTTGGATTGAACTTTGAACACATTAAGTGAAAGAAGCCAGACACAAAAGACCACATTAATGTATCATCCCATTGATAGGAAATGTCCAGAATAGGCAGCTTTATATAGAGAGGAAGTAGAATAATGATTGCTAAGGGATGGGGAGAGGAGGAGTGAACGGATACAGGGTTTCTTTTATAGGAGAAGAAAATGTTCTAAAATTAGATTGTGGTGATGGTTGCACAACCCTGTGAATATGCCAGAACCATTGAATTATACACTTTAAATAGGTGGATTGTTTCATTTCACCTGCATGCAAGGAGCTGCTCTATCCACGGGAAAATGGATGCACTAGGTGCAATTTGCACTCTGGGTTCAGTACATTAAGTGAAAGCCTTTGGTGTGCCTAGGAATTATAGGGAAAATAGCAGTGATAGCAGCGGAGTAGATTTTAGGAGAGAACAGGATGGATGTCTGAAAGATGAGGTTGGAGGGGTTGATGCGGGTTGGACTATGGAAAAATTTAAAAGCCACCTTATGGAGTTTATATTAAATCCTATGGACAGTAGAGAGCCACTGAAAAGTTTTGCTACTTGAAAGAATATGACAGAACTGGGTTTTAAGAAGAAAACTCTGGTGGCATTATAGAAGCTGATTTAAGAAGCAGAGACTGTGGCGAGCATCTGTATTCCCAGCTACTCAGGAGGCTGAGGTGGGAGGATGGCTTTTGTCCAGGAGGTTGAGACTGCGATGAGCCGTGATCATGCCACCGCACTCCAGCCTGGGTGACAGAGCAAGAACCTGTCTAAAAAAAAAAAAAAAAAAAAAGGAGAGACTGTTTGAGCCTGTGTAGGCATATGAAAAATAATTACAAAAGAAAAGAAGGAGAGATTGGAGATAGGAAGATGAAAAGTAAGCTGGGGGCAGAATCCTGATAAGATGTGGAAGACCTGTACTAGGATGGTAGCTGGGGAAAGTGTGGGACAAGTTCAAGGGCATTAGAAAGGCTAAACTGACCAGACAAACTGATCATATTTGGGACTTCCAGAATAGGTGATGCTTCTGAGAAGATTGGCTTAGTGAAGGTTATTGGGCTATAGGTCAAGATAAATGTAGGCTGGTTTTTTGGGTGTTTGTTTCTTTAGCAAGAGAGGGATACTATCTGAAAAGAGGAGTCCTTGTGTCCAAGTGGCTCCTTTTAGACACTCACAGCACAGGAGCTAGGCTGTGCTTGGTCATTGCAGATGTTCATAGCCATCAAGTCAGCCCACCTGTGTTTCTTCTCCGAGCCTTGTCTTCCCTTTCTCTGGTCTGCTTTTTCAAATTCTAATGTACGCTTCTTTTTCAGTTCCCCAATTTCTGGTAACTATCGCATTTGAATTTTTCTTTTTTAAGAGACAGGGTCTAACTCTGCTGCCAGGCTGGTCTTGAACTCTTGGCCTCAAGCAATCCTCCTGCCTCCGCCTTCCAAAGTGCCAGGATTACAGGTATCAGCCACTGTGCCTGGCCTCACCTTTGATTTTGGTATCCTTTACCCAGACATCCAGTCGCAGCCTCACTTCACTGCACTGTTCAACTCCTAACTCAGTATCTGATTTTCATCCAGGGTTTCTCTGTGCTGACTTTGTCCCCAGTTCCCAAGATAACATCTGGCTTAGATCTCCCTATACCAAAACCTATACTGGTAAGCCAGGGGACCTGGGAACAGGCTGAAGAGGAGGCTGGAAGGAGGCCATGTTGCATTTAAACCACCGGTAGGGCTGCCTGGTGGAAATGCTCTCTATGCAATGGGAAGTATAATTGCAGGGCTTAAAAATGAGGAGGGAGAGGAAGACACAGATAAGTATGAGTTTTCTGCTTCCCTCTGAAGCAATATCTATAGAGATTAGATAACAGGAATAAGTATAATACCAAACAAAGATCAGGGAAGATTTATCCTAAAGATAATCTGGATCATAGCTACAATGACTAAATTATTTGCTCTGAAAGGGTAAACTTGTTACCACCATTCCTTCAGAAAACACTTAAAGCTGGGTCTTTATTGGTATTTATGAAATCTGGATATTTTTATGGCCTGACTAATACCTTTGTCAAGCCCTTGGACAGCAGAGAAGTTGTATGGAGCCGAAAGTGCAAGGACTTAATGAATGATTTCTTGAAAGTATTACTGAAACTCTCTGGATGTGGTGTCTCATGCCTGTAATCTCCGCACTTTGGGAGGCCAAGGTCGGTGGATCACTTGAGGTCAGGAGTTTGAGACTAGCTGGACCAACACGGTGAAACCGCGTCTCTATTGAAAATATAAAAATTAGCTGAGCGAGGTGGCATGCACCCTTAGTCCCAGCTACTTGGAAGGCTGAGGTGGGAAAGTCGCTTGAACCTAGGAGGCGGAGGTTGCAGTGAGCCAAGATCTTGCCGTTGCACTCCAGCCTGGGTGACCAAGCAAGACTCTGTCGAAAGGAAGGAAGGAAGGTAGGAAAAGGGAAGGAAGGAAGGAAGGGAGGGAGGGATGGAGGGAGGGAGAGAGGGATTACTGAAAGTTTTTCTGGAAAGATCCATGAACACCTGACCAAAAAATTAACAAAGCTAATTTTCCAGTATCACTTTTTTCTCTCAGTGTCTACATCATAACAAACCTAAGTTGTATCTTAATACATTATTTGCCTTTTATATCAGAGCATCACTGGACCATTGTAAGGCAGTAGTAATAAGTTATTAATGATAAAATAGGTAACAAACAAAGACTATAATATGCTATCATCAAAAAATTAAGGCCATATTTCACTTCATGTTTTAGATTCTGGTAGGATTTTAAAGCACCAAATTCTTTGATATTTTTGAATATACTTTCACTAATTCTATTATTATCTACTTTATTCTTATTTACTGTTCTGTTTTAATTATTGTCTGCTTTCATTACTTTTTTCTCCAAAATTTCCTCTGAATTTGACTTTAATTAAATTGTGTATAAGTGTGTATTTTCTTTACTGTGGTTATTTTCTTTTCTTTTCTTTTATTATTATTATACTTTGAGTTTTAGGGTACATGTGCACAATGTGCAGGTTAGTTACATATATATACATGTGCCATGCTGGTGTGCTGCACCCATTAACTTGTCATTTAGCATTAGGTATATCTCCTAATGCTATCCCTCCCCCCTCCCCCCACCCCACAACAGTCCCCAGAGTGTGATGTTCCCCTTCCTGTGTCCATGTGTTCTCATTGTTCAATTCCCACCTATGAGTGAGAACATGCGGTGTTTGGTTTTTTGTCCTTGTGACAGTTTACTGAGAATGATGATTTCCAATTTCATCCATGTCCCTACAAAGGACATGAACTCATCATTTTTTATGGCTGCATAGTATTCCATGGTGTATATGTGCCACATTTTCTTAATCCAGTCTCTCATTGTTGGACATTTGGGTCGGTTCCAAGTTTTGCTATTGTGAATAGTGCCGCAATAAACATACGTGTCATGTGTCTTTATAGCAGCATGATTTATAGTCCTTTGGGTATATACCCAGTAATGGGATGGCTGGGTCAAATGGTATTTCTAGTTCTAGATCCCTGAGGAATCACCACACTATCTTCCACAATGATTGAACTAGTTTACAGTCCCACCAACAGTGTAAAAGTGTTCCTATTTCTCCACATCCTCTCCAGCACCTGTTGTTTCCCGACTTTTTTATTTTCTAGGTAGTTTGATATTGTCCTTTTGAAATTTTCTTCTCTGTTTCCTCAGCTGTTAAGGAAAATGTTTTCTACTTAAGGAGTTTTTTTTAAAATTTGTTTTAGCCCTTATTTTTCATTTTCATTATTGTTGTATCTTGGTCAGAGAATGTGGCTATTTCTCCTTTGAGAAATTTATTTACATTTTCTGGCACATAACTAGTTTTCAACAAATAATTTATAAGCTAAGCCTAATTTTTACTCAAATCCCCTATAATATATTTATGTCTTTCCCCTATTAATCAGTCAAATATAGAAATTAAATTTATTACCATTGCTAAGGTCATAATTTTGTAAGCCAAATTTTTACTATTATTTTCTATTTACTTAGTCTTAAAAATAATTTGTATAAACAAAATAATGTATTTTTGCTTGGAAAATTTAATGATGACTCAGTTCTGAACCAAGACAAATAATGCTAAATTCTTAATTACAGTTCTTGCCTCCAGAGAAATAAAGAAAATAATTAGCTGATGACAAGAATAACACTCTCTGTAAAGTTACTGAGCACAGTAACAAATAAATAAACAAATAAAACACCCTTCTTAGGAATAATTATCATAAAATTTGCTAGTCAGAAACAATACATGAAGGATACACTGTAGTTTGCATCTTCTTTTCCCTAAGAATTTTTAGAGTCATTTAGAATTTTAGAATGTAGTCAAGAAAGACAAAGAATTTGTTGCAATGCACTTGTCCATCTCAAATTGTCCTCCTCACATTGACTCCCCAGCAATGTTTAGGAGAATAAAGCCACAATAGGATGGAGTGGAGAAATCTCTTTCCCCTTTTTTATGAGCTGCCCTCACAGTAGGATGTTATATTTTTGCATGCATATGTTCATTGTTCACAATAGCACTATTCACAATAGCAAAGACATGGAATCAGCCCAAATGCCCATCAATGATAGACTGAATAAAGAAAATATGGTAAATATACACCATGGAATACTATGCAGCCATAAAAGGGAATGAGATCATGTCCTTTGCAGGGACATGGATGGAGCTGGAAGCCATTATCCTCAGCAAACTAATGCAGGAACGGAAAACTACACACTGCATGTTCTCACTTATAAGTGGGAGCTGAATGATGAGAACACATGGACACATTGGGGGAACAACACACACCTGTCAGAGGGTTGGATGGGGAGCGGGGAGAGCATCAGGAAGAATAGCTAATGGATGCTGGGGTAAAAGCTCACTGCTGCCAGCACTCACTCCTCAGTCTAAGATGGTAGGGACAAAACTGCCCCCAGAAGATTGTGGTTTTCCACATTGGCTTTCACTTCATGTTGCTAATTTCCACCTCCTAGGTCTCATGTCAATGTGTCTGCTTGACTAATCACAGGTAGAATCCTAACTGCAAGGGAGCCTGGGAAACATCATTTCTAGATTTCCAGCTTCTATATTATAGGAACACATCATAAAAGGCACTTGGAGAGGGCGTTCAGAGAGCCAGTCAAAAGTATCTACCACAAAAGTATTATAAAACGAAGGAAGAGAGGGAAAGAAAGAAGGAAAGAAGGAAGGAAGGGAAGGAGGGAGGGAAGGAAGGAAGGAAAAACTTTTTTTCTTATATGACTTATAATTTTGCTTTTATGCATAGATTCATAATTCAACAAGAATTTCTTTTGCATATGGCAATGAGGATAGGGATCTGACTTTATTTCTTCCAAATATATAGCCGATTATTTCAATACGACTCATTAAATACTCTGTTATTTTTCTACTGATTACTAACTGCTAACTTTTTCATACATCAAATTTAAATTCTGAAATCTTTGTCTTTTTCCGTTGGTTTATTTATGTAAATCCTGAAGTGCCAAATATGTTTATTTTTCTTTAAAATACATTTTTATTACTTAGGAATAATCTTTTTTTTTTAGGAATAAGCTTTTATTCTCAGATAAAGTTGAGAGTCAACTTGCTGACTTTCTTTTCTTTTTTATAAATCCATTTGGGGATCTAATTGAAGTTGCAAAAAGTTTCATATTCTTTTAGGAAGAGTTACCATTTTAATATGGTAAAGATGTCTCTCCCTACATTAATTCCCGTAACATGGTAGTTCCCTTCATTTTTTCGTCTTCTTTTATCCATATAGTTTTATTATTTTTTCTATCTTGAATTGACAAATTGCTTATTATTTATCTCTATGTTTTTCGTAGTTTTTGTTGCTGTTGTAAATCTGATCTTTTGCCATGTCATTTTCTAATATTTATTGGTGTATATATAGGAACACTACTGATGTGTATATATTTACTTCACATCAGCCACCTTATTAATTCTACTATTCACACTACAATTCTCTTGAATTGTTTATGTAGACAATTGTATCACCTCCATATTTTGCTAACTTTGTCTTTTCTCCAGGATCTGCAGGCCAAATCCACGTGGCTGCTTCTGTAGATAATGTTTTATTGGCACTAGCCATGCTTGTTTGTTTACGTAGTGTCTACAACAGCAGACTTGTGTGGTTCTGACAAAGACCATCTGACTTGCAAAACCTGAAGTATTTGCTGTCTTGTCCCTTATAAAAAAAAGTTTCCCAAGTCCTGCCATTGACTGTTTATAAATTTAAGATCTTTTTCTGGACCTCTTATTGTTAAGGACAACCAAAACAAAACTAAATAGTAGCAATAATGGCGGGACCCCTTTGACTTGTGTTTTACATTGGAACATTTTTGGTGTTTTACAGTTAGAATGATGGTTGCCATTGGTTTCTGGTAGATAACCTCTATCAAGTTAAGGAAAACACTAACCATTTCAACCTTACTAAGAGATTTTTATCAGGAGTGGGTATTGGATTTTAGGAACTTCCTACTCACCATGCATTGAGATGATCATATAGTATCTCATTTAATATTTTAACTTAGTGAATTATTCTGATACATTTCCCACTGGTGAGTTGTTCTTGTATACTTGGTTATTATGTACTATCCTTTTAATGTATTTATGGGATCAATTTTTGAAAATTTTGTTTGGGATTTTTTCATCTATATTTGTAAGTAATAGTGATTTGTTGTTTTCCTATTTTAGGAATGCTTTTTTTAGTGGCAACTCATTCTTGTTGCTGTCATCTTAAATCTCTCTGAAGACAGCAATTGGAATTTCTTAAAAGCCTCTCTTCTATTTCTTTCATCCACTCAATTTCCTCTGGGGTCAATATCTTGGTTTTTAATCTCGATGCTTCATGCTCTTGTTACTCCTCAAATGTTTGATGACCCCGATTGTCGACTCATAATTTTAATGAAAGGGTTAGAATGACATAGAAGGTGGTATGGATTTACTTGGGAACTAGAGCAAGCCTCCTTCTGGACTGAGAGGCTGACTGTGGCATTCTGTAGATGAACATGGGCATTTATAGACAGATCTACCCTTTGGGTTGGATGAAGATCAGACAGTAAACTTCAGCCATCGTTGAGCGTTATTTGCCGAAGCCAGCAAAAATATGTACTGAAAATGGAGCACCCAAGAGTGCTTAGTAAAATTCACTGGAAGGCCAGGCGTGGTGGCTCACACCTGAAATCTCAGCCTTTTGAGAGGCAGAGGTGGGAGAATCATTTGGTGCTAGGAGTTCAAGACTAGCCTGGGCAAGATAGTGAGATCCCATCTTTACCAAAAAATTCAAAAAATTAGCTGGGGATAGTGTCACACACTTGTAGTCCTAGCTACTCAGGAGGCTAAGGCGAGAGAATTACTTGAACCCAGGAGTTTGAAGCTGTAGTGAGCTATGACTGTGCCACTGTACTCCAGCCTGAGTGACAGAGTGGGACCCCATGTCTAAAATTTTTAAAAAAATGTAAAACTTCACTGGAATGTGGAAATTTCTTTTCCCACTCCCTTCTGATTGATTGATTGGATGCTTGGCTGGTTGGATGGGAATCTGCCTGACTGTTATGGTGTCCCAAGCTTTCTGGGCACTGCTCTACTTGTTTTTTGGCTCAAGACCCACCTTTGGAATCAATGAGGTATTTTTTCCACGTTATTTAAGGCAAGGGTTCTTGCTGATTGTAGACTGGGGGTGATTATGGCAGCCCATTGTTGACAGGGAAGTCAAATGGCCCATAGCATTTTTAAAAAATGTTTACTTTAAGGTCTGGGATACATGTGCAGAATGTGCAGGTTTGTTACATATGTATGCATGTGCCATGGTGGTTTGCTGCACCTATCAACCCATCATCTAGGTTTTAAGCCCCACATGCATTAGGTATTTGTCCTAATGTTCCCCGCCACTTGCCCCCAACCCCGGACAGGCCCTGGTGTGTGATATTCCCTTCCCTGTGTCTATGTGTTCTCATTATTCAACTCCCACTTATGAGTGAGAACAGGACCATAACATTTTAAATAGTGATTCCTCTGGTTGGTTGTCCCTGGATTCCCATCCTTGCTGACCTGGAGCTTGGGTGTCTGTCTTGGCTCTGTCTTCAGCAGCCCTCCTCTAGATCCATACTGGACTCCACATTTTTTGCTTTAGTTACTCAGTATCTACAGTCCCTTCTCTGTAGCATCTTCCAGAAGTTTCTCAACATTTTGATCTACTCATACCATCCTTCCATGCTTTCCAGACTGTTATAAAGTCATTTCATTGGAATTTTAGGAGACAGTATATAGTCACCCCCACTATTTGGAACTAGTTTTCAGTACATTTTAAATGTATTAATACCCACCTATATGCAAACACCGCTATGTACCAGTTGCTGTGCCCAGGCCTGACTGTGCTCATTTAGTCCTCGTGACAAATTTATTTTATTTTATTTTTTGAGACAAGGTCCCACTCTGTTACCCAGGCTGGAGTGCAGTGGCACAATCATGGTCCATTGCAGCCTCAGATTCCCAGGCTCAAGTGATCCTCCCACCTCAACCTGCTAAGTAGCTGGGACCACAGGAACACGATACCATGCCCAACTAATTATTATTACTTGTATGTGTGTGTGGAGACAGGTTCTTGTTGTGTTGCCCAGGCTGGTCTCAAACTCCTGGCCTCAAGAGATCCTCCCACCTTAGGTTCCCAAAGTTCTGGGATTACAGGCGTGAGCCACCATGCCCAGACCATAATAATTTTATGAATTTTCCCAGCCCTGTTTTACAGATGAAAAAACTGAGGCTGAACCAAGTTAAGTAAGTTACTCAACATCATGCAGTAGTTAGCATTGAACCTGAGTTTGACTCATTCAGTTACCACATTCACACCTAATAAGTTTTCTGATGATACAGCAGGGCCCCAACAGGTACCATCTGAAGGACAAACAGGGATAAATCCAAGTTCCTTATTCTCTGTTTTTATTTTATTGATATATGAATTAAATAGAGAATTCACTTTTGTGGTCTAAGCAAAACCAACAGAGAACTCTGGGGCATTCTCTGTTTGCAAAGACATTATTTCCATTTTAGACATGTGCTTTCTCGCACAGCTGTAAGAGAGAAATGAAAAATACAGTAGCTGCAGACCAGGCGTGATTCCCATGTAGACTGTGCAGAGAAAACTATGATTAAATTAAAAGGCTGTCATTTTCCATATATGAAAAAACTACCCATAGGAAAGTGTGTGTCAGTATTCATCAAAAAGAAATTGAAGAAATTCATGTAGAGCATAAAATGTGATCAGATGTCCACTGAATTGACAGGCACCCTTCATTGCTTCATGAATGTGCTCAGATCTTAACTAGTTTGCTGTTTGTGACACTCTGTAGACAGGTACATGTCTAGCTAGTTGACATATTCAAGGACACAAATTTCTATTTTTTTCGTGACAAACATCTCATCATTATGGCAAAAGAAAATAAATTAGTAATAATGCTGACATTTTATATATTATGTGTCATAATGATATAATAATTACTCATTGTAATTAATAATAAATTAATGATTTTTGCACCTTCTGATGGGTAGATACAATGCTCAAATTCTCCATAGAAAAGATATTTACATTTTTAAAGAAAAAATTATAATTATGTCATTATTAATTGTTAATGTTCATCACTTAGTAATTATCATTTTTAGGTGACTAAAGACTGACATTTTGGGCATGTTTAAGCACTGAATTTTGACATAAACATGTCATTCACCAGATGTGTGTCCTTGTGTGATACCTATCTTCTCAGAGCCTTCATTTCTTCACTTGCACAATGAGGATAATATATTTTGCAGAGAAGTGGAAAGGATGAGAGGCATAACCTCTAAAGCATAATATATTGCCAGATGCAGGTGCCCTGGAAATGGTAGGTATTAGGATAATTTGTTACACTTATCAATTTCTGCTCAACGAACCACCCCAAACTTAGAGGTGTAAAGCAGACCATTTTATTATGGCTGCAGGTTCTGTGGGTCAGGAATTCCGACAGTCCACAGCAGGGCTAGCTTGTATCAGCTCCATGATGTCTGTGACCTCAGCTGGGAAGACTTGAGCAGTTGGGGGTGACCCAAAAAGCAGGAAACTGGGCTCATCTGGAGGGTTTTTCACTCTCTTTCCTGGTCCCTGGGCTGAGCTAGGACTGGCAGTGATGAGATCCCCTTCTACAGCCCCTCCGGGTGTCCTGGGCTTCTACTATCGAGGCAGCTGGGCTTCCAGAAGGAATGTCTGGAGAATGAATATTCTGAGAGGCCCAGATAGGTGGCTTTTGATGGGGGGACTTCCAGAGTCACATGGTGGCATCCACCACAGCCATCACAAGGCTGGTCAAGTTCAAGGCGATGGGACACAGACCCCACTTCTTAATGGGAGAAGTGTCAAAGAATAGGAGGCCCATCACCATCATTATCATTACACTGTGAGTATGTTTCTTGAATATGAGTAAAGAAAGAAAGTTTTTCATCATCCAACAGGAATTAAGTGAATATTTGCTTCAAGAAGTTATCCAGTTGGCTGGATACAGTGGCTCACACCTATAATCCCAGCACTTTGGGTGGCCGAGGTGGGAAGATCACTTGAGGCCAGGAGGTCAAGACCAGCCTGCGCAACATAGCAAGAACTCGGCCCCACAAAAAATTTAAAGATTAGCCAGGCATGGTGGTACATACCTGTAGTCCCAGCTACTCAGGAGGCTGAAATGGGAGGATTGCTTGAGGCCAGTGGGTGGAGCCCAGCTTGGGCAACGTAGTGAGACCTCGTCCCTACAAAAAATTTAAAAATTAGCCAGGCATGGTGGCGCATACCTGTAGCCCCAGCTACTCAGGATACTGAAGTGGGAAGATTGCTTGAGCCCAGGAGTTTGAAGCTGCATTGAGTTATGATCACACCACTGCATTCCAGCCTGGATGACAGAGCAAGACCCTATGGAAAAAAAAAAAATTATGTAGTTGTCCAGGGCAGGAACATTAATAGTGAGAATGAGTTTGATTCCCTAATACATAGCTTAACACCAGATTTTTTTTCATTCTGTACCTCTAAATAATAAAAAGATGTGATCATTTGTAATGTTTTTTTTTAATATAGAGATGGGGTTTCACCATGTTGGCCAGGCTGGTCTCGAACTCCTGGCCTCAAGCGATCCACCTGCCTTGGCCTCCCAAAGTACTGAGATTACAGGCGTGAGCCACCGTGCCCAGCCTTCTAATGCATTTTTAACTTTGAGAATAGAAGTATGAGGGATGCTGTTTTTTCCTCATGCTTGACATGAAGCAAAAGCAAGTTTTGCCTTCACTAATGTATTTAGTTCTCATAATCCCTTTACATACTTACTTGCCTTTGCCTTTAAATTAAAAAAAAAAAGTTGTTACCTACCTGTAGAGCAGTGGTTCTCAAACTTTAATATGCAATAGAATCATATGGAAAGCTTGCTAAACACAGATTATCGGGCCCCACCCCAAGAGTTCTGATTCCATAATTGTGTTCAAGACCAGCCTGGGCAACATAGTGAGACTTTGTCTTTACAAAAGATTTTTAAAATTATCCCAACATGATGGTGCACACCTATAGTCCCAGTTACTATAGAGGTGGCTGAGGTGAGTGGATCACTTAAGCCCAGGAGCTCAAGACTGCTGTGAGCTACGATCATGCCACTGCACTCCAGCCTGGACAACACAGCAAGACTCTGTCTCTAGCAATAATACTTTTGAGGTGGGGCCAAGAATTTTTATTTCAGTAAGAAGTGTCTGGGTGATGCTGGTCTGAAGACTCACACTTTGAGAACCACTGTTTCTGAGAAAATGTAGAACCAAACCCAAAGCTTAGCTTTGATCTCACCAAATTACTCAACTATGCAAACCTGCAAGAGCTTTTAAGTGTCTCGTAATCGCTTATGAGATTTATGTACTAACTATAAGAAGAACAGCAACAATGATAGAAACTACAACCGCTATCACCACTTACTGAGTGTTTAACACACATCAGACATTTGGCAAGCACTTTGCACCCATTATTTTATGGAATCCTTACAAAGCCCACTGAAATATTCCAATTTTACAGATGAAGAAACTAAGGCCGTATTATGGCTAAGTTTCCCAACATCCACAGTAAATGAAAAGCTGGACCCATGTCTTTCAGAATCCAAAATCCTTGCTCATGCTCTTAATAGCTAACTTCTCCCCATCCTCTCAGGTGGCCAAGAGCAACTCCTCATCCCAAGAGAAATAATAGTCTCTCTTCTTTGGCTCCTTATTATTTTATTTATTCCTTTTATAAAATTATTGTTACATAGTATAGTGCTAAGTTATTTTTATGTCTGTCACCCTCTTCAGACTTTAAACTTTATTGATTCATTTAACAAATATTCAAGGTATGAATTCTAGCAATGACCTAACAGAGAGTTTGCATTCCATAAATGCTTCTTGAGCTAATGAGTGAATGAAATCAGAAGGGAAAAATCAGGGCAGAAAACCTTGACCCGTCACTGTGTAGATGAATGAGTTTCTGTGAAAATGAACAAGTGATTGTTATGTGTATATGTTCGTGGGTTCCCTGTTTCTCTAGGTCACACCAGACTAAGTTACAATTGGGAAACATTATTATTAGGTTGGTGCAAAAGTAATTGCGGTTTTCACAATTAAGAGTAATGGCCAAAACCACAATTAGTTTTGCACCAACCTAATATAACAGTAACTAAGTAATAGCCACTGGTCCAGCCATCCTTGGTGGAGTCTCTGCAAGCCCAGCTCATCGGCTCTTTCTGGCTTGTTCCTGCTCCTGTTCACAGAGTCCTGGATGTGTCTCACAGGAACCCTCCGATGTCACTGCCCTGTGCAAAGGATTTCATCATTCCTGTTGCACCTTCTGTGGCTCCCAGTGGCAGGACAGTCGTGTCCCCACAGGCTTATGCACTGCTCCTGGGGTTACCTGGATTTGACCCCTCCTGAGGTGGCGGTGTCTGCCTTCCTCTGATCTCTGTGCAACTGCTGCGGGCTGAGATGTTACTCTAGGCACTTCTAACATAAACCACAAGACAGAGACCTGTGCTTTTGACTTCCGTTAGGGTCTCAAAAGATAGTCCTTTTCTTCTTCTTTTTTTTTTTTCACTTTAACACTTTTTAAATTTTTAACTTTTTGACTCTTGAAATAAGACTTAGCTGAAAAACACATACATTGTATAGCTGTACAAAAATATTTTTATATCCTTATTCTATTTATCTATTTATATAAGTGTTTTCTTTCCTTCTTTTCTTTTCTTTTTTTTTTTTTTTTTTTGAGACAGAGTCTTGCTCTGTTGCTCAGGCTGGAGTGCAGTGGAGCGATCTCAGCTCACTGCAACCTCTGCCTCCCAGCTCAAGCCATTCTCCCAACCTCAACCTCCTGAATAGTTGAGATGACAGGCGTGCACCACCACACTCGGCTATTTTTAGTAGAGACTGGGTTTCACCATGCTGGCCAGGCTGGTCTCAAACTCCCAACCTCATGTGATCCATCTGCCTGGCCTCCCAAAGTGCTGGGATTACAGGCGTGAACCACCGCACCTGGCCAATATAAGCATTTTCTATTTTTTAATTCTTTTTTTAACTTCTTATTTTTATTTTTCAACTTTTATTTTAGATTCATTGGATACGTGTACAAGTTTGTCACTGGGTATATTGTGTGATGCCAAGGTTTGTGGTACAGATGATCCCATCACCCGGGTACTGAGCATAGTCCTGAACATTAAACCCAACAGTCAGGTTTTCAAACTTGCCTCTCCTCCCTCCTTCCCCACTCTAGTGGTCCCCAAAGTCTATTGTTCCCATCTCTATATCCATGAGTACGTGATGTTCAGCTCGTACTTATAAGTGAGAACATGCAGTATTTGATTTTCTGTTCCTGTATTAATCCACTTAGGACTTTTCTTTTTTTAAATCCTTTTCCCTTTTATTTCAACTCATGATCTCCCCTTCCTCACTAACTACAACCAACAACAACCCCAACCAACTACAACACAGGGGCCAGGTTGTTCCTCTGGTGGGGAAAGGATGGGGCAAGTGGCGGGGACCCTGGTCAGGAGACAGTTGGATCTAATAGTCCCTGACTCACAATGTTCCACTTAATGATTTTCCACTATATGGTGGTGCAAAAGCAACACACATTTAGTAGAAACTGTATTTCAAGGACCCATACAACCATTCTGCTTTACACTTTCAATAAAGTATCCAGTGAATTACATAAGATGTTCAACTCTTCATTATAAAAGAGGCTCGGACTGGGCACAGTGTTTCATGCCTGTAATCCCAGCACTTTGGGAGGCCAAGGCAGGTGGATCACCTGAGGACAGGAGTTTGAGACCACCCTGACCAATATGGTGAAACCCCATCTCTACTAAAAATACAAAAAAATTAGCCGGATGTGGAGGCAGGCGCCTGTAATCCCAGCTACTAGGGAGGCTGAGGCAGGAGAATTGCTTGAACCCAGGAAGAAGAGGTTGCAGTGAGCCAAGATCGTGCCACTGTACTCCAGCCTAGGCGACAGAGCGAGACTCCATCTCAAAATAAGTAAATAAATAAATATGTTCGTTAGATGATTTTGCCCAACTATAGGCTAGTGTAAGTTCTGAATACATTTAAGTTAGGCTATACTAAGCTACAGTGTGCAGTAGGTTAGGTGTATTAAATTCATTTTCGACTTAGGGATATTTTCAATTTACGATGGGTTTTTCCAGACTTAGTCCCATTGTAAGTTGAGGAGCATCCATAATATGCCACGCAATAGTCAACGTCCTGCTTCTATCCAAACCCACGGTCAGAGTCACCAACCTCAGCCTGTGTCCTTGCCCATCATCTCTCACCAACCTCAGCCTGTGTAATTGCCCATAATCTCTCACCAACCTCAGCCTGCGTCCTTGCCCATCATCTGTCCAGGCATCTGGGGTAGCTCCATGATTACTGCAGTTCCAATGGCTTCATGATAGTAAGAGCAACACTTACTGAACTTTCAGTTCTAAGCCAGAGCCTCCTGTAAGCACTTCACATGCATTAACTTATCGAATTCTCACCTTGACCTCATGAAATAGCTTATCATCACACCTTTTCTAAAGATTAAAAAAAAACTAAAGCACTGAGAGGTTAAATAACTTGCCCAAGATTACACAGCCAATAAGTGTCAGGGCTGGGTTTTGAACTCTGTCCTTGCCTCTGGACAAGGGTTTTGTCTGCATCATGTGGCTCAGTGGTCCTCTAGACCGAAGCTCACCTAGATGGCCCCACATATCACAAGAGATACGTGCACAAAATAGAGACCCCCACACTGCACACGGGGCTAATTCTGCAAGATAATTTTGGGGAGGAATCTTAACTATTACTTTTTGTTTTATGTTAATGAATGAATCATTCTGAATGTGGGAGGTAAAGACTCAGTTCCTTTCTTGCTTCCAAATAACAGAGTGAAAAATATTGTCAGTAGCATCTTTGAGGAGGAAGGGAGAATATTTACTAAGAAATGCAGGAAAAGAATTAAAACTGGATTGTCACTGAAAAATCATATGGTAGCTCAGATTCTTCTGATATAAAGTTTTTTCTATGGTATGGATCACCCAATGTATTGTGGACATACAGACAGTCACAGAAATGACCGTAAATCCTTCCTTCCAAACAGAGAGAGGTAAAAGGCACCTTGGGACCTGCACTGTTTAAGCTTTTTTTGTTTTTTTTTGTGAGACAGAGTCTTGCTCTGTCGCCAGGCTGGAGGTCAGTGGCGCAATCTCGGCTCACTGCAACCTCCGCCTCCTGGGTTCAAGCGATTCCCCAGCCTGAGCCTCCCAAATAGCTAGGATGACAGGCACGTGCCACCATGCCTGGCTTATTTTTTATATTTTAGTAGAGATGGGGTTTCACCATGTTGGCCAAGATGGTCTCCATCTCCTGACCTCATGATCCGCCCTCCTCGGCCTCCCAAAGTGCTGGGATTACAGGCGTGAGCCACTGTGCCCGGCCTGTTTGAGCTTATTCATGCAAACTTTAGCAGACTTGACTGGGATTTTTACTAACAGCTCTAATCCTCTGGGGTTTTCAGTGACAGATGCAGAACGTTGACCAAGATGGGTGGGGGCTGCGGGGGGAAGAAAAACAGAAAATCCCTCACCCCACAGAAAAGCAAGAGTTGGTTGATAGTTCCAGTTTTATCCTTGAGCCACACCGCATGTAATTTTTCTGCACATGAAAACATCTGGCTCAGATCATCATATCTTGAAAAGAAGAGCAAGCTACACATTTTCAACAATAGAGCTGATTAAATTATAGTGCAGTGCATCCACAGGAAAGAGGCCTGGAGCCATGAAAGTGGCTTTGGAATAATGCCCAATAATAGAAAGGAAAGCATTTTACAATCGCTATGGTCTGTATGGACCCACCTTCTCCTCATGTCTTTATCTCTATTTCCCACCCACTTCTGAAGGAGTTCAGTTTGGCTTCTACCCTCAACACTCCTGCACTGATAACCAGGGAGGTATCTGTGCAGTTAAAGCCAAAGGTCATTCTTTCATTTTCATCTTGAGAACATTCAGTATCCTCATCGTGTTTGTTTCATTCATTCATTCATTCATTCATTCATTCACATTTTCTTTTGGACATGAGAGATGATGCATTAAATGTTGAAAAACATCTTGGCCAGGCACAGTCAAGATCACATGTATAATCCCAGCACTCCGGGAGGCCAAGGCCGGCAGATCACCTGAAGTCAGGAGTTCGAGACCAGCCTGGCCAATATAGTGAAACCCCGTCTCTACTAAAAATACAAAAATTAGCCAGGCATGGTGCCACACTTCTGTAGTCCCAGCTACTCAGGAGGGTGAGGCAGGAGAATCACTTGAACCCGGGAGGCAGAGGTTGCAGTGAGCTGATATTGCACCACTGCACTCCAGCCTGGGCGACAGGGGGAGACTTCATCAAAAACAAAAAGAAAAAGATCTTAAGAGATAACAGCATACAGTTATTCATAGAGGTACATATCATTTCTTCTTAGGATTACAAAAGAAGTGTGTCTTCACTTCTTTACATTGACAATACAAAGATTCTAAGGCATATGGAACAGGCTAGGACCCTCAACTCTTTGTTACTCAAGCCCTTAGTCTTGTTCCTTACAACTTTTAGAGCTCACAACATGATTTTTAGGTTTATCAAAAAATGTCATGAATGTTTCTATATTTCTTGTTGGTTTATTTCTCATTATTGAGTTATATATTGCTGGAAGTTTAACAACTTCTCTTGAATTCCAACAGGAAGCATTTGCTAGGTAGGCATTTGGTACCTAATGGATAATCTTTCATGATGGATAAATCTGCCACATCAGTCTCTCTTGACTTTGAAAATTAAAATCTGGGCACTTTGGGAATTTCTGCTGTCTTAATTGGCTGGCCTGTCCTGTGAACAGCCGTCTTCTCTAAATGGTATAATAACTGCATTTCAGCGCTGTCTCATTGTGAGTCTTTTTGAAAGCTTTTAAAATGATGTTGTGTGATCCAAATTTAAATTAATAGTTAAGCAGTGTGTTCTACCACCAATGCAAATAACTCAACTGAATGACAATTGGATCCTGCTTCACTCAGTTTGCGCATAAATGGTTGAGGAAAACTACATCATAGGTGACCCCCGTTGGTGGTAGCCAAATTTCATAGTCTACTGTGTGAACCATCATGATTTCAGAAGCACTAAAATATAGAAACATACATTCTTGGCCAGGCACAGTGGCCCATGCCTGTAATTCCAACACTTTGGGAGGCCGAGGTGGGCAGATCACTTGAGGCCAAGAGTTTGAGACTAGCCTGTCCAACATGGTGAAACCCCATCTCTACTAAAAATACAAAAATTACCCAGGTTTGGGGGTGCATGCCTGTAATCCGAGCTACTTAGGAGGCTGAGGCATGAGAATTGCTTGAACGCCGGAGGCAGAGGTTACAGTGAGCCGAGATCGCACCACTGCACTCCAGCCTGGGTGACAGAGCCACCCTGTCTCAAAAAAAAAAAAAAAAAAAAAAAGTATGTTCTTGAATAGAAGAAATATGTTGTCACTATTTCTCCTTTTGGTTTCAGTGATTTTTTTTAATGTTCTCCAGCAATTTGTGGATTTATTTTGCAATTAGAAACAACTCACAAAACAACTACCAGTTCTAGCGTGGGCTGTGGTAGATTGAGCCTTTCAGAGAGTGTATGAAGTGGTGGTTTCAGCTCTCCAGTGGCTGTATCCTGCCTTCTAAGCAAAGCCTGGAATTTGTGCTCTGCCTAGGGCTGATGCCCAAACCTCAGTGGACAGGCCTGGTTTTCATTACTCCAGTAATAAGCAAGTTCATTACTTCATTGCTTGGAATCTTTAGCAAATATCCCCTCTGGGCTCCTGGAAGTTAAAAAGCCATTTGACACTAATATGCTCATGCTAAGTAAAAGAATTTTACTAATCGCCCAGGAAAATCTTCCTTGCACTAGAAAATGTTCATCTTCCAGTTGATGTTGAATGTTCTCTCCACAAAAATAATAACTGAGGTAAAGCATTTGTTAATTAGCTAGAACTAAGCATTCAACAATGTACACATACTTCAAAACATCCTGTTTCACATGATAAATACATAGAACTGTATCTGTTGGTTTAAAAAATAAGTTTTTTAAAAAGTAAAAAATAAATTGTCTTCCTTGCTGAAGCCAAATGAAAAATTGAGTCTAAAATATTTTAGGTTCTCCCACTTCCTCCTTCTCCATTTCCAGCTTGGAGTTGGAAGGAGAGAAAAGATTAATTTTTCTACATCATTGCTCAAAATCTTGTGATTACCAGAAAAGTTCCACTTCAGCCTGTTTATTAAGTAAGACATCTAGATCCAGGCATCTGTTTGCATCTCCTTTTTAACCAAGCTAAAGGTAGGTCTCAAGGCCATGGCCAGATCTGGACCTTGGCTTAACATTATCTGTTCTAGAGGCGGAAACGCCATCATGTCTATGAAGACATAACCCAGTTTTAGAAGTTTCTAGAAGCAGTGATGTAACAGACACCTCCCTCCTTTGAGATGAGAACGTGGCTCTATGAAAGCAGGTTTCTGTTTGACTCTCGCTGATGTGTCCGTGTCTTCCCTTGTTTTTTCTTTTTCTTTTCTTTTTTTTTTTTTTTTGAGATAGAGTCTCACTCTGTTGTCCAGGCTGGAGTGCAGTGGTGCAATCTCGGTTCACTGCAACCTCCGCCTCCCAGGTTCAAGCGATTCTCCTGCTTCAGCCTCCCAAGCATCTGGGATTATAGGCCCCTGCCACCACACCCAGCTGATTTTTATATTTTTAGTAGAGACGGGGTTTTGCCATGTTGGCCAGGCTGGTCTTGAACTCCTGACCTCACGTGATCTGCCCACCTGGGCCTCCCAGGAATGAGATTACAGGCCGGAGCCGCCGTGCCTGGCCTTCCCTTGCTTTTTCTTTGTGTGGATTTGAGTACATGTCAGATGTGCTGTGTGTGTCTAAGTGTGTGTTCCACCTGTGTTTTTCCTTCACACAATCCCAGGCCCTGATATGTTGTCTATATGGCTTATTTTCTGGAGCAGACAGGAACAGTGTAATGAAAGAGATCAGACTTGCGTTTAAATCCCATCCGGCCATGGATGTCCTGTGTGATCTTGGGCATGTCATTCGAACTCCTGACCACAAGCTCCTCATCTAAGAAAAGAGTGATATTATCTACCCCCACATGGTTTCTATGAGATTTAGACCAGATAATATATCAGCAGTACACAGGAGAGATAATATTTTTTTTCCTTTGCATAGTCTTTCCCTGCTACTGCTTTTCATTCTGCTCTTCTCCCTTCTTCCCCTTCTCTGTTTTTTGTTTGTTTGTTTTGTTTTGTTTTTTAACCCAGGTCGAGTCAATTTCAAAGGCTGGTTCTGCTTCTTTTATTCTCCAGCTTTTCATTTTGAAAAGTTTCAAAGCTTACACCAGTGCAGTGGTTCATGCCTATAATCCCAGCACTTTGGGAGGCCAAGGCCAGAGGATCGCTTGAGGCCAAGAGTTCAAGACCATCTTGGGCAAGATGCTGTCTTTATAAAAACTTTTTTTTTTTTTTTTGAGAGAGTCTCCCTCTGTGGCCCAGGCTAGGGTGCAATGCCACAATCACAGCTCAGGGCAACCTCCGCCTCCCGGGTTCAATCTATTCTCCTGCCTCAGCCTCCCGAGCAGCTGGGATTACAGATGCCCGCCACCACGCCTGGCTAATTTTTATATTTTTGGTAGAGACAGCATTTCACCATGTTGGCCAGGCTGGTCTCAAACTAAAAATTTTTTTAACTAGCTGGGCATGGTGGTGTGCACCTGTAGTCCCAGCTACTTGGGAGGCTGAAGCAGGAGGATTGCTTCAGCTCAGGAGTTCAAGGCTGCAGTGAGCTCTGATTGCACCACTGCACTCCAGTCTGTGTGACAGAGCAAGACCCTGTCTCAAAAAAAAAAAAAAAAAAAGAAGAAAAGAAAAGAAAGGAAAAGAGACAGTTTTAAAAAGTTTTAAAACTTAAAAAAAGTAAGAATCGTGTAATGGACAGGCATGTACCCTTCACCAAGATTCACTCATTATTTACATTCTGCTACATTCCTGCTTTATTTTTTTCACCATTTATCTCTTAAGAACAAAGACGTTCTGTCTTTGTTACACAATGCATGTATCACAGTACAGTAAATGTACAGTAAATGTGATCATGCTCAGTAAATGTTATGTGATTTAATACTATATTCTGATATATAGTCCATATTCAACTTTTCCAATTACCCAACAATGTCCACTTTTCTGTTTTTATTTTTATTTATTTATTCTTTTTAAGGCGGAGTCTTGCTCTGTCACCCAGGCTGGAGTACAATGGCGTGATCTCAGCTCACTACAATCTCCGCCTCCCAGGTTCAAGAGATTCTCCTGCCTCAGCCTCCTGAGTAGCTGGGATTACAGGCGTATGCCACCATGCCTGGCTAATTTTTGTATTTTTAGTAGAGGCGGGGTTTCACCATATTGGCCAGGCTGGTCTCGAACTCCTGACCTCAGCTGATCCACCCACCTCGGCCTCCCAAAGTTCTGGGATTACAGGTGTGAACCACCGTACCCAGCCCTACTTTTCTTCCCAGACCAGTTACTTTGTTCATTTTGCAGAATATTCCTCAGTTTGGATTTAGCTGATCAATTCATCTTGATTTTGGTAGCAGTATTACAGAGGTGAGGCTGTGTCCTCAGGGGATTGCATCAGTGGGGCACACGATGTCACATGGTCCCATTATTGATAATTCTAAGTTTGATCATTTGGTTAAAGCCATGTCCACCAGATTTTCTCAATTAAAAGTATTTCTTTGATAAGTGTTAAGTAATAGTTTTCATATAGTTTTACTTCTGAGTCTTGTTGTGCATTTTGGGGTCATATTCTCATTTTTTCACCTACCCTGGAGTTTGACTTTGCAGAGTGGAATGATACTTCAAGTGAATACCATGTTCTCCAACCATCTTTCACCTAGTGGTTTATTCATTCATTGTTTATTCTTGCCACCCACCATGGTGGTTGTAGAATTATGTCTTTTGAAAAAATTCTATCATTGTCTCTTCTACTGCTCTCTCTTAAGCTGTTAACCTACTTTGCAATACTTTTGAAGATTTTTCATGACCAAGGTAGGCACTATGCTTAGCAACAAAACACAAAGGCGAATAACACGGCCTCGACTCCTGCCCCTGTGGAGCTTGAGTGAATATACCATGTTTCTAATTTTTTTGAGTCAAGGTCTCACTCTGTCACCTGGGCTTGAATGCAATGTTAGATCACAGTTCACTGCAACCTCAAACTCCTGGGCTCAAGTGATCCTCCCGCCTCAGCCTCTCAAGTAGCTAGGTGCATGCCACCACATCCAACTAACTTTTTAAAATTTTTTGTAGAGACGGGATCATGCTGTGTCGCCCAGGCTGGTAGTTTTTTAAATTTATCCATTTATTTAACAAATAGTCACTCAGAGTCTATCATGTATTTACATTATTCTATTTACTGAGAATCCAACAGTGAACAAAAACAGTCAAATCCCTGCCCTCACCGGGCTTACACCGTAGTTGATGAGCGGGAAGAGAGTATAATTAGAGAAAGCAGAGGTGGTAGAAACAGTTGATTTTGAAATAGGTCAGGGCTCAGTAATGAGGAGACATTAAAGCAAAGACCTAAAGGCAGTGAGAGAACCGCTGTTTGGGTGAGTAGGGAACAGGTGTTCCAGGCAGAGAGAAAAGCATGAGCGAATGCACGCTCACAGGGTTCGAGTTACAGCTGGGAGGCTCATGTGAGCAGAGCACAGAGATAAAATCCAAGGGGCCAGTGAGTGGGGCGGGAGGATGGAGGCGGTTGAGAAGGTAGCTGAATGTGTGAATTAGAAGGAGGCGTTTGGGGCCAGGCATGGTGTCTCATGCCTGTAATCCCAGCACTTTGGGAGGCCAAGGCAGGTGGTTCACTTGAGGTCAGGAGTGGCGCATGCCTGTAATCCAGCTACTCAGCAGTCTGAGGCAGGAGAATCACTTGAACCTGGGAGCTGGAGGTTGCAGTGAGCCAAGATTGTGCCACTGCACTCCAGCCTGGGCAACAGAGCGAGACTCCGTCTCAAAAAAAAAAAAAAAGGAAAAGAAAGAGGCACTTGGGCTGGAGATGTGCTTTGGGGGTTGGCAGCATATGTATGGTATTTAAAGCCCTAAGAGCACCAAGGGAGTGAGTGTAGACCAAGGCTGAAGAGAAATGAGGTCAGGAAGGATGAGGAGGAACCCACAGAGAAGGCTGGAAGGAGAAGCTGGTAAGGTAGATAGGGATGGAGCCAGAATCTCTGGGGCCTGAATCTTACACAATTTTGGGAGGCTCCCTTTTAAAAAGAAGGGATTTTTTTCTACTTGGGGTGGGAGATGAAGTCTCCCTTTAAAAAAATACAAAATTGTCAATGAAAAATTAAGGACAAGAGGGAATATTTATTTAGAGCCAAAAAGGAAATCACAATGAATGACCAATTTTTAAAAATTGACATATATTCACGCCTGTAATCCCAGCACTTTGGGAGGCCGAGGCGGGCGGATCACGAGGTCAGGAGATCGAGGCCATCCCGGCTAAAACGGTGAAACCCCGTCTCTACTAAAAATACAAAAAAATTAGCCGGGCGTAGTGGCGGGCGCCTGTAGTCCCAGCTACTTGGGAGGCTGAGGCAGGAGAATGGCGTGAACCCGGGAGGCGGAGCTTGCAGTGAGCCGAGATCCCGCCACTGCACTCCAGCCTGGGCGACAGAGCGAGACTCCGTCTCAAAAAAAAAAAAAAAAAAAAAAAAAAAAATTGACATATATAACAAACATGTACATGTACCCCTGAACCTAAAATAATTTTTTAAATAAAATAAAGAAAAATATTTAAAATCATGGCTGGGATAGGAGACAGCAATAATTTATAAAGTGTATAATTTATAAAGTGTATTTGTTATTAATCACTAGAGATCACTGAACCCAAAAGGACTTAACTGTGATACTTTACTGTGAAAAAATAGTTTTCACTGCCTAAAATGAAACTCTTTATTTTACAGCATTATTAGAATATGCAAACATTTGAAAAAAAACAATAAAAATAAAAATTGACACGTAAGTGTATATATCTAAAAAGCAACATTGTAATCTTTATGATGATTAAATAACTTGCTGATGTATTTTTGCTACGCTTTTGGCTGCATATTCTTTTACCTTCTCTTCCTATAGGGAATAAATTTGAAATACAATTTTCTGTATAGATGATTTAGTGTCTCCTCCAGCATGGCTGATCAAAATTAATTTTTAGGATTGAGAGTTGAGAAGAAGTTGACTTTTGCTTGACAGCTCTAGATGGTAATGCCTCCTCTGTAACTTCCTCTGTGGTTTCTAGCTCTGGCGGTACTTCTTGCCAGTGAACAAGGCCTCAGAGAAGTGCAGCCTTTGTTCTTACTAACATGGCACCCTGTGGCATCCAAAGGCCCAGGCGACAGCTGGACTGTTTGGCCAGGACCACAGAACCATCAGTTCCCACCACCCTCCCAAATCCTGAGCTGGAGCTGGGGGTGACATAAGGTAGCCAGGAAGCTTGGATCAAGGTGACCCCGGGCAAGGAGCAGAGCAGAGCGTTTCCTTCAGATCTTCTCCTTGGATTGGGACATGAGATCTAATGTCCACGAAATGCATCATGGGAGGGCTTTTGCTGGACTCCAAGTAAAGTGGAGATAGTGCTGGTAGTCGCCTGACCCCACTCCAAGACCTAGGAACCCTGACCCAGGTGACCTCCCAGCAACAGAACAGTGTTGTGTTGTGTGCTGCTGCTGGGGTGCCAGAGGAGACATGTGGCATCAGAAGGGTCCTGCAAGTGAGAAGCCCTGAAATGTAAGCTTCTTTGTTGGCTTCAAGGTACATTGGCCTCTGTGAGGAGGAAAACCAGGAAAGAAAACTGTCAGGAAAGCCAAGTGAAGAAAATATTTCCAGGAGGGAGTGATCAATAATATTAAAGGCTGTATAAGATGCTGACTGGGAACTAACCATTGGATTTCACAACAGAGAGATCATTGGTAATCTCTTCTTTCAAAATAACTTTAATATTGGAATGGTTGAGCTGCTTCTTTTTTTTTTTTTTTTTTTTTTTTTTGGTAAACATGGGATTTCCCCATGTTGCCCAGGCTGGTCTCTAACTCCTGGGCTCAAGTGATCTGCCTACCTCGACCTCCCAAAGTGCTGGGATTACAGGCATGAGCCACCATACACCACAGATTGTTGGTAATCTTGGCACACAGTTTGGTGACATAGTGCAAACAAAAGTCCAGTTGAGATAGATTCATGAGAAAATAAAGACAAGTAGGGGACAGTGAATTGACCTAACTATTCACAGGACTTTTGTTTCTAAAAAGAAATGTTCATGATTTTTATTTATTAATACAACATGATAAACAGAGTATTTTCTATTTGTATCTCTTCAAAAAATTCTAAATTGCATTGTCCCTCTGGTTTTAGGTCACAGTAGGTCCTAAATACAAAAGCAGTTCCCCATTCCTTATATAGACACCCAAAGTAGAAAAAAAAAGGGAACTTAAAATAATCTAGAGACTTGGCACTCTCTTTCCAACCCGTGGGCATCCAAGTGAAACTAGTCTACAACTTGTCTCCCAGAGCTGGAGGCCAGACAGACAGATGGAAGTGGGGATGTTGGGTTCATATGTGCTGACCTCTGTTGTCCTGTGTCAAGTGTTCTTGCACTTGAGTCCTGGGGAACATTTTTGGGTGTTGTTCAGTTCTCTCACTTTTTTCTAACTGAAGCTTGACTTAGCAGAGTGTCCCCACCTTGTCCCACCCACTTATTTCCAAATTGCTTTGATTTTATG
Source organism: Homo sapiens (assembly GCF_000001405.40). Lineage (NCBI taxonomy): Eukaryota > Metazoa > Chordata > Mammalia > Primates > Hominidae > Homo > Homo sapiens. The sequence goes on from NC_000010.11 coordinate 26,481,377, forward strand.
CAAAACATAAATTTTTCACTAACTTTATGGTTTGCATAAAATCACAGCAATTTGGAAATAAGCACATTTAAAAATTGTATCTTTTATTTTTTGTTTTGTTATTTTTGTTTTTATTTTTTAATTTTAGAGACAGGGTCACACTTTGTCACTCAGGCTAGAGGGCAGTAGTGCTGTCATAGCTCACTGTAGCCATGAGCTCTTGCGCTCAAAGGATTCTCCCACCTCAGCCTCCTGAGTAGCTGAGACCACAGGTGCGCACCACTATGCCCAGCTAATTTTTTTGGCAGAGGGGATAGAGATGGGGTCTTGCTATATTGCCCAGGCTGGTTTTGAACTCCTGGCCTCAAGTGATCCTCCCACCTCTGCCTCCCAAAGTGCTGAATTTCAGGTGTAACCCACCGCACCTGGCCTAAATCATATTTTTTAAAATGTGGTAGCCCATCTCATTACGTGTGTGTGTGTGTGTGTGTGTGTGTGTGTGTGTGTGTGTGTCTTTACTGCAAAATTCTAAGACTTTTCAAAGCACTCTCTTAGTATTTTTTTAAATTACTGAAATAAATCATTTCATTTAATGATTAGTTTTTTATTTAAAATGTTATTTACAGGTAACTTTTGCCATGACAATATTGCTTACAAAAGGACCCTGTTGTCTTGGCTGTCCCTTCTGTGTGACCCTACCTATGTATATACACATGTCCATATGAATTTTGTTTGTGACTCACTGCATATTAGTCTGAATTGATCATATGACCACAGTCATTGTCCTTTTGATTCAGTAACTACTTGCTAGCCTATTAAGATTTTCACCGATCTCAGGGGTACAGTGCAAAGTTGGTTAAGTTGGCCCAAGAGGTTTCTTCACCTTAGTTCTCTGTTGAGTGAATTATTTGATATAATCCGTAACTTTAGAGATGCTTCTGTTTCCTGTTTTACGCTACACAGAAGCCTCGGCTTCCCCTTTCTCCTCCCTCAAACGTTGCAAGAACCTTTAACCATATGCTGTGTTATTCTGTGAACCACTTCCTCTTGATAAAACGCTTTCATTGCATTTTGAAAAAATACAACACTGAAGGAATCAGGTAAAATTCAATATTCTAAGTTATTTTCAATCACACTGTACACAGGTGACTTCACAGTTTCCACCAGCATTTGCGAGCATCCGAATTCTGTAGTGCGTATTTCATCCTAAGGGCAATCCCATTCATAAGCTTTTTAAAATTTTTTTCTCCTCTTTTGTATCTGTAGTTGTAATATGTCTACTGATTTATTTCCTAGAAAAAAATGTTGCCAGATGGTTTCTAATTAAAAAATAATAAAAATATCAAAGCAAATTGATACTTGGAGAGCCTCAGATTTTTGAAACTTATTTCTCATCAATTCCAGTTCTATTTTAGTTTTGGCAATCTAGTAATAAACTCAAAACACTGTAGGGTAAAAAAACAACAGTCCCTGTAACTCCAGCACTTTGGGAGGCTGAGGCGGGCTGATCACCTGAGGTCAGGTGTTTGAGACCAGCCTGGCCAACATGGTGAAACTCTTTCTCAAGTGAAAAAAAAAAAAAAAAATTAGCTGGTCATGGTGGCCGGTGCCTGTAATCCCAGCTACTTGGGAGGCTGAGGCAGGAGAAACTCTTGAACTGGGAGGTGGAGGTTGCAGTGAGCCGAGATCACACCATTGCACTCCAGCCTGGGCAACAAGAGCAAAACTCCATCTGATAAAAAAAAAAAAAAAAAAAAAAAAGCAGTCAATACTAGGATACAAACATTTTTCTTTAACTGTCTTTAACATAGAAAGATGTACAGTATGCAGATAAATTCATTGAAGAGAAGAAATACAGCTGAGGAAAACCCACACAGAAAAATCTTCCAGAAATTTGTTTAAGCCTCCAATCATGTCTGGGATCAATAAATATTTGATGACTGACTTACTTTGTGTAAACTCGATCGATTTACTTATCTCTGGATGCCTCAGTTTTCTCATCTAAGATGAATATAAAAGTGTTTTCATTTCACCTAGGGTGTGAGGATGGATTTAATCAGTCAATGCACGTAACGCACCAGGACAATCCCTGGCATGGAATGAGAACACCTAATAGTTATTCGCTGTTATTTTTATTATTATCAGGCAGGTAGAGAGCAAGGGGAGATTTCTCTCTCTCTCAACCCCAGCCATGCACAGAAGCAATTGAGTGAGGAGTTTTCTTCTTGGTAGACAGACAGGTAGCAACTTCTCTGGTTAATACTGAAGGCTAATTCTAACCTTCCTGAACTTCATTGACTGTGTCTCATTTTAATAATTGCAAAGTCATTTTTATACCTCCTCTGTTGTTTCATTTTTTTATCATTATTTATTTTGAGTCAGGGTCTTGCTCTTTTGCTCAGGCTGGAGTGCAATAGTGCAATCATGAGTCACTTCAGCCTTGAACTCCTGGGCTCAAAGAATCTTCCTGCCTCGGCCTCCTGAATAGCAGGGACTACAGGCGCATGCCAATATGACTGGCTAATTTTTTTATTTTTTGTAGAGACAGGGTCTTGCTCACAAATATTCTGTTTTGTCTTTTCTTTTCATTCTCAGTGCTCTGAAATTTTCATTCTGTTATTGGTATTAGTATCTTAGTCCAAGTAAAGACTAAGCATAACTAAAAGTACAGCTGAAACGGTGAAATTTGCAACCATTCAAATTAGCTTAGACAACCCGTGAGTTTGTAATATCTTAATACGGTGCTATAAGAAATATAAGAAAGCAGGGTTTTGACAGATAAGCTCCTTATAAAAATGTAAATAATATGAGTTTCTTCATTGTATTGACACTTGCTGCCACCGAAAACATCAACTCTGTAAACCCAAAACTTGATAATCACAAGAAGAGAAAAATCTTAACAAGTTTTTTATTTCATGCAGAAGTTGTTAGGACCACTTGTTTGTTTTGTTTTGTTTTGTTTTGTTTTGAGATGGAGTCTTGCTCTGTCGCCCAGGCTGGAGTGCAGCACGACCTCAGCTCACTGCAAGCTCCGCCTCCCGGGTTCAAGCGATTCTTGTGCCTCAGACTCCCAAGTAGCTGGGATTATAGGTGCGCACCACCACGCCCAGCTACTTTTTTGGTATTTTTAGTAGAGACAGGGTTTCACCATGCTGGCCAGGCTGGTCTCAAACTCCTGACCTCAGGTGATCCACCTGCCTCGGCCTCACAAAGTGCTGGTATTACAGGTGTGAGCCACTGCACCAGGCCTTTTTTGAACTTACATGAAAAATAGTGTATCCTTTTATTTGTTTTCTGTTTTATTAAAAAATTCCTATATAAACAATTGTATTATTACATATTTCACTTAATATATAAAATAGTACACTTTTATGACTAAATCTTTTAGTTTTAAGTGCATCAAATAATCCCTTAATTTAATACCATTCTGCTCAAAATTCAGTTTCTAGCATGAAATTGTAACACATTATTGTTATAACAAAGGGGTACACATGAAATTAGTTATATGATGTGAATTAAGAAATAATTAAGATAGAAAACATAAAGTGTTTTTATTTACTAAATGATGATTAACCTATTACTTGAAATGTTAACTGACTTTAGATTGAATTAGAAAAGAAGAAAAGTCATTGATACTGTCACTCAAGTTGCCTCAAGTTGCATGGTAGTTATCAGAATTTTTCTCAAGGCAACTAAAATTTTTGGTTTGAAAACTGATTCAGGCCTAAATAGATGTGAGCCCCAGTGAAAGTTTTGTTTACCAACAAAACACATCTGTGTGAGTATCAGTATTTACTCACCTGGAAATAGCATTGGAAAAATAAACAGTGTTATAGTGAATGAGGTTCCACAAACCTGTACCTATAGCAGCAGCTTAGAAACAGACTGTTTAACGGCTCTGATAGTTCTCGGAACCATGTTATTTGGCAGTCTCTAAGGACTGCCTGGCCCTGGAATGTGACATTTCTGAGTGTGTCACACCAGGAGCCATGTAGAACATGTAGCCAGTCAAGTGAGAGAGAACTTTCTATGAGGCTTGAGATCTGGACTCTAGCCCAGTTCTTCTCATTAGTCTGGGAAGCTACTTAATCTCTCTGGGTTTCCAACGACGCATTTCTGAACACAAACATCAACAAGATCTGATTCTTACTTAATAACAACTCCCAGTTTTCTAAGAGATTCTATAACGATAACAAAAAGAGTGTGATTCAGTGTGGCAAATGCTGATTGCAAATTCATGCTAAGTATTTTTGGCTATTTTGTTTAGATGTCACAACAAGCCTAAGAATTAGGCATTATTGTTTTCCTTATTTTATAGACAAGGAAACTGAAGTCCAAGGAGATTAAATACCATGTCAAGTTGGTTGTTAAGGCCAGGATTTACTGACATGTTTACCAAGTGCAGTAGATAGCAAATCTCTGCTGGGAATGAAGATACCATTAAAGTGTTAGCATGACAGCTGGATTTTGAATGATCAGTAGGATTTTATGAAGGAGATATGCACAGAGGAGGATATTATTTAAAGGGAATAGCATATACAAAGACAAAAAGAGTTCTAAAAAGCCTGTTCAGAAAACATCAAGGGTCCTGAGGCCAGGCCTGGTGGCTCAAGCCTGTAATCCCAGCATTTTGGGAGGTGGAGGTGCGAGGATCACTTGAGCCCAGGAGTTTGAGACCTGCCTGGGCAACATAGCAAGACCCTGTCTCTGCTAAAAATAAAATAAAATAATGTAAAAAAATATAAATAAATTAAAAAATAAAAGGCCCCGAATGGGACAAATTAGGAAGGACTTTGAAAGACACGCTGAGTGCCTGAACGCTCTCCACTTCATCATAAGCAGCCAGGGAAGATTTTTAAACAGGAGAGTGACACATTCACATTTGTATTTGCAATTTGCAGCAACGGTGGTGGTGAATATTGATGGGGAGTCTGGAAGGCTGGAGGCTGGGTGAGCTGGTGAGGTGTCAACTGTGGCTTGATAGAGAGAATGAAGGCAAGGAGAAGCCTTCTACAGGAAAAGCCAACAGATTCCTCGACCGACTAGATGGAAAAATGGGAGGAGTAAGGGACTATGCCAAGGGTTCTAAGTCAGACTGATATGTGACTAATGGCCTTTTACCAAGTTAAGGCGCATGGGAAGAGAATGCATGAAGGGGAGTAGTGAGTCGGAGCTACTTAGAGGGAAATGCCTGGGGGATGTTGAGCTGGCTGTGTTTAGGCAAGCTACTCTGACCGATGCAATAAAGGCCGCCCTCATCCAGGTCCAAAATTCCAGATTCCATGGCTGGAATTGCTGATCTTCACGGCATCCCAAACTGCATGCAAACTGAGTTAAATGTGTGAGATTAACTCTGCCGTCGATATAAACATATGTCCTGTAAACCATATGCATCACAGTACTTAGGATAAATGTTTAAAAGACATAGTTTTGAAATGTATCCAGGTGGAAAAGAGAAACGATTTAAGGATTGAAAAACTGAAGCCTAGAAATATTAAGCATTAGGGAAAATTTCCTTGTCGTTCAAGGAATCTAAGGGAAAGTTTTAGCCTGGACAAGCGGCTTCAACCACCTCACCCCTCATCTATCCAATAATAACAATAATAATCACAAAATCTAGCTGATTTTGTAGTATTTCCATTTCTTTTTCATCAACAACTTGTGGTTCTTCCCAAGACATAAAATGAACTCAGAAGTGACATACTCACAAAAAGATTCTAACTCCACCCAGTCACGATGTGAGCATGGCTTGTTTGCAATGCATTGCTTCACTGTGATAACTCCACCCCAGCTCTTTCTGGCTGCTAACCCAAATAAGACTTTTAGCTGTCAGGGCTGGGTGTTTTTTTTTTTTTCCTCTCTCTCTCTCTCTCTCTTTTAATCTTTATTTTGACCTTTGGAAAATACCACACGTACATATAGGCACAGCCCTATTTTCTTACGCTTGTGTGTGTGTACACTGTATACATGTGTATAACTCTTGTCTGTCCATTTCAATAATAAGGTTTTCTTGCAGGGAGGTCAATTATGTAATATGACTGAATTTACAGATTAATAATTTTTGTTAACAAACTGCCCTGAAGTCAAATGTCTTTTTATCTTCACCGTGGGTGCAACTGTGATCCATTCACAAGCAAGTTTACTTATGACTGTACGTTTCAGCACAATTTTGATGTTGGCTCCACTTAATAACTCAGTAACAGACTCTGGGGGAAAGGAATGAAAGGGCAGGGGAAAGGGCAGGGGGAAAGATTTTCACCAGATGAATGCAGGGAGAGGTCACGAGAACGCGCTGTTGTTTTGAGTTATTTCCATCTTAGGTGGATGATTCACTGTGGCACGTCATTAACCTGTTATATAGCAGTGGTGTGCACAGCCTGAGAAACGAAGGCCTTTGGGTTCAGTGGGTTTTTCTGACTCATCGATGTCACATTTCCAGACTTTATTTTAGTGCTTTTCCAAATTTAAGGGTTCAGGAGAATGAATCAATGGCAAGATTCTTGTTACTCAAATTATATTTGATTCCTATAAGCTTATTGTAATGCTAGTTGGCAGTTTTGAGGTCAGCAAACAAATCTATATTTATTCTTATAAAATGGATTACTCTCATAAAAAAATCTGAAATGTGTTAACACCAATAATTACTCTTAATAATAATTCATCTGAAGGATTCCTTTATTTTCTCACACTATTGTACTCAGATAGAAAGCAATTCACATGAGCAGTTCTGGAATTTTATTGTTTTTTCCATTAATTTCCCCTTATTAAAATAATAACTTAAAAACCCATGACAAGATTTTTAATACCATATTAGTTGTTTTGGGAGACAATTTGTGAAACCATGGAGATAATATCTACTTAAATACTTTCTGCCATTTTGTAGGAATTTTTTTTTTTTTTGAGAGAGTCTCGCTGTGTCACCCAGGCTGGACTTTGGTGGCACCATCATAGTTCACTGCAGCCTCGACCTCCTGGGCTCAAGCCATCATCCCGTCTCAGCCTCCCAAGTATGTGGGACTACATGCACGTGCCCCCACACCTGGCTAATTTTTTAATTTTTTGTACAGAAGTTTCTCTATGTTGCCCAGGCTGGTTTCAAACTCCTGGCCTCAAGCAATCCTCTCCCCTCGGCCTCCCAAAGTGCTGGGATAACAGGCGTGAGTCACCATGCCCAGCCTTGTAGGAAATTTAAAGAAAGGAGGATATGATTCAGATACTTTGTAAGCAACTGTGTGGGGATAAAACCCCATGGAAATGACTCCTCATGCTGACTTCCCTCATGAACCAGGGGCAGGGCCCACCTGCAGCCATCTTCCTCTCTTCTAGGTGCCATAAACACTTTTTTAATCCCAACAATACACACAAAATAGGACAAGGATCTTCCATCATCCGTCACTGATGCTGTGTTTGATTCCTCTCTGACTTTCCCTGCACACATAGACCTAGACCTTCGGTGTTTTTCTCACCTGTTGCTTCTATACCTGGGTGCTCACCTGCCTGCTTTGTGTGGTCTGACCCTTAGCATTCACTGAGTGGCTTCCTTGGATTCAAACACACACCTCCTTGTCCCATGTGTATGTACACCTGATTCTTTGGGATGCGTCTGCCACTAAGAAATGTGCTAGTTCAATGGAATCTAGACCTCTCTTAACTAAAGACCCCTTCTTGTACCCTCTCAATGCCTCCTGGCCAACACAGTTTTACAACTTCCCATGCTCCTGCAAGACACCTCCTACACTGGACGCCAGATAGGGCAGTAGAGAAAATTAATACATCACATAGCAATTCAAGCATCTGTCCTCCAAAATAAAACATGCAAAACTTAAACCTTGAAATGATGGTGGAATATGCTCAGTGACCTCTAGCTCAGGGTAGTTTTTGTGTTTCTCAAGAGGGAGTGACTAGAAGGACGGCAAAAGAAAAGTCACTGCAGGGAGCAGAACATTCAGATGGAAAATGTTCTCAGTCCTGTTTGGCGAGGGTGATAAGGTTATGTAGGAGAAGAAAATAATTTTTTTCTTCTTAAAATAGGGAGAAGGGGAAATATACGATGGAAAAATTAAGCAAGAAGATTTCATTATGTCAGATTTCCTAAATGATAAACGCAAGATAATTGTTGAAGATAATTTGGGAAGATTAAGTGCTAGCTTTGCAGGGTGGATATTTGGAGGATATGCACTGATTCACGCAAAATGATTTTACAGCCTCATCTGTTCTGATTGCTCAGCGTCAATGCTACCCTGGGTGCTAAATGTTGCTAATATCAACTCTGGCTTATAGAACAGCTCTTGCAAAAGAGTTAGTGCCAGATAAGTATTATTGTTATCACCATCATCATCATTTACATCACTTCACTTTTAAGAATTGTGATATTTTTAAAATCATTTGGCTGGGTGTGATGGCTCACGCCTGTAATCCCAACACTTTGGGAGGCCCAGGTGGGTGGATCACTTGAGGTCAGGAGTTCAAGAACAGCCTGGCCAACATCATGAAACCCCATCTCTACTAAAAATACGAAAATTAGCCAGGCATAGTGGTGGGTGCCCATAATACCAGCTACTCAGGAAGCTGAGGCAGGAGAATTGCTTGAACCCAGGAGGCAGAGTTTGCAGTGAGCTGAGATCAGGCCATTGCACTCCAGCCTGGGAGACAGAGTGAGACTCCATCTCAAAAGAAGAAGAAGAGGAAGAAGAAGATCAATGGAATCATTTTTAAGAAAGCAAAGTTAGTGTGACAAAGCTTATTTCATAGACATATTTAATAAAGAGACTAAGATACCCTGATTAGCTATAGCTATTAAAAATAAAAATATGTGACTGCTAAAATATTAAAGTCACTTAAAGGGTGAACTATAAGTTTTCAAGGTAATTTATTCAAGGAAAGATAGATTTGCCTCCACTTGGCCTATTTCAGCCCAGTAATTTATTTTAAATACACACATGAAGAGATAATAGTATTATGTTTATGATTTAGAAAGTATCTTTATGGGCCAGGCGTGGTGGCTCACACCTGTAATCCCAGCATTTTGGGAAGCAGAGGCGGGCGGATCACCTGAGGTCAGGAGTTTCAGACCACCCTGGCCAACATGGCGAAACCCCGTCTCTACTAAAAATACAAAAATTAACCAGGTGTGGTGGGGCATGCCTGTAATTCCAGCTACTCAGGAGGCTGAGGCACGAGAGTTGCTTTAGCCCAGGAGGCGGAAGTTGCAGTGATGTGAGATTGCACCACTGCACCCCAGCCTGGGCGACAAGAGCAAAACTCCATCTCAAAAAAGAAAAAAAGAAATGGAGTATCTTTATCTTTTAGCACTGCATTCTGAAATATTTATGGAAAAATAATATTTGCTTTAAAATATCTATTGTAGGAAGATATAAATGGAAAAAGATCAGTCCAGTTGAAAATTATTAAAGCTGGACAATGTGTACATGAAAATCATTATTCTCTCTGCTTTTTTATATATTTTTAATTTCCATATAAAAAGAATGAGATACAAATGCATGCATGTACAAATTCAAGTAAATATTGTGATTTGGCTTAAATAATACATACTGATTCCCTACACCCACCAGACTTCTCAGTATGAGCTATAATTGGCATTAATATTACAGTGTTTTAGAGCATTTTGAAATGTCCTTAGAGGCTGAGCAAGATGGCTCAATCTTGTAATCCCAGCACTTTGGGAAGTCGAGGCGAGTGGATCACCTGAGGTCAGGAGTTTGAGACCAGCCTGGCCAACATGATGAAACCTCGTCTCTACTAAAAATACAAAAATTAGCCGGGCATGGTGGCGGGTGCCTGTCATCCCAGCTACTCTGGAGGCTGAGGAAGGAGAATTGCTTTAACCTGAGAGACGGAGGCTGCAGTGAGCTGAGATTGCACCACTCACTCCAGCCTGGGGGACAGAGCAAGACTCCATCTAAAAAAAGAAAAAAAAAGAAAGAAAAGAAAAGAAAGAGAGAAATGCCGTTAGAAATGGTCTGCAGCAAATTCCTCATGTTACAGATGAAACAATTGATTACCTTTGCCAAACTACATAATGCTAGTTAAGTGGCCAAAGGACTAGTAATGTCTCCTAACTTCCCAACTTAGCCTTGCCAAAAATGTCAGGAAACAGAGCAGCCAGTTGCAACTCACAGTGCGTCCCACCCTATTTTGTCGCAAACTTTTCCTCTTCTTGGGCAATTGCTTCATTTGGTTTAGGCAAAGAAAGGTTAAAATGTAAAAAAAGTTTTCTTTCTATCTCTTTTCACTTGGCAGGGCTGCCATTTAAGTTCTAAGGGTTTGTCCACCAGTACTTCTAAATAAATGTACTAAAAACTATTATTTCAGAAATATCTTTTGAAAGCAGGGAATTATTGGGTAAATATGCTTAATCACTCCTCACATCATTTTTGTGTAAGGTTTTTTTTTTTTTTTTTTTGGAGACGGAGTCTCACTCTGTCACCCAGGCTGGAGTGCAGTGGCGCAATCTCGGCTCACTGCAACCTTCACCTCCTGGGTTCAAGCGATTTTCCTGCCTCAGCCTCCCGAGTAGCTGGGACTACAGGCACGTGCCACCACACCCAGGTAATTTTTGTATTTTTAGTAGAGATGGGGTTTCACCATATTGTTCAAGCTGGTCTCAAACTCCTGACCTCAGGTGATCTGCCTGTCTCGGCTTCCCCTAGTGCTGGGATTACAGGCGTGATCCAGCCTGTTTCTTTGGTGCCAAGAAGACTAGTTTAGCCTGGAAAAATTCAACTGTGGCTCTGAGGCATTTCCCAACGTTTGGCACAATCTTGGATCAAGCAGATTGGATAGAAGCCAGGCATGAAATTTCAGGCTAACATAAGCCTTCCTCTCAATATAGTCCTCTCCCAACTTAGCTGCCCATGGATGGGGCTCTTGGGGGAAAGAGAGGGATGCAAAGAGTATCCTAGGATCAGGCTTTTATGAGACTGCTAATATCTCAGTTTCTTCCTTTTTCAGATGGGTGAGTCAAGTGAAGACATAGACCAAATGTTCAGCACTTTGCTGGGAGAGATGGATCTTCTGACTCAGGTAAACTTCCCTTTTTAACTGGCAAATTGGAAAACAAAAATAGAGTTGCAGAATTTCATTGTAATATGACAAGGGAGCTGTCTTTTTTAAAACCCTGATATCGGGGGAACCAGCCCCCGATATTTCAATGTAGGTTCTTTTCTATTTTCCCTAAGTGACGGCGGGTCTGAGAAATAAAGGGAAGAGTACAAAAGAGAGAAATTTTAAAGCTGGGTGTCCAGGGGAGGCATCACATGTCGGCAGGTTCCATGATACCCCCAAGCCATAAAACCAGCAAGTTTTTATTAGCAATTTTCAAAGATGAGGGAGTGTATGAATAGGGTGTGGGTCACAGAGATCACATGCTTCAAGGGCAACAAAATATCACAAGGCAAATGGGCAGGGCAAGGTCACAAGGTCAGGGAGAAACTAGAATTATTAATGAAGTTCCATGCCCCGCTGTGCACGCATTGTCATTGGTAAACATCTTAACAGGGTTCAAGAGCAGAGAACCAGTCTGACTAGAATTCGCCAGGCTGGAATTTCCTAATCCTAGCAACCCTGGGGGCGCTGCAGGAGGCCAGGGCATGTTTCATCCGTTATCTTCAACTGCATAAGGCAGACACCCCCAGAGCGGCCATTTTAGAGGCCCCCCCGGGAATGCATTCTTTTCCCAGGGCTATTAATTATTAATATTCCTTACTGGGGAAAGAATTCAGTGATATTTCTCTTACCCGTTTTCGGTAATAAGAGAAATATGGCTCTGTCCTGCCCGGCTCCCAGGCAGTCAGACCTAATGGTTATCTCCCTTGTTCCCTGAACATCACTGTAATCCTGTTCTTTTTTCAAGGTGCCCAGATTTCATATTGTTTAAACACACATGATTTACGAACAATTTGTGCAGTTAACGCAATCATCACAGGGTCCTAAGGCGACATACATCTTTAGCTTATGAAGATGACAGGATTAAAAGATTAAAGACAGGCAGGGAAATCACAAGAGTATTGATTGGGGAAATGATAAATGTCCATGAAATCTTCACAATTTATGTTCAGAGATTGCAGTAAAGACAGGCGTAAGAAATTATAAAAGTATTAATTTGGGGAACTAATAAACGTCCATGAAATCTTCGCAATTTAAGTTCTTCTGCCATGGCTTCAGCCGGTCCCTCCATTCGGGGTCCCTGACTTCCCGCAACACCCTGAAGATTGGCAACATTATATAGTTCTGATATAATTGTGACAATGATGGGTTAAAGAAAAAGCTTGTTCCTGACTATATTCTTTTGAGTTCAGTTAATTTAATACATTGATTAGACATACATCAAGCTCATAGTATCCAAATATTTACCAATAGAGAAATTTACCCCCAAGTTTACTATCCTACAACCACCAGCGCTGAGCCATTTCCCTGTGGTTACTTCTATAAAGACTCACTAATAAAGTATTATCTTTGTTTGATTTTGGGGTTTTCTTGAGAGACAGAGTCTCACTGTGTTGCTTAGGCTGGAGTGCAGTGGCACAATCACGGTTCACTGCAGCCTCAACCTCTTGGGCTCAAGTGATCCTCTGGCCTCAGCCTCCCAAGTAGCAGGGACTACAGGTGCACGCCACCACACCCAGCTAATTTTTTTTTTCTTTTATAGAGACGAGATCTCACTATGTTGCCCAGGCTGGATATCATCTTTAGTAAAGACTTTTTACCAACCCTTGAGGAAATGCTACATTTTAAAGAACTAAGTGGGAGTTATGGTGACCTTGTGATTAAACTGTAAGAACTCAGTACCCTCAAAGGAATGTGAAAACCACTCAACCATAGACTGAGAAAAAAGCCCCTGGCATCAAGATCAGATTGACTCAGAGGTCACTGAGCCCCACTGTCAGCGCCACTACAGCCTGGCAGCTGTAGGGCCAGGGGCCCTAAGTGGCAGGGGCCACTAAGCCAGGTTACAGTCAGGTGGGCTTTAGAATGTCTTAGAGTGTGCTCATAAATGAGCCTTTGACTAATAAGTTAATCAGCTCATCACTTTTCTGCATAAAATATCAAAAGAAGAATAAGCCAATATTCCTAAATAAGATAAGGATCTTCAAAAGCTTTCTAAAAAAAATAAATGAATAGACTGTGTTTTGAAAGACTTATTTATTTTAGGAAAAAATAAACCAATTCTAGACCGGGCACAGTGGCTCACACCTGTAATGCCAGCACTTTGGGAGGCCGAGGTGAGTGGATCACAGGTCAGGAGTTCGAGACCACGCTGGCCAATATGGTGAAACCCCATCTTTACTAAAAATACAAAAATTAGCCGAGCGTGGTGGTGGGTGCTTGTAATCCCAGCTACTCAGGATGCTGAGGCAGGAGAATCATTTGAACCCAGGAGGCAGAGATTATGGTGAGCTGAGATTGTGCCATTGCACTCCAGCCTGGGCAACAGAGTGAGACTCCATCTCAATAAAAACAAAAATAAAAAATAAACCAATTCTAGTTAGCATCTACTTTATATTCCCAATAAGAGTCAGAAAAGTTTAGATTCTATGAAAGAAGGGATAAGATACAAGACAGTTGGCTTAGAGGAAGGGGTGCTGGTTAAAAGGTGTTAGGATGGCAACCATATTTCTTTCTTTCTTTCTTTCTTTTTCTTTTTTTTTTTTTGAGATAGAGTCTCACTCTGTCACCAGGCTGGAGTGCAGTGGCAAGATCTTGGCTCACTGCAAGCTCCGCCTCCCAGGTTCAAGCGATTCTCCTGCCTCAGCCTCCCGAGTAGCTGGGATTACAGGTGTGCACCACCACACCCAGCTAATTTTTGTATTTTTAATAGAGACGGGGTTTCACCATGTTGGCCCACATGGTCTCTATCTCCTGATGTTGTGATCTGCCTGCCTCAGCCTCCCAAAGTGCTGGGATTACAGGTGTGAGCCAATGGCAACCACATTTCTTAAGATGAGGACTGTGTTTTCTCCTCCTATGGTGGAGGAGAGTTTAAGTGAACGTGTGTGGTCTCTCTGTACCTCATTCCTGCAGCCAGTGGGGGAAGTGTTCTGATGGGTCAGAGTCTGGGATTTTTGCAGGACCACATTTAAGTATTGTTACTGTAAGGCAAGAACAGGAAAGAAGCTGGGCATGATGGCTCACACCTGTAATCCCAGCACTTTAGGAGGCCAAGACAGGAGGCTCACATGAGCCCAGGAGTTCAAGACCAGCCTGGGCAGCATAGTAAGACCCCCGTCTCATTTTTGTTAAAAAAAAAAAAAAGAATAGGAAAGAGGCCCCTTTTAGTCTCTTGGACCTGCCTTCACACAAAGCCCTTTTGGTTTTTGCTATTTCTTTGTTGTGGCCAAGTGGATGTACTCATAGGTTTGCTTGGCTAAACAGCCCTGCCAACAGGTAGGTTCTCAAGATTGTAGGCTAAGGAAAAATTTTACTACGACAGACTGCATCCTCAAACAGCTTTTCTTCTCCAAGTAACTGGAGATTTCTTTATTTGATGTAATGACTTAAGTCATTACAGAATTTTATATATATATATTTATATAAATATATATTTTATATAATATATATTTAATATATATAAAATATATTTTATATATATTTAATATATATAAATATAATATATATATTATATATATATAGTGTGTGTGTTCACCATTACAAGAAATTATGTGTTCTTTATAAAAATTAACTACCTCATTATCATTGCTCTCAATTGACGTGGTCTGTTTCAAGATCTTCCTTCTAGAATAATTTTTAAGCTGTAATTTTCTATAGGGGAAAAATTACATAAAACATTTTCAAGTTACCATATGGTTTTCAGAGAACACACTAAGGGAGAAAATGTGTAAATGATACATGGTTTTTGACTTGCTGAGTAAAGTGTGCTACAGAAATGTTTGTATCATGAATAACTTTGATGGGGGGATCTTTTTTCACAGAGTTTAGGAGTTGACACTCTCCCTCCTCCTGACCCTAATCCACCCAGAGCTGAATTTAACTACAGTGTGGGGTTTAAAGATTTAAATGGTAAGCATAACAATTTCTTTTCTTAAGTAATTCAAAATCATAATGATGATTCAAATCAGTATGAAACTATAATTTGAAAACTAAATTAAAGGAACCTAAACATCATGATAAATATTGTTAAAATCATGGATTTCAGACTGGGTTTTACTGTGTCTAGATTGAATTGAGAGAGTCAAGAAGACATTTTCACCAATAATGAAAGGGAACACCATTCTGCATTTGTGAAAAGTCTCGAAATGATCTCGTGTTTTAAAGTAAGGGGAGTTTCTTCTTATTACTGAGCCCATAGAGTAACAAGGGGTAGTATACAAAAATATTAGTAAGGAAATGTCCCTTCAGTGATAGAAATCAACTATTTCATAATGATTAATAAATATGAATAGATACTTCATAATATTTTATTTAAAATATTTTTTAATTTATATATAATATATACTTATATGTAATTTAGTCTACTTGACATTTTTTCATTTTTCCTGAACTTGTCACTTTATTTTATTACCAAAAATCTCTCAGCCATGCATGATGGCTCACACCTGTGATCCCAGCACTTTAGGAGGCCAAGGCAAGAGGATTGCTTGAGCTCAGGAGTTTGAAACCAGCCTGGACAACATGGCAAGACCCCATCTCTACAAAAAGTAAAAAATAAAAAAATTAGCCAAGCGTGGTGGCATGTGCCTGTGGTCTCAGCTACTTGGGAGGCTGAGGCAGGAAGATCAAGGCTGCACTGAGCTGTGTTTCTGCCACTGCACTCCACCCTGGGCAACAGAGTGAGATTCTATCTCAAGAAAATAAAAAACAAAACAAAACAAAAACTCTGTTTATTTAAATGGAGACATCTTTAGGCCACGTGCTATTCATATTATAATAAGTCTTGAGGCCAGGCGCAGTGGCTCACGCCTGAAATTCCAACACTTTGGGAGGCCGAGGTGGGCAGATCACAAGGTCAGGAGATCGAGACCATCCTGGCTAACACGGTGAAACCCCATCTCTACTAAAAATACAAAAAATTAGCCCGGTGTGGTGGCAGGTGCCTGTAGTCCCAGGTACCTGGGAGGCTGAGGCAGGAGAATGGTGTGAACCCAGGAGGCGGAGCTTGCAGTGAGCTGAGATCGCGCCACTGCACTCCAACCTGGGCGGCAGAGCGAGACTCTGCCTCAAAAAAAAAAAGTCTTGAAACAATCACTTTCAAATTAGTGAGAACTCCCTGCAACTCTGGAAAAAGATTTCCCAAAGACTTGCTGTGCCTACCAAAAATGTGAAAAGCAAAATAGGAGAAAAGTTCAATTACAGAAATCCAGAATTCCAAGTTTTATTTCTGTCCTCTGGATTTTTTTTTTTTTTTTTTTTTTTCAGGCAGAGTCTCTCTCTGTCACCTAGGCTGGAGTGCAGTGGCGGGATCTCTGCTCACTGCAACCTCTGCCCCCTGGGTTCAAGCGATTCTCCTGCCTCAGCCTCCCGAGTAGCTGGGACTACAGGCATGCGCCATCATGACTGGCTAATTTTTGTATTTTTAGTAGAGACGGGGTTTTGCCATGTTGGCTAGGCTGGTCTCGAACTCCAGACCTCAGGTGATCCAACTGTTTCAGCCTCCCAAAGTGCTGGAATTACAGGTGTGAGCCATGGCACCCGACCAGGATTTCTTTGTTTCTATCATTTCTAGTAGTTTTGTAGTAAACCATTAAGTGCCAGTGACTCTTTCTTGATAAATTATAATATACATCTTGCGATTTTCTCTTTTTCCTACACTTTTTTTATTTGCCACATAAATTTATTATTCCTGCCAGTCATTTCCATTAAGATGGTAACATTCATGAAGTTTTTTTACAAAAGCAGGCCAGGCGTGGTGGCTCTTGCCTATAATCCCAGCACTTTGGGAGGCCGACGCTGGTGGATCACTTGAGGTCAGAATTTCAAGACCAGCCTGGCCAACATGATGAAACCCCATCTCTACTAAAAATACAAAACTTATCCAGGCAAGGTGGCGGGCACCTGTAATCTCAGCTACTCGGGAGGCTGAGGGACGAAAATCACTGGAAACCAGAAGGCGGAGGTTGCAGTGAGCCAAGATCATGCCACTGCACTTCAGCCTGGATGACAGAGCAAGACTCTGTCAAATAAATAAATAAATGCTATACACTTTAGTAAAATTATGATGGCAATAGATAACATATACTTGCACATATGAAAAAAGCAAATTTAGCCTCACCAATTCATAACAGCCACATGCTTTATAATCAGTTCAATTAAAGTTAAAATTTAATCAATATTTCAACTTAATTGTAGTCATCTCAACTAACGCTTTCTAAGCACTAACTCAGTGCCTGGTATCACAGTACTGACAATGATAGGAGCAATGATACCCAGCAAGATATAAACATAGTGATATTACACTACAGTAATAAGACACTCTTCTCATTAAGGAATCAAGATATACACATGTGGCCTAATTTGGATACAGGACAAGACATTTAAAAACTACTGCTACGTATGGAAAATTAAATTTGTATGGAATTAGATTAAGAATAGATTTGTTTTGTCTTCCCTTTAAAACACTGCTAAAACAAGTTCAAAATATTTTGCCCAGGCTGGGTGCGAGCCTGTAATCATGCTTGTAATTCCACCACTTTGGGAGGCCAAGGCAGGAGGATCACTTAATCCCAGGAGTTTGAGACAAGTCTGGGCAACATAATGAGACCACTGTCTCTACAAAAAAATTAAAAAATTAGCCAGGCATGCTCGTATGTGCCTGTAGTCCCAGCTACTCGGGAGGCTGAGGTGGGAGGATTGCTTGAACCCATGAGGTCGAGGCTACAGTGAGCTATGATCCTACCACTGCACTCCAGCCTGGGCAACAGAGGTTGCAATGAGCCGAGATCATGCTGCTGCACTCCAGCCTAGGTGACAAAGCGAAACTCTGTCTCAAAAAAAAAAAGAAAAGAAATTATATATAAAAAAGGCTTACAGTAAAATAAACTGTTTTTACACGTTTAGGAAACCCAAACTTTAGTCCAAGTACTGTAAACTAGCACTATTAGCATTACTGGAATATGCTGTGTGACATTTATGATGATGATGTCTGACAAAGCTTATTTGTTACTGAGTAGGCTTTATTCCAGCTGCTCCCATTTCCTCAGTCTGTTTCATCATATCTATAGCAGCTAGAATTCTCCTCATGGATCACTTCCTTCCTGTCTGTCCATCCTTTGTTCATTACATTCACTATATAATGTATGCCTGATCATCAAAGTACTCCACCAAGACTACTCACCAACACCACCCCAACTACACCACATGATCTAATCAACATTCAGGATCACACATCTGCTCTACCATAGTAATCTCACACCTGGAAGAAATCCTAAGGAGATCTCTCCTCCCTCCCTCTCACTCTGAAAATTTATGTCTTTCCTTTCTTTTAAAAGTTAACTCCCAGCTTACTGTCTTCATTAAGTTTCTACCATTTAATCCCATAATTTTTTAACTCCTTGCCACCTATGGTGTTTTAATTTCTGCTATTTATCATTAATGGCTCTTGGCTGGGCACAGTGGCTCATGCCTCTAATCCCAGCACTTTGGGAGGCTGAGGTGGGAAGATTACTTGAGTCCAGGAGTTTGAGACCAGTCTGGGCAACATGACAAAACCCTGTCTCTACACAAAATACAAAAATTAGCTGGACGTAGTGGCATGCACCTGTAGTCCCAGCTGCTTGGGAGGCTGAGTTGGGAGGATTGCTTGAGCCTGGGAGGCAGAGATTGTAGTGAGCCAAGATCTCACTATGGCACTCCAGCCTGGGCAATAGATTAAGACTCTGTCTCAAAAAAAAAAAAAAAAGAAAGAAAGAAAAAAGAAAAGAAAAAATTGCTCTCTCTCTGAATATGAAGTTTTCTACAGTTAGGTGGTGAGGCTATAGAAGCTCCGTCTTCACCCCAAAGTCACAGGCACATTAAATCCCCATTGGTTGAAATCCAATTTCTTCTAAATAGCAGCAGTACTCTCTTTGCCCTCCAAATGCTTAGGGAAAACTCCCCTTCCATCCATTTCCAATGCTCCCCCCTCTGCTACTTTTCTAAAACTCTAAGATGTTACATTATAGGATTTCCTACTTAGGCATCTATTCGTGTGCTTGGATTTGACTTTATAGCTGGTATGTCAGGTGCCCCAGTGTAGAGAACACATTTCCCCCAATATTTTTTCTTGGTGTTAGAAACTCAGTCGGATTAACCATGCAACAAATGCAGCAACAGTTCTTTTAGGAATTCCTACGCTTGTGCTATTGAATTAAAATATTCTCAATCTTCTCATATCATAACCAATCAAGATAATGATTCCTTTCTACTCAAATATTATGCTTAAAAATTATCTTCTTTCAGTTTTTCCAGATGCAAATAGGTTTTTATACCATTAATGTGATTTTCCCTACTAGAGTCCTTAAATGCACTGGAAGACCAAGATTTAGATGCTCTCATGGCAGATCTGGTAGCAGACATAAGTGAGGCTGAGCAGAGGACAATCCAGGCACAGAAAGAGTCCTTGCAGAATCAACATCATTCAGCATCTCTACAAGCATCAATTTTCAGTGGTGCAGCCTCTCTTGGTTATGGAACAAATGTTGCTGCCACTGGTATCAGCCAATATGAGGATGACTTACCACCTCCACCAGCCGATCCTGTGTTAGACCTTCCACTGCCACCACCACCTCCTGAACCTCTCTCTCAGGTAAGTATGTGGGACCAGAGATGGCAGGACCATCAACCTCTGCTACCTATCACTGATGTTCCTTGAAGTGATCATTACATTCCTAAGTTGGTACATCCAAAGATCTGAGATACTAAAAAACAAAGATACAGAGCACGCTCATTGCAAAGCTAGAACCCTCCGTAAGCAAGCCACATGGGTGTGTATCAAGAATGTATTAGGGCCATATTCAGGATTTACTGTAGTTTGCTTAAAAAATATTTGTATGCAAAAACTATTTGATAAAACTCAATCTTTTGGGGGAAATGTTTTATTAACATCATATTGAAATGTGGAACTGATTATATATTTCCATGTCCCTGTTCTTAGCTCAGTACATAGAGAATAGAAGGCATTCATTATACATTTTCTGAGTAGAGTGAAATTGAATTTTGTTGAACTTGGCAGCCCTGTTCAGTAGGACAGGTACATCCAAGTATCACTTGTAATGTCATAGTTGGGGAGGGTGTTACAAAGCAGGCAGATGATGGGTGCTTGATATTGATAAATTTCTGAATATTGAAAAACAGACAACTGGAAAGTTTAAATGATCATTATTTGGGATGTTAACTCATAGTATGTCTCTCATAAAAGTAAAAAGAGCACTTTTAAGGATTTTCTTTTTAGAGTAAGCCAAATATTTTAGAGGAGAGTCCAGTTCAATTTCCTGTGGCTTCTACAATGGTCACACTGTGTCATGATGTTTGGTACTCACAAATAAGACCCTAGGGACCCCGAAAGGTCATACAATGCCTTTTGAATGAACAAATATTGAATATAAATCAAATATTAAATTATACTCTATCACACACAGTGCTCTATTGTGTACTTATTATAGAAAATTTATGTGAAAATGGAGATCGATATAGAACAGAGACTCTTAATGTATGGTCCATGAAGATTTCGAGGGGGCCATGCACCCGCTGAAAGTAAACAAAGTACAAAGTTGAATGGACTTGTGAAGCTTTATGGGCTTTCTTAAAGGGGCTTGTGGCTCAAAAACAATTTGAGAACCACTGCTATAAAAAGATACATGCCTATATTCAAGTAATTAGAATGTAACCAGAACAGCTCATTTCCTCAACATTATAAATAGAAGAGATACTTAACTTGCAAAAATCAAAGAGCTTTGGGCTCATAAAATACTTCACTCACTTTTCAGCCTGTTCATATGAGCTTGTCAGTGCTTTTGTTTTTTGGTGAATTGTAAGTTTAAATTTCAGTCTCTTGGGCCAGGCGTGGTGGCTCACGCCTGTAATCCCAGTACTTTGGGAGGCCGAGGTGGACGGGTCATGAGGTCAGGAGATGGAGACAATCCAGGCTAACACCGTGAAACTCCATCTCTACTACAAATACAAAAAAATTAGCCAGGCATGGTGGCAGGCGCCTGTAGTCCCAGCTACTCAGGAGGCTGAGGCAGGAGAATGGGGTGAACCCAGGAGGCGGAGCTTGTAGTGAGCCAAGATCACACTACTGCACTCCAGCCTGGGCAACAGAGTGAGACTCCATCTCAAAAAAAAAAAAAAAATCAGTCTCTCTTAACCTTTGGGGGCATTAAGAACCCCTTTAAGAATCTAATAAAAAATTGGAAATCCCCAAAAAGACATCCTGATCCAAAAGTATGCATATAATTTCAGGGAATGTTCAAATCCCTGGAGATGTGTCAATCTATAGATTCCTTAGGTCGGATCCCAGTTTGTGAGCCAAGCGGATTTTTCTGGTCTAAATATACGAACCACTGTTAAAGTCATCATTTCATCTTTTAAGTTACCATTCCCAAGCTATAAAGAGTGACTGCCTTCTATATCTTTGAGTTGAAGAATTTTGTTATAGTCATCTAAATTCTGAAAATTGAACGTTTCAGGTAATGGATACCCCATTTATCCAGATGTAATTATTACACTTTGTATGCCTTTAAAAAGTAATTAATAAATTCTGAAAATCAAGCATGTGAAATTTGGTACCTTTTGTTAATACAACGTAGCTGAGACACTAGCAATGACAGAAGTGATTACTCACTGGTATTACTTAATGGACTGTATTGAAGAATATCTTGCCCTTTTCCAGGAAGAGGAAGAAGCCCAAGCCAAGGCTGATAAAATTAAGCTGGCGCTGGAAAAACTGAAGGAGGCCAAGGTTAAGAAGGTGAATCATGAATCCCTTTTGCATGGGGGCAGTTCAATTAAGGACCTGTGATTATGCTTAATGATAAAAAACAAAATAAAGCCGGGCGCGGTGGCTCACACCTGTAATCCCAGCACTTTGGGAGGACAAGGTGGGTGGATCATGAGGTCAGGAGATCGAGACCATCCTGGCTAACATGGCAAAACCCCGTCTCTACTAAAAATGCAAAAAATTAGCTGGGCGTGGTGGCAGGTGCCTGTAGTCCCAGCTACTCGGGAGGCTGAGGAAGGAGAATTGCTTGAACCCAGGAGGTGGAGGTTGCAGTGAGCTGAGATCGAGCCACTGCACTCCAGCCTGGGAGACAGAGTGAGATTCCATCTCAAAAACAAGAAAAAAAGAAAAAAAGAAAGAAAATGTTGTGTGATACTTTCCAAATAGTTGTAATTTTCAAAAACTTTTAAGGACAAAGATAAGAGTACACAATTGTTCTTTCTATAACATCAGTTAGCTCACTTGTGATTGATAAATAAGGGACTTGTGTTAATATAAATGTAGAGGTTTCCTTGGCTTGTACATGATTTTTTTTGCTGGCTTATACATGAATTTTCCTGGGAGCTGGAATGATGGGAGTAGAATTATACCTTCAACAAGAAAGGAAAGGGCCTTTGGCTTGGGTGCTGTACAGGCAGGGGCCCTTTCAGCTCTATCTTAAGACATTTTAAAACAAGTTTGCACATCCAGGGCTCCCTTCCTTTGAGCTGCCCTCTCCAGGACTTTGCAAAATTCTTGGTTGATAGCAGGTGGCGCCACCTTTGGGGAATGCCTAACTGGGTCAGAGCTCAGCTTCTGTCGGCCTGGCCTCTGCTTTTCCTCAATTGCTCTTGTCTACTTTTCCTATGCCCTGGGGCAGCCGTCAGCCCTGCTGCTGACCTAGATGTCCAAGTTATATCCCAGGGTACCAAATGCTGTTTTTGCTGGTGCTCTGGTTTCAAAATAGGTTTTGAGTAATCTGCCCTTAACCCAACTTTCCTAATAAGCCTGTAAGTTGATCATGCATTTTTTCAGAGTATAGGTTTTTGAAGAACACATGTATTGTATTGTAACAGCAGATACAGCTGTATTTAACTTCACTAGAAGAATATACCTAATGATAATAAAGTGTTAATAATAGTTAGGCTGGGCGCGGTGGCTCATGCCTGTAATCCCAACACTTTGGGAGGCTGAGGCGGGCGGATCACCTGAGGTCAGGAGTTTAAGACCAGCCTGGCCAACATGGTGAAACCCTGTCTATACTAAAAGTACAAAAATTAGCTGGACGCAGCGGTGTGCATCTGTAATCCCAGCTACTCAGCAGGCTGAGGCAGGATAATCATTTGAGCCCAGAAGGCGGAGGTTGCCGTGAGCCAAGATTGCACCACTGCATTCCAGCCTGGACTCCAGAGCGAGACTCCATCTCAAAAAAAAAAATTAAAAAAAAAAAGTTAATTTGGTAAATTAAGGCAAAGATGAAACAGTCTTCATCGTGTTTTGTTTTGAGACAGGGTCTTGTTCTATCACCCAGGCTGATCATGGCTCACTGCAGCCTTAAACTCCTGGGGTCAAGCAATCCTCCTCCCTCAGCCTTCTGAGTAGCTGGAACCACAGGCATGTACCACCATGCCGGCTGATTTATTTTTATTTTTTGTAGAGTTGAGGCCTCCCTATGTTGCCTAGGCTTTTCTCGGACTCCTAGGCTCAAGCGCGCCACCCATCTCAGCCTCACAAAGTGGTGGGATTACAGGTGTGAGCCACCATGCCTGGCTCTTCATCTGATTTCAACTCCTGAAGCAAATAACATCTCTGAGACTCATTGAGGATTTTCTGCTAAGAGTTGTGTGAATTGTCCTTTTCACATAGGGCTTTACGCTTTCTATTCCCATGGCACCTATCACAGTTCTCTGAATGAAGGTGTTCAATACCTGCCGATGGATGGATATTCAGGAAGTAGTCCTTGGCTACCCCTGGAGCCAGACTTTCAAGGTTCATCTAGGGGAGTCTTCCCAGATTAGTCTGGTTCCACTCATTCCAAACGTGCCCAAATTTCCTTACCATTCTTCTCCCCTGTTTTCTGCAAGTGATTAATTCCACAGTCCATCATTGGAACTCCACGTCCTCATCTGCCTTGTCCTTTTCTCAAACCTTGGTTAAATCCAACTTTCCTCCTGCTCAGTCCTGGGTGCCCAGTGAGCTACCCTGGTTCAATCACTCTCTCACCTACAAAACCATTTTACTTAAGAGACAAGGGTCTCACTATGTTGCCCAGGTTGGTCTCAAACTCCTGGCATCAAGCGATCCTCCCACCTGGGCCTCCCAAAGTGCTGGGATTACAAGCATGAGCCACCACACCTGGCCTCAGCTAATGATTTTGTTGCCCATTTTGCAAGGAAAATAGACACAGTCAAAACAAAAGTTGCGCAAGCTCCCACCAAGACATCTACCTATCTACCTGCGTGCATCTGTACCCATATATCCCATATTCTTTCCTTAACAATGGATAAATCATTATGTTTCTGCCGAGGGCCAGACTCTTCTCTTGGGCTGCAGTCTCTCTTTCTGTCCTCCTCTGCTCAAAAGTCTCCGATGTCTGACCATCTCACACGTGAAGCCAGAATGAATCCTCCCAGTGGCCTCCAGTCCCTGCATGACATGGCGACCAGTCACCTCCCTGGCCTCATCTCCCAGTGTTCACTCCTTCATTCACCCCATTCTAGCTGCCTGGTCTCCTGGCTGCCCCTTAAGCACTCTAGGCCTGCCCTTGCCTTGGGACCTTGGCACTTTGCAGGTCCTCTGCCTCTTCCCTGGATTCTGAGTAGGT
The DNA here is from genome assembly GCF_000001405.40 of Homo sapiens. NCBI lineage: Eukaryota > Metazoa > Chordata > Mammalia > Primates > Hominidae > Homo > Homo sapiens. Next base: position 26,506,108 of record NC_000010.11, read on the forward strand.
TCGCTGTGCATCTCCTTTAAGTCTTTGGTCACCTTCCTAGCGAGGCCTTTCCTATCTAACACCACATGCACACATCCCCAGTATTCCCAATCCTTCCCCCACTTTAGTGTTCCCCTCAGTGCTTAACACTACCGTGTGTGTGTGGGGGGGGGGGGTGGGGGGCAAGGTCTTGCTCTGTCACCCAGGCTGGAGTGCAGTGGTACAATCACAGCTCACTGAAGCCTCAAATTCCTGGGCTCAAGTGATCCTCCCACCCAGCCTCCCAAGTAGCTGAGACTACAGGTATGCACCACCATGGCCCACTATTTTTTAAAATTATTTGTAGAGAAAGGATCTGGCTATGTTGCCCAGGCTGGTCTCAAACTCCTGGCCTCAAGCAATCCTCCCACTTCAGCCTGTCAAAGTTCTGGGATTACAGGCATGTAATAATAGTTAAAATAGTTAATTTGGTAAATTAAGGGAAAGAAGAAACAGGCATGTAATTCCAGCACTTTGGGAGGTTGAAGTGGGAGGATTGCTTCGCCTGGCCTACTTTACTTATTTGTCCTATGTATTGCCCGTATCCCCTCCCCACCACCCCACAGGATCTCCCCCAGGGATCTTTGTCTCTTTTCCCCACCAATGCATCCCCATCTCTTAGAATAGGTGTCAGGATCACACAGAGGTGAACAAGTCAAGTGTGGTCCCTGCTTGTGGAGAGTTAGAGTCTAGTTAGACTCTAGCTCTGAAGAAAATAAACCAGGAAGAAGTGATAGAGAGTACCCAGGCAACCCTACCAGCTGGAACTGGTGCTGAGGAGGCCTCTCTGAGCAGGCAGCCCTGAAGGGGAGGCCTCCGGCCAGAAGCAGCTGGATGCATGTGGGTGTGGTGCTGGGGGGCATTCCCGGCAGAGGGAACAGAGAGAGAAATATGCTCCAGCAAGAATCAGCTCGGGGAGGTGGGGAAAAAAGGAAGGAACTGAGGACAGAGAGGCAGCTGGGAGACACAGGGTCTCATAGGCCCAAGGAGAAGTTTGGGTTGTATTATAAGTGCAATGGGAAACCATTTGAGGGTTTTAAACAGGGGAGTGTAAGACGAATACACGGCTTTTAAAGGTCATAAAGGGCCAGGCACAGAGGCTCACACCTCTAATCTCAGCACTTTGGGAGGCCGAGGCAGGAGGATCGCCTGAGGTCAGGAGTTAAGACCAGCCTGGGCAACATAGCAAGACCCCATCTCCACAAAAATAAAAATTGTTTTTAGTTAGCTGGGCATGGCGGTTCACACATGTAGTCCCAGCTACAGGTGGCTGAGGCGGGAGGATCCCTTGACCCCGGGAATTCAAGGTTGCAGTGAGCTGTGATCATACCACTGCACTCCAGCCTGGGTGGCAGAGCAAGATCTTGTCTCTAAAATAAATAAATATGGGTCATACTGGCTACTTTGTAGAAAATGGATTGTAGGGGCAAGGTATGAGAGCAGGATTGTAGCACAAAATCTCACACATGGATAAACATGTAGAATTGATCACACATGGTTGGCAGCTGAGGATGAGCTGTGCTGAGTCATTGACTTTACCTCTCAAGATAAAAAGACAAAAGAAAATGGTAAAAGTAAACTTTCTAATTAGACTATTTCAAACCCCTGGATTATGTATAAAATATATTGTTTATGTATTTTCAGAAGGGGAAATGAAAAGAGAAGTAAGTTGTTTCTTAGATTAAAAGATAGAACAGCCAGCAGATTCCATTCATTCGCTTCAGCTGGAGACTAAGAGAACAGGAGGAGAGGGCAAGTATTTCCTGCCATATATCAGACAGTGAGAAAGTGTTGCCATGATTTAGTTTAGATGAATTATAATGGCACACACAAAGCACAAGCTGCCTTGATTCAACAAAGAAGATGGAAAACAGAAGCCGCTCTGATCAGTGAGGAAGAAAAGAAAATTACGAAGACAAGTTATGTATTTGCTCTGATTTCAGACACTCCGAATGTATTTGTTCTGTGGTGCAGAATATTAAGAAAATAACAGACACGCTCATGCATTAAAAGAATAACCGCAATGTACTCATGCATAATCTACAACATGTTTTTAAAGGATGGAAATCAAATCTATCTGTCATACTTTGCCCTCAAGTATTCTGTGGGCTGTTGACATCATTTTGAATTACAAATGATGTATACAGCTTGTGCTACAAAGATTTTGGAACTAGAAACAGAATCAGACTCATGCATTACTTTTATTGTTTTTTTAAAAATGCCCTGGGACACCAGAGAACAATTCCATTTATAAATTTTAGTATAGAAGCAAAAAAAAACAAAAAAAACCCCCCACAAAACTGTAAATGATTTAGGTCTCAGAAATTTTGTGTTTAGCATCTTGCAAAAAAAGAAGAAATTATAAAAAATTATAAAAGTTATAAAATCTTTAATAGATCATTTAAGTTTTTTCACCCTTGAATCACTTTGCCCCATAAATATGAAAGTATTTAGCTTGCTAAATCACATAACTGTGATTTAGCTTACTAAATCACATAACTGTGATTTAATGTTATGTGTTGGTATAGAGCTACTCTAGCTTGCAAACGTGAGGGAAGCTGTGAAGAATAGTAAATATAATTTCTTCTTGCTAAACATCACAAGGCTTCTCTTGGTTATATGTGTGTGTGTGTGTTTTCTAAATTCTATAATTGTGGACATTCATAAGTACGTGTAGATTAACTCTAGTTTCCAATTTCTGCAAAAAAACACCTTTAATCATTGCCAAATTATGTGGTTTAGTATTTTTTCTCTGTATGTATGTTTTTATAGAACATAAAAAACAGCAACATATGTTTTATTTTCTTAAGAATTCCTAAGCAGGATTGAGATGTAGTCAAACATCATTAATCTTTCCATCAGGAACATTAAATTTTCTAAGCCTTAACATTGGTAGTGTGTCTTAGCACATGTAGCTACTTTACAGCAGTAATTCTCAGCAGAGAGCAGCAAGTACACCTTCCACAGAAAATAAATCCTAGTAAAGACTGCTATTTGAAGAATTTCTCTATTTCCATACAACCCTCCATGACTCATTTCTAAGGTCAGATGAATGGATCTTTGACACCTACCATTTATAGTTGGGCCTACCATTTTATCATCAAAATACAAATACAGGGAAAAAGCAACTATCCAACTACAGATGTCTGGGCTAGAGATTTTCAAGGGGGAAAAAAAAGTGTTCTTTAGGAAACCCTGGGATAAGGCTCTGATTTAAATGGTCCCTGGAGGAAGAAAGCATTTTGACTGCCCCATGTCTACATTTTGATCTTGGGGGTGTTTGTGAATGTTGGAAATAGAAGGTATTACATGATTGCTTCAACTTGTGGTTGCTGCCTGCAACTCACCCAAATGGTTACCACCACACACACCCTTCCATTGCTATCAGTAACTCTGCAGAACCATCTACAGGAACTACACTCTTCAACCTGTTAACTATAGAGTGTTAGGAAAGAATAAAGCTACAGCCAGCCATACAACCCTGGTTGTACTCTATCTCATCCGATCTCAGAAGCTAGACAGGGTTAGGTCTGGTTAGTACTTGGATGGGAGGTAGGAATAGGACAGAACCTGGCTGCTCAGAACCTAATCCAAACTTGTGGAGAGAAAGAAATGTTACCAAATTTATGGTTTCTCTCTCCTTTTTCAGTCCATCTAATCACTTTTTTAATAACAATGAGTCTTATCGTTGAATAACCGGGACCAACCGTTAAGCTCATATGCTACAAATACACAGGTATCAAAGAAAATCCAAAGCCTAGCTGCATAACTTCAAGAATTAATTCTGTTACATTACATGAAAATCACGGTCTCTCTAACGAATAAGATCTTTTTTGTTGTTGTTGTTTTCTTTTCTTTTTTTGAGACAGAGTCTCGCTCCACCCCCCATGCTGGAGTGCAGTGCTGCAATCTCGGCTCACTGCAACCTCTGCCTCCCAGTTTCAAGCGATTCTCCTGCCTCAGCCTCCTGAGCAGCTGGGATTACAGGCACATGCCACCACGCCTGGCTAACTTCTGTATTTTTAGTAGAGACGGGGTTTCATCATGTTGGTCAGGCTGGCCTTGAATTCCTGACCTCATGATCTGTCCACCTCGGCCTCCCAAAGTGCTGGGATAACAGGCGTGAGCCACCATGCCCGGCTGAATCAGATGTTTTAATAACTTTGACAAGTTGCCTAGAAAAAGTCAAGGATATTGTGTTTTTACTGAAGATAAGTAAATGCAGCTTCCTCCAAACCTACAGATTTGGAATGAGATTACTACCAATTTTATTGTGAATTTAATTCAATAGAATATTTTGAAAATGGAATAAAAAGTAAATTAGGGGCTGGATACAGTGGCTCATGCCTGTAATCCCAGCACTTTAGGCCGGTGAGGCAGGAGAATTGCTTGAGGCCAGGAGTTTGAAACCAACATGGGCAACATAGTGAGACCTTGCCTCTACAAAAAAATGAACAAAAATTAGCTGGGTGTGGTGGTGCACACCTGTGGTCCCAACCACTCAGGAGGCTGAGGTGGGAGGATCAGTTGAGCCCAGGAGGTTCAGGCTACAGTAACCCAAGATGACACCACTGCACTCCAGCCTAGGCAACAGAGCAAGACCCTGTCTCACACACACACACACACACACACACACACACACACACACACAAATGAAAATTAGATTTATCATGTGCCTGCAAAACAGCTTATTTCTCAGTCTACATTCATTTCACTTAATCCAACTGTGATCTCAAATGTGCCCTGCTCTAACTATCTGTCTCTCAGTGGGGCCCCCTCAGTGATACCGTGTTAACATACGCTCTGTGGACCTTTAGAGAATTGTAGATTAACCAACTTGGTCTTATTTGGTGTCTTCAGACTCTTGGGTTGCATGAAATGGGACTCAACTCCAGCTAAGCAAAAGAGAAGAGTTTATTATAAAGAAACAGGTGGCCAGGTGTGGTGGCTCACACCTGTGATCCCCGCACTTTGAGAGGCCGAGGTGGGTGGATCACTTGAAGTCAGGAGTTCAAGACCAGCCTGGCTAACATGGTGAAACGCCATCTCCACTGGAAAAAGAAAAAAAATTAGCTGGGCATGGTAGCAGGCACCTGTAATCCCAACTACTAGGAAGGCTGAGACAAGAGAATCACTCAAACCCAGGAAGCAAAGGTTGCAGTGAGCTGAGATCACGCCACTGCACTCCAGCCTGGGCGACAGAGCAAGAATCCATCTCAAAATAATAATAATAATAAAGATACAGACATAGCTTTTAATCTAGAAAAGTTTCTGGGCTCCAGGATGGAATGAGAACAAGGGAAAGATTATTGGGAAAGAAAGAAGCTAACACTTTTTTTGTTCTGTTGTTTTCTGTCTCTCCCACCAGACTGCCTGTCTCTGAAGGCTAGACAAGGACTGTGTTTATTATCTATTTTCTATTTTTGTGAATTGGTTTCTCCACCTCTGTAATCCTAGCACCTAAAACAAGTGCTTGGCATGCAAGTTAGTTTAGATGGAGCAAGTTCACCAAACACATTCTTACAGAAATTTGCAGAAACAATAGCAACTTTGAAACCCTCATCTTAGTAGCCTTCTCCAGTTGCTGAAATTTACTGGCTGCCCCATGGTTCTATCCTCAGCTCGTCGTCAAGGTGCACATGAATGATAACAGCACAAAGTCACTGATGGTGGATGAGCGGCAGCTGGCCCGAGATGTTCTGGACAACCTTTTCGAGAAAACTCATTGTGACTGCAATGTAGACTGGTGTCTTTATGAAATCTACCCGGAACTACAAATTGGTAAGTCCCATCCCCAGCAATGGGCTGTACTCCAAAAACCTTGTGGGTTTGCTGTATAATGGGCTTGGGTTTATTCTTTTTTTCTCTTTAATTTTATATAAAAAATAGACACATGCTCTCACTATGCTGCCCAGGCTGATCTCAAAATCCTGTGCTCAAGCGATCCTCCCACCTGGGCCTCCCAAAGTGCTGTGATTACAGGTGTGAGCCACTGCGCCTGGCCTGGTTCATCCTTGAGAAGACTTTGGTTCAAGGCTTTCAATTCCCTTATATGAGATTTAGTGCTTGACTCTTCATTTCATTGTAGTGAAGAACTTGGATTCTAGCAGGTGGTGGCCAGACCTTGGGGGATATAAGCACTATTACTGCTGCTTCTCTAGTGGTTCCATAAGGGAAAGAGAGTGGCTGGATGATACTTACTAAGATGCTGCATGCTTAATAAGCTGAGCAGGTGGCAGGAGAGCCTGGGTATCTGTTGGCTAATGCCCCTTTAGTGGTTGCTTCCTTAACTGACCATAACCCTGCCATAGCCTCCCACAAGTGCTCATTTCCCCTTCCTCCCTCCCCACTGGCTTAGTCTCTGATGCTTTGTCTAGTGGAAGAGTTTCAGCCTCAGTGCAAAGAACAGTTGGTAGACACTGATGGAATTTTTCAAAAGTGGAAAAAAAGGTTAACTGAAGATATACTGTTACTTATTCTTGGTGGTGGTGGTGGTGTTGAGACAGGGTCTTGCTCTATCACCGAAGCTACAGTGCAATGGCGCAATCACGGGTCACTGCAGCCTCGAGCTCCTGGGCTCAAGCACTCCTCCTGCCTCTGCATCCCGAGTAGCTGGGACTATAGGCACACATCATCATATTTCTCATTTTTAATAATGGGACAGTCGTCTCTCAGGAGAGCTGGGTGGGACGGAGAATTGCCTGTGCTGGAAGCTTTGGGAGCAATTTTTTTTCTGGATAAGATGGTTTACACTAAAGCAGTCCCTTAAATTTCTCTTCAATTCTGTGAGTCAAGGGAAGAAATGAAAGCCTTTCTTTATGTTTTAATTCAAGCATTCACACATTGCTTTTAGAGTGTTAAGGAGTGATGTTTTAGAGTACACACTGGCTCTCACAATTTCATTCAAAGTGTTTCACCAGTCATTGACTGATTGTCCACCTCACGTAGAATGTTTGCCACCATCTGGGACTATTTAAAGTAAAAAATGTCGATATGAAAAAAGTATGTCTCTGGGTACACTGGCATATGCCTGTAGGCTGAGCTACTTGGGAGGGTGAGGCAGGAGGATTGCTTGAGCCTTGAGCCTGTGAATAGCCACTGCACTCCAGCCTGGACAACACAGTAAGACCCCATCTCTTAAACAAAATGAAAGAAAAAAAGAAATAAGTGTGACAGCTGACCATTGTCACTGTGTTATGGGTTTTTTCATCTTGTTTATAATGGAAGATAACTTGAAGACAATGAAAGAGAAACATAATAGAAATGTTACAGTGTGGCATCATGTGAGAATTATTAATAAGAATCCCAGGCACCTGATGAAAGTCATGAAGCATTAACTCAATAATAGCTTGTTTCTCACTTGGAAACCCTGATGTCTTGGGTCTGAAAGAATACCTTTTCTTATTTCATCAGAGAGGTTTTTTGAAGACCATGAAAATGTTGTTGAAGTCTTATCAGACTGGACAAGAGACACAGAAAATAAAATACTATTTTTGGAGAAAGAGGAGAAATATGCTGTATTTAAAAACCCCCAGGTAAGATGATCTGCATATTGTTAAACCCTATAAAGTACAAAGGATTTTTTTTTTTTTTGAGACGGAGTCTCAAAGGCTGGAGACAGGGTCTGAAAGGCTGGAGACGGAGTCTCGAAGGCTGGAGTGCAGTGGCGTGATCTTGGCTCACTACAACCTCCGCCTCCTGGGTTCAAGCAATTCTCTTGCCTCAGCCTCCCAAGTAGCTGGGACTACAGGCATGGGCCACCAGGCCCAGCTAACTGTTTTGTATTTTTTAGTAGAGACAGGGTTTCACCATGTTGGCCAGGATGGTCTTGATCTCCTGACCTCGTGATCTGCCCACCTCAGGCTCCCAAAGTGCTAGGATTACAGACGTGAGCCACTGCGCCCAGCCAAGGATTTTTTTTAATGTCACCTGTATACTAACCACACCATTCATTGTCTCACAAAATATCACAAATATATTATTTTCAAATAAACACAAACTCAACTCTTAAGCTATATGTACGCTAACAGTCCTTTGAAGGATTCAGAAAGAAAAGAATCCATTTTGCTTTTTTTCATTCCAAATCCAAAACCTATCTCTCTGTGGTTTTCTCATCCTCTTCTGTCCCTGTTTCTGTGTGGCTGTATTAATCCAATATATCTTCATGCACTCACTGTTGGTTCTTCCTGCTTCTTGCTTGAAAGATGCTCTTTTCTTTGTTGTTTGTATTTGGTGCTTATATTTGCTAGGAAAACTAAAAGGACTACCTAGAAAATGTGCAATTTATTGTGATTTTGTTGCAAACAATTTGTGCAAGTAAAAAGCATAAATTTATATTTGTTCTTCTTTTCATACTTGTTCATATTGGTTCTTCATGTTTGGAAATGCTTCCTTCAAGTCATGTGTACAAGCATGTCCAGGATTTTTCCCAACTGTGGCCTCAAGCAACTATAATTGTGTGAGGGTCATTACTTTCTTTTTGAAAATCAAAGAATGTTAAAGGTGAAGAAGTTCCTCTCCATTTTCCAGACACCTTTCCCTTTTACAGGTTAAAAAAAAAAAAGTGTCATATCACTAGAGGGAGAATTAGGGCAGCTTCCTTGCGGGAAAATTTCTCCTATAAATGCTATTTTCTGGGTTTTCCCTAGGTTGTATGGTGGCTGACTGACAACACAACAATTAAATAGTATTAAAAGTACAAAGTTTTTCGCCCCTAACTACCTTCAATGCCATGCTTTTTTCTTTTTCTTTTCTTTTTTTTTTGTTAGACAAAGTCTTCTTCTGTTGCCAGGCTGGAGTGCAGTGGTGCAATCTCGGCTCACTGAAACCTCTGCCTCCCGGGTTCAGGTGATTCCCCTGCCTCAGCCTCCCAAGTAGCTGGGACTACAGGCGCATGACACCACCCCCGGCTAATTTTTTTTTTTTTTTTTGTATTTTAGTAGAGATGGGGTTTCACCGTGTTGGCCAGGGTGATCTTGATCTCCTGACCTCGTGATCCGCCCGCCTTGGCCTCCCAAAGTGCTGGGATTCCAGGTGTGAGCCACTGCACCCAGCCCAATGGCATGCTTTAACAACTGCGTTAGTGAGGGTACCATCTAAATTGCTGTAGCAAAGAGACTCTTAAATCAGTGGTTCAAACAAGCTACAAGCTTATTTCTCTCTCACGCACTGGTCCAGCCACAGGTAGCTAGACCTAGTAGAATGGCTCTGCCATTTTCGATATGTGGTTTCCATCTTTGGTTCCATGTTAGCTTTTCCGCCTCACCATTTTCCAGTCCATATGAAGTGAGGGAAGAGCCGGGGAAATGCACATTCAGATTTATGCTTCCATCCCATTGGCCAGAAATTAGTTACATAATGACACTGAGCTACAAGGAAAGCTGACAAATGTAGTGTCTATCTGAACAACCATATGCACAGCTAAAACTAGGGAGTTACATTCAGGGCCACCACTTTGCATAACTCCTCCATGAGGCACCTTTCCCCTTGAATCTATAAAAATAATGCCCAAGAGTCATGCAACATGGCTATGCTATTGTATAACTAAGAGAAGGAATAGCTATTGTATAACTAAGATTAGCCATGGTGGGAGAGCCGGAGATTACCTCCATACCCCTTTAGGCTGGATCAGATATTACCTCCATACCCCTTTAGGCTGGATCAGAGATTACCTCCATATCCCATTAGGCTGGATCAGAGATTACCTCCATACCTGTTTAGGCTGGATTAGGGATTACCTCCATATCCCTTTAGGCTGGATCTAGAAACCAAGTTGACACCAGGGAGATTAACAAGAGGAAAGTATGCACATTTTTATCAGTTTTACATCTACATGGGGATCTTCACAAGAGTCAAGTCTAAAGAAGTGGCCGAGGCAAGATGCTTCTATACTTTTTAAACAAATAATAAATTTGAAAAAAAAATGACAGAACAAAGGGAATCTGGCTAGGGGCAGTAAAGTTTCTAGGGGAGTGTAAACCGGAAAGTCTCTGTGACAGGTCTCAATCAGCTTAGAAGTTTCTTTTGCCAAGGCTTAAGGACATGCCCAGAAGAAAACAAACAAACAAACAAACAGAATCACAGAAACAGTCTGTGGTCTGTGCCCTTCTCCAAAGATGAATTTGAGGGCTTCAATATTTAAAGGGGATGCCAGGCACGGTGGCTCCCGCCTGTAATCCAGCACTTTGGGAGGCTGAGGCAGGCGGATCACTTGAGGTCAGGAGTTTGACCAACATAGAGAAACCCCATCTCTACTAAAAATTTAAAACTTAGCCAGGCATGGTGGTGGGCTCCTGTAATCTCAGCTACTTGGGAGGCTGAGGAAGGGAGAATTGCTTGGACCCAGGAGGCAGAGGATGCAGTAAGCCGAGATAGCACCACTGCACTTCAACCTGGGTGACAGAGCAAGACTCCATCTCAAAAAAAAAAAAAAAAAAGTAAAGCGGAAAAGTCAAGGAGGGGAAAGAGGGAGGGGTGTGGTAACGCACACATTGCAAGAGAAAAGGAGCAGGTAGGGGAAGAGTGAATGGCTGTATTCCTCTCGCACTCAGTAAGTTGGAACTTCACAGAAGATAAGATGAACATAGAGTTGCTCCCTGTGGAGATATTTAACCTTTTATTTGTAGCTGTCTGTTTAGGAACAAAAGGGAAGGCAACGTCTTGCATGACTCAGCTTTCAGCTTACTTTATTCCTTTTGGCAGCGTGAACTGGGGTCCCGCGTTTTTATTTTCCTTTCACTAGAGGGCATCACCAGAAGATATATGGGGGGAGATAAGGGTTACTTTACCTATAGTGGAAGATAAGGGTTCCTTTGTTGAGTATATTTATTCAGCTCCTTTGCAGCCCCGTTCCCAGTCTCTGGTGATAAGGGCTATTTTCTCGCCCCGAAATGCTGAGGGTTCCCCTCCCAGAGGAATCTTGATGGCTTGCTGCCTGCAGGAAGAGGAGGTCAGCTCACCCTTTCTGGAACCGCAGTTTCTCCAATGTTTTCAACTAGAAGTAATCAGTGCACCAATCTAGCATTTTTGGGGATGGCATGTCTTTCAGTCCTTCAGTGGGCATCTGCAGTTTGCCATGGTAACTAATGAACTAGTGCACATATCATAATGGTACACTCTGAATTTTTACAAAGTGAACCAACCCATGTAATTACCACCCACATGAAGATAACAGAGCATTCAGGGAGTTGCAGCGGCCTTCCTCCTGGCCCTTCCCAGTCCTTACTACCCATTACAAAGGTCGTCATGATTCTAGCCTCTATCTCCTTAGCATTTCCTCTTTTTGAACTTTATATATGAAATGGAATTATATCACAGTACTTCTTTCTTTTTGAGACAGGGTCTCGCTCTGTTGCCCAGCCAGATCTTGCAGTGGCACGATCTTGGCTCACTGCAACCTCCACCTTGCAGGCTGAAGTAAGCCTCCCGCCTCAGCCACCAGAGTAGCCGGAAACACAGGCACAGGCCATCACACCCGGCCAAGTTTTGTTTTTGTTTTTTTGAGAGACAGGCTCTCACCATGTTGCCCGGGTTGGTTTTGTTTAGCTTTGCTTTGGCTCAACTCTCATTCATGCTATTGCCCATAGCACTAGCTTATTCTTTTTCACTGTTAGAATTCCATTGTGTGACTATACCAAAACCTATTTATCCATTGTCTTGCTGATGGATATTTGACTTGTTTCTAGCGTGGGGCTTTAACAAGTAATGCTGTTGGGAGCATTCTTATACAGTACATGTCTTTTGTTGGACATGTGTAGACATTTCTCTTGCATATATACCTATAGGTGCAATTGCTGGACCACAGGTTGTGCATATGCTTAGTTTTATTTTTTATTTTATTTCATTTTTGGGATTGAGTCTTGCTCTGTCACCCAGGCTGGAATACAGTGGTGCAATCTAGGCTCACTGCAACTTCTGCCTCCTGGGTTCAAACGATTCTCCTGTCTCAGCCTCCTGCACAGCTGGGATCACAGGCAACCACCACCATGCCTGGCTAATTTTTGTATTTTTAGTACAGGCAGGGTTTCACCATGTTGGCCAGACTGGTCTTGAGCTCCACCTCATGTGATCTGCCTGCCTCAGCCTCCCAAAGTTCTGGGATTACAGGCATGAGCCACCGCGCCCAGCCTATTTTTTTTTTTTTTTTAAAGAGTCCTTCTGTCACCCAGGCTGGAATGCAGTGACACAATCTCAGCTCACTGCAACCTCCACCTCCCTGGCTCAAGTGATTCTCGTGCCTCAGCCTCCCGAGTAGCTGGGACTACAGGCACTCACCACCACACCTGGCTAGTTTTGGTATTTTTAGTAGAGACGGGGTTTCACCATGTTGGCCAGGCTGGTAATATGTTTAGTTATAGTAGATACTGCCAAGCAGCTTTCACACAGATTCTATGACTTAGCCTCCCATTAACATTGTATGAGAATTCCTGTTGTTCCAGATCCTTGATAGCCTTTGGTGTTACCATTAGTTTTTAAATTTTATCCATTCTAGGGGTTTGTAGTGGCATCTTCTGTGGTTTTAAGTTGAATTTTCCTGATGCCAGTGATTGTAGCATCTTGTCAAATGTTTATTATCCATTTGAATACCCACTTTTGTGAAGTGCCTGCTCAAATCCTTTGCCATGATTCCCAGTCTCTCACCCTAGACTAAGCATCAACAAATGCCCTGAGGGGAAGTGTGGCTTTCTGGAGACCTGAACACCACTTTATGGTTCATTTCTGTCTTAGATCTTGACCTCTTGCGTCCTAATTGCTTCAATAGCTCTCTAATGCCTTCACACAGATTTTTTATTAAATCCAGCATTTCTAGCGGTTTTGTGTACAGCAAGCTACTTGTATTGGGCCATTCTCACACTGCTATAAAGAAATACCTGAGACTAGGTAATTTATAAAGAAAAGAGGTTTATTTGGGAGGCTGAGGCGGGTGGATCACCTAAGATCAGGAGTTCGAGACCAGCCCGGCCAACGTGATGAAACCCTGTCTCTACTAAAAATACAAAAATTAGCCAGACATGGTGGGGGTGGGGTGGGGTGGGGGGCATCTGTAATCTCAGCTACTAGGGAGTCTGAGGCAGGAGAATCACTTGAACCCAGGAGACAGAGGTTGTAGTGAGCCAAGATCGTGCCACTGCACTCCAGCCTGGGCAACAAGAGCAAAACTCCATCTCAAAAAGAAAAAAAGAAAAGAGGTTTAATGGGCTCATGGTTCTGCAAGCTGTACAGGAAGCATGGTGGCATCTGCTTCTGGGGAGGCCTCAGGAAACTTTCAATCATGGCAGAGGGTAAAGGGGAAGGAGAGTGAGCACCTTACATGGCTGGGGCAGGAGGAAGAGAGAGAAGGGGCATGCAACATGCTTTTAAACACCCAGATCTCCTAAGAACTCTATCATGAGACAGCACTAAAGACATGGTGCTAAACTGTTAGAAATTGCCTCCCACCAGGCCCGACTTCCAACACTGGGGATTACAATTAGAGATGAAATTTGGGCCAGGCCATGAATCCAAACCATTACTACTGTAACATAGCGGGAAGCAGAAATTCTCCTCATGAATTATTTTGCACAAGAATATGTTCTTAAAAGCCAACTTTTATACATTCTCCTAATCTACAATCCAATTTAAAGACCAAAATTGAAGTGGAGGCAATTTTGAAGTGGCCAATTTTAAGTAAATGTATTTCCATTTTCTCAGTGTTTGAATCTATCTTCTGGCCAGTGCTCTGCATACATAGTGGCTTCTGCCTGCTGACCTTAGAGTGAGAGAAGCAGGCTGTGACCATTCTCATTGATGTCATGGCTCCTAAAAGGGAGGCTTTGTAATTTGAAATACCTAAAGTCTTCTTGTCTAAGCCCTGTGCTAATACCCTTTGATTGTTTAAAGCTGGGCACAGTGGCTCGTGCCTGTAATTCCAGATGCTTAATTAGGAAGGAATTCCAAAAGGACTTTGAGAGGACAAGGCAAGGGAATTGCTTGAGCACAAGATGTCAAGACCAGCCTGGGCAACATGGTTGTTATAAAAGTGAGCTCAGCTTGCTCTTGCTGCCTTTTTCATGCCTGCTTACTTGCTTTCTGCTTTTCCACCATGTTATGACACAGTATGAAAGCCCTCCTCAGAAGCTTCCACCATGTCCTTGGACTTTCCAACCTCCAGAACCATGAACCAAATAGACTTATTTTCCTTATAAATTACCCACTGTCTGGTATTCTGCTATAGCAACAGAAAAAAGACTAAGACAGATTAATACTTATTTGCAGCTTAATTAAGAAAGAGCTTACCTGGCCCAGAATATCAGTTTTTCTGGAAAATTATCAAACTGTAAAAAACTCTTTAAAATTTCATTCTTAAAGTACCAATACTGAAGTCTTCAATACTTAACAGACGTCTTTTACAAATTATTTGTCTTGGGGGATAGTGCCTGGGAGAGGCAAGAAAGTGAATGCAGAGGGAGGCTTTGAGCTCCATTTTCAGAAGCAATAATAAGTAAGAATTCAGAGACATTAGTGATATGCTTGTGCAGGCATAATTGCTAGGCATCCATTTCCACTGGTGACTGGAAATGTGGCTTCACACACCTAGGTTTCAAATGTCACCTGCTGTGTGATCTTGGTGTGCTCTTTGACAACACTTAAATTCACTTCTCAGTTTGTAAAATGGTTGATGCTGCTGTACTTCCTACCTCACAAAATCAAATCCAGCGTGAAAACCACTTGCCACATTGTGAAGTTATGCATAAAAGTAAAGTGGTTTGATCTCAACTGAAATTCAGCAATCATCTACAGTAAAGTTCTGTATAATAGATTATCTATAATAAATGAATATAGAGAAACTAAACTCTGCAAATTTGTGAACAGAAAGATGCTTAATTAGGAAGGAATTCCAAAAGGATAACTTGTCTACATTTGGGGAGGCAATAGGAGATCACCCCATTTTAAATGAGAGAAAACAGAGTAACTCTTAATGGATTCTTCTGATGGCTGCTGTTATGCACTGTTCCATTTGAAAGTAACTTATCAGCTTTTTGGAACAGTCTGTGTTTTAGCTTCACTCCCAAGAGGTGGGAGCCAAGTATGAGTCTAACTATTGAGATTTGGTGAGGGTGCAAGACCATCATTGGTTCTCCAGAGCCACTGCTGAAATCTGAGTGCACAGACACTGTTAGCTCCTGCCATCAACTCTCAGTGGTGATCCTTGGGTATAAGAACAGATATTGCTCTAATTAGAATTTTTTCAGATTACTGAAAGGACCCAGAGGCATCTCATTGGAATGAAAGATAGGAAGTACAGTCAGGCCTCCCAGGGACTGGTGCAGGGGTTGGAGCGTTGCTGGGATCATGATGGCAAGCATCTTGGTCCCAGCCCTCCCTTGGGTCTCCATCTCTCTTTGTCACTCTCTGTCCCTGTGCACAGCTGTGTCATTCTTCTTCCCTTTGGTGGACTTCCTTCCTCAGCTTACTTATCTGTTCCCACATAGCCCCTATAGCCAACCTCAGACGATGGCTCCTCTATAAATGGATCTCAAACTCTGTGCTTGCGTAACCCTAGAAGAAGTTTGAAAAACCATGTGCCACCTCACACATTTGTTTGTTGACATCCAAATTTTTTCATCACAAGTTTATTTATTAAGTATTATTATTATTATTTTTTGAGATGGAGTCTTGCTTTGTCACCCAGGCTAGAGTGTAGTGGCATGATTACGACTCACTGCAACCTCTGCCTCCCAGGTTCAAGCGATTCTCCTGCCTCAGTCTCCTGAGTAGCTGGGATTACAGGCATGCGCCACCATGCCCAGCTAATTTTTGTATTTTTAGTAGAAATGGGGTTTCACCATGTTGGCCAGACTGGTCTTGAACTCCTGACCTCATGTAATCTGCCCACCTCGGCCTCCCAAAGTGCTGATATTACAGGCATGAGCCACTGCACCCAGCCTACAAGTTTAAATAGATACGAAGAATGCCATGTCCAACATATTTTGAATGTTGACAGTTTAAAAAAACTATTCAACGGAATCTAAATACAGTTCCATGACAATTTGATTCCCACCATCATCTTTTTAAGAAGCACATGAATAAGTTTTTATTTTTTTTATAGACTTTCTTTTCAGAACAGTTAGATTCACAGTCAAATTGGACAGAAATAGAAAGAGTGCCTATATATCCCGTGCCTTCACACACACACAGCTTCCCCCACTATCAACACCCTCCACCAGCATGGCACATTTGTCACAGTTGATGAATCTACATTGACACGTTATTATCACCCAAAGTCCATAATTGACATTAATCTTCACTTTTGGTGATGTACAGTAAGCTTTTTTCAACATTTGGGACATTTTATATTGTTCCTTTTTTTTCCCTTTGAACTGTTCTCATTTCATTTTCTCCACAAAGATTTATCCTATTGTAATATATTGATATGCTGAAAAGTCTTTTATTATTCTCTGTCCCATACTCCTCTTCAACTAATTATGTTTACAAATTGATGGGTGAGCTTTTCTTTTCTGTCACCATAGGACACTTAAGGGTTAAAAAATCACAGTTGACCAAAACAACATGGAAACCTTTTTTTATTATAAATGTTGATATTAATTAAATATAAAAAGCAAAAATGGGAGGCCAGGCACAGTGGCTCACACCTGTAATCCCAGTACTTTGGATCACCTGAGGTCAGGAGTTCAAGACTAGCCTGGCCAACATGATGAAACCTTGTCTCTACTAATAATACAAAAAAAAATTAGCTGGGCATGGTGGCACACACCTGTAATCCCAGCTACTCGGGAGGCTGAGGCAGGAGAATCGCTTGAACCCGGGAGGTGGAGGTTGCAGTGAGCCAACATCGTGCCATTGCACTCCAGCCTGGGTGACAAGAGTGAAATGAAACTCCATCTCCAAAAAAAAAAAAAAAAAAAAAACCAAGAAAAAAACAATGGGGAGGGGACATCTCTTAATGTTAGAAATAGATTAGGTGGAGCCATTTTCCCCCTGGTTAATTCCAGGATCAAAGGATGAATTTCCGTATCAATTACATTCCAGTTTTTCATTTTTACAGATGTTGAGTACTTTCTATATTGAGAAACCTTGTTCACATAAATAAGTAGATGGGAACAGAAGAATGCCATTCAATTCTTTGAACTCCTTCCAAGGTACTAGCCAAAAGCCACAGGAGGATCAATGATGGTTCTTTTCATCCATTAGCTGACCAGATAATTAGGTACCTTCTATTATGTTGAAAGCAAAGAATTAGAATCCACATGACTTCCAAAAGGATTTGTGATGAGTCTTCTTCTTTCTCTGCACTGGTGTTTCAAGTTGTCCTTTTGTTTAGGGCCTTTGAGCCTTACCCTGGGGCAGTAAGATTCTGTGTGGGTGCAGGTGAGATTTTCCTTTCTAACATGCAAAAAGGCAACTGTGAAAGGGGCCGTCCATTCTCAGGCAGGTCCACTTTAGAAAATGGTACACTTCAAGACTGAGGATGTGACAATTTGCACAGCATGCTCTTGGAGGGGCTTCATGTAATTATAGGACATGGAGGGGCGGGGGGACACAGTTGAAAGACCCTTGGCCAAGGCCAGCCACAGTGGCTCACATCTGCAGTCTCAGCATTTTGGGAGGCCAAGGTGGGAGGATCACTTGAGGCTAGGAGTTCAACACCAGCCTGGAAACACAGGAGACCTCATTTCTTTAAAAAAAAATAAAATATAAATAAATTTCTTAAAAAAAGAAAGACCCTGGCCTTGAATGGTGGCTCACTATGAGTGGCTCAGGCTTCCCCATGGTTAACTGTCCTCTGCTTTACAAAGCCATTGTGCCTATTATGAAATAATAATTTATGTCATCATTTCTCATCTTCAACAGTCAATAGGCCCTAGGTGGATGCCAGCACTCAGAACACAGTGCCCCTAAACTATGGCACCGTGGCATGCTGAGTACTTTAAACCGAAGGAGATTAGAAGGACCTTCTAAGAAGCCAGACGATCTCTGTGACCTTCTCCCACCCTCCTTTCTCCTTCCCGCATTTATCCCCTGAAGCAGATTATAGAAACTCAACTTCTTCTCCCCAAAGCAAGCCACGAAACCTAGAAAGATCACTCTCTGACCTCCTCCCTTTGCCCCTGGAAGGTCCTCCTGTGGCAAGCGTCCTGCCCCATACCCGGGGGGTAAAGAGTGTCACACAGAGACACAGAAACAAATCAAAATAAACAGGCCTTGCTGAGCTCCCCCAGTTTATTGCCATTAGATCATGTTTCTCCGTAATTACCCACTTCTTTCATCAGATTGATGATGAAAAAAAAACAACAACAAATTATGACAAAATATTTAAAGAGGGTTATTCTGAGCCAATACGAGTGATTGAGCTCAAATTACACAGTCTCAGGAGGTCCTGAAAAAGTATGCCCCTGGCAGTTGGCTTGCAGTTTGGTTTTATATATTTCAGGGAGACAGGAATTGCAGGTAAAATCATAAATCAATATGTGGAAGGTATGCATTGGTTCCCAAAAAGGCAGGGCATCTCAAAGCAGAGACTTACATGTCATAGGTGGATTTTAGGGATTCTTGAGTTAGCAATTGGTTGAAAGAACTGAGCTTTATCTAAAGACTTGAAGTCAACAGAAAGGAATGCCTAAGTGAAGATAAGGAGGTCTGCTGTCTCTTATGTGATACTATAACAGAATCAGGTTGGAAAGTAAGCTACACTCTACAGGGTTAATTAAAAACCTGTCTCACGAGATTTTGTGGTTTATAGGTTATGACTCCCCTGGCCCTTAGGAAGGAATTTGGGCAAGATTGCATATAATCTATGCATTTCTTTCTTTTTCTTTCTCTTTCTTTCTTTCTTTTTTTTTTTTTTTTTTTATAAAAAAAGGAATCCTGGCAAGAGAAAAAAAAGTCAGGCACAGTGGCTCACACCTGTAATCCCAGCACTTTAGGAGGTAGGAGGATCACTTGAGCCCAGGAGTTTGAGACCAGACTGGGCAACATGTGAGACCTCATCTCTATAAAAAAATTAAAAATTAGCTGGGCGGGGTGACACATCCCTGTAGTCCCAGCCACTCAAGATGCTAAGGTGGGAGGATCACTTGAGCCTAGAAGGTCGAGGCTGCAGTGGGCCGTGATCATGCCATTGCACTCCAGCCTGGGTGACAGAGTGAGATCTGTCTAAAAAAGAAAAAAAGAAAGCTCAGAGTTCAGTCTTCTACTTAGCATAAAAATACATAATTTGCTTCTTTGGGTCTTGATTTCTGAAGGCTCCAATGTCACGTAAAACTTTGGTTAGATGAATTTGTGTTGCTTTTCTCTTGTTACTCTCTCTCTTGTTCTAGGGGTATCAGCCATGACCTCTGCAATGGGTGAGGAAAAGGTAAGACTTTTTCTCCCCTACAGAGACTCTCTTGCACAGGGGATGTGGTCTCTTTTGGGAAAGTGGGCCGGGGCAGTAGAACAGTATTATCCTCATAAAGGCAGCTTTAGTTTAGAAGCCTACTGTACAAAAATCAGTGACATTGCCTGTGTAGGGGAGAAAGAGCTGTTTTCTAACCCATTGCTAGGTTTATGGCTGAGGTCGCTATTGCAAAAGACAGATTACCAACAACAAAAAAAGCACAGAAATTTATTTAATGTAAGTAACACAGGAGCTTTCAGAAATGAAGATCTGAAGAAACAGGAAGAAGTGGGTATTTTTGTGGACAGTCGTGCAGAAGTGTGATTGCAGGACAAAACTGTATGATCTAATGGAAATAAACTGAGGGAAACTTGGCAAGGCCTGTTCCAATTCTTCTCTGGGTCCCTGTGTCTTCAGAGACAGGGACATTCCTTTCCTCTGGGTATAGGGTGGGCGCCTGTCTCACAAGGATCCTGTGACTTACTTTAGAGAAAGGTCAGAGGATTCTTTTAAGACCTGCTTCAGAGAAGGACAGGAAAAGGTGAGAGGGACCTTCCTGCTTCTGCTGTTTTCTCAAATGACAAGGTGCCATAGTTTGGGATAGCGTGTCCTAAACCCTGTCACCTGAAACCAAAATAGAGATCTGAGAATTGAGGACTGAGTATGAACATGGAAAATCATTCTGGTATTAACGTAAGCCATTCTTATTGCTAGAAGCCCTAAGAATCTCTTTTTCAGAAAAGGAATTGGTAAAGTCAGTTCATGTAAGGCACAACCTTACATAAGGTAAAGTCAGTTCACGTAAGGCGCAAACTTACATGAGGTAAAGTAAGTTCATGTAAGATTGTGCCTCAAGTAATTTCCTCAGATAAGTTCCTTACTGTGCTACTTTTTATTTATTCTAATAACTTTCTTTTGCTAACTTAAAAATAATATCTGGCCAGGCATGGTGGCTCACGCCTGTAATCCCAGCACTTTGGGAGGCCGAGGCAGGCAGATCACGAAGTCAGGAGATCAAGACCATCCTGGCCAACATGGTGAAACCCTGTCTCTACTAAAAATACAAAAACAAGTCGTGCATGGCGGCGTGTGCCTGTAGTCCCAGCTACTCGGGAGGCTGAGGCAGGAGAATCGCTTGAACCCGGGAGGCGGAAGTTGCGGTGAGCCGAGACCACACCATTGCACTCCAGCCTGGGCAACAGAGTGAGACTCTGTCTCAAAATAATAATAATAATAATAATATCAATTTATCATAAAAGGAAAAGTTGGAAAATTCAGAAAAATATAAGGAAGGAAATCTAAATCACCCATAATCTCACTCTTTAACAATAATCACTATTGATATTTTAGGCAACTTTTATTCCACAGATTATTCTGTTTCTTAACTGAAATTTGATGATGATTATACTCTACTGGTGGCTGCATGAGTGAGGAGCAGAGACAGAAACACAACTTCTTTGCCCAGGTGTAGAAGTGTCTCAGCCACAGCCTGGCAGCTATTGTGGGAGAAAAGTATTAATACCTTGTGGCATCATTCTTCCATTCCCTTCCAGCCTCCCTCAGCCCACCAAGGGCAGTCTCTGACCATCCAGGACCAGGTGTGGTTAGAAGGAAAGTTATACAGTAATCACCTTTATGGTCCCCAGCATGGGCTAATGTGTTAAAGGAAGGTCTACCCATGACTTCGGTGCCCTGGATCCTCTCACCAGCCAGTGTGGGCGTGTGTGATTAGTCAGTGTATTGATGCATGAAAGGCAACCTTAGAGGCCAGGCATGGTGGCTCACACCTGTAATCCCAACACTTTGGGAGGCAGAGCAGGAGGATCACTTGAAATCTGGAATTCAAGACCAGCCTGGAAAACATAGTGAGATCCCAGTTTCTGCAAAAATCAAACAATTAGCTGGGTGTGATGGCATGCACTTGTGGTCCCAGCTACTCAAGAGGCTGAGGTGGGAGGATCATTTGAGCTCAGGAGTTCAAGGCTGCAGTGAGCTATGATCCACTGCACTCCAGCCTGGGCAACAGAGCAATACCTTGTCTCAAAAAAAAAAAAAAAAGAAAAAAATACTATCTCAGAATCCCACTGGTTTGCAGAAACAGACATTTCCTCTCTCCAGGGTCTGCAGGCTCCCTGTCCTTAGCTCCAGAGTATGACTTAGACTTAGATTTAGGTAGGTCCATGTCTTTTTTTTTTTTTTTTTTTTTTTTGAGATGGAGTTTTGCTCCTGTGGCCCAGGCTGGAGTGCAATGGCACGATCTCGGCTCACTGCAACCTCTGCCTCCCGGGTTCAAGCGATTCTGCTGCCTCAGCCTCCCAAGTAGCTGAGATTACAGGCATGTGCCACCAGGCCCGGCTAATTTTGTATATTTAGTAGAGATGGGGTTTCACCATCTTGGCCAGGCTGGTCTCGAACTCCTGACCTCAGGTGATCCAACAGCCTTGGCCTCTCAAAATGCTGGGATTACAAACATGAGCCGCTGCGCCTGGCCCCACGCCTCTCTTATTGTCCCTGGATAGCACAGAACTCTGACATATTCTTCCCACGGTCAATGGGAAGAGTACAGGCAAATGACAGAAACACACTCTGCACCTCAAGCTCTCTGCTTAGAATCCATGCATCGTCCCATCTGCCACATTCTTTTGGTCAAAGCAAGTCACATGGCCAAACCCAACGTAAGTGAAGCAAGGAAATAAGCTTCACCCATTCTGGGGGAAGTTACTGCCCAGTCACCTGACAGCGAGCAGAGAACTGGGAGCGATGGTCTGATCTTCACTCAGTGAACTGCATTAACCCCATAGCTCTAGCCTGACTGGCTGCTCACTAGTGCTCCAAAGACACCTCTGTGCCTTTGTGCATGCTTGTTCTCCTCCCTGGAAATCTATTCTTATTCTTTTTTTCCCTACCAGAACATTGAACAGCTTTCAAGGCCTCGTTCAAACTTTGACCCCCTCTGTAAAGTTTTTCTTGACCATCGCAGTCCATAGTAATTTCTTCCTTCCTGAAAATCTCTAGACTGTGGCTCATTTTGAATTTTTGTAGTCTCTTATATCTTCCCCATTGACAGATATAGAGTCATCTGTCCATCTCACTATGATCGATCTGTATTTATCTTCTCCATGTGATAGCAACCTTCTTAAGAACAGGGATTTGAGGCCAGGCATGGTGGCTCACGCCTGTAATCCCAGCACTTTGGGAGGCCGAGGCAGGTGAATCCCTTGAACTCAGGAGTTTCAAACCAGCCTGGGCAACATAGCAAGACCCCATCTCTACAAAAAATTTAAAAATTAGCTGACCATGGTGGCATGTGCCTGTAGCCCCAGCTACTTGCAAGGCTGAGGTGGGAGAATTGCTTGAACCTGGGAGGCGGAGGTTGCAGTGAACCATGATCACGCCACTGCACTCCAGCATAGGTGACAGAGTGAGATATGTCCCTCCCCAAAGAAAGAACAGGGATGTTTTACATGTATAAAGGGTACTCACAAATATTTCTTCACGAACTGATAACTGTTTGCTTGATTTACTCTTTATTCCAAGAAGATTTTTAAAAAGTATTTGCTGTTTCTTTCCTATCCAGCTGTCCCCAAATGTTGCACTCCCAGAAGCTGTGAGAAAAGAGAGCAAGCTATGACCAAGAGTCTCATTTCCCATTTTAAAGTTCCTTTATTATTCGACTCAGGTTTACCCAGTTTCCATTTGCAGGATATAATGACTAAACGTTGAGTTCTGCTCACTACTTCTACAGAACAGCCCGCATTGAGTGGGCGCCCACACCGCAGGTGGAAGTTCCGATCCGAAAGCAATCAGTCTTATTATTCTAAGAATTATTCTTATTCTAAGGACTGCCCTCCTCCAGCACAGATTTGCTTTGTGTTTTTTGCTATTTCATTAAAAGAAAAAACAAAAACAGTGTAGCATGGTCACTTAGAAGGATATTCTGAAGCTGAAAAAGTCAGAAGTATGTCAGAGAAAGTTCTCAGAGAAAGGTACAGCTATACATCCTGCCTCTTTAGGGCACCCTGGTGAAATGTGGCCCTTCACAGTTTAGACAGGTTCTTCCCTGCAGAGGGTGACAGATGCTCTGTCTTTCCCAGATAAGGATGATGACAAACACTTGCTCTGGAGTCTTTTTTTTTCTTTTAATTTTTCCTTTTTCCTGAGATGGAGTCTTGCTTTGTCACCCAAGCTGGAGTGCGGTGGGATGATCTCAGCTCACTGTAACCTCCACTTCCCAGTCTCAAGTGATTCTTCTGCCTCAGCCTCCCTAGTAGCTGGGATTACAGGCGCCCACCACCAAACCCAATTAATTTTTGTATTTTTAGTAGAGACAGGGTTTTGCCATGTTAGCCAGGCTGGTCTCGAACTGCTGACCTCAGGTGATTCACCCACCTTGGCCACCCAAAGTACTGGGATTACAGGCGTGAGCCACCGCACCCGGGTTTGGAGTCTTCATTATGCTCTCTGTTCATGCTTCCAGTTCATCATACGTGATTCAAATATCTGGCCTTCCTAAGCCAAGGTTTGCTTTCTAGCAGCACCTTGAAATCACTCTTGTATGAATGGGCGAACTCATATTGGGTCACATCTTTTGTTATTGTGGAAAAATATATGTAACATAGGACTTATCATCTTAACCATTTTTAAGTGTACCCTTCTGTGGTATTAAGTACATTCACATTGCTGTGCTAGATTCTCCCCTATGGTACTTAAAGCTTTTTTTTCTTTTTCTTTTTTTTTTTTTTTTTGAGACGAGGCCCCCACTGTGTGACCCAGGCTGGACTCAAACACCTGGGCTCAAGTGATCTTCCTGCCTCAGCCTCTGGAGTAGCTGGGACTACAGGTGCATGCCATTATGCCCGGCTCTGTACTTAAGAGTATTTTAATGCTGAGAAAAATTATTTAATAACTTGGCCAGGTATGGTGGCTCACGCATGTAATCGCAGCACTTTGGGAGGCCGAGGCGGGCAGATCACAAGGTCAGGAGATCGAGACCATCCTGGCCAACATGGTGAAACCCCGTCTCTACTAAAAATACAAAAATTAGCTGAGCGTGGTAGTGCGTGCCTGTAATCCCAGCTACTCGGGAGGCTGAGGCAGGAGAATTGCTTGAACCCAGGAGTTGGAGGTTGCAGTGAGCCGAGATCGCGCTACTGCACTCCACCCTGGCGACAGAGCAAGACTCTGTCTCAAAAAAAAAAAAAATTATTTAATAACTCAACGTTCTGCCACTAATCGGCCTTGGGAAAATCACTTAATCCTCTGTGTCCTCATCTGTAAAGTAGCAATAGCAATGGTACCTATGTTACGGGGTTCTTGTGAGGATGAAATAAAATCGTATCTGTAAAGCCTTAGCATAGGTTTCCAGCAGGTAGAATATGTTACCTAATATGGCTAGTCGTGGTCTTCAAGCAAAACATTTAAGATTTAAATAGTTTTCTGAATTCTATATTGTAATTGCACTAATTCACAATATAACATCCTTTCAAATAACAAATAAAAGTTTAAAAGTCTTGGAAAAACATATTAAAATAAACTTCTTTTCAATAAGAATTACCAAAAGAATTGTACTTGGCCAGGCGTGGTGGTTTATGCCTGTAATCCTAGCACTTTGGGAGGCTGAGGGGGGCAGTTTGAGACCAGCCTGGCCAACATTAAAAAACCCCATTTCTACTAAAAATACAAAAAGTTAGCTGGGCATGGTGGTGCACACCTGTAATCCCAGCTACTTGGGAGGATGAGGAAGGAGAATCCCTTGAACCCAGGAGGCAGAGGTTTCAGTGAGCCAAGATTGCACCACAGCACTCCAGCCTGGGTGACAGAGCAAGACGCTGTCTCAAAAAAACAAAAAAAATTGTGCTTGACTTATTTCCTCTATTTAAGTTAGCAGCCAGGCGCGGTGGCTCATGCCTGTAATCCCAGCACTTTGGGAGTCCGAGGCAGGCGGATCACGAGGTCAGGAGATCGAGACCATCCTGGCTAACATGGTGAAACCCCATCTCTACTAAAAATACAAAAAATTAGCCGGGCGCGATGGCGGGCGCCTGTAGTCCCAGCTACTCGGGAGGCTGAGGCAGGAGAATGGCATGAACCTGAGAGGCGGAGCTTGCAGTGAACCGAGATGGCGCCACTGGACTCCAGCCTGGGTGACAGAGCGAGACCCCGTCTCAAAAAAAAAAAAAGTTAGCAAATCACCTTTTTTATGCATTGTATTTCAAGGAGATATTTTAAACTTCTACATTTTATTTGTCTGCAGTTTTTTTCCTTTCTGTCCAGTACACTTGATTCTCAAACTTCAGCATGACCAGGCATGGTGCACATGCCTATAGTCCCAGCTATTTAGAAGGCTGAGCAGGGGAGATTGCTTGAGCCCAGGAGTTCAAGGCTGCAGTGAGCTATGATCATGTGACTGCACTCCAGCTTGGGTAACAGAGCAAGACCTTGTCTCTAAAGAAAAGCCAACGATAAGAAAAACCCAAACTTCAGTGTGCATAAAAATCATCTGGAAAGCATATTGGAATGCAGATTTCCAGGCCTCATCCCAGAGATTCCAGTGTAGCCCAGGAACATGCATTGTATCAAGTTTCAAGGTGGTCTGAGGATTATACTTGGAGAAACACTCCTATGGTGTAAACACTTGTGCCTAGATTCAGTAGGGTCCTTAATTTAGTCACAGTGCTTCTGAGATACATTTTCTGCCTTTAATACATTTGTTATGTATTATTTTGTAAAACTCCGTGTTTTTACATAAAATCCTCAGCACTCTATGACAGTGGTCACTCATTATATTCACGGTGCATATGGATACCTCAGCTGCACTTATT
Organism: Homo sapiens; assembly: GCF_000001405.40. Lineage (NCBI taxonomy): Eukaryota > Metazoa > Chordata > Mammalia > Primates > Hominidae > Homo > Homo sapiens. The sequence continues at coordinate 26,532,322 of NC_000010.11, forward strand.
GTGTAAAATTAGTCCTTGAGTGCTCGTGATTTTTTGGAACCCTTTATTTTTAGCCATCCTGTTGATACTCAGTATTAACAAAGTATGATCCAGAAATTAATACAAACCATGCTTAGAGACCATGAGTCCACTTGTGAGTTCTTTTATTTCTTTATTTTTTTATTTTATTTTATTTTTTGAGACAAGGTCTCACTCTGTTGCCCAGGCTGGAGTGCAGTGGAGTGATCATAGCTTACTGCAGCCTCAAACTCCTGGGCTCAAGCAGTCCTCTAGCCTCAGCCTCTCAAGTAGATGAGACTACAAGCATGCATGCCGCCATGCCTAGCTAATTTTTTCATTATTATTTTTAGTAGAGACAGGGTCCTACTATGTTGCCCAGGCTGGTCTCAGACTCCAGGGTTCAAACAATCCTCCTGCCTCAGCCTCCCAGAGTGGTGGGATTATGGGCATGAGCCACACCCAGACTGTGAGTGCTTAGATCATAGTCCTCCCTGTCTTTGTTTAGGCTGGTTTTCTTTCCAGAAATGCCCTTTCTGCTTCTTTCTGTCCTTGGAAGTTGCTAAATAGTAAACCTTGTGTTGTGATTGACCCAGGCAGTTCTTTTAAAAAATAAAAGAGGCCGCTAACATTTGCAAACATCTACATTTCTGGATTCTCTTGATAAGCCAGAATCCCGCCAGCCTACAAGGCCTTGAGCTCCCATGTGGCATCTGCCTGCCGGAGCAGTTCCCCTCTTGAGCATAGGACATGAGCTTGACCTTCACTCCAGCCTCCAGCTCTTGCCAGTGCCTTGGGGACTTCCAGCTTCCAGCATTTAACATGCATGGTCCATGCATGGACTTCAACAATTAAATGATGTATTTTTCGCTACTGTTTTCTATCTTCTGTGTTTTCATTGATTGTGTACACTATGGGAGGATGAAGAGGTTTCACTCCTGCCTTGGCAATGTGGTATCAGCATTTGGGAAGGCTCTGATGGTTGACTGATATCATATGCTCTGGTTCCCTGTTTGTTTCACACACTTAACATCTTCTTTCCAGCAAGACTGTGAGTTCCTTGCAGAGTCTAGTACGGTAATGAACACTTACTGATCTGATCTTTTAACATTTTATTTAGAATTTCTACTTGGATAACAGAGGAAAAAAAGAAAGCAAGGAAACTAATGAGAAAATGAATGCTAAGAACAAGGAATCCTTACTTGAGGTAAGGTTAATTTTGCAGAGTGGAAGAAAAGAGAAGGACGTTTGCTCTATTTTTAAGTCATTTGCTTCCGAGAACAATGGAAAAATCTAAAGACATACACTGAAATTTTAAGTTGGGGTGTTAAAATCAAATTATTTCTAAATTATAGCTATTTAGATAATTCAACTGTTTTTCTTTTTTGAGTCATTTGTTACAACATGTGGCTTTAGATAAATGAAGCTGGATTTGTAATTCTTGACTTTTAAAAACTTCTAGCATTCCAAGTTTCCATTACTTAAGTGCTCCACGGAAGTCAGACGTAAAAATTTCCAAATCTTTTTTAAAAGGGACCTCTAAGATGCTCTCTCAACATTTTAGACGTGGTAGGAAGTGTGAGATTTGGAGTCAGGGACCCGTTACAGGAGGCGGCTCTGCCTAGCACTCTTCATGTGCTCATGGGACAGTCCCCGCCCCCCCGAGAACCTGACAGATTCCGAATTGTATTGAATTATCACAGAGATTCAGGGAGATGGGGAAAGCACTGTGTTGATTACCATACAGATGTCTATGATGACCACTACTGGGGCGTGTTCCAGAAGTTCATTTGACAATTGATTTTTTGGAAACCTCTAATGAGTTTTCACATAGTATCTATGTTAAAAATCAAGGCTCTGAGCCTCGCATGGGGGCACACACCTGTAATCCCAGCTACTCAGGAAGCTGAGGTGGGAGGATCACTTGAGTCCAGGAGCTCAAGGCCAGCCTGGGCAACAAAGCAAGATCCAGTCTCAAAAAAAAAAAAAAAAAAAAAAAATCGAGGATCTGTTCGCAGCACATAACGCAGTTGAAATGAGTGCCAGATCTCAAATCACAAATGGTCATGCTAGAACTGCCCAGGTTGTATTTCCCTGAGACAATCCATGGACCTTTTCCTGAGTTAGTAAATTTCCTGAGTTAGTAAATTTTGGACCTCCCTTGAAAAATCAGAAGACCTGGTGATGCCCTCGGCATCCGGTTCCCACCTGGAGCCAATTGGCTCATGCTGGAGCCAATTAGCTCATGCTGAAGAGCGCCCTCTCTCGTTCATTAAGGTTCCGCCCAGGCCTTGCGCATGTCTTTTCCCTGCCTGCTTTTCACAGCCCGGTGCCAAATAAAGCAGCTACCAGAACCAGCTGCCACCCCCCAGATGCTGAGCTCAGGTGTTGCAGGTTCTGGTGCCTGGGAGCATGAGCACAGTGAGCATTTCCCAGGGAGGCCCAACAGGATAGTCCTTGTTCCAGGAATTCAGCGATGTTTTACAGCTGGATGTAAAAGAAAATTCAAAGCATGCTATGCTATGAACAATCGTTATCCTGCTGTCTAATTGGGGTCAAAACTCTGAATTTAAGAGATTATTAACAGGATGACTAATACTAGCCAAATTTGGGGAGAAATTGGGGAGTGTAAACAGAAATATTTTCCAGCTCTACTACATAAAAATGTACTTGGAGGATGCAAAATCCAGTTTATTTTGCATTTATGGAACTAAATGAGAGGATGTTGAGAGTTATAAAAAGAAAGCAAAAAATAAGTTTGACTATTTGAATTGTAAAATAGAATAATATATAATTTTATTCTATTGATTTTTAAAACAAAATTTATTAAGAATTCTATAATCCTATGCAAGTTTTGAGATTTAAAAATCTACAACTAGAAGATGTGCTTTGTTATTCTTTTCTGATACTGATGTATTTATAACTGCCTTCTTCCTTCTTTGAAAAGAAAACTATCCCAATAATAAAATATTAACTTATTTATTTTTATTCTTTTTATTTTTACTTTTTGTGGGTACATAGTATGTATACATTTATAGGGTACATGATATATTTTGATATGGGCATGCAATGTGACCTAGTCGCATCAGGGAGAATTGGGTATCCATCCTCTCAAGCATTTGTCCTTTGTATTACAAACAATCCAATTACACTCTTTTAGTTATTTTTAAATGTACGATTAAGTTATTATTGACTATAGTCACCCTGCTTTGCTTTCAAATAGTAGGTCTTATTCATTCTTTCTATTTTTTTGTACCCATTAACTATTCTCCCCAATTTTATGTGTAGAATTATATATAATAATTGTTCTATTTACCAGCAATGAAATGGTAACTTTTTTACTTATCAGGAAAGTAATAATTATTCTGTCTTCCATTTTATAATAACATTAATTGCTTTTATTAAAGGCTTACTTTTACAATATGCCGAGACTGTACTGACAACCTACCTTATGAAGTTGGGCTATTATTATTCCATTTTAACAAGTAAGTGGACTGAGGTTTAATGGCCCACGGTCACAGAGTTAAGTGGTGAAGAGGCCTTGAGGTCTAACTCAGGAGCCAGGATTCTTGATCGATGTGTTATTCTTCCTCTCTTCTGGCAAATAGCATATAATATAAACATATGCATTCGATCAGAGTTGTACACAAAATTGACTTTTAGTTTAAAAGCTAATTTGTAAGTTTTTAAATGTGAATAAAAATGCGTGCTTTATCTTTCGTGTGTGTCTTATGTCGTCGGAATCTCACTTTCAGGAAAGTTTCTGTGGAACATCTATCATTGTACCAGAACTGGAAGGAGCTCTTTATTTGAAAGAAGATGGAAAGAAATCCTGGAAAAGGCGCTATTTTCTTTTACGGGCTTCTGGAATTTATTATGTACCCAAAGGAAAGACTAAGGTCAGAAAAAAAAAAAAAAAAGCACTTAGCAATAAAGCATTTCATGAGAATGAAACTAAAGAAATCCTTAGTTGGCAAGTTAAATACATTCTCTGTTGCTGCAGATTCCATAATCCTGCAACATGTATACAAATAGGACAGTATTATTGAAATCTTTTTGAGTTTTCCCGTAGCTCTCTTGAAGGTAAAAGTATTTTATCTATTTTAAAGTCAGGTTTCAAAAATGATGGCAAAAGCACTTTTCTAGAGATTATTTTGTTACTTTACCCGTCTATTTCCAATGACTTTTTACCCCTGTTGTTCTATTGTCATTATAGTTAAATTTCTTTTATCTGGAATCATAGAGGTATTGGAAATCTTGATAAGATTTTCTTTCTTTTTTTTTTTTTCTTTTGAGATAGTCTCACTCTAATCCACAGGCTGGGGTACAGTGGCATGATCTGGACTAACTGCAACCTCCACCTCCCAGGCTCAAGCCATCCTCCCACCTCAGCCCACCCCCCACCCCCCGCCAAGTAGCTGGGACTACAGGTGCATGCCACCATGCCCAGCTGATGTTTCATATTTTTTGTAGAGACGGGGTTTCACCATGTTGCTTAGGCTGGTCTTGAACTCCTGAGCTCAAGCAATCTGCCCGCCTCACTCAGCCTTCCAAAGTGCTGGGATTACAGGCATGAGTCACCGCACCCAGCTCTTGACTAGATTTTCCTTGAGATTTTAGCCCTTAGACTCTGAATATTTTAAAATCATTCTCTGAGGTGTACTCTGAATTTCCCTTCCTAATTTAACAGGGTATTTTAGACAACATTTAACTTTTACTTGGTGATTCAGGATTATTGCCTCAAATTTATAAGTATGTAATAAATTATTCCTTGAAATGTAATTTTAACTCTTATTCTGACCATCAGCTCTCTCTAAGACCTTTCTTAGAGGGTTAGGACCTTTCCGTCTTTTGTTCACCATTAATACATGTCTAATCTGTATCTTGGGTACGCGGAAGCATTTTGCCTTCCCTTCCAAATGCAGGGCACCACCAATGGTATATTCATGCATTGCAATGCATGAATTTACCTCTGATAAAGCTTAACCCACACTTCCAAGCCGATGAAATTATGGTGAACATCCAGGTCTGCTACCTCCAGTAAGGAGACTCTTGTCTCTATCGGAAGACAGGAGGGGCATTATGGCTAACTCTTGGTCCAGGACAGCTACTGTTCTCCTTAGCCTCTTCCACTCTTTTCCTGCCCTTAGATCTGATGCTTTCCCATCTCTGCCATCTCATTCCAGTCCCACACTGGGCACCTCACAACTGACCCACAAATAATTTGTTTTCGAAATGTTTATGTCTTAGGCATTTGAATATAAACGGTGCATATAAATAAACATATAACAAACAATATACTCTGTGATGAGAATTAAAAGTGTTTACATTTGGCTGGGTGTGGTGGTTCATGCCTGTAATCCCAGCACTTTGGGAGGCTGAGGCAAGGTGAATCACTTGAGACCAGGAGTTCTAGACCAGCCTGGCCAACATGGTGAAACGCTACCTCTACTAAAAATACAAAAATTAGCTGGGTGTGGTGGTGCACACTTGTAATCCCAGTAGCTGGGGAGGGTGAGGCACGGGAATCACTTGAACTTGGGAGGTGGAGGTTGCAGTGGCCTGAGATCATGCCGCTGCACTCCAGCCTGGGTGAAAGAGCAAGACTAGGTCTCAAAAAAAAAAAAAAAAAAAAGTGTTTACAGTAGAGTTGGACAAGAATACCTTCTCTCACTGTTACCATTAACACGGGGTTGAGGAACTAACTAGTATATTAAAGAAAAGAATAATAAGTATAACCAATAGAAAAGAAGAGGCAAAGACTGATTTTTCACAGTGTTGTCTATCCAGCAATATGAGACACTCAACTGAAAAACTGTTAGAACCAAATAAATGTATTAACTAAGAAAGTTTTTCTTTACACAAACAATATATATAATGCAAACCATAATGCAAAAGAATCCATGCAGACTAGAAACAGAAAATGCAAAATACCTAACAATAAACTCAGCAAGAAATGTTCCAGATTCATATGGCATAAAATATAAAATGTATTAAAAGAAATGAAGTAGAACTGAATCAATAGAAAGGTACCATGTTGCAGGCCAGGTGCGGTGGCTCATGCCTGTAATCCCAGCACTTTGGGAGGCCGAGGCGGGCGAATCACGAGGTCAGGAGTTTGAGACCAGCCTGTCCAACATGGTGAAACCCCATCTCTACTAAAAATGCAAAAATTAGCCAGGCGTGGTGGCGGGCGCCTGTAATCCCAGCTACTCGGGAGGCTGAGGCAGAAGAATTGCTTGAACCCAGGAGGCGGAGGTTGCAGTGAGCCAAGATCATGCCACTGCACTCCAGCCTGGGGCGACAAAGTGAGATTCCATCTCAAAAAAAAAAAAAAAAGTAGAAGATAAAGAAAAGAAAGGTACCATGTTGCTAAAAGAAAAGTTATTAATTCTTCCCAGTTTTCTATAAATTTAATATAATTTTAATAAAAATATCAGTAGGATTTTATTTACTTGAAATTCACAGACTGATTTCATGGAAAAAAGACACTGTTCCAAAATAGACCTTCCCAAAATTGTGAAGAACATCAAGGTAGATCTCCTGCTGTGCCAAAACATTAGATAAAAACAGCACAGCTAGAGACAAACAGGTCGACAGACAACCGTCTAATATCAGAGAAGTTAAAGTTGGAATTTATATCACAGCAGTGGGGAAAGAATGTGGTATTCAACAAATAGAACTGAAATAACTGTATATCCATTTAGAAATATAATTTCCTACCTCATTCCATGTACCAAACTAAATTCTTGATTGATTAAAATATCTTTAGAGAAAAATAGTATAAAATCCTAGAAGAAAACAGAGGCTGGCTGGGTGCGGTGGCTCATGCCTCTAATTCCAGAACTCTGGGAGGACCAGGTGGGAGGATAGCTTGAGCCCAAGAGTTCAAGACCAGCCTGAGAAACATAGGGAGACCCTGTCTGTACAAAAGGAATAAAAAAATTAGTGGGGATGGTGGCACATGCCTGTAGTCCCAGCTACTTGGGAGGCTGATCCGGGAGGATCATTTGAGCCCGGGAGGTCAAGACTTCAGTGAGCCATGTTCGTGCCACTGCACTCCAGCTGAAGTGACAATATGAGATCCTGAAAAAAAAAAAAAGAAGGAAAGAAAGAGAGAGAGTGAAGGAAGGAAGAAAGGAAGAAAGGAAGAAAGGGAGGAAGGGAGGGAAGGAAGGAAGGAAGAAAGGGAGAAAAAAAAGAAAATATAGGTTAATGTTTTTATAATTTTGAGCTGGAGAAAGGTTTCCTAAGCAAGAATAAAAACTCAAAATTATAACGGAGAAAAATGGCCAGATTTGACCTGATAAAGTTATTTTTAATACCTTATGGCCAAAGATAACAAACAAGAAGTGAAAGACTGACTACAGTGAGAGAGTACATTTGCAACATGTATAAACAAGTATGAATATCCATAAAATATAAAGACTTCAAGAAATCAATAAGAAAAAGATAAACATACAGAAAAATGGCAAAGCTTTTAAAGGGAAAATTTACAGAAAAAGAAGTACCGGTAACCACCGCATAACTAAAAGTTGCTCCGTCTCATTACTGATCAGGGAAATGAAAATTAAGCATGAGATTGATAAAATAAACAATATAGATAATATCCAAATTTTGGTGGAAGTGGGTAAGAAAAAGAGACACTCACGCCTGGGAGCTTGGAATAGAAACTCATACGGCCAAACTGGGGGACAATTTAGCAAAATCTATGTACATGTAACAGGGAGTAAAAATCCTTTCAAATGGCAACTCCATGCTTGACGAATCTATCTCACAAAAATATAAGCTCACATGCACAGTATTTTTTGTAATAGCTAAATATTGAAATAACTTCTAATCATCTGTAGTAGAATAGTTAAATAAATCGTTACACCTGTACCGTAGAATTCTCTGCAGCCATAAAATGAATGTCATATATTAATTCATGTCTTGATGTAGAAAGACTCCTAGATGCAATGTTAAGAAAAAGAAGGCGAGGGGCGGTGGCTCACTCCTCTAATCCCAACAGTTTGGAAGGCCAAGGAAGGCGGATCGCTTGAGCTCAGGAATTCAAGACCAGCCTGGGCAACGTCATGGGATAGAACAGAATAGAATACTACCAAACTATTAACTATGGTACCTTTGGAGAAAAGAACAAAATAAGAAAAAGGGGTGGTGGAGGAAGATGTGCATTTTATTATTTATATATATATATATTTTAAATGTGACTAATATGCATTCGTTTGTAACTTAAAAATGTAAACTTTGAACATCCAGAAGAAAATATCTTGTAAGAAAAGAATACAAGCATATGTAAAGAAATAATTGTGCACTAAGGTGTAAATAGTTCTGCCATCTATTCTTTATTCACTAACTAGTAAAGAAATATAGAAAGCGAAACAAAAAACTAATGGAACACATTTGTAATTGAAGTGTAACCAAATATGTAGATTACAGGCTGCAGTCTTCACAGTGCCTGTTATCCGTGGAGGAGAGGTCTCTGTTTCCATGGCAACACTGCCTGCAGTAAAGAGAACTTGTGAAAGAAATCCTTTTTCTCAGGAGGAAGTGCATGAAGTGTGTGCTGATTTACTGAGCATAAGTTTATCTCTCATTTTTCGTCCTGAGGGGGACTTTTTTTTTTTTTTAATGCTCAATCGCAAAATCCATCACGGACTTAGAATGGCAAAAGTCAAAATGAAATTTCTGGCTAAGCGGTCACCTTGTCTCGACTGCATCAATAATGACATCTCAAGGACAGTCCATCCTGACTCTGGGAGTCCCCAGACAGGCATTAGAACAGCAGTATAATCTTTCACTCCGTTTCTGGGTCAGTGGCACCGATTTTCATGGCTGCACTCTTTTTAAAAAATTAATTTTATTTTTTGATTGACAAATAATAATTGTACATATGCATAACGTACATAGTGATGTTTTGATACATATAATGTATGGTGATCAGATCAAGGTAATTAGCACATCCATCATCTCAAACATTTATCATTTCTTTGTGTTGGGAACATTCAATATCTTTCATATTGGGAAAGATTTATGTATAGATCTTACTAAATTGTCCCCCAACTTGGCCATATCAGTTTCCATTCCAACCTTTCAGACTTGCCTTTGAGAAAACCTATACATGGCAGATGTTTATATAAATTACCTAAAAGTCAATATTTTCTTTACTAAAATATAATCCTTAGTTGTGCTATGAAGGACAACTCTGGAAAATTGTTAACTGTCATCTCAGTTGAAGTTTTATTTTTTTCCCTGTCTTTCAGACATCTCGAGATCTGGCGTGTTTTATACAGTTTGAAAATGTCAACATTTACTATGGGACTCAGCATAAAATGAAATATAAAGCGCCCACTGACTATTGCTTTGTTTTAAAGGTATGTTATAAGAAGTCATTCATTTAGATTTATAAGCAATTTGAGTTAATTTTTTTTCAAGGAAGAAAATGTTAAATTATAGTTAGCCATATGTGTAACAATAAGAAATTGTTTAACCAAAATAGGAATGAGGGAAACATTTCTATCAATTTGGGACATTTTCCCCAAAGCCTCCTATCTGAACCTAAAACTTTAAGGTAACTCTGTCTGGGGATTTCTTCACTTCTGAAAATGAAAGTTCCACATTTTAAACAAATTAATTTATAATGTTATCGATAAGACTAAAAAAAGTTTTCAGTTCTTATTGGGCTCATTCCACCATAAGAAGATTTTAGAAATTAGAAACTTGCAAGATTTCCTAGACAACTTATAGAAAATAGCCAAAAAAAAGTTGTTTTAATTACTGGGTCATGAAACTTCAGGTGTATATTGTCAAAAGGCAATAGGTATTATCAAATGTTAGATATGGTTTACATTTTTTTGAGACCGAGTCTCACTCTGTCACCCAGGGTGGAGTGCAGTGGCTCAATCATAGCCCACTGCAGCCTCAGCCCCCCAGGCTCAAGCAATCCTCCTGCCTTAGCCTCTCAAGTATCTGGGACTAGAGGTGTGCACCACCACACCAGCTAATTTTTGTATTTTTAGTTAAGATAGGGCTTTACCATATTACCCAGGCTGGTCTCAAACTCCTGGGCTCAGGCAATCCACCTACCTTGGCATCCCAAAGTGCTGGGGTTGCAGGCATCAGCCACCACTCCTGGCCGATTTACATTTTTTAAAATTAGAATCTCAGATCAGTCTGATCAGGAGATGGGTTATTACAACCACACATGTGATGCGTTACGGGTCTTTCTGTATGCCTGCAGAACTCTGGATTAAGGACTATGGTAAGTTTTTGTCTGCGTTTCTTTTTAGTCAAATGCAATAACCAGGTGAATTCAATCATATTTAGTAATTTTGACTCCCTGAACAATTACAATCACTTATTATAATCATCAAATAATAATTGGTTGAAATTCTTGGCTTTATCAAGGACTCAGGATATTCAGTGACTTTCATTCAGATGTCCTAGCCTTTTTTTTTTAATTCCTAAGCATCCACTTTTAATTATTTACAGATAATATTAATAATAAAAACCACTATACTAGCTCAGTCAGCCTGATACTCCCCCAGTGGTTCTCAACCAGGCATTTTGCCTCCAAGGGTCATTTGGCGAACCCTAAAAACATTTTTGATTGTCATAGCTTGGGGCATGGAGCAGGGACTACTGACATCTAGTAGGCCAGGTATGCTGCTAAATACCTTGCAGTGCACAAGAAAACCCCCACACCAAAGACTTCTCTGGCCCCCAATGTCAACAGTGCTGCTGTCAAGAAACCTGCCCTAGACAGAAGAGCCCCAGAATAATGACTGTGAAAGCACTGAAGGCCGGGAGAAGGCTGGATCCGTTCACTCACTCATTCATTCAGTCATTTAATGTTTGTTGAATGACGGCCGGGCACGGTGGCTCACACCTGTAGTCCCAACACTGTGGGAGGCTGAGGCAGGCAGGTCACTTGAGGCCAAGGACTCTAGACCGTACTGGCCAACATGGTGAAACCCTGTCTCTGCTAAAAATACAAACAGTAGCTGGGCGTGGTGGTGCACGCCTTTAGTCCCGCTACTTGGGGGGCTTGAGGCAGGAGAATCACTTGAACCCGGGAGGCGGAGGTTGCAGTGAGCCGAGATCGCACCACTGCACTCCAGCCTGGGCGACAGAGAGAGACTCTGTCTCAAAAAAAAAAAAAGAAAAGAAAAAGAAAAAAAATGTGTTGAATGACAACTATTGTTGAGTGACAAGGATTATTATTATCATTATTATTTTCACTGCCGCATTCCCATCACCTGGAATAGTGGTGGGAATGCGGCAATTAAAAAAATACAACAATCCCTGTCCTCATGGAGTTTACATTCAACATGAGGAAAATGGCAAAGAACAAAAAAATATGCAATGTGATGTCAAGTAGTAACAAGGAGCAATATGAGGTAGGGCTGGGGCCAGGGCTCCTTTGGATGGGGTGTTCACAGAGAGGCTCTCTAGGAAGTGACATTTGACAAAAGATGTGAATGAGGTGAGGGAGCAAGAATTATCTGCAGTACGAGCCCTCCAGGAATAAGAACAGGAATTGGAAAGCCCTGAGGTGAGGGAGGTCTGTTTGTTCCGAAGGAAGAGAGATGGGGAGCATGCCCTGCCTGATTCTGCTCCTCGCCCCTCCTTGTCTGTTCCTGATATAGGAAAAATAAGAATAATGGCAAGCACTTATATGGCATTTTCTTTGTAGATGTGGTATGTGTGCAGAGAGACTCCCCAGCCAGGAAGTGGCCAAGTCAGAATGAGAACTCAGGCAGTGCGGCTCAGAGGCCGTTCTCTCAGACAGTTTCTCAGGCCCCCAGAGATCTGGACACAAAGCATCGCCCACTACCCTGTCCCTCCCACAATGCCACCTGCCCTTGAGTCACATCTTCCCATGTCTGGAATCCTAAGACCCTGATAAATTACCAAAATGGAGCATTCCAACACACTTTATTGCCAAAGACTTGTCCACACTTCTTAAATCAGGAGAAGGTTTTGGAGAAATTTTCTGAAACACTGGTCAGTAAACTGGCTGAATCAGTCACTGGAGACTCTTTACAAATGCAGGTTCCCAGGCCCTAGGCCCACTAAATCAAAATAATGATGGAACCTAGGGTTAGGGTTAGGGTTTAAGGATGGAGCCTAGGAATCTTCATTTTTCCTAAGCATGGTCAAGTTTTCTACTGAGTGTTAGAACTCACTCTAACCATCAGTACTCATGGCTTAGCTGGTGATTAAATGGCCTTCAGAGTGGGCAGACAGGATGAAAGTCTAGCAGAAGGAAGCAGGAGCCAAACCCCAGGGCTGGGGTCCAGAAGCCAGAGCAGGGGTGTCTGTCAAGAAAAAGACAAGGTCTCTGACAAGAGGTTCCCAGCATGGGGATTTAGACACAGTGAACAGGGGAGGGACTCAGTTTCTCAAACTGACACATAAGTTTGGGACTAGGACCTACAATTGGCAGGACTTGAACGGTCTGACCTAGAACATGAGGTTATCCTGAGATTACACCAAGAATAGAAATCCTAAGTCCCAGAGTATTGAACCAGAATTTCTAAAACTTCCTGCTATCCAAGGTCTAGGTCTACAAGAGAGAGTTGAGGATCTCCCCAAAGGAGAGAGGGGGCTCAGAGGTGGAGAAACCAGCAGGACTGATGGATCTGGGAGCAAGAGTCATGAGCAACCCTTGCAGAATGTGTATTTCCTTTTCTCTCAGGATGATGATCTGTTCTGTTCTAAAGCCAATTTCCTCATGTGCAATCACCCTGCTCATTTTGTTCTTAAGCATGCTTCTCAGTTCCCTCCCAAAATATTGAGAATTCTTATTAATTTGCTGAGTAAAAGGATAACTGTTGAGGTTTGGAGAACCTAATTTGTTTATGAACATTGTGGTCACTTATTTCCCTTTTTGTCTGCTGTTTTAAAAAAATAAAAACTCTTGCTATTCTTTATTAGGGTGAGCCAATTTCCAAAATGCAAAGAATGAGTGTGTAGATTGCAAGAGGGATTAAGGATACAGGGAGGCATGTTAACAGACTTAGGCCAGGTGCGGTGGCACGTGCTTGTAATCCCAGCACTTTGGGAGGCCAAGGCGGATGGATCACCTGAGGTCAGAAGTTTGAGACCACCCTGGCCAAAATGGTGAAACTCCATCTGTACTAAAAATACAAAAATTAGGCCGGGCGCGGTGGCTCACGCCTGTAATCCCAGCACTTTGGGAGGCCGAGGCGGGCGGATCACGAGGTCAGGAGATCGAGACCATCCTGGCTAACACGGTGAAACCCCGTCTCTACTAAAAATACAAAAAATTAGCCGGGCGTGGTAGCGGGCGCCTGTAGTCCCAGCTACTCGAGAGGCTGAGGCAGGAGAATGGCGTGAACCCGGGAGGCGGAGCTTGCAGTGAGCCGAGATCGCGCCACTGCACTCCAGCCTGGGCGACAGAGCGAGACTCCGTCTCAAAAAAAAAACAAACAAACAAACAAAAAAAAACCACAAAAATTAGCTGGGCGTGGTGGCACGCGCCTGTAATCCTAGCTACTCAGGAGGCTGAGGTACGAGAATCGCTTGAACCCCGGGAGGTGGAGGTTGCAGTGAGCCAAGATCACGCCACTGCACTCCAGCCTGGGCGACGGAGTGAGACTTTGTCTCAAAGAAAAAAAAAAAAGATTGCATGATTTCATGGCCTGATAAGGCCAGGCTAAAGTTTATTCTTCAATATGAGCTTGATGACTATGGCTGTTCATGAAAGGTCCTGTCAGAAAGATTGGCGTCTGAGTCCTGGCCCTGTCACCTAGTAACTGGGTCACTAATAAGATGCTAAGCCTCACTGCACATCTTCAAGAGATGAGAGCGTCCAGCCCTTCTTTTGATAATTAAATATGATATGCCTACAAAATCATTAGTGCAATGTCTAGAAACATATCAGCACTTAGTAAGTGGTAGTTATTATTGCCCTCTGGTATTAAATAAATCTATTTATTAACCAGTGGTTCTCAAACTTTAGTATGCATCAGAACCATTTAGATTGTTAAGACACACATTGCTAGGCCCCCAGGGTTTTTGATTTAGTAAGTCTGGGATTGGGCCCAGAAATTTGCTTTTATTTTTTGCCTTTGTATTTATTCATTTATTTTTTAATTAACCCATAGTAATTGTACATTATGACACACAATGTGATGTTTTGATATATGTAAACATTGTGTAATCATCAAATCATGGTAATTAGCACAAACGTTTATCATAAAATCCTCTCTTCTAGCTGTTTGAAATATACAATGCATTATTGTTAGCTATAGTCACCCTACCTTGCAGTAGTGTACCAGAACTTATTCTTCCTAACTATAACACTGTACTCATTGACAAGCCTCTCTCCCCATTCTCTCCGGTCTCTAGTAACCACTATTCTACTCTCAACTCCTATGAAATCATTTTCTTTTAGATTCCACATATGAGTGGAATCTAAATATTTTTGTATTTTCTTTACCTATTCATCCACTGATGGGCATTTAGGTTGATTCTATATTTTAGCTATTGTGAACAGTGCTGCAATAAACATGAGAGGGCAGGTGTCTCTTTGACATATTGATTTCATTTCCTTTGTATATATACCCAACAGTGGAAATACTGGATCATATGGTAGATGTATTTTCAGTTTTTTGAGGCACCTCCATACTGTTTTCTGTAATGGCTAGACTAATTTACATTTCTGCCAATGGTGCATAAGAGTTCTTGTTTTTCCACATCCTTGTCAGCATTTGCTATTTTTTGTCCTTTTATCATAGCCATTCTAATTGGGATGATGCAAAATCTCATTGTAGTTTTGATTTGCATTTCCTTGGTGGTTAGTGATGTTAAGCATTTTTTAAATTCCTATTGGCCCTGTGTATGTCTTCTGTGGTGAAATATCTATTCACGTCTTTTGTCCATTTTTTAAAAATTGGATTATTTGGGTTTTTTGCTAGTGAGTTATATGAGTTCCTTATATATTCTTCTTATTAACCCTTAGTCAAATGTATAATTTGCAAATATTTTTTCTCATTCTGTAGGTTGTCTCTTTACTCTGTTGATTGTTTTCCTTGCTAGGCAGATTCACCGTTTTGGGTCTTTCTTTTTGTTGGTTTGTTTGTTTGTTTTGCTTTGTTTTGTTTTGTTTTTTTGAGACACAGTTTCGCTCTTGTTGACCAAGCTGGAGTGCAATGGCATGATCTCAGCTCACTGCAACCTCCGCCTCTCGGGTTCAAGCAATTCTCCTGCCTCAGCCTCCCGAGTAGCTGGGATTACAGGAACGCGCCACCACTCCCAGCTAATTTTTTTGTATTTTTTAGTAGTGATGGGGTTTCACCATGTTAGCCAGGCTGGTCTCGAACCCCTGACTTCAGGTGATTCGCCTACCTCGGCCTCTCAAAGTGCTGGGATTACAGGCATGAGCCACTGCGCCCGGCCAGTTTTGGGTCATATATTAACTAATCTATTTTGGGTCGATTTTTGTTTATGGTGAGAAATAGGGGTCAAGTTACACGCTTTGCATGTAGATATCCAGTTAACCCAACACTGTTTATTGAAGACACTATCTTTCCCTCAATGTGACTTTTTTGGTTTGTTTTTCTTCTTCTTTTTCTTTTGTGGGGGACACCTTTGTTGAAAATCAGTTGGCTCTAAATGCATTGATTTATTTCTGGACTCTCTATCTTGTTCCATTGGTCTATGTGTCTGTTTTTATGCCAATACCACACTGCTATAGATTTGTAGTATATTTTGAAATCAGTTTGTGACTCCTCCAGCTTTGTTCTTTTTGCTCAAGGTTGCTTTGGCTATTTGGAGTCTGTGTTTCCACATAAATTTGAGGATTGCTTTTTTCTATTTCTGTGTGAAGTATGACATTAAAATTTTTTTTTATTATTATACTTCAAGTTTTAGGGTACATGTGCACAACGTGCAGGTTAGTTACATATGTATACATGTGCCATGTTGGTGTGCTGCACCCATTAACTCGTCATTTAACATTAGGTATGTCTCCTAATGCTATCCCTCCCCCCTCCCCCGACCCCACAACAGGCCCCGGTGTGTGATGTTCCCCTTCCTGTGTCCATGTGTTCTCATTGTTCAAGGGATTGCTTTGAATCTGTAAATTACTTTTGGTAGCATGGACATTATAACAATATTAATTCTTCCAATTTATGAACACGGGATATCTTTCCATTTATATCCTCTTCACCTTCTTTTATCACTGTTTTATAGTTTTCGTCATAGAGCTCTTTCTCCTCCTTGGTTAAATTTATTTCTAGGTATTTTATTTTTGTGTAGGTATTGTAATGGGATTGCTTTCTTGATTTTCAGATAGTTGGCTACTGTTGAATAGAAATGCTACTAATTTTTGTATGCCGATTTTCTATCGTGAAACTTTACTGCATTTGTTTATTAGTTCTAACAGTTTTTTTGGTGGAGTCTTTGAGATTTTCTACATATGAGATCATGTTGTCTGCAAACAGAGACCATTTGACTTCCTCCTTTCCAATTTGGATGCCTTTTCTTTCTTTCTCTTGCCTAGTTGGTCTCGCTAAGAGTTCCAGTACTATGCAGAATAGTAGCAGTGAAAGTGGGCATCCTTATCTTGTTTGAGATCTTAGGGAAAAAGCTTCTAATTTTTTCCCATTCAGGGTGATGTTGGCTGTGGGTTTAACATATATAAACTTTATTACGTTGAAGTATGTTTCTTCTATACCTAATTTGTTGAGATGCTGAATTTTTGTCAAATGCTTTTTCTGCATCTGTTGAAATAAGCATTTGGTTTTTAATCTTTATTCTGTTAATGTGATGTGTCACATTTATTGATTTGTATATGCTAAACTATCCTTGTATTGCTGGGATGAATCCCACTTGATCATGATGAATGGTCTTTTAAATATGCTATTTAATTTGGATTGCTAGTATTTTTTTGAGGACTTTTGTATCTATGTTCATCAGGGATGTTGGCCTGAAGGTTTTCTTTTTTGTTGTGTCCATGTTTGGTTTTGGAATTGGGATAATGTAGGCCTCATAGAATGAGTTTGGAAGAGTTTCCTCCTTTTCAATTTTCTGAAATAGTTTGTGAAGAATTAGTCTTTATATGTTTCTAGAACTCAGCAGTGAAGCCATCAGGTCCTGGGCTTTTCTTTGATAAGAGACTTTTTATTACAGCTTCAATTTCATTACTCATTGTTGGTCTTTTTAGGTTTTCTGTTTCTTCCTGTTTCAATCATGGTAGGTTATATGCATCTAGGATTTTAGTCATGTTTTCCTAGGTTTTCCATTTTGCTAGTGTGTAATTATTTATAGTAGTTTTTATGATCTTTTGTATTTCTGTAGTATCAGTTGTAATGTCTTTCTTTTCATCTTTCATTTTATTTCTTTCAGTCATCTTTCTTTTTTTCTTAGACTAGCTAAAGGTTTCTCAATTTTATTTTTTCAAAAAACTTACTCTTTGTTTTATTAATATTTGTGTTTTAGCCTCTTTTAGCCTTAATATTTCTTTTTCAAATGAATGAAATTAATCTCTATTTCATTTATTTGTGCTCTGATCTTTATTATTTCTTTTCTCCTACTAATTTGGGGTTTAGTTTGTTCTTATTTTTTCTAGTTCCTTGAGATGCATCATTAGATTGTTTATTTGAGAGCTTTCTTTGGCTGAAAAAGTCTTTATCTCCTTCATTTCTGAAGAATAGCTTTTCTGGGTACAGTATTCTTGGTTTTTTTTTTAATCTTTTTTTTAATCTTTCATCACTCTGAATATATTGTCCCACTCTTTCTTGGCCTGCAAGGTTTCTGCTAAGTCTGCTGCCAGGCATATTAGAATTCCCTTATGTGTTATTTGCTTTTTTTTTCTTGCTGCTTTCAGGTGCATCGCTTTGTCTTTGACCTTTGAGAATTTGATTATGATATATATTGGAGTATTCTTATTTAGGTTGAATCTGATTGGTGACCTTTGACCTTCCTGTGCCTGGATATTTGTATCTTTCTTCTGATTTGGAAGCTTTTCTATTATTATTTATTTGAATAAGCTTTCTATCCCTTTTCATTCTTTACTCTCTCTTTAAAGTTAGTTACATGTAGATTTGCTCTTTTGATGATGTCCCATGGGTCATGTAATTTTTTCTTTATTCCTTTTCATTTTTTTCCTTTTTTCTCCTTTGACTATGTATTTTCAAATAGCCTGCCTTCAAGCTGACTGATTATTCTGCTTGATCAATTCTGCAGTTGATGTCCTCTGTTTCATTTTTCATTTTGTTTGTTATACTTTTCAGCTCTAGGATTTGTTTGTTTTTTTAATTATTTCTATTTATCTGATGAATGCTTCTGATAAATTTCTGAATTGCTTCTCTGTGTTTTCTTGAAGTTTGCTGAGTTTTGTTATAACAGCTATTTTTGAATTCTTTGTCTGCCAGATAGCTGGCACCTCTTTTTGTCCATTTAGTGAGACCATGTTTTCTAGGCTATTCTTACTCCTTGTAGACATTGGGCTCTGTCTTTGCATTGTTGAGTTAGGTATTTATTTCAGTCTTCCCTGTCTGGATTTGTTTATGACCGTTCTTTTTTAGTGGGCGTATGCAGAAATTGTGAGCAGATTGACTTTTGTATGTCATTTCAGCACTAGAGGGCCTCCTAAGTCCAGGTTAGACCCGAATCCTACACTAACTCTGCCGAGGATACACTGTTCAAACTGCATGGGCCCTGGGAGACCCACAGAGGGCCCACTGGATGGTGTGGGAAAGCCGGTCAGGCTCTCAGGTCCAGAGGTTCTGTGGACCATGCCTCCCACAGCACAGCATAAACAGCCCATCTGGTGTATCATCACATCTGGCAGGGAAGGTGAGCCACTGCCAAATTTGTCCACCTGGCTGCTGCTAGCCCCACTCCCTCTCTTTGTCCCTTGCTGGCCTCACGTGTTTCAGCCCCGTTGGTACTTGGTACTCACAGTGCTCTCCATAGGCCCATGCAGAAGCAAGCCTCCCACAGAAGGACCCAGTGTGGTAAGAAACCTGAGTGTGAGTCCGGGGGGACTTTCCATGTGTGGGTACCGCAGTGGCTCAGGGGAGGGGCAACATAGTCAGGGGAAACCATCCCCTTACCGTCCAACTGCGGTTTCACTCATTTTTGCAGTCCAGCGGGGCTTCCCAGTCTCACTCACGGTCAGTTTCCTTAGCCCTCATAAAGGCACTTTTGTGCGTGGATAGAAGCCGTTCCTTCATGCATTCTTTCTCATTCCATTCTGGGGCTAGATGCAATGGGGCAGAAGTAAATATCTTCCAGGAGAAGTTATGTTTCTATGGAGGCCCGTTAGGAAGTAGTGGAATGTCATGGAAGGAGCGCTGGAATTCCGCCCCGTCGCTCACCTGCTTCCTACCCCTTACTCAGCTATATTTTTCTTTACAGTATTTTTCACAATGAAAAATTATATTACTTTAGTGTTTTGTATTTTTATTGGCTTTCTCCCATAGTAGAATATAAATGTCATGAGAGCAAGGACTTTTTCTATTGTGTTCACTATTGTGTTCCAGAGCTTGGAGTGATATTTGACACATTGTAAATGCTCAATACATATCAGATGAATGGATAGATTAATGGATGGGTGGATGGACAGATGGGTGGGTGGATGGATGGATGGATGGATGGATGGATGGATGGATGGAATACAGATCAAAGCCCCTTGTACCATTGTGTCCTTCAAAACATGGTTCAGGGCAGGCACAGTGGCTCATGCCTGTAATCCCAGCACTTTGGGAGGCCAAGGCAGAAGGATCGCTTGAGCCCAGGAGCTCGAGACCAGCCTGAGCAACATATCAAGACCCCATCTCTACAGAAAAACTTTTTAAATCAGCAGGGTGTGGTAGCATGCACCTATAGTTCCCACTACTCAGAAGTCTGAGGCAGGAGGATCCCTTGAGCCCACATTCAAGGTTGCAGTGAGTTATGATCACACTACTGCACTCCAGCCGGGGCAACAGAGTGAGACTCTGTCTCTAAAGAAATGCTTAATTAGCTGGGCACTGTGGCCCATGTGTGTAATCCCAGCATTTTCGGAGGTCAAGGCAGGAGGATCACTTGACCTTAGGAGTTCGAGACCAGCCTGGGCAACATAGGGAGACCCCCGTCTCTACAAAATATTTAAAAATCAGCCTGGTGTGGTGGTGCACACCTGTAGTCCCAGCTACTCAGGAGGCTGAGGCAGAAGGATTGCTTGAGGCCAGGAGTTTCAGGGTGCCGTGAGCCACAGTCACACTGTTGCACTGTGGCCTGGGCAACAGAGCAAGACCTACCTCTAAAAAAGAAAGGAATGAAAGAAAGAAAGAAGGAAAGAAAAAAAAAAGGAAGGATAAGAAAGAAAACGGAGAACAGGATTGAATCGTCCCAGTTTACTTCCTGTTTACTTCTAAATTTATCCCACGCAGTAACTCTCCTACCTCCTGACTCTCCATCTCAGAGGAAGAAGGCTCCTATCTCCAACGTGGCCTCTGGAACCACATCGTCAGCCACTCCCTTTGGCTTCAGCATCTTCAAACCCTCTGCAGACAATTCTTCTCTTTTCCTTGGGCCACAGACATTTTCAAATATTCCTTGGTTTGGGGGCTCTAACTCACTCCCCTCAGTGGTATCTGCCCCACCTCTTCAAGCAGCACCTTTGACCTCTGTCTTCTCTTTAACTCAGACTTCCTGAGAAAGTGATGATGCCCTCCATGTCCTCAACTTTTTTTTTCTTTTTTTGAGATGGAGTCTCGCTCTGTCGCCCAGGCTGGAGTGCAGTGGCGCGATCTCAGCTCACTGCAACCTCCGCCTCCCAGGTTCAAGCAATTCTCCTGCCTCAGCCTCCTGAGTAGCTGGGATTACAGGTGCCCGCCACCACACCCAGCAAATTTTTGTATTTTTAGTAGAGACAGGGTTTCACCGTGTTGGTCAGGCTGGTCTCGAACCCCTGACCTCATGATCCACCTGCCTCAGCCTCCCAAAGTGCTGGGATTACAGGTGTGAGCCACCGCACCCGGCCTCAACTTTTATTCTCATAGTTTAATTCATTCATTCAACAACATTCCTTTCAGCCAGGCACAGTGGCCTACACCTGTAATTCCAGCACTTTGGGAGGCCGAGGCAGGGGGATTGTTTGAAAGCAGAAGTTCAAGACCAACCTGGGCAACATTGTGAAACCTCGTCTCTACAAAAAATTTAAAAACATTAGCTGGGCATGGTGGCGCACATCTGTGGTCCCAGCTCCTCAGGTGGCCGATCGGGGTGGGAGAATCACTTGAGCCCAGGCGTTGGAAGTTGCAGGGAGCCATGATTGCACCACTGCACTCCAGCCTGGGCAACAGAGGCAGACCCTTTCTCTACGAATGTATACATATATCTTTTGAATTTTCTTTATTCAGACTTGGGGGTACATCGGTAAACAAAACAAAGGCCTCTGGCTTTGTGGAGTTTGCATGCTAGCAGGCTTCTCCCTGCACCTCTGTGGAAACTGCTATTATTAAGATTTCCAAAGAATAGTGGCTTTCTCCAGTCCTCATGGCATCTTTTGCATTGATGACAGCATCCTCATTTTATGGTCTTCAAACTGGACCCCTACTCTGCTTCTGCTGGTGCCTCCTCCTTCCCTACACACTGTAATGCTCTCCAGGGTCCTAAATTCAGTTCTCACCAGACTCCCCGTGCTCTCGCTGAGATCACATTCACAGCCACAGCTCCAACCATTGTCTGTGTTGGAGACAAATAATTCCTAATCCGTAGTGGACAGTCTCACCTTCTTCCCTAGCTCCACACGTGCAGTAACCACATGTCCAAGGGGTACCTCTATCATGCACACTGATTTCAACATTTCCTCCACCCCCTGCTTTCCACAGTCCCTCAAGGATGAATGGCACCATCACCTACTCTATTCGTTTTCTGGAGCTGCTGTAACAAACTGCTGGTAACTAGATAACTTCACAGAAATTTATTTATTGAAGAGTTCAGGAGACCAGAAGTCCCAAATCAAGGTGATATTGGAATCAGAAGTCCAAAATCAAAACCAGAGTTGTGTTCCTTCTGAGGGCTCAGAGGCAAAATCTGTTCCATGCCTCCACGCCTCTTCTAGCTTCCGGCAGCTCCCAGCAGTGCTGGCATTCCTTGGCTTGCAGCTGCGTGTGCCAATCTCTGCCTCCCTCAACATGTGACTATCTTCTTTCTTTGTCTTTGTCTGTGTCTGTTTCTTCTCTTCTTATAAGAACGTGTCATTTTGGTGGTTGTTTTTGTTTGCTTGTTTTTTGTCGGTTTTGGTGTTTTTTGTTTTCTTGAGACAGGGTCTCACTCTGTTGCTCAGGCTGAGTGTGGTGGTATGATCACAGCTCATGGCAGCCTCAACTTCCTGGGCTTAAGTGATCCTCCTGCCTCAGCCTCCCAAGTAGCTGGGACTACAGGTGCACACCACCACACCTGGCTAATTTTTTGTATTTTTTGCAGAGATGGGGTTTAGCTATGTTGCCCAAGCTGATCTTGAGCTCTTGGGCTCAAGCAATCCACCCACCTTGGCCTCCCAAAGTGCTATGATTACAGGTGTGAGCGACCACACCCGGCTTACACCAGTCTCTTTGGATTTAGAGCCCACTTTCATCAGGATGACTTCATCTTAACTTTATTACATCTGGCAATGACCCTATTTCCAAATAAGGTTACATTCATAGGTACCAGGAGTGAGTACCATAGCTTTTAGGAGGAGGGAGATAATTAAACCCATAACATCCACCTACTCTACCAAGCTAGAAACAGAAAAAGCATGCCTGATTTTCTTCCTGTCCCCATTTCTCGTTAATCTATGAGCAAGTTCTTCTATTTCCCATCAAGATCTCCCATTGAGCCCTCCCTCAGTTCGATCTTATTCTTCACTCCAGATCCATCTTCCTCATAGCCCCCAGTGACTTCCTGTGTCACTGTGCTGTTTTAAAATGTCCAGTGCCCCCCACTGCCCAGGGGATCATGTCTAGATTCTAGTTTGACTCAAGGGTCTTTACTCAGATTCCACACCAGCTTAATTTCTGCTTCTTCATTCCATGGTTTCCAGACCTCAGCCATACAGAATTTCTCCATGTTCTCCAAATATATTACAGCATTCTGTCGCTTCTTCCAAAGACCCTCTCTTGGCCCATTTTCAAACTTTTAGTATGGAACATACTATTTCATAATCACATTACATATGTGATTTGATTACATCAGGTGTTTACATACATCTCTCCCTAAAACACCTCCAGGGAGCATTGCCCAATTAACACATGAGCTCTCTTATTCCTCTTTTTGTTGTTTTTTTGTTTGTTTGTTTGAGGTAGGGTCTCCTCCAGCCCAGTCTGGAGCACAGTGGCACAATCATGGCTCACCGCAGCCTCGAACACCTGGTTCCATCTATCCTCCCACTTCAGCATCTCTAGTAGCTGGAACTACAGGTGTGTGCCACAACACCTGGTTAATTTTTGTACTTTTTGTAGAGACAAGGTTTCACTGTGTTGCCTAGGCTGATCTCAAATTCCTAGCCTCAAGTGATCTGCCTGTCTTGGCCTCTCAAAGTGCTGGGATTACAGGTGTGAGCCACGGGGCCCTGCCTCTCTTACTCCTCTTAATGTACCTAGGAATTAGCATATTTCTTGGCACCCAGAGATATTTATTGAACAAACAGGACCTTGGTTCTTTCACTACCTTTGGCCTTGGATAAATTGCTCACCCTCTCTCACCCTGTTTTCTCATTTCGTAAGCTCAGAGGGTCTATAAGTGCCCTTTAAGCAGTGACAGTCCACAATCGCCCTGACCTCTGTGTGCTGTTCTCATGTCCCAAGAGAGCTTCTCTCTCTTTATGATCGGGAACAATCAAATCAATTGCGAAAGAGCCTGGCCAGTGACACTGCACCAGCATTTTCCTGAAACCTCTTTGCAAATGATTATTCAGCAAAAGGCTCGGTTAGGCAATAAGCTCCTTGGCAAAGTCTCAAGACACGGTGGAGAACAAGCCCAGTGACTTGCTCTATAATGTCTGCAAGGCTGAACGATTTCTGCATCACCAAGGGAGCCAGAAAGGAGCTTTTTCCCATTAGGTAGCTCATCTTAGAACCATAAAATCTGAGGATTGCTAGAGACCTTAGAGGTCATAGAATCCTCCTGTATACATCCATAGCACACATATAGTGTAAGGAAGGAACTTGGTGAGACCTGACCTATAGCAAGGTTTATCACCCCATCATCAGGGGGCTGTTTTATGTTCAAAAGTCATTTTCTTTAAGGGAGTGACTACATTTTGCTCTATTTCAATGAATAACATTCTTAAGAAATTGTTTAGGGTGCTTGTTAAATGGCTAACTCTATATAAGCAGTTGCTTTGTGCATTTTGTTGCAAACACGATGAGATTTAGTCTGCTCTGGAAACTTGGTTCTCACGTGACATCTACCAAAAACAATAATAGATTATCTTGAAGGTAACAATGTCAGCTTTTTAAATGTCTGAGTGGGGGGTGGGTGGAATAGCTGCTTTCTAAGAACAATTATAAACATTCAATTGCTGAAGAGACCAATGCTTGCCTCTCTTACATGACAATCAGAACACAAATGCTGTTTGTAGGTCAGAGAGCCGTGTTTCTGGTGCTGAAAGACAAGGGCATTGGTTTGGCTTTGCACATGTTATTGTTGAAGGGAATGCTGGAGGCATTTGTGGGCTGTCATGTTCCAGCCAATAAGTGTTGGCTTTAGTATATTTTTCATCAATATGACCTTCAGGTTAATTAAGAAAACAAATCCTTTTTGCTATCGGGCCATATTACCTGAGTTGATAGATATTTCCAATTTTAAGGGCCTCCAAAGAGGATCATTATTGGAGTAACATTTGCAAAAATAAAATCTAACATTCAGAATGAGGGAGTAAGCATTGAACCGCCAAAACAGTAAAATGCCCAGCAGCCATTCAAAAGTGTTTGCTGTCATCTGCTGGCTAGACTGGAAAACTACAGCAACATTCAGGAGCCTGATGTGAAGTTCTCACCGTCGGTAGAGAGAATGTCTGTGTTCCTGTTTGCTATGCCCAAGCAAATAGGAATTGACCGTTCTTCGAGCAATGGAGATGCAATTTCTGAGGCCGAGTGACCTACATAGAGAATACATATTTAAAGACAAAAATATGAGTAGAGTTTCCTCAGTTGCCTGAAAAGACCAAAGAGAGGAATTTTTAAAAAATCATTTCTGAATTTTTCCGTAGTCTCTTCCAAGTCTGGGATTTGGGTTTAATAGCTTAATACAAACACAGAAATTCTAGGTGGTTAGTCAGGAGACCCCCAGGTTCTAGTGGGGTCACAGGGAGGAATATATAGTAACCTCTCTGAGCCTCAGTTTTCTCATTTGTGAAACCAAAAATTACTAAACTCTCGTCAAGCTCTTGGAGTCTATAAAGGTCTTGTTATCCTTTCTGGACAAAGATTACAATCCCACACGCTCTTGCTGGCTGAGTCATTAGAAAGTCTAGCAGAGTGACTAGACGCTGCCAGTCAGATTCCAACTGAAGTTTAAAGACACGAGACCCTTTGCTTAGAACAACTTTGAGAATAGCCATTTCCTTGGAGGTCAGTGATTTAAGATGGAAAGCGAAAGAGAAGTGGAGAGGTCCATGCAATACCCTAAGAGAGGAATTGGACAGCTTCCCTCCTTTCCTGCCAACTGAAGAGCAGATAGATGCTTCCAGCTCTCTTGGCTTTCCATTCCACTTTCAGCACCACCAGCAAATGAGGATTATCCTAGCAGGATTAATGAATCCTCTGAGGACAGGAGGAAGAAGAAAGAGGTGGTACCATACCACACACACACACAAACACACACACACACACACACACACACACGATGCTTGTGGTTAATTATTTTTCTACATAATAAAATGTATTATAATAAACCTTATAATGACCCATGAAAATTTACATGGCCCATATTAATATCTCAGAACCTATGTTTGGTTGCCGGCCCCTCGCCTGATGACGGTGATTTCTAACTGAACAGGAAATATTGTGCTTGTTTCTTGATTCTTCAAGTATTCTGACATCTGGACTGGAATACCTGCCATGCGCTGGCCATGTGCTAAGCACTGAGGGTCTTCAGCAGTGAATAAGACAGATGTAGTTCCCACCTTCATGGAAGACACAGTCTATCAGAGACAGACACATAAAACAGAAACTAACTGGGCTTGGTGGTTCACGCATGTAATCCCAGCACTTTGGGAGGCTAAGGTGGGAGGATCACTTGAGCCCGGGGTTTCAGCACCAGACTGGGAAACATAGCAAGAGTGTTTCTTTAAAAAAAAAAAAAAAAAGCCAAGCATGGATGCATGTTTGTGGTCCCAGCGACAGAGGAGGCTGAGGTGGAAGGATTGCGTGAGCCCAGGAGTTAGAGGCTGCAGTGAGCCGTGATGGCACAACTGCACTCCAACCTGGGCAACAGAGTGAGACCCTGTCTTAAAAAATAATAAAAATTAAACCAGAAACAACAGAAGCAATGAGGACTAGGAGGAATGCAAGGAGTTTCTCTTTCACACCTGCCCATTTCCTTCTTCTCTTTGTGAGCTCCTGGAAGGCCTGTTCAGCAACCGGAACCATTGCTTAGTGCTACTTGCACTAAGTGTAATAGACAGAAATATTCCTTCTCCAGGGTGTCCATCTGGAAGCCACTGGCCCACTTGGGCAGCACATAGCAGTTAAGAAGGAAAGGTCATCACAAAACTCTGAATTTTTGGAAGCAGAAAAAACCCTAGAACCAGGTTTTGGGAGTTATAAACCCACAATTCTCATAGGCATTAATTCTATGACATAAGAATTATCTCAGGTAAGTTCCCTTATTTGACAAATGGAAAAGCAGCTCAGATTTCTCATGGGGATAGAGACAAGATAGAGGTGAAAAGCTTCCAAAAGTTAAAAAGGCATAAATGAAAATTATTATTGATAATATAGTAAGAAGTGTTTACAGACAAGGGATGGTGGCTCATGCCTGTAATCCCAGCACTTTGGTTGGCTGAAGCAGGAGGATTGCTTGAGGCCAGGAGTTTGAGACCAGCTTGGGTAATATAGTGAGACTCCAATTCTACCAAAAAAAAAAACAACGTTTTTTTCAATTAGCTGGACATGGTGGTGTGCACCTGTAGTCCTAGCTACTCAGGAAGCTGAGGAGGGAGGATCTCTTGAGCCCAGGAGTTCAAGGTTTGCAGTGAGCTGTGATTGTGCCACTCCAGCCAGGACAACTCTGCCTCTAAAAACTTTTTTTAAAAAGATGTGCTTATGATAAATCATAAAACAAATTTCTTTCTTTCTTTTTTTTTTTTTTTTTGAGACAGAGTCTTGGTCTATCACCCAGGCTGGAGTGCAGTGGTACAGTCTCAGCTCACTGCAACCTCCACCTCCCAGGTTCAAGCAATTCTCCCTCAGCCTCCCGAGTAGCTGGGACTACAGGCACCCGCCACCATGCCCAGCTAATTTCTTTTTCTTTTTTTCTTTTTTCTTTTTGGATTTTCAGTAGAGATGGGGTTTCACCACGTTGGCCAGGCTCATCTCGAACTCCTGACTTCAAGTGATCTGCTCGCCTCGGCCTCCCAACATATAACAAATTTCTTAAATCCTTTCAAAATTTAGTCATTTTTAAAAGTTATCTTCCTAATCTTAACATTACAACCAGTAATTTTTGCCACATAAATCACATATATTGTTAGAGATTTTTTTTAAATTTCCTGACAGGTGCTTTGACCTCCTAATACATGACAAGTGAATACATTGTCTCGAAACTGCTTCTTTCTAGCACCCCCAAATTCAGAAGGAGTCCCAGTATATCAAGTATCTCTGCTGTGATGACACAAGAACCCTTAACCAGTGGGTCATGGGAATACGGATAGCCAAGGTGAGAGAGCGTTCGGACTTCACCCTGTCTTGAACTTGCCAGCCAACTTCCTGACCTGGGCACAGCCTTCCTGGTACTGTGAAACAGCTGGCCCACCCTTGGGTTCAGCCACAGACATTATCAGGTTTATTCGCCCAGTGGGTTTTCTAAATGGGAGGAGCGATAGAAACACGAACCTCTCCAGTAACCGGATATTTACTCATGGCGAGTATTGCAAGCTTAGTGTGCAATTAAAAAACGCAAGATGGAACCTGTGATCGAGTTACATAAAGACACACGTAATCAGAACTGAGCAAAGCTCTTCTCTAATATGTAGGTGAAAAAATTAACTGACTCTGTTAATCTGGAAAATGATTGAATGTGTATTTGTTAAATTTTAATGGAAATATCCAAAAAACCAACTCAGACAAGTGGTGAACAGAGTAGCCGTGGAGTATTTATTTCTTCTGTATATGTATATTGCAATTGAGTGCAGAATTTGGGATACATGGATTCCTTTCCTTCTTCCTTTGTGTTCTCTCCCCAGTATGGGAAGACTCTCTATGATAACTACCAGCGGGCTGTGGCAAAGGCTGGACTTGCCTCTCGGTGGACAAACTTGGGGACAGTCAATGCAGCTGCACCAGCTCAGCCATCTACAGGTACTAAGTGGAGGAGAAATTCCAACACATATTCAAAGCTTGGTGCTCCAGTTCAAAATGTATCCAATACATCTATACAAACAGGACTTTGTACACAGCATTCAGAATATGTTTCTCACCTGATGATCAGGCTCAAACTCCCCGACTCAGCCCAGCCCTCACACACACACCCCTATAACATCTGTTTTCTTTTTCTTTTCTTTTTTTCTTTCTTTCTTTCTTTTTTTTTTTTTTTTTTTTTTTTGAGACTCTCTCGCACTGTTGCCCAGGCTGGAGTGCAGTGGCGGGATCTCAGCTCACTGCAAGCTCCGCCTCCTGGGTTCACACCGTTCTCCTGCCTCAGCCTCCTGAGTAGCTGGGACTACAAGCGCCCGCCACCATGCCTGGCTAATTTTTTGTATTTTTAGTAGAGACAGGGTTTCACCGTGTTAGCCAGGGTGGTCTTGATCTCCTGACCTCGTGATGCACCTGCCTCAGCCTCCCAAAGTGCTGGGATTACAGGCGTGAACCATTGCACCTGGCCTGTTTTCTTTTTCTTCTTTGCTTTTTTTTTTTTTTTTTGGAGGTAAGGTCTTGCTCTGTCACCCAGGCTGGAGCCCTGTATCTATTTTAAGCGCCTTTTAACAAAGCTTTGACCACTTCTTTCGTGATATTCTGTGGATGAGGTGTTGATCTCCTGTTTACAGTGAGCTAGTAGGTAGATGTTTCTTATCAAAGTACAAACATTATATCAGTCCAAGGCTCCATTAGTGCCCAGAAAACTGTTCACACCAAGAATAAGATTATGCCCTGGTGTTTTGATGTCTTGCACCCAATCCTGGACAGCACATTTTAAGGTAACATGAGTCAAAGTTCTGTGTCAAAAGGACAAATTAAAAGGCAGGAAAATAAAATAGCATACCAGGACTTTTGGGGGGAAAAACCACATCTAATTCCAGATTATTTCAAGGACCCCCACATTTTGCCCGAATTTCTGTCTGTTGTTTCTGTGTCCAATGTACTTTTTGTTGAGGACAATGTTGAAGAGTTGTTCCTGTACCTGTACTCAGTGTGGTGTGAAACTGGATAAATACATTTTAAAAAAATCAAGAATTTTTAAAAATATGTTTTCAAGGTTTATTCTTCAATTACTGAAAAGTTTTTAAAAGTAAAACATATTGTTACTCTCCAGGATCCCAGTTAGTCCAGACCCTCCTCAGTGGGCTTTATCAAATACCGTACTCACCTTCCTGATCTTTTTGCTGAATCTCATATAAAGTTTTGTCACAGAACCTCAGATTTTTCTTAAGGTTTTGTGTACCATGCCATGCCTGTGAGTTGCTCTCTTTGCTTTGTTTTTATTTTTGTTTTTTTTGTAAGAACTAGCCAACAAGTATCTTTCTTTGCTTTAGAGATGCAAACTGCTTTGTATTTTCAGATCGACTTTCAAGAATGTTGAAAATGCTTTGCTCACTCTTCTTTTCTCACTTCTTCCCTCTCAGGACCTAAAACAGGCACCACCCAGCCCAATGGACAGATTCCCCAGGCTACACATTCTGTCAGTGCTGTTCTCCAAGAGGCCCAGAGACATGCTGAAACATCGAAGGTAAAACCAGCAAGCAGCTGACCCCTATAAGCCATGTTCTAAACCATTCACATTATTCCAGTAACTGCTCTTTTAAAAAGAGAAAATAAGCTGAGTGCAGTAGCTCACACCTGTAATCCCAGAACTTTGGGAGGCTGAGGCAGGAGGATCACTTGAGCTTCAGTTTGAGACCAGACTGGGCAATATAGCGAGAGCTTGTCTCTACTAGAAAAAAAAAATTAGCCAGGCATGGTGGCATGCACCTGTAGTCCCAGCTACTGGGGAGGCTGAGGTGTTTGACTTGCTTGAGCCCAGGAGGTTAAGGCGGCAGTGATCTGTGATTGCGCCACTGCATTCCAGCCTGGGCGACAGAGTAAGATCCAGTCTTAAAATAAATAAATAAATAAATAAATAAATAGAAAATGCAGTTCCAACAACTGAGAAGTTACTACAATTTAATTTAGTTGATTGCTTGATATTTGTAATCTTAAAGTTACATATGCTAGAATCAAAAGTTAAAACCAGCTATCATCACACTGCTTAGGAAAAATGTAAGCATTTCCTTTAAACTCTGGAGTTAATTAGCTATGTTTACTTTGACCAAAGTGGTTTTCTTGGTTTAGTCAAGTGATTTTAGCCCTCTCTGATAGTAGCACATCCAAGTTTTAAACCCATGGGATTTTACTTGCCTTTTTTGAATAAAATAGGGCAACTAGTAGTCTGAAGCCCTATATGAAGTGCTAACTGGCCCCCAAAATCAGATTAGAAGACTGCTAAAAGAGCTACATTATAAATAGGGCTGGGCACAGTGGTGAGCACCTGTAGTCCCAACTACCTGGGATGCTGAGGCAGGAGGATCCCTTGAGCCCAGGAGTTCAAGGCTGCAGTGAGCTCTGGTTGCACCACTACACTCCAGCCTGGGTGACAGATAAAGACCCTGTCTTAAAAAAAAGAAAAAAGATAAAGAAGGGTTACACTAAAAATGTGTATTTTCTATTTTCCCCATTAATGTCCTTCCTACATACATCCCCAGGTGATGGAGGAGAAAATACATTGTAAAATAATAGCCAAATTGGTATAATTCTCCATAAAATTTTTTCAACCGAATAGATCAGTGAAGATTCCTTTAAATCTATCTTAAAATCATAACTAATAATTATTATTTAGTTACTAATTTAGTTCAAAGCTTCTCAGCTGACTGTATATATTCTGTTGAATATTTCTCTTGTGTGATTCAAAACAACCTTAAATAACTGTGACAATAGCATATCACCCAGCTAGGACAGGCAGGGTGCTTCACTTCAACAATTTTTCACTTCTTTCACCCCTTCATTTTGTCCATCAGCCAGTGGTGAAAACAACTAAATATTGGTATTTATCGAACTTATAATTTTGACAACCACTGCAGACCTTTAAACGTTGTATTTCTTTAATGTTCTCATTATCTTCTCAAGCCTGACAATCTCCTCATGCGATGTGCTTTCAGCTACTATTATTTTCATTATTTCTAAATGCCAATTGAAGGACAGCATTTAAAAATGCTGAAAGAAATAAAAGAATCTCAGAATAGAAATCACTTAACTATATGTGAACACCAATTCCCAAGCTGCCTGTTCAGAAATTTAAATAAAAAGAAAAAATACATCACCAGTTAAAGAGCTTATCATGTGAAGTAAATAAACTAAATAAAATAGAAACTAAATCAGAAGGCACTTTATTAGAAAAAAATTCCAAATTTAATCTTCAATGGTAAGAGGCCACTAAGCAGAGAATGAAATGAACTGGAACCCTGATAAACTGTAAATTGAAATGATAATTATCACTAAAACAGAGGGATTCAATCCAGCTGCCTGGGGATGTTTCATTATATAAATTATTATTATCTATTCCAGTATTGGCAGAGGAAGGGCTATGCGTCTATTAGACTTAGGCCAAATTTGGCATGCTGGTTTCTACCAATAGCACATGCTGGTGATTTTACTTTTCAGAACTCACATATTTATCTCATTTGATCTCATCACAACCTGAGACACGAGTCATAATGAGGACTATGGGGCTAATTTTATATCCAGTGAACCAGCCAAGTTTCATGCAGTTGAGAAATGGTAAACTGTCCAGACATAGTGGCTCACGCCTGTAATTCCAACACTTTGGGAGGCCGAGGCAGGCGGATCACCTGAGTCCAGGAGTTGGAGACCAGAGTGGCCAATATGTAGAAACCCTGTCTCTACAAAAAGTACAAAAATTAGCTGGGGGTGTTGGCACACACTTGTAATTCCAGCTAATCCGGAGGCTGAGGCATGAGGATTGCTTGAGCTCGGGAGGTGGAGTTTGCAGTGAGGGGAGATGCTGCCACTGCACTCCAGCCGTGGTGACAGAACGAGACTCTGCCTCAAAAAAATAAAAATAAAAATAAAAATAAAATAAAATAAAGAAAAGAAAAAGTAAACTTATTAGAGACCAGATGTCCTGTCCTGATTCCTGGCCCACCACACTGCCTTCCCTGAAGCTGTGAGGCCAGCTGGAGCCAAGCTTGTAATCGGCTCCTCCCTAGAAGCCCACAGTCCTGGCAAAATGGACCTGTGTTCTCAGCTCACCAACACAAGGAGACATTGTCCCCAAAATCAGGCAGAAAGGTCTTTGCCAGGCAACATATCCTTTGTGCCTACGTTTGCACAAAGCTTACCTGTAGCCAAGAGAGAACTATTTCCATTCACTCTTCCCTTTCCATCTCCTTCATCCTAATCAAAGTAGGACATTTAAGCCAGGAGACTGTGTGAAGGTTTTGGGAAGTCCTCAACCCCCAGGAGTTGCTGTGTGTTTCTACTGTGTGTTGTGTGGAATAGGAGCAAGATAATTTTACAGACGCTTACTCCTGACACGAGCTTCACAACCAGCTCAACTCAGACCAAGAAAAAATGTATCCCTTCCTATATGACGAGGACTCTGGTGGCTTGGCTTGAGAACCAAGGAGTGAAGTCATTTGGCTTCCATTTTGAAGGAATGAATGAGCTGAGGGTGGTTTATAGACTGAGCCAACCCCACAAGAGATATACCACGAAAGCCCCTTTAGAGACACACAGCAACTCCTGGATAAGGCAAGTTCCAAGGAAGTGATACTCATGTGATCTAAATACGATCTAAACACCTCATTGAACATAGCCAGATCTTCCATTTATAGGAGACTTGGTAGATGAGTGCCACAGGGTAACTGAACCCAGGTTTGGCTGCTCACCACTTAAAAGCCAGACTCAAGAGATTAGGGATGATGGGAGGAAAAGGTGGTTTATTTGGAAAGCCAGTAACACCATGAAGATGGTGACTAGTGTTCTAAAGTGCAATCTTAAATTTTTCAGGCTAACTGGAGGATTTTAATGGGTGTGGGATATGGGGAAGAGGAGAGAGTTGGGGAGAGAGTTGAGATCAAAAGATGACCAGAGACTGCAGACATCTGGGTGCCAACAAGAGTCCAAAGAGGTTGGGAACTACTCTGTCCTTGGTCAGGTTACAATGGTCATATAAATCTTTAACAAAACATAGTTGTTTACTTCTTTAATCCCAGAGTTAGTTTTTAAAACTACATGATTGCTGGGTTTGCATATTTATATCAGTGCTCTAAAATTATCCTATGTGCAGGAATGGGTAAAGGCCACTTTAAACAAAAATGAAGTAAGTTACATTCGTTTTTTTTGCTGTTCCACTGTAACAACAGGAAATACTGTTAAAGTCCATTTGGGCCAGGTGGGGTGGCCGTAATTCCAGCTACTCAGGAGGCTGAGGCAGGAGGATCACTTGAGGCTAGGAGTCTGAGACTAACCTGGGCAACACAGCGAGACTCCATCTCTAAAAATATATATAGAGAGAGAGACATAGTCTCGTTGTGTTGCCCAGGCTGGAGTGCAATGGCATGATCTCAGCTCATTGCATCCTCCACCTTCCAAGTTAAAACAATTCTTATGCCTTAGCCACCCCAGTAGCCGGGACTACGGGCGTCTGCCACCATACCAGGCTAATTTTTGTATTTTTAAAGGAGAAAAGGTTTCACCATATTGTTCAGGTTGGTCTTGAACTCCTGGACTTAAGTGATCCACCTGCCTGGGCTCCCAAAGTGCTGAGATTATAGGCATGAGCCACCATGCCCAGCCAAAATATTAAAAAATTAGAAAAATGATTATTTTTAATTTTAAAGACCATTTAGAATAATTGCCTTATTCCAGAACAAAGATGAGCTCATGACCGACCAGGAGTCTCAGTGACTGAGGGACAGAGGCTCCCCAGGGGGCGGACAGAGACTCACATATCTATGGCATGGCCCTGTCCACTAGGGCTGTTTTGTCCACTGGGGCTGCCTTGAGAATAAGGAATGCTACTCGGGAGGTCGAGGCAGGAGGATTGCTTGAGCTCGGGAGGTCGAGGCTGCAGTAAGTCCAGATCGCGCCACTGCACTCAGCCTGGGCGACAGAGTGAGACCCCGTCTCCATTAATTAATAACAATAAATTTAAAATTTCAAAAATTAAAAAAAAAATGAATGCTACTGCCACTCGGTTGCAGGATAAGAAGCCAGCCCTCGGGAACCACCACGACCCGGCAGTGCCCCGGGCCCCGCACGCCCCCAAGTCCAGCCTGCCCCCGCCCCCTCCGGTGCGGAGGTCCTCCGACACCAGCGGCAGTCCCGCCACGCCCCTCAAGGCCAAGGGCACAGGCGGCGGGGGCTTGCCCGCCCCACCCGACGACTTCCTGCCGCCGCCGCCACCGCCGCCGCCCCTCGATGACCCTGAGCTCCCGCCGCCGCCCCCGGACTTCATGGAGCCGCCCCCAGACTTCGTGCCCCCGCCCCCGCCGTCGTACGCAGGGATCGCGGGCTCAGAGCTGCCCCCGCCGCCGCCGCCGCCGCCCGCGCCCGCGCCCGCCCCCGTCCCCGACTCCGCCAGGCCGCCCCCCGCGGTGGCCAAGAGGCCTCCTGTGCCCCCCAAGAGGCAAGAGAACCCAGGGCACCCCGGCGGAGCAGGAGGCGGGGAGCAAGATTTCATGTCAGACCTCATGAAAGCTTTGCAAAAGAAGAGAGGCAACGTGTCCTAGGGACGGGCATGATGAGTGTTCCAGAGGGAGAAGCATCGCTGACCCCGAGCGCAGGTTTTGCTAGCAGATTGCCCTGACATCTTGTTCATTTCAGATAAAATGTGATGGGAAACTTCTCACTGATGTGCTCAAGTACAGGCATAACCATTAACCCAGTAGAGTTCAGAATATCTGCCCAAATGTACATATCGTTCCCATGTATTTTAACCTAAATGGAATGTATCTTCCCTTCCAAGCTGCCTAAAGCGCTGTTTTAGGTTCATTTATTTTATTATGTTCAGAAGCATCAAATAAAAGTTAAACGTTTTTCCGGAAGACGGTATTTCTAGAAAGATTATTGGGTCAATCTATCTTGAGATCAACACTATAATTAAAAATAGCTTTCAACATCCCATGCCTTCTTAAGTCTTGGTGACCTCAGATAGACTTTCATGTCTATCTCTATAACCTTTAGAATTTGCAGGAAAATCGAGAGAGGAAAACGAGAAAACATGACAAGCAGAGCCTGTTTCCTTTCTCTGAGATTCCGTGGCTTGATTGATTGGAGTCCTGGACACTGGCTGTTTTGGTTTTGCTTTTATAATGCTTGAATAACAGTAATTGAAAAAAATAGTTATTTAGATAGTTTTTGAATTCTCTGTTATTACAATGCTGTTAGTATCCTGTAAATAAAAATGTAGGGGCAGGAAAAGGCAATCATATATATATTCTTCAACCTGAAATGTTTTCCCTCAGAGATAAGTTTAATGCCCAATTTATCCTAGGTTCTTGGTACCTATATCTCTTCTCTTTCAAATTGGCTTCTGATAGGCCTTTTACATTTTCTTAGTTTTATTTACATCGCTCTGTTTTTGTTTTTGTATTTTTGTGGGGTTTTTTTTTTTAAACTGTAAAACTCAAAATCTTCTTAAAATGAGTGGAAAATCATAATGCATTTTTTTAAATAAAGGAAGCTAATTAATGCTATGTTTTAATATTTGGAGAAAAGTAAGCTCTAAATCATGCTGTGTCAACTCATGGGCTGCAGGTGGCCCAGGACCCCTTTGAATGCTGCCCAATACAAATTAAAATATTATAGCTCTTGGCAGGGTGTGGTGGCTCACACCTATAATCCTAGCATTTTTGGGAGGTGGACTCAGATGGATGACTTGAAGTCAGGAGTTTGAGGTCAGCTTGGCCAACATGGCAAAACCTTGTCTGTACTAAAAATACAAAAATTAGCCAGGTGTGGTGGCGCATGCATGTAATCCCAGCAACTCCAGAGGCTGAGATGGGAGAGTCCCTTGAATCCAGGAGGCAGACACTGCAGTGAGCTGAGATCATGCTACTGCACTCTGTCCTGGGAGATGGAGCGAGACACTGTCTCAAAAACATTATGAGATTTTTCTCAACTTTTTGTGTTGTTGTTCATCACCTATCATCGCTAATGTAAGTGCATTTTATATGTAGCCCAAGACAATTCTTCCAGTGTGGCC
Organism: Homo sapiens; assembly: GCF_000001405.40. Taxonomy (NCBI): domain Eukaryota; kingdom Metazoa; phylum Chordata; class Mammalia; order Primates; family Hominidae; genus Homo; species Homo sapiens. The sequence continues at coordinate 26,568,964 of NC_000010.11, forward strand.
CAGGGAAGCCACAAGATTGGACACCCCTGCAGTTTAAATGAACCTTTAAAATGAAAAAAAAAAAAGAATAGTTTTAAAACCAAAATATTTAGTAATTAAAACTGGCAGGGTGCTCTTAATTTTTTCTGGAGCATATGCTTGAAATAGGATAGAAGGTAAATTTGCTTTACATTCAATTTAATCCCATGAACAGTAACTCTCCCCAGTTCTCATTTTATTATGTTCCTTTGACATTAGATGCGGTAAAAACGCTGCTTTTCTGATACCCAACTAAATCATGGTCATTATGCAGATCTCTGGGACAATACAGGAAAGATGTCAGCAAAGAGAAGTGTGAAAATTGTCAGAATCAAAATGGAGTCACTTACGTTAAGAAAATGCTGACAAATAGAGCCAGCCAAGTCCATGAAACGAGAGTTTTCATGAGGATAATATTCTGTGATTTTCACTCAAGTGTAATGCAATCTTTGGTGTCTGGCTGAAAGGTCTGTACAAGTATTACGTATACCTGAGTAGGATTATTTAGATCCTGAAAATGCAGCAAAATTTGTTTCTTTATGAAAAGTTTAGTGAGATATTTGTATGTGGTGCAGGGGGTGGAAAAACTGGAGTGAAATTGGGAACTAGAGAAGGAGTACGTGGATAATAATATATGTTATGAATAATAATATATAAGCAATAATATAGGACAGTAATCCTGTATCACAGCTTATAAAAACTCAGTAATTTCTTGTATAATGCTTCTAATGGGGCATTGCAATAGGCCAACTGCAATACAAACCGCAGCATTTGGCAGAGTTTACAGAAAACATGATTTAACTTTAGTTCATGATAGAATGTGAACTAAGATTTTACAGTAGGTCCTCAAGGAGGAGAATGAACATTTAAGCCTCGTATTTTGTTTGATCATGGGAATCTTGGCTGGTATGATACTGAAATGACCCAATTCCATGATAATTGAGGCTTCGAAGTGTGTTTAAGACTTATGGCTTGATGTGTGATCCATTTTTACCGACGGTTTATGTGTACTTGGGTACAATATACATGTTCTTTAGAACAAGCTTGTGAAGCATGTTGCACAAATCTTCTGCCTGCAGCCTGTTATCTGGTCTGTCGCATCCATCAATTACTAAGAAGAATGTTTTAAAATCTTCTGAGGGCAAATTTGTCAGTATCTTTTCATTGTTCTGGCAAATTGTGCTTTATATATTCCGACACTGTTTATTATTAAGTGTAAACAAAAATTACGTATGTGACTTCCTGGTGAATTGAACCGTCCATCACCATGCAATGTTTTCTGCTTTTTGTCTTGTACTCATGCAGCTGTACTGTCTTTTTTCAGGTATTTGCCTGACAAATCTATTCATGCACTTTCAAACTCGTCATGCCTTTATGTTCTACATTTGCCACTTGTAAATGACATATAAGCAGATTTTGTTGTGTTTATATCTAGTTAGTAATTATTATCTTTTAACTGCAAGTTTATTCTTTTTAAATTTTTTAATTTTCTTTTTTTTTTTTTATTTTTAGAGACAGGGTCTCATTCTGTCACCCAGGCTGGAGGGCAGTGGTGCAATCATGGCTCACTGCAGCCTCAACCTTCTGGACTCAAGCCACCCTCTTGCCTCAGCCTTCCAAGTAGCTAGGACTACAGGCTCATACCACCATGCCCAGCTAATTTTTTTTTTTTTTTAGTAGATATGGGGGTCTCACTATGTTGCCTAGGCTGTTCTCTAACTCCTGGCCTCAAGCAATTCTTTTGTCTTAACCTCCCAAAGCGCTGGAATTACAGACATGAGCCAAAACGCCCAGCCTATTATTTTTACTCTGAATGTGATTACATAGTTTGTTTTTAACATCTTATTTTGTACTTACTATTACCCTGGATTCTTCTGGGATTTTTGCTTCCTTTCTTGTCTACTTCATGTGATTAGGATTTTCCTCTTATCCTCTTTTTGAGGCTTCTTGTTGAAAACTTATATACTGTATGTATTCTTTTAATAGCTACCTATAATGATAATATCCATACTCAAAGTCTCAAGTTAAACAACTTTAAACTAGAAAATACATGGACTTTGGACCACTTTGATTTCGCACACACACACACAAACACACACAGAGACACACACACATATTTTCTAGTATTTGAGGTACAGCTGAGTATTTTTTTCCTAGAATATCTTTATTTCACCCTCATTCTTCAAAGATGGTTTCAGTGGATGTAAAATTTCAATTGATGGTAAAAACTCTTCGTTTTTTGAGGGGATTGTCCCCACTGTCTTCTCCCTTTCACTGTTGCTGTTGAGAAGTTACCTGTGAAATTATTATTTCCATTAGGTCATCTCTTTGTTTCCCCTCTGCATGATTTTAAGACCCTTTCTTTGTCTTTGGTGCATAGAGTGGGTCTAACTCTGAATTTATTTTATTAAGTTGTCTGATAATTCATTGAGGTTTCTGAATTTACAAATATCTGCCTTTCACTATTCCAGAAAATTGTAATTTATTTTGTTTTCAAACATTGCTTCTCCTTTTTTGCTTCTTCTGAAACTCTAATGAAATGTGTTAAATCGTCTAACACTAGCTTCTTTATCTCTAAATTGTGTGTATTTTCTATTTCTTTATCTATTCTGGATATATTCATCAGATCTTAATTCCCATTCACCAATTCTTTCTTCAGCATAATCTAATCTATGTTAAAGTCATCCATTTTTGGTTTTTGTTTTTTGAAATAGACTTTATTTTTTAGACCAGTATTAGATTCACAGCAAAGCTGAGCAAAATGTACAGGGAGTTCTCATTTGCCACTTGCCTCATACGTGCACAGTCTCCTCCACTACCACAATTCTACAAAAATAGCACTGTAACAATTGATGAACCTACACTGACACATCATTAGCATCCAAAGTCCATAGTTTACTTAGGGTTTACTCTTGAGGTTGCACAATCTGTGGGTTTTCAGAAATGTACAATGACATGTATCCACCATTATAGAATCATGTAGACTAGTTTCACTGTCCTAAAAATCCTGTGTTCTGTCTGTTAATCTCTCCCTCCCCTTTAAACCCTGGCAACCACTGATCTTTTTCATTGTCTCCATAATTATACCTTTTGCAAAATATCATATAGTTGGAATCATACAGTATGTAGTATCTTTTTTGGTGAGGTGTCATTCAGACCTTTTGTCACTTTGTTAACTGGACTGTTCATTTTCTTACTGTTGAGTTTTAATGGTTTGTGTATTTTGGATAACAGTATTTTATCAGATATGTCTTTTGCAAATGTTTTTCCCCATCTGTGGCTTGTCTGTTCATTCTCTTGATTTTGCACTTCACAAGGATTTTTAATTTGAATGAAGTCTAGCTTATCAATTATTTATTTCATGGATGATGTCATTGGTGGTGTTGTATCTAAAAAGTCACTGCCATACCCAAGGTCATCTAGATTTTCTTCTATATTATCTACTAGAAGTTTTATAGTTTACTTAGTTCTCTGATCCATTTTAAGTTAAATTTTTTGAATGATGCAAGATCTGTGTCTAGGTTCTTTGTTTTTGTTTTTCCATATGGATATCCACTTGTGCCAGCACTATCTGTTGAAACGACTATCTTTTCATTATTACCTATGCCCTTTTGTTAAATGTTTGTATAAGCCCATTTTGGGGCTTTCTGTTCTGTTCCACTGATTTATTTGTCTATTCTTTGCCAATACCACACTGTCTTGATTGCTGTAGATTTCCTGTAAATCTTGAAATTGGGTGGTGTTAGTCCCCTGATTTTCTTCTTTTCTAATATTGTGTTGGCTATTCTTGTTTCCTTTTTTTTTTTTTTTTTTTTTGCCTCTCCATATAAACCTTGGGTTCAATTTGTCAATATCCACAAGATAAATTGTTGAGATTTCAATGGGGATTGCATGGAATCTATAGAGCGAGTTGGGGAGAACTGACATTTCACAAATCCTAGGCCTTCATATCTACAAACGTGGACTATCTCTCTATTTATTTAGTTCTTCTTAGATTTCTTAAATCAAAATTTTGTAGGTTTCCTACTAGATCTTTTATATATTTTGTTAGATTTATACCTAAGTATTCCATTTGCAGGGAGGAATGTGAACATAATGGTATATTTTTAACTCAACTTCCAATTGCTCATCGCTGGTGTTAAAAGAGCAATTGCAATTGACTTTTCTACATTAACCCTGTATGCTGCATCCTTGCTATAACTGCTTGTTAGTTCCCAGAGTTTTTTGGTCAGTTGTCCTGGCGGCCCCCTAAGGATTCCTCCTCTAAACCCAGGGTTGAGACTTTGCATTATTTTCCTCTCCATACATATGACTATCAAAGGCAAGATAGGGGAGAGTGCAAGGCAAGAGTTCCCTGCAGTCTTCTCCACTCTACATCCTTTCATATTGTTAAAGTAAATAGGGGAAATTAACAGTTGTGGAGCAGGTTCTCGGATATTTGCTATGAAAACCTACGTATGGTGATTTGGACTTTCAGAGCTATTATATTCTGGCGGTCTTTGATGAAACTTTAATTTTAACCTATTGTTCAATCAGTATCATTTTTTATTGGAAAAACTCATAGGAGAAAAATCAAATAATTATTTCAATAAATATCAAAAAGGCTTTTGATGAAATTCAACACCACTGCTTGTTAACAAAATTTAAAACTTCATAAGAAGCTAGCATCTGAGGAAGATGTTTTTATACTGATGAAAGGTGTCTGAAACCTACAGCAAAGGACATATTTAATAATAAAGCACAAACAGAAATGTCACTTACATTCATACTACCCAGAATTTGTTTTAATCAGTAACGGTAAGACACACAAACACAGAAATGACTGTCATGAGGGAAGTAGTTTATTTTACTACTCACAGTTCCTTAGAAGCTGTGGGCACAGCACACCACAAGGGGGAGGACAGGGAAACATCAAGGTCAGTCAGGAGGCAACGTGAATGGGGGAAAACATGGGAAAGAATCTTTATTGCAGTTCCATGGGAGGGAACAAGCAAGTCAGGGCAATCAGGCTTAGCATTGGCTAGTTTAAATATTTCATTGTCTTCTGGAAAGAAGAGGCTGCTATCTGGCCCTGAGGAAATTAGAGAGGCAGAACAGTGGCCAGAAATGTCAGAGTGATAAGGAAGAATAAAGACTGCAAAAGAGATAAACAGAGATAAAGAAGAATAAAGAGTGAGGAAGAGATGAGAAAGAAGGGGGTATAAACTCTGGGTTGGTTGGATTATATAGGAAAGTCATGCATGCAGGCAAGTTGTTTATTACATCCAGCAATTAGCCTATCCTCAGAGGGGCAGTCCCTCCAGGGTCAACAAGGCCCAGATTTCAAAGCATCAAATTCAGAAAATAAGAGACAAGACTAATACACCATTAAAGTCAGTATTATAATTAATATTATTCAACATTATCCTGGAGTCTCTAGCCAATGCACACAACAGCAAAACCAACAAGGTAACAAATATCTGAATGGAAAAGACAGACTTTTAAATTCTCAGATGATGTATCTACTTAAAATTTAAAAACCAAGTCAAGCAATCCATTAAAAGCTATTAAGTAGAGAAACTAAAAACTGTCCTGTGTACTATATATCAGTGAAGCTCATTTGTAAAATGTAGTATAAAGGGTGATTCAGAAGAGCAACAAGAACTAAAATATTTTTAGAATTGATAGACAATTTCAAAGTCTATAAGGAAAACTGTAAATGTTTATTGCAGATATAAAAGAAAACATCAGGAAAAAAGAGGTGCAGGTCATCACTGCTCCACCTAGTTCCAATAACTACGATTTAATTAAATAACGTGAGTTCCCCAACATGGTTCCAAATTCAGTTGCCATGGTATTTTAACTGTGAGTAATTACGTAAAGTACAAACTTTGTGTGAGCTCTTCAGTCCACAAATCACAACATAAATAACAGATGCAATCATGATCAGTGACCCATCATCTCTTTCAAATTATGAGGTTGCCAATCACTGCATATTTGTTACTGAGTTTATAAAGAGAACAAAGTATGTCGTTGTCTTGCCTCTTTGTCTCCCAGTGAGACGCTCACGTGACATTTTACAAAAATGAACAATCAAAAGAGGGAAGTGGTCAACAAACATGAAACTGCAAACAAAAAAAAAAAAAAAAGAAAAAAGGGATAACACAAAGTGAAATTCAAATGGAACATAAATGTAGTTATAGAAGAAATAGTGGCCATTCACTGAGGCAGATGTTTGCTCGGTATTTCAATTATTTTTGACAAATAAATCAATTCTGAATCTGACTGAAGCTCTATATTTACAGAAATACAGGGGGCACAGACACATGCTGTGTTAGGTTGTTTTTCTGTTGCTATAAAGAAATACCTGAGGCTGGGTCATTTATAAAGAAAAAAGGTTTAATTGGCTCACAGGTCTGCAGGCTTTACAGGAAGCATGGTGCTGGCATCTGCTCACCTTTTGGGGAGGCCTCTGGAGGTTTCCATTCATGGCAGAAGGCAAAGTGGAAGCAGGCTTCTCACATGGAGAGACTGGGACTAGAGAGCAAGCTAGGGAGGTGCCACACACTTTGAAACAACAGATCTCCTGAGAACTCACTCACCATCAGTGGGACAGCACCAAGTTATGAGGGATCTGTCCCCATGACCCAAACACCTCCCGCAAGGCCCCACCTCCAACATTGGGGATTGTATCTCAACATGAGTATATTAGTACATTTTCACACTGTTATAAAGAAACTACCTGAGACTGGGTAATTTATAAAGGAAGTTTTAATTGACTCATGGTTATGCATGGCTGGGGGTCCTCAGGAAACTTACAATCATCACAGAGGGTGAAGGAGAAGCAAGTCACATCTTACATGGCAGCAGGAGATAGAGAGCGAAGAGGAAATGCCAGACACTTATTAAACTACCATATGTCATGAGAACTCTCTCACTATCACAAGAACAGCATGGGGGAACGGCCCCCATGATCCAATCACCTCCCCACAAGTCCCTCCTTCCACACATGGGGGTCATAATTCAAGATGAGATCTGGGTGGGGACATAGAGCCAAACCATATCAATGAGATTTGGAGGGGACATCCAAACTATATCACAGGTTCAGTAAATAATACCACAGAATGCAATCAGAAAAATGCAGAATGTTGAAATACCACAGGATAAATAATCTGGTTTCTTCAATCGAAACTAAAGGAACCAATGGAGTGCAAGTGAAAAAAGATGTAGGGACACATGTAGGTGATATACTCAAAGATATCAAAGGAAGCTTAAGACGTCTTATCATCTAATTTTAATGTATACTCCTTATTCAAATCCCAATTAAAATAACCATAAGAGGCTGGGCACGGTGGCTCACACCTGTAATCCCAGCACTTTGGGAGGTTGCGGAAGGTGGATCACGAGGTCAGGAGTTCAAGACCAGCCTGGCCAAGATGGTGAAACCCGGTCTCTACTAAAAATACAAAAATTAGCCAGGCATGGTGGCAGGCGCCTGTGATCCCAGCTATTTGGGAGGCTGAAGCAGAGAATTACTTGAACCCAGAAGGCAGAAATTGCAGTAAGCCGAAATTGCGCCACTGCACTCCAGCCTGGACAACAGAGTGAGACTCCGTCACAAAAATAAACAAATAAATAAATAAATAAAATAACTATAAGATAATGCTGATGATAATAATTTACAAGACAATAGGAAAATGTTGAAAACTGACTGAATACTTCATTTGATACATTAAGAGTTATTGCTAATTTGCCTCAAGGTCATATGATGTCAAGGACTGTTTGTGTTCTAAGTCATTAGCATTTAGATATGCATATGGAAATATTTGTAGAGGAAATGATACAATGTCTGAATTTCCAAAAAATTGAGGATACGTATATTATACTTCAATTAAGGCAATAAAGAGGAATATGGAGAAAGTGTGTGGAGGTGTAGATGAAGCAAAATTGGCAATGTATTAATTGTTAGTAAGCTGATTAAATGGTAAATTAGGTTCATTAAACTATTAAAATTTTCTCTACCTTAGTAAATGTTTGAAAATTCTATGATAGAGATAAAAAAATCTCTAGGAGCATAATAAAACTAAATATAGCATAATAAAACTAAATACAGCACTGATATACCCCAAAGTGCTGAGTTTACAGTAAATACTAGATCAATATTTAATAATCCATTTTTTTTTAGACAGAGTTTCAATCCTGTTGCCCAGGCTGGAGTGTAATGGCGTGATCATAGCTCACTGCAACCTCTGCCTCCGGGGTTCAAGCAATTCTCCTGCCTCAGCCTCCTAAGTAGCTGGGATTACAGGTGCCCGCCACCACACCGAGCTAATTTTTTTTTTTGTATTTTTAGTAGAGATGGGATTTCACCACGTTGGCCAGGCTGGTCTTGAACTCTTGACCTCAGGTGGTCCACCTCCCTCGTCCTCCCAAAGTGCTGGGATTACAGGCATGAGCCACCAAGCCAGGCTCTAATGATCCATTTTGATTACAATGTCGTAAGATCTTGTAATCATTGAGAATAACTCACGTGCTTTATCAAAAATACCTTATTATTCCATTAAACTTACTGATTAGAACAAAAATCATCATGAAGTTGTTTCAAAGAATATGTTCCAATTTAATCGGCTAAAAATATTTGCATATATAATCATTATTACCAAATGTGGGATTGGCATCAAAATGTGGAGGATCAAAAATAATTTCTTAAACAGATTATTCTATGTTGCGTATAATGATAGAAGACTTCTTTAATTTATTTTTCCCAAATTAAGCAACTAAGTCTGAGATCTTTAGCCCAGGAAGGAGTAGGTGAGGCGTAGCCTGCTTCCTTGGCTGTCGAATGCTTCTGGAAAGGATGCTGAAGAACTTGCTGGAGAAGATGCACCTGGTAAAAAATGTGGGCAGATAAATATACATTATAATTACTCAGGACCCTGATGAATTTCTACATTTCTAAATGGCAAGGTCAACTTTAAATGTTTAAAAATGTTTATACTTTGGGTAGCAGAGGCAGACAGATCACTGGAGGTCAGGAGTTGGAGACCAGCCTGGCCAACATTGTGAAACCTTGTCTCTACTAAAAACATAAAAATTAGCCGGGCATGGCGGCGTCTGCCTGTACTCCCAGCTACCTGGGAGGTTGATGCAGAAGAATGGCTTGAAACTGAATGTGGAGGATGCAGTGAGCTGAGATCACCACACTACACTCCAGCCTGGGCGACAGAGCTAGATTGTCTCAAATCGAACAAACAACAATAAGAGTTTATACATTTTGTTTTATGAAAAATCTCAACTCTAGTTGTTACTTAGAATTGCTATTATTCCACAGAAGTTCCTTAAGTACTATTTTTGTACTAAACTAAGAGAAGGAATATGTACACTGTCATGGAGAGTACAAATATATTCCCGTCATTTTAAGATCCCTTTACAGCATAAAGAGAATTCTAATTTTCTAAAACATTTAGCGAAAAAAAGAATGTCAATGATTTGCAAGCTTTCCAAATGAAGGGCATGAATTCCAGCTCATGCTGCTTCCTCACTGGGAATCTGGCTCTATGATAATAAACTAAGTCATCAACGACACACTTCTTTCAACAATAAAGCAAAGATTGAAATGTTTATTTTCCGTGGTTTTGCTATTTCTTGGGGCTTACGAAAGAAACGCTTAGTCAGAATAGAGAGGGTGGATGACAATACCATGAAATTAAAGGTGAGAGGTGAAGGAGAACATTTTATTGTATCACTAGTATTTTAAATATAAAGATTGCATCTTCATGAATACGGGGCTTTTGGAGCCCATCTTAGCACTTCTCCCCAGGTACGTTCCATGCCTATCATTTTATTGAAGTTGCTTGTATACCTATCAGTCTCACCTAGTAGTTAAATGGCTCCTCTAGTTGGCTCTTACATTTCTCTACTGCATCTTGCCTTGAGTCGATTCTAAAGACATGTTTGATGAAAGAAGGTAAATACCAGTCACATGTGAACAGGGCTGCATCTAGAAAGCTGCTCTATCAACGAAATCATTAGAAAAATATGGTTTACTCAGTGTACAAATTTTAGGAAATTTCTCTATTACACGTGCTAGTTTGAATATGTGTGTTATTTTCAAAAACATAAAATGAATATATAATTTTTGAATACCTGTGTGTATATATATATGATATATATATATATATGTTAACATCACACAGTAGACTTAACTCATGGCAAAGATTTTTTCTGAAGCACCTGCAGAAATCAGTCTTCTTTCCAGTTTCGAAAACCCCAACATGGGCGAAAGAGGATCCTTTGGATGCCAGATAGTGCATGAAGCACATTGGGTTACAGTAATTTTAATATAGTTCATATTCATAATTCACAGTGAGGAAACCTGAAAGTTTCTCGAAGCTATCAATGAATGAAAGGTGGGGCAGGGCCGCTGTGGGGGCGGGGCCTTGTGAGCCAGTGCCTGGACTCCCACATCACAAATGGAAGGGCGGCGCGTGGAGGGAACTCAAGGCCTGATTGGTTCCTCCTAAGCAGGACACGATCTGGCTGGCAGGGCAACTGGCCTTCAGTTAGTGCCTTCAGTGGGTGCCTTCAGTTGGTGGCATTTGGTTGCCTTTCCTGGGGAGAGGTGGCAGGTGCTCAGCTCTGCAGGCGTGGGGGCAAGCGAAGGCCCAAGCTGCTGGAGAAGAACAGAGGTGTCCCATGGGGACCACGCTGGCCTGTCGCATGTGCACCAAAGCCAGCCCCAGGCAGGGCCCGCACAGGGCTTCTGCGGAGCCTTCCTGCGGCTCTGACATCTATGAGTGGGCAGCCAGCAAAGGCGAAGGCCCTAGCACAGAGGAGAAGAGGCGCCCGGAACACGCTGTCCCCCAATGCCAGCCCCAAGCAGGGCCAGCTGAGGGTGCGGTGTTTGGAGCCTTTCTGAGATCCACGAGGTGGCGGTGGGAGTAGCGCCAGACTCCACTGCTTTGGAGCCTGCCCAGTCTGATTCAGGAGCCTTGACTAGCAGCACATTGGCGACCCGAAGACGCCAAAAGGTAGGGAGGCGACAGATACCTCTTGGTCTTAGGAGCTCCTCTGGCCTTGCTCACCCAAGGTACCCCCAGAGGCATCCACAGCCTAGGGCTCCTCCCTCCTGCTCCTAGTTCGCTTTCCTATCCCCTGCCCCAAACAGGAGGACTTGCTCTGACTCGACTCCCCACTCCTTCTTTCCCTGTTGCATCCAGCCGGTTACTTTTCATTGCTCTGCCCAAATACCCACTTCTGGGCCCTCTTCTTTTCCTAGGCTGGCCAAAAACTAAGTTTTCAAAATACAAATTGGATGCCACCGATTTCATTATGGTAGAGGAAATGTCTGACAGCTCTTGTATTTAAGCTTAAGTAGCCGCATTGGGACTCCCAATTTCACATCCCGAGTTCTAGAGCAGAGCTCTCTCCCCTAAAGTAATGGCTGAGGGTTAGAGGTACTCTTCCTCATTCTAATAATAAGAAATGATGTTTTGTAGAGACAGGGTATCATTGTGTTGTCCAGGAAGGTCTCAAACCCTGACCTCAAGTGATTCACCCACATTGGCCTCCCACTTTGTTGGGATGACAGGCAAGAACCACCACACCTGGCCTTGGGAGCTGCTCCTGCTTTGTGTGTTTTGGCTGGTGTTCCTGCGCAGCTGTCAGTAAGATGCTCCTGCCGTATTGTTCCAAATCTTCCCACACAAATTCAGTGGATGCGGTGATGTTTTACACGGAATAGCCCCTTTATTTATTGAAGAGAAGCTGGACAATTCACACTTAGTAACATATGGCCTAGCAAATTTCATTTCTTGATCAACACACCTGTTAAAAGGTGATGCTTGTGGTCTAAATATGCAGATTCCTAATCATCCCCAAGAAAAAGGGAACCACTGCAAGGCAACCTGGGAGGGAGTTTAGGATTGTTCTGAGGCAGTGCAAGCCATTGAAATTCACACATGAGGGGGTAGAAAAGAGAATCCACATGTTTTGACCCCTCCATGTTCTGGGTATAACTTGGTTCTCCTTAACATGCACCATTTTTGGCGACAGAGAAAACTGGATTTAAATCCCAGTTCCATCGCTCTTTATGAAGTGAAGATGAATTTGTTTTTAACTTGTCTGAGCCTCAGTTTGCTAATCTATAAAAGATGTGATTGTTATGAGGCTTCCATAAGGTAAGTGTGTAAAACCCATGGCAAAATGCTTGTAATTTAAAAGAGAGGGTTGTTATCAGGCTTCTATAAGGCAAGTGTGTAAAAATCTGGATACAATGTCTACAATTTTGTAAGTGTTCAATATCTGGAGAATAAGGATTCTCTTTCTCTCATTTAATTTTTAGGGCAAGTTTATAAAATAAGCGCTACTCATATTTTTGAGATAATCAAACCAAGGATTAGAAAGACTAACTAAATCACAATAGTCACAAAGCAGTTCAACATACATTTACTGGGTAATTTCTATTTAAAAGTAGCAATGATTATCACATTGAAAATCTTATATTGTGTGGTGGTTTTCTCATACGAAAGCCTCTTGATTTGTTGAAACCATAGATTCTAAGCTGCTCTATCAAAGTGATTATTAGAAAAATGTGATATACTTAGTGCGTACATTTTAGAAAACTTCTTATGTTAACCTTGTTAATTTGATTGAGCATGTGTGTTATTTTAAAAAATGTAAATCTAATATATGTGTATTGAATATATATATGAATATATGAAATATGACTTGACATTATAGAGTAGGCTCAGCTCATGGCAAAGTTTTTTCTGAAAGCACCTGCAGAAATCTCTCTTATTTCTAGTTTCTTAATGTTTCAGAGATTACGGGGGGAAGAGGGTTCTATGAATCCCAGACACTGCGCGAGGCAGATTTGGTTTCAGTAATTTTAGCATCATTCATTGTAAGTTGATGATCCCTAGGAACTTCTTCACAGTGAGAAACCTGAAAGGTCCTAGCAGCCAGCAATGAATGAAAGGTGGGGTGGGGCCGCTGGCAGTGAGGTTCCTTGTGAGCCATGTGCCTGTGCTCTCAAGTTCCAAGTTTGTGGGGATGCATGCAGGAGATTCTGGACCTGATTGTTTCCTCTGAACCAGGATGCGTTCTGGTTGGTAGGACAACTGGCCTTCACTTGGTGGCCTTCAGTGGGTGCCCTCATTAGTTGCCTTCAATTAGTGCCCTCAGTTGGTAATCTAAGTTGTTTCTCTTCAGTTGGTGGTCCTCAGTTGGTGGTCTTCAGTTGTTGGGCAGTGGTGGAAGGAAGATGAATCCGTTTGTGCTCTCTCCTCCCCCAGTCACAACTCTCAGGCTTGTTGCATCTAGGCCCTTTTAAAATAAACCAGAGATGTTGGCAGGTTTTATTAGCAGACAAGTCAGCTCAGGGTATGGGGGTGACGCGAGGTGCAGGCCGCTATTGGAGTGCCACCCCATGGCCCAGGGCTGCTCGTGCCAGCAATGCTTTTGCCAGGAAGAGGCGAAAGGTGTTTAGCTCTGTAAACTTGGGGGTGAGCGAAGGCCCATGCTGCCCGAGAAGACCCCGTGGGGTCCACACGGAACGGTCGCATATGAACCAAAGGCAGCCCCAATCAGGGCTGGCGCAAGGGTTCTGCAGAGCTAGCCTGTGGCTCTGATGTCTACGACTGTGAAGTCAGCAAAGACGTAGGCCACGATATACAGGAGCAGAGGAGCCCAGAACACCCTGTCCCCCAATGCCAGCCACAAGCAGGGCTATCTCAGGATGTGGTGGGTGAAGCCGTCCTGCAGATCTGAGAATCCTGAGGTGGAGGTGGCACTAGCACCAACTCCACTGCTTTGGAGCCTCCCCAGTCCAATTTGGGAGCCAGCGAGGGACCTGACAGCAGCACATTGGCCACCAGAAGACACCCAAAGGTAGGGAGGTGACAGATACTGCTTAAGTTCAGGAGCTCCTCTGTCTATTGCTTGCCCAAGGTTCCCCCAGAGGCATCCAAAGCCTCAGTTTTCTCATCTATAAAAGACGTGATTGTTCTGAGGTTTCCATAAGGTAAGTGTGTAAAAACCGTGGCAAAATGCTTGTAATTTAAAAGAGGGGGTTTCTATCAGGCTTCTATAAGGTAAGTGTGTAAAAATCTGGACACAATACCTATAATTTTTTTAAGTGTTCAGTATATGGGAAAGGAGGATTATTTTTTCTCATCTAATTTTCAGAGCAATTTTATAAAATTGGCGATACTTGTATTTCTTAGACAATCTAACCAATGATCAGAAAGAATAAATAGATAAGCAAGGTCACAAAGTAATTCACAATGCCTTCACTGGGTAATTTCTAGTTAAAAGTAGCAATGATTTTCACATTGAAAATTTTGTATTATGTTGTGGTTTTCTCTTCCATAATCCTCTTGGTGTTTGAGAAACCAAAGATTCTAAGTTGCTCTATTAAAGCCATCATTAGAAAAATATGATGTACTTAGTGTGTAAATGTTAGAAAATTTCTTCTGTTACTCTTGTTAGTTTGATTGAACATATGTGTTATTTTGAAAAATGTAAATCAAATATATGCGGTTTGGATATATATATATGCATATATGAAATATGACATCATTCTAGAGTAGGCTTAGCTCATGGCAATGTTTTTTTCTGAAAGCACCTGCAGAAATCTCTCTTATTTTTAGTTTGTTAATGTTTCAGAGATTATGGGGGAAAGGTGATTCTACGAATCCCAGACACTGCATGAGGCAGATTTGGTTTCAGTAATTTTAGCATTATTCATTGTAAGGTGATGATCCCTAGGAACTTCTTCACAGTGAGAAACCTGAAAGGTCCTAGCAGGCAGCAATGAATGAAAGGTGGGCAGGGCCTCTGAAAGGGCGGGGCCTTGTGAGCCACGTGCTTGTGCTCTCGAGTTCCAAGTTTGTGGGGATGCATGCAGGGGATTCTGAACCTGATTGTTTCCTCTGAACCAGGATGCGGTCTGGTTGGCAGGGCAACTGGCCTTCTCTTGGTGGCCTTCAGTGGGTGCCCTCATTGGTTGCCTTCAGTTAGTACCCTCACTTGGTGCTCTTCAGTTGGTACCCTCAGTTGGTGCTCTTCAGTTGGTGGTCCTCAGTTGGTGCTCTTCAGTTGGTGCTCTTCAGTTGGTGGGCTTCAGTTGTTGGGCAGTGGTGGAAGGAGGATGAATCCATTTGTGCTTTCTCCTGCCCAAGTCACAGCTCTCAGTCTTGTTGTATCCAGGCCCTTCTAAAATAAACCAGATAGATCGGCAGGGTTTTTTTAGCAGACTTGTCAGCTCAGGGTATGGGGGTGATGCAGGGTGTCAGCTACTAGCGCATTACCGACCCATGGCTCAGGGCTGCCTGTGGCAGCCATGCCTTTGCTAGGAAGAGGTGATAGTGGCAAGTGAAGGCCCAGCTGCCTGAGAAGAGCAGAGATGTCCCATGTGGACCACACTGAACTGTCGCATGTGCACCAAAGCCAGCCCCAGTCAGGGCTGGCAAAGGGGTTCTGCAGAGCCAGCCTGTGGCTCTCACATCTACGAGTGTGCAGACAGCGAAGGCACAGGCTGCGATATACAGGAGAAGAGGCACCCTGAACACGCTGTCCGCCAGTGCCAGCCGCAAGCGGGGCTAGCTCAGGGTGTGGTGGGTGAAACCGTCCTGCAGCTGTGGGATCTACGAAGCGTAGGTGGCAGTAACGCTGGACTCCACTGCTTTGGAGCCTGCCCAGTCGAATTTGGAAGCCTGCGAGGGAGCTGACCACAGTACACTGGCAACCAGAAGATGCCCAAAGATAGGGAGGCAACGGATACTGCTTAAGTTCAGAAGATCCTCTGGCCGTTGCTGGCCCAAGTTTCCCCCAGAGACATCCAAAGCCTCAGTTTTCTCATCTATAAAAGATGTGATTGTTATGAAGCTTCCATAAGGTAAGTGAGTAAAAACCATGGCAAGATGCTTGTAACTTAAAAGAGAGGGTTCCTATGAGGCTTCTATAAGGTAAGTGTGTAAAAATCTGGTCATAATACCTAAAATTTTTTAGTGTTCAGTATATGGAGAAGGAGGATTATTTTTTTCATCTAATTTTTAAAATGAGTTTATAAGATTGGTGATACTCATGTATCTTTGACAATCAAACCAATGATCAGAAAAAAATAAATAGATCACCAAAGTCACAAAGCAGTTCCCAATGCATTCACTGGGTAATTTCTAGTTAAAAGTAGCAATGATGATCACATTGAAAATTCTGTATTATGTGGTGGTTTTCTCTTACATAATCCTCTTGGTGTTATGAAATCACAGATTCTAAGTTGCTCTATCAAAGTGATCATTAGAAAAATGTGATGTACTTCATGTGTAAATTTTAGAAAAGTTCTTCTGTTAGTCTTGTTAATTTGATTGAACATGTGTGTTATTTTCAAAAATGTAAATGGAACATATGTGGATTGGAGATATATATGTATATATGAAATAAGACGACATTATAGAGTAGTTTTAGCTCATGGCAATGTTTTTTTCTGAAAGCACCTGCAGAAATCACTCTTATTTCTAATTTCTTAATGTTTCAGAGATTATGGGGGAAAAGGGGGTTCTATGAATGTCAGACACTGCATGAGGTAGATTTGGTTTCAGTAATTTTAGCATCATTCATTGTAAGGTGACGATCCCTAGGCACTTCATCACAGTGAGAAACCTGAAAGGTCCTAGCAGCCAGCAATGAATGAAAGGTGGGGTGGGGCCGCTGGCAGGGCGGGGCCTTGTGAGCCATGTGCCTGTGCTCTCCAGTTCCAAGTTTATGGGGAGGCATGCAAGGGATTCTGGACCTGATTGTTTCCCCTGAACCAGGATGTGGTCTGGTTGGCATAACTGGCCTTCACTTGGTGGCCTTCAGTGGGTGCCCTCATTGGTTGCCTTTGGTTAGTGCCCTCAGTTGGTACCCTTCGTTGGTGCTCTTCCGTTGTGGGCCTCAGTTGGTGGTCTTCAGTTGCTGGGCAGTGGTGGAAGGAGGATGAATCCATTTGTGCTCTCTCTGTCCCAGTCACAGCTCTCAGGCTTGTTGCCTCCAGGCCCTTCCAAAATAAACCACACAAGTTGGCAGGGGTTTTTAGCAGACAATTCAGCTCATGGTACGGGGGTAACCCAGGGTGAGGGCTGCTAGCGCAGTGCCGCCCCATGGCCCAGAGCTGCCCGTGCCAGCAATGCTTTTGTCAAGAGGAGGCGAGAGGCGTTCAGCTCTGCAGACTTGGGGGCAAGCAAAGGCCCAAGCTGCCCAAGAAGAGCAGGGGTACCCCATGGGGTCCACACTGAACTGTCGCATGTGCACCAAAGCCAGCTCCAATCAGGGCTGGCACAAGGGTTCTGCAGAGCCAGCCTGTGGCTCTGACGTCTACCAGCGTACAGACAGTGAAGACGCAGGATGCGATATACAGGAGCAGAGGCACCTGGAACATGCTGTCCCCCAATGCCAGCCACAAGCCGGGCCAGCTCAGGGTGCGGTGGGTGAAGCTGTCCTGCAGCTCTGAGATCCACGAGGTGGAGGTGGCTGTAGTGCAGGACTCCACTGCTTTTGAGGCTGCCCAGTTGAATTTGGGAGCCAGCGAGGGTCCTGACAGCAGCTCACTGGACACCAGAAGACGCCAAAAGGTAGGGAGGCGACAGATACCACTTAAGTTCAGGAGCTCCTCTGGCTGCTGATGGCCTAAGGTTCCCCAAGAGGCATCCAAAGCCTCAGTTTTCTCATCTATAAAAGATGTGATTGTTACGCGGCTTCCATAAGGTAAGTGTGCAAAAAGCATGGCAAAATGTTTGTAATGTAAAAGAGAGGGTTTCTATGAGGCTTTTATAAGGTAAATGTGTAAAAATCTGGACACAATACCTGTAATTTAGGTCACTGCAAACTCTGCTTCCTGGGTTCAAGCGATTCTACTGCCTTAGCTTCCTGAGTAGCTGGGATTAGAGGCATGTGCCATCAGGCCCGACTAATTTTGTCATTTTTAAGAGAGACGGGGTTTCACCATGTTGGTCAAGCTGATCTCAAAGTCCTGACCTCAGGTGATCCACTCACCTTGGCTTCCCTAAGTACTGGGATTACAGGCATGAGCCACCATCCCTGGCCAAAAATTTCATTTGTTGATCAACAACCCTTTTTCTAAGGAGATGCTTGTGGTCTAAATATGCAGATTCCCATTTCCAAGAAGAAGGGAATGACGGCAAGACAACCTGGGAGGGAGTTTAGGATTGTTCTAAAGCTGTGAAAGCCATTGAAATTCACACATAAGAGGATAGAGAAAGGGAATCCACATGTTTGATCCCTTCATGTACTGGGTATTACTTGGTCTTCATTAAGTTGCACCACCTTTGGCATCAGAGAGAACTGGATTTGAATCCAAGTTCCAACACTCATTAGGACGTGATGGTGAATGTGTTTTCAAGTCCTCAGAGCCTCACTTTGCTTGTCTATAAAAGAGGGGATTCTTATGAGGCTTCCGTAAGGTAAATGAGTAAAAATTTGGGTGGACAAAATGCCTTTAATTTAAAAGATAGGGTTGTTATGAGGCTTCGATAAGGTAAGTGTGTAAAAATCTGGACAGAATGCCTATAATTTTGTTAGTGTTCAATATATAGAGAAGGATTATTTTTCTCTAATTTTTAGAGCAAGTTTCTAAAATGGTGTTACTCATATTTTTGAGATAATCAAACCAAGAATCACAAAGATTAAATGAGTCACCATGCTCACAAAGCAGTTCACAATACATTTAGTGGATAATTGCCATTTAAAAGTAGCAGTGATGATCACATTTAAAATCTTGTATTATGTGGTGCTTTTCTCTTACATAAGCCTCTTTGTTTGTTGAAGCCATAGATTCTAATTTGTTGTATCAAAGTGATCACTAGAAAACTGTGATATACTTAGTGTATACATTTCAGAAAGTGTCCTCTATTACTCGTAGCTCGTGGCAATGTGTTTTTCTGAAAGCACATGCAGAAATATGTCTTTTTTCAGGTTGAAAAATCTCAGAGGTTATGGGGGAAAGGGGCTCTATGAATATAGGAGGCAGATTTGGGTTCAGTAATTTTAGCATCATTCATTGTAAGGTGATGATCCCTAGGAACTTCATCACACTGAGCAACATGAAAGCTCCTAGCAGCCAGCAATAAATGAAAGGTGGGGCGGGTCCACTGGCAGGGTGGGGCCTTGTAAGCCTGGTGCTTAAGCTCTGAATTCCACGTTGGGGGGGACACATGCAAAGGATTCTGGGCCTGATTGTTTCCTCTAACCCGGATGTGTTCTGGTTGGCAGGGCAACTGGCCTTCACTTGGTGGCTTTCAGTGGGTGCCCTCATTGGTTGCCTTTGGTTAGTGCCCTCAGTTGGTACCCTCAGTTGTTTCTCTTCAGTTGGTGGTCTGCAGTTCATGGTTTTCAGTTGTTGGGCAGTGGTGGAAGGAGGATGAATCTGTGCTCTCTCCTCCCCAGGCCACAGCTCTCAGGCTTGTTGCATCCAGTCCCTTCTAAAATAAACCGGACAAGTTGGCAGTTTTTTTTTAGCAGACAAGTCAGCTCAGAGTACGGGGGTGACACAGGGTGCAGGCTGCTAGCACAGTGCCGCCCCATGGCCCAGGGCTGCCCGTGCTGGCAATGCTCTTGCCAGCAAGAGGCGAGAGTTGTTGAGGTCTGCAGACTTGGGGGCAAGTGAAGGCCCAAGCTGCCCGAGAAGAGCAGGGGTGTCCCATGGGGACCACACTGAACTCTTGCATGTGCACCAAAGCCAGCCCCAATCATGGCCGGCACAAGGGTTCTGCAGGACCAGCCTGTGGCTCTCATGTCTACCAGCGTACAGACAGCAAAGACACACGACACGATATACAGGAGCAGAGGCGCCCAGAACACGCTGTCCCCCAATGCCAGCCACAAGCGGGGCCAGCTCAGGGTGTAGTGGGTGAAGCCGTCCTGCAGCTCTGTGATCCACAAGGCGGAGGTGGCAGTAGCACAGGACTCCACCGCTTTGGAGGCTGCCCAGTCGAATTTGGGAGCCAGTGAGAGTCCTGACAGCAGCACATTGGCCACCAGAAGACACCCAAAGGTAGGGAGGCGGCAGATACTGCTTAAGTTCAGGAGCTCCTCTGGCCATTGCTCACCCAAGGTTCCCCCCAGAGGCATCCACAGCCTGGGGCTCCTTCCTCCTGCCTGGAGTTTGCTTTCCTATGCCCAGGCCCCAAGCAGGAGGACTGGCTCTGCCTCGAGTCCTCACCCCTTCTTCTTTCCCTGCTGTGTCCAGCTGGTTTCTTACTTTCCTCCTACCTATGCTATGCCCAGTTCTGTTTCCTCTTCTTCTTCCCCCAGGCTGGCTGAAAACTAAGTTTCAAAATACAAAATGCATGCTACAGATTTCATTGCTGTAGATGAAATGCTGACAGCTTTTCTATTTAAACTCTGGTTGTTCTCTTCATTTCTTTAAACATTAGAATAATTAAGCCTCATGATAGATGTGCCTTTGTAACTTGAAAGTATGACCCTCAATTTTCACAATTTAAAAAAATTTTTTAATTTTTCTTTTCATAAATTTTTGGCAAACAGGTAGTATTTAGTTATTGAGTAACTCCTTTAGTGGAGATTTGTGAGATTTTGTTGCACCCATCACCCAAGCAGTACACATGGAATCCAGTTTGTAGTCTCTTATCTTTCTCCCCCTTCCCACCGTTTTCCCCCGAGTATCATTCTTTTTTTTGAGACTGAGTCTTATTCTGTCACCCAGGCTGGAATGCTATGTCGCGACGTCAGCTCGCTGCAACCCTTGCTTCCCGAATTCATGTGATCCTCCTGCTTCAGCCTCCCAAGTAGCTGGGATTAGAGGCGTGGGTCACGACGCCCAACTAAATTTTTTGTATTTTTAGTCGTGACTGGGTTTCACCAAATTGGCCAGTCTGTTCTCGAACTCCTGACCTCAAGTGATCTGCCTGCCTTGGCCTCCCCTAGGGCTGGGATTATAAGAATGAGCCACCAGAACCCAGCCAAACTTCCCCCCACCCCGCCTTTTTGTTTTGTTTTGGTTTTTTCTAATCTCCTGAAGTCATTCTTTGAGTTGTCATGTAGATTAATGGGTTTCTCAAACTACTAGAAAACTAGTTGAAGAAATAAACAGGCAGTTTGTGAATATTAAACAGAACAGTGGTGCTGAGCATGGCTAAAGCATCTCTGCATTCACAGGGAGAGGAGCGGAAGACCTTCTGGTGTGGGCTGGGCAGCAATTCACTTGAAGGAGAAACAGCCCGGGTGTGGAGAGGCGGCTGTCCTTGGAGGGATCCTTTCTAAGGAGCCGAGAAATCAACGTAGAGCTTCCTCTATCTGATTCTCTAACAACTGCAGACCTTCCATGAGTCAAGCTTTGTGTCAAAAGGACAAATTAAAAGGCAAGAAAATAAAATCATAATACCAGGACTTTTGGGGAAACCAAAACAAAACAAAACAAAAAACACATCTAATTCCAGATTATTTCAGGGACCCGCACATTTTGCCCAAATCTCTGTCTATTGTTTCTGTGTCCAATGTACTCTTTGTTGTTGTTGTTTATCTGTTTTTTGTTGTTTGTTGTTGTTGTTTTTGTTAAGACTAAGTCTTGCCCTGTCGCCAGGCTGGAGAGCAGTGGCGTGATCTTGGCTCACTGCAACCTCCACCTCCTGGGTTCAAGCGATACTCCCGCCTCAGCCTCCAGAGTAGCTGGGACTATAGGCATGCGCCATCATGCCCAGCTAATTTTTGTATTTTTAGTAGAGACAGGGTTTCACCATGTTGGCCAGGATGGTCTCAATCCCTTGACCTCGTGATGTGCTCACCTTGCCTTCCTGAAGTGCAGGGATTACAGACCTGAGCCACCACACCCAGCTCAATATACTCTTTATTAAGGACAATGTTCAAAAGTTGTTCCTGTACTCAGCACGGTATGAAACTAGATAAATACATTTTAGGGAAATCAACAATAGAATTTTTTTGAAAGAAAATTGGTTTTCAAGGTTAATTCTTCAATTATCAAAAGCTTTTCAAAAGTAAAACATACTATTCCTCTCCACAATCCCAGTTAATCCAGACCCTCCTCAGTGGGCTTTATCAAATACCGTACTCACCTTCCTGAATCTTTTGCTGAATCTCATATAAAGTTTTGTCACAGAACCTCAGATTTTTCATACGGTTTTGTGTACCACGTCATGCCTGTGAATTGCTCTCTTTGCTTTGTTTTTATTTATTTATTTATTTTTTTGTAAGAAGTAGCCAGGAAGTATCTTTCTTTGCTTTATAGATGTAAACTGCTTTGTATTTTCAGATTAACTTTCAAGAATGTTGAAAATTCTTTGCTCACTCTTCTTTTCTCACTTCCTCCCTCTCAGGACCTATAAAAGGCATCACCAAGCCCAGTGGACAGATGCCCCAGGCTGCACATTCTGTCAGTGCTGTTCTGGAAAAGGCCCAAACACATGCTGAAACATGGAAGGTAAAACCAGCAAGCAGCTGACTACATTCCATCCAGCCGTCCCCCAAAACCCATGTTCTCAACCATTCGCATTGTTCCAATAACTGCTCTTTTAAAAAGAGAAAACAGGCTAGGTACGGTGGCTCACGCCTGTAATCCCAGCACTTTGGGAGGCCGAAACAGGAGAATTGCTTGAGCTCCAGAGTTCCAGACCTGCCTGGGCAACAGAACAAGGGCTCATCTCTACTAGAAGTCAAAAAATTAGCCAGCTGTGGTGGCGTGCACCTGTGGTCCTAGCTACTTGGCTGGCTGAGGTGTGTGAATTGCTTGAGCCCAGGATTTCAAGGCTGCAGTGAGCTGTGATCACACCACTGCACTCCAGCCTACATGATAGATAAAGACTTTGTCTTAAAAAAAGAAAAAAAAGATAAAAAAGGGTTACACTAAAAATGTGCATTTTCTATTTTCCCCATTAATGTCCTACATACATCCCCAGGGTGATGGAGGAGAAAATACATTTTAAAATAATAGCCAATAGGTATGACATCCTCCATAACATTTTTTTCAACCAAATAGATCAATGAGGATTCACTTAAATCTATCTTAAAATCATAGCTAATAATTATGATTTAGTTACTTACCTAGTTCAAAACCTCTCAGTTGACTGTATAAATTCTCTTGACTATTTCTCATGTGTGATTCAAAACAACCTTAAATAACTGTGACAATAGCATATCACCCAGCTAGGACAGGCAGGATGCTTCACTTTAGCAATTTTTCACTTCTTTCACCCCTTCATGTTGTCCATCAGTCAGTTATGAAAACAACTAAATCTTTGTATTTATTGAACTTCTTATAATTTTGACAACCACTGCAGGCCTGTAAAAGTTGTATTTCTTTAATGTTCTCTTTATCTTCTCATGCCTGCGCTTCTCATGCAATGCCCTTTCAGCTATTATTATTTTCATTATTTTTGTAGTGCCAATTGAAGGAAAGCATTTTAAAATGCTGAAAGAAATAAAAGAAACCCAAAATAGAAATCACTTAACTATATGTGAACATCAGTACCCAAGCTGCCTGTTCGGAAATTTTTTAAAAAGGAAAAAGTACATCACCAGTTAATTAGCTTATCATGCTAAATGAACAAAATAAAATAGAAACTAAATCAGAAGGCACTTCATTAGAAAAAAAACTTCCAAATTTAATCTTCAGTGGTAACAGGCTATTAAGCATAGGAAGAAATAAACTGGAACCCTGATGAAATGTAAATTGGAATGACAATTATCACTAAAACAGAGGGATTCAATCCAGCTGCCTGGGGATGTTTCATTATATAAATACAAATTATTATTATCTATGCCAGTATTGGCAGAGGAAGGGCTATGTCTCTATTAGACTTTAGCCAAATTTGGCATTCTGGTTTCTACCAATAGCACACTGGTAATTTTTCTTTTCAGAACTCATTTATGTATCTCATTTGATCTCATCACAACCTGAGACACAGGTCATAATAGAGACTTCGGGGCTCATTTTATACCCGGTGAACCAGCCAACTTTCATGCAGTTGAGAAAAGGTAAACTGTCCAGATAACGTGGCTCACACCCGTAATTTCAGCACTTTGGGAGGCCGAGGTGGGCAGATCACTTGAGCCCAGGAGTTGGAGACCAGCCTGGGCAACATGGCAAAAAAACCATCTCTACAAAAAATACAAAAATTAGCTGGGCATGGTGGCACATGCTTGTCATCCCAGCCACTTGGGAGGCTGAGGCATGAGGATTGCTGAGCCCTAGAGGCAGAGGTTGCAGTGAATCGAGCTTGCACCACTGCACTCCAGCCTGGGTAACACAAAGACCTGTCTCAAAAAAACAAAACAAAAGAAAAAAAAAGACCAGGTGCAGTGGCTCATGCCTGTAATCCCAGCACTTTGGGAGGCAGAGGCAGGCAGATCATGAAGTCAGGAGTTCGAGACCAGTCTGACCAACACGGTGGAAACCCCATCTCCACTAAAAATACAAAACTTAGCTGGACGTGGTTGCCAGCGCCTGTAGTCCCAGCTACTCGGGAGGCTGAGGCAGGAGAATCACTTGAACCCAGGAGGCAGAGGTTGCAGTAAGCCAAGATGGCACCACTGCACTCCAGCCTGGGCGACAGAGCAAGACTCTGTCTCAAAAATAATAATAATAATAATAATAATAATAATAATAATAGTCATTTAGAGTCATTTCCCTATTCCAGAGCAAAGATGAGCTCATGAACAACCAGGGGTCTTAGTAACTGAAGGTTGGAGGCTCCCCAGGGGGCAGACAGAGACTCACATATCTATGGCATGGTCCTGTCCATTGGGGCTGTTTTGTCAAGAATAAAGAATGCTACTCGGGAGACCGAGGCGGGAGGATTGCTTCAGCTCAGGAGGTCGAGGCTGCAGTGAGCCCAGATTGTGCCATTGCACTGACAGAGTGAGACCCTGTCTCCGTTAATTAATAACAATAAATTTAAAATTTCAAAAAATTTAAAATAATGCTGCTGTCGCTTGATTACAGTATAAGAAGCCAGCCCTCGGGAACCACCAGGAGCCAGGAGCACCCCGGCCCCGCAGGGCCCCAAGTTCAGCCTGCCCCAACCCCTCTGGTGCAGAGTTCCTGGGACACCATCTGCAGCCCCGCCACGCCCCTCAAAGTCAAGGGCACAGGCGGCTGGGGCTTCCCCGCCCGCCCGACGACTTCCTGCTGCCCCAGCAGCCGCCACAGTCACCACCACGGCCCCTGGACGACCCAGAGCTCCTGCTGCCGCCCCCTGACTTCATGGAGGCGCCCCAGGACTTCGTGCCCCCTCCCCCTGCTGTCGCCAAGAGGCCTCCTATGCCCCACCCCCACAAGAGGCACGAAGCATCAATGTTCAGATGCCGCAAATGAATAAAATAAATGAATAAAAGTTCAACGTTCTTCCTACGGTATTTCTAGAAAGATTACTGGGTCAGTCGATCTGGATGTCAATACTATAATTGAAAATAGCTCCCAGGGAAACCGAAAGATTGGACACCCCTGCAGGCTAAATGGAAATTTAAAATGAAGCGAATTTAGTTTTAAAACCAAAATATTTAGTAATTAAAACTGGCAAGGTGTTCTTAATTTTTTGAGCATATGCTTGAAATAGGATAGAAGGTAAATTTGCTTTACATTAAATTTTATCTCAGGAACAGTAACTCTCCAGTTTTAGTATATTATGTTCTTTTGATATAAGATACAGTATTAATACGGCTTTTCTTTTTAAATTTTTTTAAAATTTTATTTTCCTTTTAAGTTCCAGGATACATGTGCAGAACGTGCAGATTTGTTACATAGGTAAACGTGTGCCATGGTGGTTTGCTGAACCTATCAACCCATCACCTAAATATTAAGCCCAGCATGTGTTAGCTATTTGTCCTGATGCTCTCCCTCCCCTCAATCCCCCACAACAGGTCCCAGTGTGTGTTGTTCCTCTCCTTGTGTCCATGTGAAAAACACAGCTTTTCTGATACCTGACTACATAATGGTCATTATGCAGATCTCTGGGACAATACAGGAAAGGTTCAGCGAAGAGAGCTATGAAAGTTGTCAGAATCAAAATGGGGTCACTCATGTTAACAAAACGCTGACAAATAGAACCAGGCAAGTCCATGAATAGAGGGTTCTCATGAAGATCGTCAACCCTGTGATTTTCACTCAAGTGGAACACAATCTTTGGTGTCTGGCTGAGAGGTCTTTACAAGAACTACCTATACCTGAGTGGGATTATTTAGATTGACCCTGAAAATGCAGCAAACTTTGCTCCTTTATGAAAATTTTAGTGAGATAGTGGAGGTGGGGGGAGTGTAAAAGCTGGGGTGAAATTGGACATTAGAGAGGAAGTGCAAGGATAATAATATATTATGAACAGTATATAATTAATAATATAGGGCAGTAATGCTATATCACAGCTTATGAAAACTCCATAATTTCTTTTATAATGCTGCCACTGGGGCAAAGACCCATGTAATAGGCCAACTGCAACAAAAACCACAAGGTTTGGTAGCGTTTACAGGAAACACGATTTAACCCGCCACATGATAGAATATGAACTAAGATTTTACAGTAGGTCCTCAAAGAGGAGAACGAATATTTAAGCCTCATATTTTGTTTGATCACAGGAATCTTGGCTGCTATGATACTGAAATGACCTAAGTCCATGATAATTGAGCCTTTAAAGTGTGTTTGAGACTTATGGCTTGATGTGTGATCCATTTTTACCGATGGTTTATGTGTGCTTGGGTACAATGTAGTATACATGTTCCTTAGAACAAGCTTGTGAAGTATGTTGCACAAATCTTCTGCCTGCAGCCTGTTATCTGGTCTGTCGCATCCATCAATTACTAAGAAGAATGTTTTAAAATCTTCTGAGGGCAGATTTGTCAATATCTTTTCATTGTTCTGGCAAATTGAGCTTTATATATTCCGACACTGTTTATTATTAAGTGTAAACAAAAACTATGTATGTGACTTCCTGGCGAATTGAACCGTCTATCACCATGCAATGTTTTCTGCTTTTTATCTTGTACTCATGCAGCTATACCATCTTTTTTCAGGTATTTGCCTGACAAATCTATTCATTCACTTTCAAACTCTCTATGACTTTATGTTCAATGTTTGCCACTTGTAAATGACATATGGCAGATTTTGTTGTGTTTATATCTCGTTCAGGGATTATTATCTTTTAACTGCAAATTTATTCTTTTTACTTTTTAAATTTTCTTTCTTCTTTTTTTTTTATTTTTTATTTTAAGAGTCAGGGTCTCATTCTGTCACCTCGGCTGGAGTGCAGTGGTGGGATCATAGCTCACTGCAGCCTCAACATTCTAGGCTGAAGCCATCCTCTTGCCTCAGCCTCCCGAGTAGCTGGTACTATAGGCTTATGCCACCGTGCCTTGCTAATTTTTATTTTTTGTAGAGATAGGAGTCTCACCATGTTGTCTAGGCTGCTTCCTAACTCCTGGCCTCAAGCAATCCTTCTGCCCTGGCCTCCCAAAGTGTTGGGATTACAGGCATGAGCCACCATGTCCGGCCTCTTCTTATTACTCTTACTGTGTCCAAAACTTCAACCAAAGTTCCATATAATATAATAATCACTGATGCACTAGATTATATGCTTTATTGATTTTTTTTTTTTGAGACAGAGTCTCTCTTCTTCAGTCAGACTGAAGTGCAGTGCCGTGACCTTGGCTCAGTGTACCCTTCACCTCCCGGGTTCGAGTGATTCTCGTGCCTCAGTCTCCCTAGTAGCTGGGATTACAGGTGTGTGCCACCATGACCAGCTAATTTTTTTGTATTTTTAGTAGAGATGAAATTTGGCCATGTTGGCTAGGCTGGTCTCAAACCCCTGATGTCATGTGATCCACCTGCCTCGGCCTCCGAAAGTGCTGAAATTACAGGAATGAGCCACCTTGTCCAGCTGATCATAGGCATTTTCTATTTTTTTGAGACAGGGTCTCTCTCTGTCAACCAGGCTGGAGTACAGTGGCGTGATCTCAGCTCACTGTAACCTCCGCTTCCCAAGTTCAAGTGATTCTCCTGCCTCAGCCTCCCGAGTCGCTGGGACTACAGGGGCGTACCACCATGCCCAGCTAATTTTTGTATTTTCAGGAGAGGCGGGGTTTCAGCATGCTGGCCAGGCTGGTCTTGAACTCGTGACCTCAGGTGATCCGCCAGCCTTGGCCTCCCAAAAGTGCTGGGATTACAGGTGTGAGCCACAGCGCCCGGCCTAATCATAGGCTTTTTAATGGTGGGAATCAAATTCATCTTTGTGGCTTTAGCTTTAACAATTTGACTATGCAAAAAGGCACATAATAGGGACTTGGTATGTGTTTGCTAAATAACTCAATTTAGTGCTGGGGAAAGAATTACAGCCAACCTAATTTTTTTTCCTTTTTTTTTTTTTTTTCTGAGACAGAGTCTCTCACTCTGTCACCAGGCAGGAGTCCAATGGCACGATCTCGGCTCACTGCAACCTCCACCTCCAGGGTTCAAGCAATTCTTCTTCCTCAGCCTCCTGAGTAGCTGGGACTACAGGCACCTGCCACCACACCCAGCTAATTTTTGTATTTTAGTAGAGACGGGGTTTCACCATGTTGGCCAGGATGGTCTTGATCTCTTGACCTCACGATCCCTTGACCTCATGATCCGCCAGCCTCAGCCTCCCAAAGTGCTGGGATTACAGATGTGAGTCACCGTGCCCAGCCCAGCCAACCTAATTTTATTGCAGATGCAGATATTTCAGGGCTTATAAAAAATCTCCTTTGCAATATAAACCCAATCACACAATGCTAGAGCTATCTAGGGTAACATACTTAAATACATGGAAATATTCTATCTTAGGACATCAGCTGTTTTCTCTTAGGAGCCTGATGACCTTATTCTTTCCAAAGAAACCATAGAAGTGGAGGCCAGGTGCGGTGGTTCACTCCTGTAATCCCAGCACTTTGAGAGGCTGAGGTGGGCGGATCACGAGGTCAGGAGTTCGAGACCAGCCTGGCCAACATGGTGAAACCCGGTGTCTACTAAAAATACAAAAAGTAGCTAGGCGTGGTGGTGGGTGCCTGTATTCCCAGTTACCCAGGCTGAGGCAGGAGAATCATTCAGTCTCCAGGAGGCAGAGGCTGCAGTGAGCTGAGATAATGCCATTGCACTACAGCCTGGTGATAGGGCAAGATTCTGTCTCAAAAAAAAAAAAAAAAAAAAAACTACAGAAATGACTACTTCCCTACCAATCTTTATAGTTACAGAGCTAAAGACCATCAAAAACATCATCATCTTTAAATATAAAATCAACAATCACTGTTCTGAGTATCATAGTAAATCAAATGCATTTCTTTTTTTTAACCCCGTTATCTTTTCCTCCTTAGCACTTATCTCCTAATATTCAATATAACTTATTTGTTTTGTTAATTTGTCTCTCCTACCAGAAGTAAGCTTCATGGGGGCACAATTATTTTTCCTGTTATTTTTCATTGCTGTGCCCTTAGCACTTAGAACAGTGTCTGGCACATACTGAGAACCTAAATATTCAATAAATATTTGTTGAATGAATAAACTCTGCAGGGAAAAACAGGTACAAAAGTGATGGAGACAAGGGTAGGAGCAAGATGGCTTAATGAATATCATTTTATATCACTTTGACTCTGAACTATGTGACTGTAGTACCAATATATTTTTTAATTAAATTAAGGAAACAATAGATGGAATGTAAAATTTCTATCTTTATCAAAACAATATTTTTGCTACTGGGGTTAATAAAATCACTCTATGCTTGACTTCCATCTGGAATCTTGTTGTACTGTTGCACTGAAAACAGGCTCAGTTTTAGATTGGAGGAGTTGGGGGAGAGGAAAGGTAGGAAGAGAAATATATTTTGTCTTCTAGCAAATACGTTAGAGACACAGAAATAATTAAAATGTGGTCCCTGGCCTCCAGGAGCTCAATGACTAGTAATTGAATCAATCAATATTTAACATTTGATATAATATTAATGTACTCAGAATATCATTCACACTTATTCATATACATACATATGATATTTCAATTTGAGCAATTATAAACATTGCAAATTTTTCTATGTATTATTTACTGCTGCATAAAAAAGGCAACCATGTTCCTTTTTCTTTTCAGTTGAAATTCAGAATAAGAAACCATGCAGTAGATAGACAGAGATTAAAATATCAGCTTACTACTGATAAAAGCTAGCCTGGAGAATATTGCTCAGGTGGTAAAGAGGCACAATGATATGTTACATGCAAATGAATATCAATCATCTGTTGGAGTAAAATAAAAACTGTACTAACAGTTATGCAAAGATTCAGAGAATATATCACCTATCCACCCTGTTTGGGCAAAACACTTAAGAAAGTAATCAAGACAGGGACTTGAAGATGGAACCATGAGAAAAGGATGGTGGTGAGCAGAGAAATGACTCCAAGTGGGGGATGGGGGAGTGTCAAAGGCAAAGACACTTTAAACAGAACAGATACACTTCAAGGGAAAAACTAATAATCTAAAGTTCAAAATATTAAACTATCTTAACAAAATCTAGCAGCTACGTAACTAGATGCAAAACATGAAAATATTCGAAGGTCTCATCTTATTGGGATGAAGGGGAAAGCAATGGACAAATAGAATCTTAGTGCGGAAAAATATCTAAAAACTTGTTTTCCCATGAAAATGGCAAAAAAAGAAGATAACCATGAGAGGAACTGTAGCAGTCTTTTTCAGTTGAGTTTCCAAATCAATAGGGGGCGGGGTGTCGGGGAGAAGAATGAATTTCAAATCAGAAAAAGATAAGAAAGTCTGGGTGAAGCCAACAGTTAAATAAAGATGAAGTACAATGTAAGACAGAAGGAATAAATCACATACATCAATTGTTATAATAAATGTGATCAGCCTACATACTTCTATTAGGACAGAAACTATCACATTGAATCGAAATCTGTTTATACATTCTTTTTGCAAGAAGAACACTTTAAAACAAATAATAAAGATAAGTAGATAAAGGTAAAAAGTAAAGAGATTTGAGGAAAACTCAACAAAAAGAAAGCATGAATGGCAATATTAATGTCAGGCGAATTGAAATCAATAGTTATAAGTATATTTCCAAATAAATGGAATCATTGTTAAGATAAAAGCCTGTTTTTTGAAGAAAATAGAAGTAAAAAATCTGTATGTACCAATAATACAGAGCAAAATATGTAACTTTCAAACAATTAGAAAAAAAACTTGGATAAAAATATAATTAAAGTAGGCACTTTTAATACACACCTCTTAAGATTCTCACTTGTCTCTGTAATCCCAGCACTTTGTGAGGCCGAGACAGGCAGATCACCTGAGGTCAGGAGTTCGAGACCAGCCTGGCCAACATGGTGAAACCTCGTCTCTACCAAAAGTATAAAAAAAAATTAGCTGGGCATCGTGGTGGGTGCCTGTAATCCCAGCTACTCGGGAGGCTGAGGCAGGAGAATCGCTTGAACCTAGGAGGTGGAGGTTGAAGTGAGCCGAGATAGCGCCACTGCACTCCAGCCTGGGTTATAGAGCAAGACTCCATCTCAAAAAATAATAATAAATAAAAATTAAAAAAGAATCTAACTTGTCTAACAGACAGAAAATAGAGAGGCTCATAAAGGACTTGAATAATGTAATCAATACACTCAATTTCATATCTTAAAACTTCTCACTACACAATACATATTTTTACCTATAATCACCAAACACGTCCAAAAATGTTTTATGTTGGGCCACAAGGAAACCTTAATACATTTTGAGTAGGAGAGTTTTACCAAACATATTATTTAGTCATAAAAATACAGACAAAATAATTCCAACTACTTAGAAATTAAGAAATACAGTGATTTAAAAAAAGAAATACAGAGGTAAATAACTCTTGGAATAAACAGGAAATAAACAGATTTCACAGCATCTAAAAAGCAATAAGCAAGAAAAAACCATATCCCAGTTCCAAGGATGAAAAAGCCCAAAATGAACTACAGAAAAATATATAGCACTAAATAATAAGATAGTTTTTTAGATGTTAGTTTCTTAATTTCAAAAAATCATTATACAAATATGTTTTCACACAGATTTTATCAGTAGGTTGGGGATTTACTCACAGCTGCTTTTGCCTAGAGTACAGCAATGGGTTTAGAGCTTGTAACAACTTGTTAAAATTAAACATCCCAATATTGCCTGATTTCCTACTTTACATTGGAAATTATTATATTTATTTATTTATTTATTTATTTATTTATTTATTCTGAGACAAGTTCTTGCTCTGTCACCCAGGCTGGAATGCAGTGGCATGATCCCAGCTCACTGTCACCTCCATCTTCCAGGCTCTAGTGATCCTCCCGCCTCAGCCTCCCAAGTAGCTGGGAGACCACAGGCATGTACTACCATGCCCAGCTAATTTTTTAAATTATCTGTAGAGACAGGGTCTCCCTGTGTTGCTCAGGCTGGTCTTGAACTCCTGACCTGAAGGGATCCTCCTGCCTCAGCCTCCAAAAGTGCTGGAATTACAGGCATGAGCCACTGCCCCCAGCCACAGCAAGGATAATTATAATAAATAGCTTCTTTCTTTGTTTATAAGCTTATATTTAAACATATGAATCTGTAATTATTAGATAAAAATCTTTCTGGCATTATTTAAGTTGAAGGTAATAGAATACACTAAAAGCTTTTAAAACATGAACATTTGTCTAATAGAGAAATCTATTTCTATCCTGTAGGAATTTCCAGTCTATCACATATGACTTCAATCTCCAACTCAATAGCATGTCCTCCGCAACACCTCTGATCTCTCCAGTGCCAATACTGGATTTCTGTTACCTCCATTTCATATATTAGTGGAGTGAGAGGTTAAGTAACTTTCCAAAGGCACAGAGCTATTAAGGGTCAGATGCGAAACTCAAAATCTCACCTGTTTGACAACATGTTTCCTGGTATACCTCATGCCATCTTCTCCAGCATTTACTGGATTTTGATTTGGATTTTTTTTTTTAAAGACAGGGTCCCGCTCGGTCACCCAGGCTGGAGGGCAATGGCACCACTGTAACTCACTGCAGCCTCAAACTCCTAATCTAAAGAGTTCCTCCTGCCTTGGCCTCCCAAAGTGCTGGGATTACAGGCGCTAACCAGCATGCCCGGTCCTTATAATATGTATTCTCTGAGGGCAGAGACGATAAAGGGCTCATCGTTGTATCACTTAATGGCACCCACAAGATCTGGTAGGCACATAGAAATGACCATTTTATAAACGAACCCAATTCTTTCTACTACCCCGTCACTGTGTTATCTATAGCAGTTTACCTGAGATAACTTGTGATGATATTTTAATGAAATAAGGTGTGTATGTATGCACACATACACAAATTGTACATACCGGAATTACAGGCTTCCATAAAAGCAAACGGACCGTAGTGAATTGCAATGGATAAAAAACTGAGGTTATCAGTATTAAAAACACCTAAAACAACAACAAGAATTCCAAAACATGATGACAAAATATTTTTCTTTTACCTTAATTAAATTATCCAGAATAGAAAAGGTTATGGAAATGCCATATGTTTTAGAGATGAAACAAAATGACATTATCAATTGAAAGTCTAACTGGTAATATCAAATAGCTTAAAATGTTAAACTATATTTTAAAATTACATTTAGACTTTTGTTTTATACTCGCCTCCCAAAAATTTCAAAAACTATAATAATAAAAGGCCAAAAAATAGAACTTCCTCTTTTATTTATTCTCAATTCCTAGCAGTTGTTTAAAACTATATATATTATATAAAATGGAATTGAGACCAGTGCAGGAATAAGAGTAATTTTTGGAGATTGTGAAAAGAGGAAAAAATAAAAATATGAGTCATTTTTAGGACAGTAGGAGAATGGGTAGCCCCTTTTATTGCTGGAGACATTTGTACATCATAGAAAAAAGTCCAGAAAAATTAATAATAAAATGGTTAACAGTGATTACCTTGGAAAATGAAGCTCTACTCACTTCTATGTATTGTAAATTATTTACCATAAGCATATAGTAATTTATTAAAAATTTAAAAATTGCTTTAAAGAGATACTTACTCATATACATAATGTTACAGGTAACATCATCCTGATCTGTTCAAAACCATTTTAAACATGGAAAACATCTTTCTCTGTCATTAAAAACCAATTTGTAGACAGTAGCCCCCCCTTATCTGCAGAGGATGTGTACCAACACCCCCAGGGGAATGACTGAAACCACAGATAGTACCAAACTCTCTATATACTATGATTTTTCCTATACATACCTATGATAAAGTTTAATTTATAAATTAGGTACAGTAGCAGATTAACAACAATAACTAATAATAAAATAGAACAATTATAAAAACATGCCAGCATCACTACTCTTGCACTTTGGGACCATTGTTAACTAAAATCAAGGTAACTTGAACACAAGCACTGAGTCCTGCAATGGTCCATAGAACTACTCAGCTACAAGTGACTCATGGGATGAAGTGACTCATGGCCAGGGAGTGTCTCCAACATGGATAAACTGGACAGAGAGAGAATTCACATCCCAGACGAGACGGAGCAAGACTTCATCATGCTACTCAGAATAGTGAGCACTTTAAACTTATGAATTGCTTATTTCTGGAAT
Organism: Homo sapiens; assembly: GCF_000001405.40. Taxonomy (NCBI): domain Eukaryota; kingdom Metazoa; phylum Chordata; class Mammalia; order Primates; family Hominidae; genus Homo; species Homo sapiens. The sequence continues at coordinate 26,603,586 of NC_000010.11, forward strand.
TTTGCATTTAATATTTTTAGACCATGGTTGACCACAGGGAAGTGAAATTGTGGAAAGAGAATGCAGATAAGGGAGAAACTTCTGTATTACAAATGCTAAGAAGCTCAATAGGAATTTTTTAAATTCACAAAAAACGAAGCCTTCTACTTCAACAAATTCTACTTTCTCATCAGAAGAATGAAATATCTGTAGATAACTTACCACAAGCAAAAACTAACAGACTTCCACAAGACAATAAGTTGTGCTGTCTCAGATACCACAATAGAAAAAAAAAATCCTAAAATGAAATTTAGAGATTTCTCGGGTTTTTAGCAATGTATGCTCTTTTAGGATCCTCTGATAAGTCACAAGAAGCATATAGGAAAACTTCAAAGGTGGGTCAAAAGATGACTAAAGGAGTGGAAATTAGTACAGGTAAGAAAAATCCAGAAAAGTAAAATTATGCATCCAGAAACAATACATAAGAGGCTTAGACACAGTATCATGGTCAAGCTTCTCCATGGCCAATAACCAAAGTAAAAGCAACAGAATTCAGCACAAGGGAGTTAACTTTCAGCAATGTGAGTTATTAAACTTCGAATGTGTCACCAAGAAAAATAATGGAATTCCCTTCTCGGTGACAGTTAAAATAATGGAAAAGCTTTAGGAAGAGCAAAAAATTTCCACAAGAATAGAAAAACATATTTTGCTATTATGTATTATGTTTACTTTAGAACTACTATGATAGAAATATTGGTATATGTAATGTGTGACGAAAGAATGTATGTGATCAAGTTATAAATGCTGCTCAAAAAAATCACATATACTGTCAGGATGTAGGAACACCTGTTCTTTTTTTCTAGGCATCTTTTAAGCAAAATAACTGCCTTGTCTATGCCTTGTTTAAGAAGTGGTGCATCTTAACTTCCTGTAACAAAATATTCTAATGGTTCTGCACTTCCTTTGCTAGCTTTAGTGTTTTAAATTCTAAGCAGTAATCTCCAGTGTTGGCAGGCCAACGAGAGAAAACAAGAGAATTGCCTTTCCTCTTTAAATGCTTACCACGTGGGGTTGTAAATTAGGTCAGCCATGTGGAAAGCAGTTCGGAGATTCTCCAAGAACTTAAAACGTAACTACTGTTCAACCCGGCAATCCCATTACTGGGTATATATCCAAAAGAAAACAAATCATTCTATCAACAACACACCTACGTTCGTCACAGCACTATTCACAATAGCAAAGACATGGAATCAAGTCAGTGACTATCAACTATGGGTTGGATAAAGAAAATGTGATACATATAAATCATGGAATACTATACAGCCATAAAAAAGAATGAAATCATGTTGGTGTGCTGCGCCCATTAACTTGTCATTTAGCATTAGGTATATCTCCTAATGCTATCCCTCCTCCCTCCCCCCACCCCACAACAGTCCCCGGTGTGTGACGTTCCCCTTCCTGTGTCCATGTGTTCTCATTGGTCAATTCCCACCTATGAGCGAGAACATGCGGTGTTTGGTTTTTTGTCCTTGCGATAGTTTGCTGAGAATGATGGTTTCCAGTTTCACCAACATGGCACATGTATACATAAGTAAGAAACCTGCACGTTGTGCACATGTACCCTAAAACTTAAAGTACAATAATAATAACATAAAAAAATTTAAAAAAAAAGAATGAAATCATGTCCTTTGAAGCAACATAGATATAGCTGTAGGCCATTATCCTAAATGAATTAACACAGCAACCGAAAACCAAATACTGCATATTCTCACTTATAAATGGGAGCTCAACATTGGGTACTCATGGACATAAAGATGGCAACAATAGACATTGGGGACTTCTGGGGAGCGGAAGCGTTGAAAAACGATTGGGTATTATGCTCACTACCTCGGTGAGGGGATCAGTCATACCCCAAACCTCAGGGTTATGCAATATGTCCATGTAATAAACCTCCACATTTCCCCTGAATCTAAAATAAAAGTTGCAATTATAAAATTAAAAAACAAATAAATAAATATTTCCCACGTATCTATTAGGTTCTTTGACATCCATCGAGGGATAATGTTGCTCTATGATGAAGTCAAATAATCCCCTGGAGATAAAAAGGACATAGTATCGGTGTCCCTCAGAACACAGCATCCAATATCCAGGTACCTAAATCCCTCGACATCTATGAATTCATTAGATCAGGCTCAAGATGTTAAAACTTGAAGAATAAGGTTTTACTGCCAAAACAGCCAAAAAGCAATATTTCTTCAATATCAATCAAAAATGAAAATATGTTTCTAAGATCATATGAGATTCTACCTTATGTTACAAATTTGATTACTTCAATAAACATCCATTGGGTACCTGCTGTACCTACTGTATGCTAAGCCCTGGGCAAGTGCTAGGAAAAAGAATGGTAAGACCCAGAACCCAGACCTCAAAGAGTACATGCTCTACTAGGGAAGAAGAACATATGAAGAAATCATGATGTTACATTATAATAAATGCAATACCAGAATTATATAAAATGAATAGCGATAACAGAGCAGAGAATGATTATTTGTGGTAGGTCATTTAAGGCTTCACACATGAGGTGACAAAAAATTGGCAAATGTCTGAGGTTAAAATATTTAAAGTTGTACCAGGATTCAGCAAACATGTAATAAATAAAATATATAAAGTGCAAATGTATCATACTTTCTATTCTCATTTTAACCAACTATTCTAGTTACCTGCCTAACCACTAGCATGGACTGCACTGAATAAGAGGAAATCTGGAAGCAAATTTCAGCTGTAGATATGATTTGGAAATCACTAAAACCCAGTTAAAATAGTAAGTGTAGATTAGCATTTGTCTAATATCTATCTATGTCTCATATGTATATACACACACCATACACTGTATATGAGAGTATGTCATATTAGCCAGTGGAGGCATGTCAAGGATGAAGTGCTTAATCATATGCATTAAATGCTAGGGAGATCCGTGAACTATAACTGAAACATGACCACTAGATGGAGCAATTTCAGTGACATGGTGTGAATCCAGGCAGAACTGACCCAGAAAGCAAATGGGTAGTTAGAAATAATGCCTTGTTCAATTCCCACCTATGAGTACATATGTAACTAACCTGCACATTGTGCACATGTACCCTAAAACTTAAAGTGTAATAATAACAAAATAAAAAATAAAAAAAAAAGAAATAATGCCTCGTGAAAGTAGACAACTCTCCACGGGCCAGGATGACCAGAAGCTCAGTAAATGTTGCTGAGGTAAGAGACAGAGCAGCTGTGACAAGTGCGATGACTTCTTTGCTCTTATACATTTCCTTCATTTTGTTCGCATATTCTTCCTGGTCCAAATCTGTATTTACTATGCTGAAAACTTTAATATAGGATCCATATTCTAAATGATCCTAGTTTGTGTAAGGCATTTTTTCTTAAGTATTTCCAATAACTTTTAAAAACTACATTAACTTTTAAAATGGAAACAGAACTCCTCGTAAAGAAGGTTTTTTTGTTTGAAGGAACATCTTGCTAAGTCTGCTTGAAGAAGACGGGATTTTGTAAGCACACATGCCAGCAGGTACCAAAATCTCGGAGAATGATGGAAGCCCCACTGTATGAAAGGGGAAGAATTGATTGCTTTTGCTCTTTTGAAAAAAAAAATTCCTCCTCCATCTTCCCTACAGAAATCTTCAGCAAGACGCTCTCTGTTCTTAAAGACGTTGTGTGCATTTGGTTTGCTGTTTGTGTTCATCCTTTTGATGAGGCTGAGTTTCACATCTGGGTCAGCCTAGTAGGAAATAGGTACTATCACACATATCAAAGCTGGAGTCCAGGTAGAGGGGAGACACAAGACAGAGGATACACCTGGGGAATCCCAGGAATTGGGAAGAGAGTTTTGGATTTCTGGAGGCTACAGAATTGAGCAATTTGAGTCACTTCCCGTACCTCCCCAGTGTATGAGTGGTACGGAGGCCCTCATCCGTAACTGGGGTGCATCCTACATTATAAGTTTTTTGAGAAACGGGACTGTTGGGTCTTATACTTCTTTTTCTAATCTCCTAAAAAACCTACATGGCATTAAGCACAATAGAAAATGTTACAAATATTTATTTGAAATATTGTATTTTATTTATAAGAAAACAGAAAATACTCAACTTCACAGCACATAAATAAGCATTTTTTCCAACTGTCTTGTACAATTTTTTAAAATGTAATTTCTTATTCAGACTTAAAAAAAGAAGAAAATCTTGCCATTTGCAACAACATGGATGAAGCTCAAGGACATTATGTTAAAGTGAAATAAGCCAGACACAGAAAGACAAATACTGCATAATCTCACTTATATGGGGAATCTAAAAAAGTCAAACTCATAGAAATAGAGAGTGTAATGGTGGTGAGCAGCGTCGATGAGGTAGGGGAAATGGGGAGATGTTGTTCAAAGGACACGAAGTTGCAGTTATAAGATGAATAAGTCCTGAAGACCAAATGGATAGACTGTGGTTGATAATAACACCTTGTACCTTTGAAATTTGCTAAGAGAGCAGATCTTAAGTATTCTCACCACAAAAAAGTAACTATGTGAGGTAATGTATATGTTAATTAGCTTCATTGTGGTAATCATTTCAAAACATATACATATATCAAAACATCACATTGTACACCTTAAATGTAAACAATTTTTAATGTCAATTATACTTGAGTAAAGCGGGGGGAAAATGGTCACTTTCATAGTTTAAAAAATGTAATTTTCTTAAATTCTTGGTCATCAATCATAGACTTATAAAATAAAACAAGCAACAAACAAAAATGTAATTTTCTAACCTCAGTAAATCTAGTTCACTAAAATGAGCCAAAATTTCTAATGATCCAACTCTGAACCATGATTCTGCAGCACACAGCACTACTGCGCCTTAAAGAGAAACATTTATTGGCCTGGCGTGGTGGCTCACACCTATAATCCCAGCAATTTGGGAGGCTGAGGTGGGTGGATCACGAGGTCAGGAGTTTGAGACCAGCCTGACCAACATGGTGAAATCCCGTCTCTACCAGCCTGACCAACATGGTGAAATCCCATCTCTACCAAAAATACAAAAAAAAAAAAAAATTAGCTGGGTGTGGTGGCAGGCGCCTGTAATCCCAGCTACTCAGGAGGCTGTGACAGCAGAATCACGTGAATCTGGGAAGGCTGAGGTTGCAGTGAGCCTAGATCATGCCACTGCACTCCCACCTAGGCAACAAGAGTGAGACTCCACCTCAAAAAAAAAAAAAGAGAAACATTTATTTTAAAAAATTATTTTAATAAAAAATAAAATAGTCCCTGAGATTATCAGAAAAATAACTAATTTACATCCATAAAGGATCAGGGGCATTTCTTTATTCCTTAAAGAATGAAACAGAATGTCCAGAATCACACTTTTACAGCCAGCAAGCCTCTAATCTAGCTAAAGGCTGAGAGAGGGGCTCCAAACTCTTGATTCCCCACTTGTCTCATCAATAGTGACTATTTCACTGTACTTGATCCTGAATAAGGGAATGAATTATTTATTTTGCATATGTCCTTAACATAAATACAATCAGTAAATACAACTCACGTTTCTTTCTCATAAGGAATGCTGTACTTACAGGTGTTTAGATGTCAAGATGAATTCCACACCAGGGTGACAGCCCCTGCCCTGTGGCTGCTGTCCTTCAATACAGTCCTGCACTCACTACCTCTGGGCCTTTGTTGATTCTCTTCTCCCTTCTGCCACACAACCCACTCCCTGTCCTCCCCCTTCTGAAATCCTACCTAACCTTCTACTCAAGATCGATTTCCTCTTCCTCCATAAAGCTAACCTGATCCATCTCTCTTTAACTGACCTCTGATTTTGTATAGTTCATTTGTTCCATGTGTTAAATATTTTTTCTTCAAAGACTGTGATTTTCTTAGGACCAGGGACTATGGCATACTTATTACTCCCAGGCTGGGCATGGTGGTTCACACCTGTAATCCCAACATTGTGGGAGACCAAGGCGGGAAGACTGTTTGAGCCCAGAGTTCAAGACCAGCCTGATCAATATAGCAAGACCTCATCTCTACATAAATTAATTAATTAATTACTTAAAGAAATACTTATTACTCCTGGACCCTTTAAAGTATAGCCCAATGGTAGTCACAGAAAAGGGCCAATAAGTAGTTTTGGGTTGACTGGATTATTCATACAGTCAGGACCCATTCACAATATTAATCTGGATATTTATGTTCATGTGTCTTTTTTTGAGCAATAAAATGCAGTCACTTTCAAAAAACACATGAGCTTAATCTATTATTCTAAATGTTTACTTCATGAACAGCCACTGAATCACATTCCTCAATATTAACACTGAAAGACACAGGGGGTTCTAGTCTAACCTCATTTTATTTTATTTTATTTATTTTTTTGAGACAGAGTCTCACTCTTCCACCGTCATTGGAGGGCAGTGGCATGATCATAGCTCACTGCAGCCTTGATCTCCAGGCTCAAGCGATCCTCCCACCTCAGCCTCCCGAGTAGCTGGGACTACAGGTGTGCACCACCAAGTCTAGTTAATTATTTTTCTAGTTTTTTTGTTTTGTTTTGTTTTTGTAGAGACACGGTCTCCCTATGTTGCCTAGTCTGATATCAAACTCCTGGGCTCAAGCAATCATCCCACTTTGGCCTCCCAAAGTGCTAGGTTTACAGGCATGAGCCACCGTGCCCAGCCTAACCTCATTTTAGATGGCAAAAATGAGGGGCAGATTGTTTAAGCGACTTGCCCAAGTCACAAAGTGAGTTCCTGCAGGGCCAGCTCTAGGTTTCACATATTCTTTTTTCCTATCTAGCACTATTCTCACTGTACCACAGTGGCTCCTGGGCAAATGTTAGGATAAAAGCACAATGGAAATATCTCTGCATATGTGAAGATCTAGAGATGAAAATTCTACTAATGTCCTAATAGAAGTAATACTTGAGACCATTTAAACCATTAAGATTGTGGCTTGGAATTCAGATAAACTGAATATACATGTCACAGCCACAAAAGTTAGTAGTCTTATTTATACCAGTCATACCAATAGTCTGTGACTGGAATGTCATATCCAATCACCAAAAGCAAAAAGACCTACAAAGTTATAAGCCCACATGTAATAGTATCATTTCATCCAGATGAAATTAGAGAGAGAGAAAGACATGCTGTAAAAATAAATAACCCATAATTCCTTTAAGCATGAATATTTTGGGGGAATTTTTAAATGAAAATCTTATAAAAACATATTGCTACAGTCTGACAATTTTCATCCCCCCAAAATTCCTGTGTTGAAACCCAATCACCAAAGTGATGGTATTAGAAAATAGGGTCTTTAGGAGGTGAGTCGGTAATGAAGCCTCCATCCTCATGAATGGGGTTCGTGTCCTTATAAAAGAGGCCGGGAGTATGGAGTCCTTCCTGAACCTTTTAATTGGAGCTCCCACTTTTCACCCCTCCTTCAAAAAAAAAACACATATTAGAAGATTCATGTTAATATTTAGCAGAAAAGCTATTATACAAGAAAGCATGTGGTACCTGTTCCTATAAATTCCAATAGGGTGGGCTCTTCCATCTGTAAGCTGATCTGCCCATATCCCAAACTAAAGAGGAAAAAGGAAAATTGTTTATTAATCTTTACAGCATTTACAGTAATTCTTATAGTCAAGGCCATTTGGTCAACGAGGAGAATGAGGTATTACATATTTGGAATTATAATACTCAACGACTGGAATAAAGGTGAAAAAATTCAATCAATAAAACATAAGTGAAATTCACTTAATAAAATATAAATTTAGGCCTGGCGCGGTGGCTCACGCCTGTAATCCCAGCACTTTGGGAGGCTGAGGCGGGTGGATCACGAGGTCAGGAGATTGAGACCATCCTGGCTATCACAGTGAAACCCCGTCTCTACTAAAAATACAAAAAATTAACCTGGTGTGGTGGCGGGTGTCTGTAGTCCCAGCTACTCGGGAGGCTGAGGCAGGAGAATGGCGTGAACCCAGGAGGCAGGGCTTGCAGTGAGCCCAGATCGCGCCTGCACTCCAGCCTGGGCGACAGAGCGAGACTCCGTCTCAAAAAATAAAAAGTAAAATAAAATAAAATATAAATTTGAAACATAATTCATTCCTCCATCAGCTTATAAGTAAACTTAAACTTATTAGGTGTAGAACTTCTAAAATTGATCTACTTAATTAAGGAATATGAACTAGGAACACTTAGCAGAAAATCTGCCTATATGTATGCAATACAAAATCAGGAACATATTTGTACCTAAAAACATTGCTTTTTTTTTTTTTTTTTTTGAGGCAGCTGTGATCATGCCATTGCCCAAGCTAAAGTGCAATGGTATGATCACAGCTCACTGCAAACTCAAACTCCTGGGCTCAAGCAATCCTCCCACCTCAGCCTCCCAAGTAGCTGGGACTACAGGCGTGTGCCATGACCTCAGCTAATTTTTTAATTTTTTTGCAAACAGGGCCTTGCTATGTCACCTGGCTAGACTCATCCTGGCATCAAGGAATGTTCCCACCTCCGTCCCCCAAAGTACTGGTATTATAGCTGTGAGTTGTGACATTATACCTAGCTAAAAACATTGCTTTTGAACTTGCATGGTTAAATGTTTCCACATTTTCTGTTAAAATATATTTACGGTTGTTCAACTTTCAACTATGCAACTTACTAGCTGTGCAAATTTGTTTGAGTTACTTAATCTCATTGAGACTGACCTTTCATTTCTATAAAATGAGATAACCTTTGCCCGGTTGTTTTAAGAAGGAATGGTAATGTGTGCAAAGTGCCTTGTACTATGTCCAACATAACCCAGGTGCCTAAAAGACGGTCGTTAGTATTACAATACTGGATTGCCAACAATCATTTGCTAACTTAGACATCACTCCATTCTCAGCATAGATATTATTTCCACCAGAAAGTCTTCTTTGACTCTTTGGGACTAGGAGGATGGTGCTGTGTGGTGGTTTATACTGAGAGTGCCAACTTGATTGGATTGGAGGATGCAAAGTATTGCTCCTGGGTGTGTCTTTGAGAGTGTTGCCAAAGGAAATTAACATTTGAGTCAGTGAACTGGGAAATCACCCTCAGTCTAGGTTGGCACAATCTAATCAGCTGCCAGTCAGAATAACAGCAGGCAGAAGAATGTGGAGAGACTAGACTGGCTTAGGCTCCCAGCCTATGTCTTTCTCCTGTGCTGGGTGCTTCCTGCCCTCGAATATCAGACTCCAAGTTCTTCAGCTTTGAGACTTGGACTGGCTTCCTTGCTCCTCAGCTAGCAGATGGCCTATTGTGAGACCTTGTGATTGTGTAAGGAGTACCTTAAAAAACTCCCCTTTATATATATGTATCCTATTAGTTCTGTCCCTCTAGAGAACACTACTACATGCTGTAACTTCCCATGACTCCTATACTTATCCTTATCACAACCTTGATGTTATTGGAATTCATTTATTCATCTCTCACCTCTCTTAGAATATGAGCAATCTGATGGAAGAAGGCAGGTCTGGTTCACTATTGTAGCTCCCAGAATATATAAGGAGTCTATAAACAGCTGTGAAATAGTTAAATGATGCTTAATTTCTGGAATAAAAACGTGAAATTAAGAAAAATCTATCCAGTATTTTAACTTTTCATTTTAATCAGGAACAGACCCTCAGTAATTAATTTTATCTATGGAATAAGTATAAGAACACAAGTCTGAGAGTTGCTCTGGAAAGCTCTAGAGTCCACAATACCTTAAGTCTATTCCACACCATGAAAAGGGAATAGAAAGAATGATACTTGCTAGGAGTGAAATCAGGGGAATCAGAAAGCTAGTTTTCCACCAATAAAAGGCAAACCGTTTTCTGCACTGTTCATTCAAAATGGCAAAGTCATCCTTACAAATAAATATTTATAACACAATTTCAGATCAAGAAGAAGCACAAATGTGAAACTGATTAAAAGCTTTTATATAATGTACTAAGAAAAAACCCACAAAAGAATAGCTTAACAAAACTCTGGGCCGGGCACGGTGGCTGATGCCTGTAAATCCCAGCACTTTGGGAGGCAGAGGCGGGCGGATCACTTAAGGTCAGGATTTCAAAACCAGCCCGGCCAACATGGAGAAACCCCATCTCTACTAAAAAGACAAAAATGAGCCAGGCCTTGTGGCAGGCGCCTGTAGTCCCAGCTACTCAGGAGACTGGGGCAGGAGAATCACTGGAACCTGTGAGGCAGAGGTTGCAGTGAGCTGGGATCTTACCACCGCACTCCAGCCTGGGCAACAGAGTGAGACTCCAGCTCAAAAAAAAAAAAAAAAAAAAAAAAAAAGCAGGGCACGGTGGCTCACACCTATAATCCCAGCACTTCGGGAGGCTGAAGCGGGTGGATCACCTAAGGTGGGTGGATCACCTAAGGTGGGTGGATCATCTGAGGTCAGGAGTTTGAGACCAGCCTGACCAATATGGTGAAACCCCGTCTCTACTAAAAATACAAAAATTGGCCAGACAAGGTGGGGTACGCCTGTAGTCCCAGCTACTCGGGAGGCTGAGACAGGAGAATTGCTTGAACCCAGAAGGTGGATGGTGCAGTGAGCCGAGACTGCGCCATTGCTCTCCAGCCTGGGTGACAGAGTGAGACTCCATCTCAAAAACAAAACAAAAAACAACAAAAAAAAACAACTCTACAGGGTTTAAGGCTTGTATTGGTTCTTCAACAGTGCATGTGAGTACCAGCATAAAATGCTTTCAAATGCATTTAATCCAGATGAGAGATGGCTTTTTGAACCGTGGAATCCCTGCATTTGGGCACTAGAAAAGACCAAAAGGGTCATTTAGTTCAGAAGTTTCTAAACTGAGAAACAGTTCAGCAAAACGTTAATAGTAATGACTTAAACAAAACAACAAAACCCTGCAGTCAAATGTTTGGAAATTGGTGCGTTAAATAAAATTAAGCAGATGTCTTCGCCATAGCACTTCTCACAACTGGAATGACGTGGATCAGCCCTCTCACATTACAGATCAAGAAACTGAGGTTCACCTAGAAGAAAATATAGGCAATACCATTCAAAACATAGCCATGGGCAAAGATTTCATGACAAAATCTCCAAAAGCAATTTCAATGAAAGCAAAAATTGACAAATGGGGTCTAATTAAACTGAAGAGCTTCTGTACAGCAAAGGAAATTATCATTAGAGTGAAGAAACAACTTACAGAATGAGAAAAAATTTTTGCAACCTTTCCATCTGACAAAGGTCTAATATCCAGAATCTATAAGGAACTTAAGAAATTTACAAGAAAAAAAACAAACAATCCCATTAAAAAGTGGGCAAAGGATATGAACCAACACTCCTCAAAAGAAGACATACATGCAGCCAACAAACATGAAAAAGAGCTCAACATCACTGATCATTAGAGAAATGCAAATCAAGAAGATACCATCTCATGACAATCAGAATGCCTATTACTAAACAGTCAAAAAACAACAGATGCTGGCAAGGTTGTGGAGAAAAAGGAACACTTTTACACTGCTGGTGAAAGTGTCAATAGCTCAACCATTGTGGAAGACAGTGTGGTGATTCCTCAAAAACCTAGAGGTAGAAATACCATTTGATCCAGCAACCCCATTACTGGGTATATACCCAGAGGGATATAAATCATTCTATTGTAAAGAGAGATAGACGTGTATGTTCATTGCAGCACTATTTACAAGGAAGGTCATGGAATCAACCTAAATACCCATCAATTATATACTGAGTAAAGAAAATGTGGTGTATATACACCATGCAATATGTACAGCCATAAAAAGGAATAAGATCATGTCCTTTACAGGGACATGGATGGAGCTGGAAGCCATTACCTTCAGCAAACTAACACTGGAATGGAAAACCAAACACCGCATCTTCTCAGTTTTCAGCTGGAGCTGACTGAGAGAGAACACATGGACACACCGGGGGGAACAACACACACTGGGCAACTGTAGGGGAGTTGGGGGCAGGGAGAGCATCAGCAAGAATAGCTAACAGATGCTGAGCTCGATAACTAGGTGATGGGGGCTGGGTGCGGTGGCTCTCACACATAATCCCAGCACTTTGGGAGGCCGAAGTGGACAGATCACTTGAGGTCAGGAGTTCAAAACCAGCCTGGCCAACATGGTGAAACCCCATCTCTACTAAAAATACATAAAAAAAAAAAAATAGCCAGGTGAGGTGGTGCATGCCTGTAATCCCAGCTACTTGACAGGCTGAGGCAGGAGGATCGCTTGAACCCAGGAGGCGGAGGCTGCAGTGAGCCGAGATCGAGCCACTGCACTAGAGCCTGGGCAACAGAGCAAAGCTCCGTCTCAAAATAAATACATTAAATAAATTAATAAATAAATAAATAACTGAGTGATGGGATGATCTGTGCAGTAAACCGCCATGGCACATGTTTACCTATGTAACAAACTGGTACATACTGCACATGTACCCCTGAACATAAAAGATGAAAAGAAAAAGAAATTGATGTTCAAGTTTGTCACAGGTGACCCTTAAAGTCCTCCTAATGGCTTGATTACTTTGCCTCTTAGTCTACAGGACTTTGAAGAAGAAAGGAAATAACTAACCCAGCAAACCAGAACCTGATGTTATAATAATTGTAATAGTTCACATGTTAAGCACTTTTCATGTATTTCCTAATTCAATCCTACACCAACCCTATGATACTTTACTATTTGTCTTAAAAATTGTTCCTGACCAAACCAGCCTTACCAAAAAACCCCCAAACGACCAGAGAGTGTTAATCTTATCTAGCTTACAGGAAAGTCACAGAAATTCAACAATTGGTCTTATGTTCCCGTTTCTTTTTTTAATTAGTCAGATACCATACCCTGAACTTGTTTTAACATCTTGCTTTATTTCCAGAATGTTCCTTAATTCCTTCCTGATTTCTGCAGCACATATAACACCCCCAAGGAATCTTGATTTACTCCCATTCTAGTAGTCATACAACAATGTTCTATGGCTATGTTGATATAATTATAATCTATTCATCCTTCTTTTTATCTGATTTATTTATTTATTTATTTATTTATTTATTGAGACAGGGTCTCACTCTGTCACCCAGGCTGCAGTGTGGTGGCACAACTTCGGCTCACTGCAACCTCTGCCTCCCAGGCTCAAGCAGTCCTCCTGCTTTAGCCATCCAAATAGCTGGGACCACAAGCACATGTCACCATGCCTGGCTAATTTTTGTAGAGACAAGGTTTCGCATGTTGCGCAGGCTGATCTTGAACTCTTAGGCTCAAGTGATCTGCCTGCCTCGGCCTCATAAAATGCTGAGATTATAGGCGTGAGCCACTGCACCTGGCTTATTTGTCCTTTTATATTCACACGTTGTACTGCTTCATTTTGCCAAAATCTCTTGCCAAAAGTGCACTGAGTGAGTTCTCTAGCAATAATCCACAGAAATTTTCTGTTTTTGCTGCTCCAGTATTCTCAATGCCATTCAAAGAATTAAGTTCTAGCTTTAGCACAGCAAGAAATCACATCAGCTAATCTATAAACATCTTCTGATGACATATTCCTTTAGGTACATCTTGTTGAACTCCCAATGCACTAATTTAAAACTTAACACAAAAATAATTTCCTTAGTAGGACAGCATTTCCATCAAATAATTCTATTTGCATAAGGGAAGTTGTGCTGTTGCTACTCTTACCTGGTGGCCCCCATATCAGTGAGCCAGTGGAATGGATCCAAACACTACCTTTTGGCCACTTATAAGCAGGATAAAAATCATCTACTTCTGACACAGATAAATCAAGGTCCAAAAGAGACGAGGTTTCTCTATGTTGGTCAAGCTGGTCACGAACTCCCGACCTCAGGTGATCCACCTGCCTCGGCCTCCCAAAGTGCTGGGATTACAGGCATGAGTGACAGCACCTGGCCTCAAAGTGTGATTTCTAAGAATGACATCTCCATGTATTTGAATTTTAAACACAGGTAATCATGTATAATTAGACTAATAATATTAACTCTAAAAATTATTTTAAACAAATATTTTAGTGAGTTAAGTATTTGTGTGGTGAAAAAATAATGCCTAACTTTTGAAACTGCTACAAGACATACTCTTGATTTGAAAGGAGTTGAGAAGGAGGTTGAAAAAATACAGTTTTCCACTTTATGAACATAATTTTCTTTCACAGGATCAACAGGAAACATAGCTGATAAAACACCCTTCTTAGTGTTCTCATTTGTTGCATATACAGCACTAATATCCCTTAGAAAGTGTATGGTTCTTCAAGAAACTCAAGTCACTATTTTCTTCATGCTTTGTTATTTAAAGGGTGCTTTGTCATTTCAACACGATCTAGCCAACATTGATTTAGGTCAGTACATGGAACTGTTCAAGAGGCTAGGAAATGGAAAAAGCTTAAAACAGTAAGACACATATCCTGTCTTCAAAGATCTTCAGTCATGGAAAGCAAATCGGATTGCAATATATTTATAAATATATATATAATATATATATACACACACACATATATATATTGTTTTTTGTTGTTGTTATTGTTTGAGATGGAGTTTCTCTCTTGTTGCTCTGGCTGGAGTGCAATGGTGTGATCACAGCTCATTGCAAACTCCGCCTCCCAGTTTCAAGTGATTCTCCTGCCTCAGCCTCCCACGTAGCTGGGATTACAGGCATGTGCCACAACGCCTGGATAATTTTGTATTTTTAGTAGAGATGGGCTTTCACCATGTTGGTCAGGCTGGTCTCAAACTCCTGACCTCAGGTGATCCGCCCACCTCAGCCTCCCAAAGTGTTGGGATTACAGGCATGAGCCACCGCACCCGGCCCAAAAATATGTACTTTTAAATGGAGGTGAGCTGCATTACAGAATTACAAGTATAGTACTAGATAATTCAATGGAACCAAAATCCATTAGGCACATAATCACATGTATTCTGCCCTTTGGAAACACAATTTGCTAAAGGAAACAGGTAGACAAGAGACATAAATACCTTAAGACCAGACAATACATGGCTTACTAGATGCACAAAACTGCTGTAGATCCCACATATGATAGCTGCCTGCCCACAAAGCTAAAAGTTTAGAAATTGCCTCTGCAGAGACAAACTATGTCTCATAAAGTCCATACACTAAAACACATGTACCGCATTTTAAAAGCTGTAGAAGAAAAGACAGCTTTGAACACACTTTAGACTCTCAGAACATATTTACTCTTATTTTATATACAACACCTAAACTCATAATCTGTTTTTCCAATCCAAAGCAATTAAAACAAAAAAATTAGAAGAGAGTAGGTGTATTAATAAAACTATAAGACTAAGGGACAAAAAAACCTGTTTCTGGATAGAGATCTATTGTCAAAATGTGTCACCAAATTATTTAACAAGCATAATAGAAATCCAATTAATAGCCTAGCAGATTTTTTTTGAAAAAATAGACAATCTTAGTGTGCAAATCTGAAAAAATAAACGATACTTTTTTAAGTAAGAGAAACAAGTTTGCTTTTATTAAAAATTAGAAGAATACAATAACTAAAAATATTGCTATTCTAAAAATAGATGCAAAGATCAATGGAACTCAGTAAAAAGCACAGAAACAATCCAAAGCTATAAAAGAATTTCCTATGTAGTGAAAACGATATTTCAAATCACTGCAGAGAGGTAGCATTAGGGCAATTTGCTCCACTGTCTGGAGTAACGCCAATTTATTCCATCCAGGCTTGAGTGAACTAAATATCAGTTACAACAGCAATTGTCTATTTTATTCAAATGAGTACTAAAAACAGGCGAATATGGGCTGCATTTCACCCTTTAGATGTCCACTTAAGTCCATGATGTATTATAAGGTAGCATCCTGGGGGAATAAATGTGTAGTCAATCAAAAAGTGGCAGATTTTAGCATTCACACCAGAAAACCAGACAATATGATTATAAGTGGAAGAACCAACAGTATACTTTCTGCTTTGGTAGGACAGCCTCTGTGTGGAATTAACTAGATTATATAATTAACACAATCTCCTTTATGATGCTCTAACATTGGTAGGGCAAGGGCAGCATATCACGTTCCATAAGTAGTTATAATTTTGTACTGCTTGATGCGCGTCCCGGCAAGACAGCTGCTGGTCAATACATGTGATCACCAGCCATGGAACAAAAAAGGCTATTTCAGGCATATTCAACCCTCACCCATGTGATGCTTTAACAAGCTAATAAGTCATAGACTAAAAACCCCAGAGAAAATTCCAAAAGCATACTAACCCCTTCTCTTAAGATCTCAGGAAAATCAGTACTGGCAAAATTAAATTCTTTAGAATTCAGTTTTGCATAAGACTATGAAATCCACAAAAACTAACAAAAATAAAGGTTAGTGAAACTAACCTTTCACTGCAAATGTTTGAACCTTTTCTCTCAATAAATGTGCTTACCAGAGTAAGATAATTTGGATAATTCATTGATCATTTATCTAGTAACATCAGGATGAGATGTTTTACACAGTACTGTAAATCAAGACACAGTAATACATAGGATTATTTATTTATTTATTTGGAGACAGTGTCCCACTCTTTCATCCACACTGGAGTGCAGTGGCACGATCGCAACTCACTGCAGCCTCGAACTCTCGAACTTCTGGGCTCAAGCAAACTTCCCCGCCTCAGCCTCCTGAGTAGCTAGGGCTACAGGCACACACCACCGCACCTGGCTAATTTTATTTTTTGTAGAGACAGGGTATTGCTTATGTTGCCTAGGCTGGTCTCGATATCTGGCCTCAAGCCATCCTCCCACTTCAGCCTCCCAAATTTCTGGGATTACAGGCGTGACCCACTGTGTTTGTCCCGGTATTATATTTAAAATCTTTTTGGCTATAAAACCTGGTCCTATTGTAGACATTATGTTTTAAACAGTGTCATCAATATGGCAAGAAAATATCTTCTAGGGTAGCTAACACTCCAACATCAATACGACAGCCTTGATCGCTTTCAGTTACACATAGGCCATTTTGATCCATCTGTACTGGCTCTTTTCATTTGTCTAAGGGCAGCAAAATAGACTAAAGTTGTTTTCAGACTGCACAAGAGAAGTCCGTTCTTTAGCAGTTACCTGCACAACTCATATAATGTTTTTAACTTCCTCAACTCATGCTTGGCCTAGTTGGGTCAAAAGAACTACTTGTGAATTCCGCATGTCCAATTGGTAGCTTACTGTTTTTTCTTAAGAGTTTAGCTATACAGTAATGTTGGAAGTCTTGAGGAACTTCAACTGCTGTCCCTACTTAGCCTTGCAATACTACAGCATCTTTTTTCTTTTTTTTTAAAGACAGAGTCTCGCTTTGTCACCTAGGCTGGAGCACAGTGGCACCATCTCGGCTCACTGCAACCTCTGCCTCTCAGGTTCAAGTGATTCTCCTGCCTCAGCCTCCCAAGTAGCTGGAATTACAGAACATGCACCACCACGCCCAGCTAATTTTTGTATATTTAGTGGAGACAGGGTTTCACCATGTTAGCCAGGCTGGTCTCAAACTCCTGACCTCAAGTGATCCACCTGCCTCGGCCTCCCAAAATGCTGGGATGACAGGGGTGAGCTACCGTGCCGAGCCTACAGCATCTTTTTAAGAGCAATGTTTTCTGTTTTAATGTGGCCAAGCAATCTCTAAATGAAAATGGTTTGACAAAATTGTGCAGTGCCATACTTGCCAAAACTATGTGAGCTTGAGTGTGATACTTACTTGACAATACAGTATTTCCTCTATATGTTTCCTTATCTTTTTTTTTTTTTAGGAGCAAATGATAACGTCTTAGTCCTAGGATTGTCAAGTACAACCCGAGTGCTTATTGCTACACTCTACTTGGCAAATTCTACCTGTTGAATGTTTCTTAATATATAAACATAATCTCTACCAAGATAAGCTACAGGTGCATATTAACAATCTTCACTCATAAAGGTCTTTGCATATTTTTACATACTATTCTTCAAGATGGAAAAAACACCATCAAACTGGCTTATTTTCATAGATGTCTTTATACAGTCTATGAGGTCTTTATTCCATTAAAAAAACACACGATTAAATATAAAATTAATGTACCCAGCTATCAAGCTACCGCATTCTTTAACACAAGGTGTGGTTCAGAAGAACGAGAAAATACATGAATCAGAGAACTGTAATTACCTACTTGTTTGTCTATTTCCTCACTAGAGTGAATTTTTTGAGGACTAAACTGCATTTCTGTATCTCTAATGCTTACCCTCTATCTCACTGACTCTGTGTGTTTGAGTGCATGCGCCGAATGCTTAACTATATCACTTAATTTCTGTTAGGTACACGCTGTCTCTCAGCACCAGAACAGCACCCGTAGATCTGGCCTTAGAGCTAAGGAAAGAAGGCCTTTCCAATCGATAAGGGGTACTAATCCTGTACAGACTCTGATATCTCCCGGGCTGGGTACACGCAGGTTCACACCCAGGTGTGAGCAAGATTGCCAAACTATACCTATAAGGTGTTCGGAGGAGAGAGTCCAAAAGTCGAGAGACCAGGCTAAGTTAGTTAATTTCACAATAGCCCTGATCGTGGTGGGACTTGTTCCCAGGAAGATGGGATGGGCTGAAACTTCCTTCAAGAACAGGTTGTGAAAGGCAGCCGACCACGGCGTAGCAGGTCACTGCCAAGGGAAGCAGAAGCGGAAACCCTCGCCTCTGGCTTAGGCTGCGGAGCGGGAACCCGATTCTCTGAGTCATGTTTCTACCTAAACACGCAAAACAAGAGTTAGTGGCTGCAAGGGTGGCGCGCGGTGCTATTTCTTGCTAATAAATGGTCCCCACTGGGACATTTTTGCTGTGACTGCAGGCTTGGCCAGTCTCCCTGCACGGATTCTGGGAAGGGGGGCGGATAGGAGGCTAGCCCCTGGGAAGGTCACTCTCGGGGTCCCCGGGCCTGGCCTCCGCGCGCCCCTGCCCCGCCGCCTCCCGGGAGCCGCCGCAGTCCCCACTGGCTGCGGACGGGCAGGCGCCTGAGGTCTCCGCGCTGGCAGCCTGGCCGCACGCGGGGAGGAGCGAACCGCCGCCCCAGGCGTGGCCAAAGCGTCGCTTCTGTCTCCTCAGACGATTTCTCTTCAAATAAGGAGGAAATTATTTCAGAAGACAACGAAAAAACACATTCAAAAATCATATTGAATCAGTGTTTGAAAAGAAGACAGCAAATACTCAGTTTGACTAAACAATGTATAAAATACCACCTTGTTTAGTTATTTTAGGCAATACCAAACCTTTTTTTTTAACCAATTAAAAAAATCTTGGCCCAGTGTGGTGGCTCTCGCCTGTAATCCCAGCACTATGGCAGGCCAAGGTGGCTGGATCTCTTGAGCCCAGCAGTTTGAGACCAGCCTGGGTAATGTGACAACACCCTGTTTCTACAAAAAACAATTCAAAAATAAGCCAGTTGTGGTGGCATGCACCTGTAGTCCCAGCGACTCAGGAGGCTGAAGTGGGAGGATCCCTTGAGCCTAGGAGGCGGAGGTTGCAGTGAGTCGCTGCACTCCAGTCTGGGCGATAGAGCCAGACCTTGTCTCAAAAGAAAAAAAAAAAAACAAGTCTTGGCTGGGCACATGTCTCACGCCTGTAATCTCAGTACTTTGGAGGCAAAGCGGGGAGGATCGCTGGATCACAGGAGTTTGAGGCCAGGCTGGGCAGCATAGCAAGACCTCATCTCTACAAAAAATAAAAAATTAGGCAGGCACGGTGGTGCACACCTGTTTTCTTTTCCTCCATAGCACTTATCTCCTAATATTCGATATAACTTATTTGTTTTGTTAATTTGTCTCTCCTACCAGAAGTAAGCATCATGCGGGCACAATTATTTTTCCTGTTGTTTTTTTGTTTGTTTGTTTTTCATCGCTGTGCCCTTAGCACTTAGAACAGTGTCTGGCACACACTGAGCACCTAAGTACTCAATAAATATTTGTTGAATGAATGAACTCTGCAGGGAAAAGCAGGTACGAAATTGATGGAGACAAGGGTGGGAGCAAGATGGCTTAATGAATATCATTTTACATCACTTTGATTTTGAACTATGTGACTGTAGTACCTATATATTTTTAAATTAAATGAAGAAAACCACAGATGGAATGTAAAATTTTTATCTGTATTGAAACAGTATTTTTGCTACTGGGGTTAATAAAATCACTCTGCCTTGACTTCCATCTGGAATCTTGTTGTACTGCTGTACTGAAAACAGGCTCAATTTTAGATTGGAGGAGTTGGAGGAGAGGAAGGGTAGGAAGAGAAATATATTTTGTCTTCTAGCAAATATGTTAGAGACACAGAAATGATTAAAATGTGGTCCCTGGCTTCCAGGAGCACAATGTCTAGTAGTTGGGTCAATCAATATTTAACATTTGATATAATACTAATGTACTCAGAATATCATTCACACTTATTCATAAACATACATATGATATTTCAATTTGAGCAATTATAAACATTGCAAGTTTTTCTATTTATTATTTATTGCTGCATAAAAAGGCAGCCATGTTCCTTTTTCTCTTCAGTCTAAATTCAGAATAGGAAACCACACGGTAGATAGACAGACATTAGAATGTCAGCTTACTACTGATAAAAGCTAGCCTGGAAAATATGGCTCAGGCGGAAGATAAAGAGGCACGGTGATGTGTTACATGCAAATGAATATCAATCATCTGTTGAGTAAAATAAAAACTCTACTAACAGTTATGCAAAGATTCAGAGAATATATCACCTATCTACCCAGTTTGGGCAAAACACTTAAGAAAGTAATCAAGACAGGGACTTGAAGATGGAACCATGAAAAAAGGATGGTGGTAAGCAGAGAAATGTCTCCAAATGGGGGATGGGGGAGTGTCAAATGCAAAGACACTTTAAACAGAAGAGATACACTTCAAGGGAAAAACTAATAATCTAAAGTTCAAAATATTAAACTATCTTAGCAAAATCTAGCAGCTACGTAACTAGATGCAAAACATAAAAACATTCTAAAGGTCTCATCTTATTGGGATGAAGGGGAAAGCAACAGACAAATAGAATCTTAGTGAGGGAAAATAGCTAAAAACTTGTTTTCCCATGAAAGTGGCAAAAAAAAGAAGATAACTGTGAGTGGAATTGTAGAAGTGTTTTTCAGTCAAGTTTCCAAATCAAAATGGGGGATAAGCAGAATGAGAAGTGGGTGCATGCAAAAAAGCGACCAACCAGGAGAGGTAACCTTGATTATGACAGCCCACTCTCATGATAACTAATCCATTCCCATGAGAACTAACCCTGAAAGAGATTAATCCATTTTAATGACCTAACCACCTCTTAAACCACCTCCCAGCACTACCACATTAGGAACCAAGACTAAACATGAATTTTGGAAGGGCCAATCCATATTCAAAGCATAGTACTCCATATCTTTATCTTTTCACAGTTTGATAGCTCATTTTTTTTTCTTTTTTTGAGACAGTGTCTCCTTCTGATGTCCAGGCTGGAGTACAGTGACACAATCTCACCTCATGACAAACTTCACCTCCTGGGTTCAAGCGATTCTCTGGCCTCATCCTCTCCAGTAGCTGGGATTACATGTGCCCTACCATTTCTGCCTAACTTATGTGTTTTTAGTAGAGATAGGGTTTCATCATGTTGCCCAGGCTGGTCATGAACCCTAGGCGCAAGCAATCCACCTGCTCCGGCCTCCCAAAGTGCTGGGATTACAGGCATGAGCCACTGCACACAGCCCATTTCTTCTTATCACTGAATAATATTCCATTGTCTGAATGTACCACAGTTCATTTATTCATTCACCTAGCGAAGGACATCTTGGTTGCCACCAAATGTTGGCAATTATGGAAAATGCAGCTAGAAACATGTGTGCAGAGATTTGTGTAAATATCAGTTTTCAACTCATTTTGGCAAACAGGAGTGCAATTGCAGGATCATATGTTAAAGTGTGTTTAATTTTGCAAGAAACTGCCAAACCGCCTTCTTAAGTGGCTGCTCCATTTTGCTCTCCCTCCAACAATAAATGAGTGTTCTTATTGTTCCACATCCTTGTCAGCATTTGGTATTGCCAGTGTTTTGAATTTTAGCCATTCTAATAGGTATGTAGTGGTATCATTTTTAATTTGCTATTCCCTAATGACATATGATGTTGGGCATTTTTTTCATATGCTTATTAGCCACCTGTATCTTTTTTGGTGAAGTGTCCATTCAGATCTTTTGTCAATTGTTTAATTGGACTGTTCATTTTCTTATTGTTAGGTTTTAAGGGTTTGTATATTTTGGATAACAGTATTTTATCAGATATGTCTTTTGCAACTGTTTTTCCCCATCTGTGGCTTGTCCTTTCATTCTCTTGATTGTGTACTTCACAAGAGTTTTAATTTGAAGGAAGTCCAGCTTATCAATTATTTATTTCATAGATGATGCCTTTGGTGGTGTTGTATCTAAAAATTCACTGCCATACCCAAGGTCATCTAGATTTTCTTCTCTGTTATCTTCTAGAAGTTTTATGGTTTACTTAGGTCTCTGATCCATTTTAAGTTAAAATTTTTTGAATGATGTAAGATCTGTGTCTAGGTTCTTTGTTTTCGTTTTTCCATGTAGATATCCACTTGTGCCAGCACTATCTGTTGAAAAGACTATCTTTTCTTTATTACCTTTGCCCCTTTGACAAATATTTGTATAGGTCTATTTTGGGGCTTTCTATTCTGTTCCACTGATTTATTTGTCTATTCTTTGCCAATACCACACTGTCTGGATTGCCGTAGATTTCTCGTAAATCTTAAAATTGGGTAGTGTTAGTCCCTGAATTTCTCCTTTTCTAATATTGTGTTAGCTATCCTTGTTTCCTTTTTTTTTTTTTTTGGCATCTCCATATAAACTTTGGATTCAATTTGTCAATATCCACAAGACAAAATGTTGAGATTTTGATAGGGATTGCATGGAATCTGCAGAGCAAGTTGGGAAGAACTGACATTTCGCAAATGCTAGGCCTTCCTATCCGTGAACATGGAATATTTCTCTATTTATTTAGTCCTTCTCTGATTTCTTTAATCAAAATTTTGTAGGTTTCCTTTTAGATCTTTTATATATTTTGTTAGATTTATGCTTGAGTATTCCATTTGCAGGGAGGGATGTGAACACAAATGGTATCTTTTTAACTTCAGCTTCCAATTGCTCATCGCTGGTGTGTAAAAGAGCAATTGCAATTGACTTTTCTATATTAACCCTGTATGCTACATCCTTGCTGTAACTGCTTATTAGTTCCAGGAGTTTTTTGGTCAGTTGTCTTGGTGGCCTCCTGAAGAGTCCCCCTCTAAACCCAGGGTTAAGCATTTGCATTATTTTCCTCTCCATACGTAGGACTATCAAAGGCAAGGTGGGGAGAGTGCAAGGCAACAGCTCCCTGCAGTCTTCTCCACTTTAGATCATTTCATATTGTTAAGGTAAATGAGGGGAATTAACAGCTGTGGAGCAGGTTCTCAAGTATTTGCTATGAAAACCTACGTATGGTGATTTGGATTTTCACAGCTATTATATCCTGGCGGTCTTTGATGAAAGTTTAATTTTAACCTATTGTTCAATCAGTATCAGTTTTATTGGAAAAACTCATAGGAGAAAAAACAAATAATTATTTCAATAAATGTCAAAAAGGCTCTTGATGAAATTCAACACCACTCCTTGTTAACAGAATTTAAAACTTCATAAGACGCTAGCATCTGAGGAAGATGTTTTTATACTGATGAAAGGTGTCTGAAACCTACAGCAAAGGACATATTCAATAATAAAGCATGAACAGAGGTGTCATTTGCATTCAGAGTACCCAGGATTTGTTTGAATCAGTAATGGTAAGACACACGAACACAGAAATGACTGTCATGAGGGAAGCAGTTTATTTTACTACTCACAGTTCCCTAGAAGCTGTAGGCACAGCACACCACAAGGGGCAGGATAGGGGAACATCAAGGTCAGTCAGGAGGCAGCGGGAACCGGGTAAAACATGGGAAAGAATCTTTATTGCAGTTCTCTGTGAAGGAACAAGCAAGTCAGGGCAATCAGGCTTAGCATTGGCTAGTTTGAATAATGTCATTGTCTGCTGGAAAGAAGAGGCTGCTATCTGGCCCTGATGAAATTAGGGAAGCAGAATAGTAGCCAGAAATGTGAGAGTGATGAGCAAGATTAAAGACTGCAAAAGATACAAACAGAGATAAAGAAGAATAAGGAGTGAGGAAGAGATGAGAAAGAAGGGGGTATAAACTCTGGGTTGGTTGGATTATATAGGAAAGGCATACGTGCAGGCAAGTTGTTTATTACATCCAGCAATTAGCTTATCCTGAGAGGGTCAGTCCCTCCAGGGTCAACAAGGCCCAGATGTCAAAGCATCAAATTCAGAAAATAAGAGACATGATTAATACACCGTTAAAGTCAGTATTATAATTAATATTATTCAACATTATCCTGGAGTCTCTAGCCAATGCACACAACAGCAAAACCGCTAACATAAACAAATATCTGAATGGAAAAGACAGACTTTTAAATTCTCAGATGATGTATCTACTTAAAATTTAAAAACCAAGTCAAGCAATCCATTAAAAGCTATTAAGTAGAGAAACTAAAAACTGTCCTGTGTACTATATATCAGTGAAGCTCATTTGTAAAATGTAGTATAAAGGGTGATTCAGAAGAGCAACAAGAACTAAAATATTTTTAGAATTGATGGACAATTTTAAAGTCTATATGAGGAAAATTGTAAATGTTTATTGCAGATATAAAAGAAAACATCAGGAAAAAAGAGGTGCAGGTCATCACTGCTCCACCTAGTTCCAATAACCATGATTTAATTAAATAACGTGAGTTCCCCAACATGGTTCCAAATTCAGTTACCATGGTATTTTAACTGTGAGTAATTTTGTAAAGTACAAACTTTGTGTGAGCTCTTCAGTCCACAAATCACAACATAAATAACAGATGCAATCATGATCAGTGACCCATCATCTCTTTCAAAGTATGAGGTTGCCAATCGCTGCATATTTGTTACTGAGTTTATAAAGAGAGCAAAGCATGTCACTGTCTTGCCTCCTTGTCTCCTAGTGAGAAGCCCACATGACATTTTACAAAAATGAATAATCAAAAGAGGGAAGTGGTCAAAAAACATGAAACTGCAAAAAAAGAAAAAAAAGAAAGAAAGAAAAGGGATAACACAAAGTGAAATTCAAGTAGAACATAAATGTAGTTATAGAAGAAATAGTGGCCACTAACTGAGGCAGATGTTTGCTTGGTATTTCAATTAGTTTTGACAAATAAATCAATTCTGAATCTGACTGAAGCTCTATATTTACAGAAATACAGGGAGCACAGACACGTGTTGTGTTAGGTTGTTTTTCTGTTGCTATAAAGAAATACCTGAAGCTGGGTAATTTATAAAGAAAAAAGGTTTAATTGGCTCGCAGGTCTGCAGGCTTAACAGGAAGCATGGTGCTGGCACCTGCTCAGCTTCTGGGGAGGTCTCAGGAGGCTTCCATTCATGGCAGAAGGCAAAGTGGGAGCAGGCTTCTCATATGGAGAGACTGGAACTAGAGAGCAAGCGGGGGAGGTGCCACACACTTTTTTTTTTAAATTATTTTACGAAATCTAAAAGAGTCATATTTATTATCATCCCATATGTCATTTGTCTCCTTCAAGTAATATTATATTGTTTTGCATTTAAATTAGAGGTACATGAACTTCATTTTATTCAAAATATTTAGGTTTCTTAAGAGTTTATTTTGGAATTACATTTTGAAAACAGTGGTCACAAAGTAAAACATTTCGATTTTGACATTTCTTAAGCCAAAAGAAGACATAAATTTAAGACCTTATCTAGTTGTTCAGCTCTCTTTCACCTATCCCAGGATGTTCCATCAAATATTCATTCCCTCTCCCTCTCTTCCTCTTCTTGTCTCCTCTGCTTCTATCGGTGCCTTCCCATAACCTAGATATGTGAAGAAATATCTTTAAAATCTTAAAAGCAAACAGAATTTTAAAAAAGCCCTTTTCCACTCTGCTTATCTCTGTAGCATGGTCCTCTCTTTTCCCCTCACAGCCAAGCTCCTTGAAAGCATGTTCAGCACTCACTGCATTGCGTTTCTTCCTTCCCCATCTGGTACATTGAGGCATATCTGGCTGTGACCTCCCCAACTCCCCTGGAATGGCCCTTCCTCATCTCATCAGTCATTAGTTCATTTTTGTCTTTCTCCCTAGGCTGTAAACTCCTTTAGATCATATATTGTGTCTTAATTCTTTTTGTCTTTTTAGAGGCTGACATGTAGCAAGTGCTCCATAAGTATTAATTAAATTAATATTGCCTTGCTTTAATGCTTCACAACACTCACAGCATCCATTTGAACCAGAGACCAAAATAAGTAAAAAATTTTCAGTTTGAACTTTCTGATATGATCTATCAGAATTGCTAACTTTATGGGACCAGGTGCATCCCCATGCATTGCTCATCTGATGAATTAGTGACTTGCATTGGTAGATCTCTGTTGTTCTTTTGGTGGTGGGGTAGACTCTGGTTTTAGCCTTAACCAAGGTACAGATATTTCAACAATTATTGCTTTTCACTTTTTATAAAATGTTAGTTTACAAATTGCTTTCTTTTTGAAACAGAGTCTCACTCTGTCATCCAGACTGTAGTGCAGTGGGGCAATGTCGGCTGACTGCAGCCTGCGCCCCCCGGGCTCAAGCAATCCTCCTGCCTCAGCCTCCCAAGTAGCTGGGACCACAGGCATGCACCATCACACCTGGCTAATTTTTGCATTTTTTCATGGAGATGGGGTTTCACCGTTTTGGCGAGGGTGGTCTTGAAATCCTGGGCTCAAGCAATCTGCCTGTCTCGGCCTCCCAAAGTTCTTGGATTACAGGCATGAGCCACCAATCCTGGCCTATAACTTGCTTTGATTGCTGGCCTTGAATTTCATTCATGATCCCAATGCTCTTAATTCTTTTGTCTAAGGGCTTGTTACAAAAATTATTCTATAAAGCCCTTTAAGATACCCTTGAGAGGATTTCAAAATAAAACAACTCAAAATTTCCCCCAACAAAATAAAAAATTCAACTAGAATCCAGGATTATACAAAGCATTTTGAGGAATTAAAACAATTTCCAGTCCTTTCAGGTGCCTTCCTAGAATAACTATCTAGGAATTTCTGCTTCATAATCTTATGAACCAGACATTGGCAGTTGGGTATGATCAGATTGCTGAATGTGTTATCCAGAAGATACAGAATTAGTCAATGACTCTCTTGATTTTAACACGTGAGTGTACTTGTTTTTTCTTTCTAACTCCCAGGTGAATGCTGAAAATGTAGCTGAGAAAAGCTAACTGTATGTGACTATCACAGACAAAGAGCACACTTACACTAATTTCTGTAAATAAGAAACTGCTATTAAATCTTAAACTAAAGTCTTGGTCTACATTTTTTGGTCAAATATAATTACAGATTTGACCTAACTGAGAGCTCCTTAGTTTAATAGAGCCATTATTGCCTATTATTTCAGAAAGAAATAGTGTTTTCACTTTCATGAGACGTACAAATGATCCGGCCAGATCTCGGCACAAGCCTTGGCCAACACCTTTACAGATGAAACACTTCTGTTCCTGCTTAAACCAATAAACATTATTTTTATTGACACTTGTACAACACTGGAACATAAAAAACAGTCTGCTGAAAGTATTTTCCTATTTAGTCCAATTTCAGTGTATTTGTAATAGACAGTGGGACACTCCAGCAAAGCTGTTTACAATGGTATTTTGAATATCATAATATCATTTTCCCATTGCCTCCTATTAAAAAAAGATAAATAAACTACAGTAAAACATTTTTCATGAAAGACTTTATAATGGTGACCTAATCTATACCATGCAGAGTAGATAGTTTTATGTTTCTTGGAATTGTTT
The DNA here is from genome assembly GCF_000001405.40 of Homo sapiens. NCBI lineage: Eukaryota > Metazoa > Chordata > Mammalia > Primates > Hominidae > Homo > Homo sapiens. The sequence continues at coordinate 26,631,522 of NC_000010.11, forward strand.
CCAACTGTTTGCATTACCTTTTATATATATATATATATATATATATATATATATATATATATATATATATATATAATATATATGTATTTTTTATTATACTTTAAGTTCTAGGGTACATGTGCACAACATGCAGGTTTGTTACATATGTATACATGTACCATGTTGGTGTACTAAACCCATTAACTTGTCCTTTACATTAGGTATATCTCCTAATGCTATCCCTCTCTGCTCCTGCCACCCCACAACAGGCCCCGGTGTGTGATGTTCCAGAGATATAGACCAATGGAACAGAACAGAGCCCTCAGAAATAATACCACACATCTACAGCCATCTGATCTTTGACAAACCTGATAAAAGCAAGACATGACGAAAGGATTCCCTATTTAACGAATGGTGCTGGGAAAACTGGCTAGCCATATGTAGAAAGCTGAAACTGGATCCCTTCCTTACACCTTATACAAAAATTAATTCAAGATGGATTAAAGACTTAAATGTTAGACCGAAAACCATAAAAACCCTAGAAGAAAACCTAGGCAATACCATTCAGGACATAGGCATGGGCAAGGACTTCATGTCTAAAACACCAAAAGCAATGGCAACAAAAACCAAAATTGACAAATGGGATCTAATTAAACAAAGAGCTTCTGAACAGCAAAAGAAACTGCCATCAGAGTGAACAGGCAACCTACAGAATGGGAGAACATTTTTGCAATCTATTCATCTGACAAAGGGCTAATATCCAGAATCTACAAAGAACTCAGACAAATTTACAAGAAAAAAACAAACAACCCCATCAACAAGTGGGCGAAGGATATGAACAGACACTTCTCAAAAGAAGACATTTATGCAGCCAACAGACACATGACAAAATGCTCATCATCACTGGCCATCAGAGAAACGCAAATCAAAACTACAATGAGATACCGTCTCACACCAGTTAGAATGGTGATCATTAAAAAGTCAGGAAACAACAGGTGCTGGAGAGGATGTGGAGAAATAGGAAAACTTTTACACTGTTGGTGGGACTGTAAACTAGTTCAATCATTGTGGAAGACAGTGTGGCGATTCCTCAGGGATCTAGAACTAGAAATACCATTTGACCCAGCCATCCCATTACTGGGTATATACCCAAAGGATTATAAATCATGCTGCTACAAAAACACATGCACATGTATGTTTATTGTGGCACTATTCACAATAGCAAAGACTTGGAACCAACCCAAATGTCCATCAGTGATAGACTGGATTAAGAAAATGTGGCACATATACACCATGGAATACTATGCAGCCATAAAAAAGGATGAGCTCATGTCCTTTGTAGGGGCATGGATGAAGCTGGAAACCATCATTCTCAGCAAACTATCACAAGGACAAAAAGCCAAACACCGCATGTTCTCACTCATAGGTGGCAATTGAACAATGAGAACACTTGGTGTCACACACTTTGAAACAACAGATCTCCTGAGAACTCACTCACTATCAGTGGGACAGCACCAAGTTATGAGGGATCTGTCCCCATGACCCAAACATCTCCCACAAGGCCCCACCTCCAACACAGGGGATTATATCTCAACATGAGTATATTAGTATGCTTTCACACTGCTATAAAGAAACTACCTGAGACTGGGTAATTTATAAAGGAAGTTTTAATTGACTCACAGTTATGCATGGCTGCGGAGGCCTCAGGAAACTTATAATCATCATAGAGGATGAAGGAAAAGCAAGGCACATCTTACATGGCAGCAGGAGAGAGACAGAACAAAGAGGAAATGCCTGACACTTATTAAACTACCATATGTCAGGAGAACTCTCTCACTATCACAAGAACAGCATGGGGGAACAGCCCCCATGATCTAATCACCTCCCCCCAAGTCCCTCCGTCCACACATGGGGGTCATAATTCAAGATGAGATCTGGGTGGGGACATAGAGCCAAACCATATCAATGAGATTTGGAGGGAACATCCAAACTATATCACAGGTTCAATAAATAATACCATAGAATGCAATCAGAAAAGTGCAGAATGTTGAAATACCACAGGATAAATAATCTGGTTTCTTCAATCAAAACTAAAGGAACCAATAGAGTGCAAGTGAAAGAAGATGTAGGGATACATGGAAGTGATATACTCAAACATATCAAAGGAAACTTAAGACATATTATCATCTAATTTTAATGTATACTGCTTATTCGGATCCCAATTAAAATAACTATAAGAGGCTGGGCACAGTGACTCATGTCTGTAATCCCAGCACTTTGGGAGGTCGAGGTGGGTGGATCACGAGGTCAGGAGTTCAAGACCAGCCTGGCCAAGATGGTGAAACCCTATCTTTACTAAAAATACAAAAATTAGCTGGGCATGGTGGAGGGCGCCTGTGATCCCAGCTACTTGGGAGGTTGAGGCAAAGATTTACTTGAACCCAGAAGGCGGAAATTGCAGTAAGCCAAAATTGCGCCACTGAACTCCAGCCTGGGCGACAGAGTGAGATACCATATCAAAAGTTAAATAAATAATAAATATATAAGATAATGATGATGATAATAATTTATAAGACAATAGGAAAACCTTGAAAACTGACTGAATATTTGATTTGATACATTAAGAGTTATTGCTCTTCTAACTGCTGTGAGATGGTATCTCACTGTGGTTTTGATTTGCATTTCTATGATGGCCAGTGATGATGAGCATTTTTTCATGTGTCTTTTGGCTGCATAAATGTCTTCTTTTCAGAAGTGTCTGTTCATATCCTTTGCCCACTTGTTGATGGGGTTGTTTTAAAAAGTCAGGAAACAACAGGTGCTGGAGAGGATGTGGAGAAATAGGAACACTTTCACACTGATGGTGGGACTGTAAACTAGTTCAACCATTGTGGAAGACAGTGTGGTGATTCCTCAGGGATCTAGAACTAGAAATACCATTTGACCCAGCCATCCCATTACTGGGTATATACCCAAAGGATTATAAATCATGCTGCTACAAAGACACATGCATATGTATGTTTATTGTGGCACTATTCACAATAGCAAAGACTTGGAACCAACCCAAATGTCCATCAGTGATAGACTGGATTAAGAAAATGTGGCACATATACACCATGGAATACTATGCAGCCATAAAAAAGGATGAGTTCATGTCTTTTGTAGGGACATGGATGAAGCTGGAAACCATCATTCTCAGCAAACTATCACAAGGACAAAAAGCCAAACACCGCATGTTCTCACTCATAGGTGGGAATTGAACAATGAGAACACATGGACGCAGGAAGGGGAACATCACACTCTGGGGACTGTTGTGGGGTGGGGGGAGGGGGAGGGATAGCATTAGGAGATATATGTAATGTTAAATGATGAGTTAATGAGTGCAGCACACTAACGTGGCACATGTATACATATGTAACAAACCTTCATGTTGTGCACATGTACCCTAAAACTTAAAAGTATAATAAAAATAAAAAATAAAAAAAAAAGTTATTTCTCATTTGTCTCAAGCTCATATGTCACAGACTATTTGTGTTTTAAGTCATTAACATTTCAAGATGCGTACAGAAATATTTGTAGAGGAAATGAAACAATGTCTCCATTGTCCGAAAAAATGAGGACATGTATATTATACCTCAATTAAGGCAATAATGAGGAATATTGAGGAAGTGTATGGAGGTGTAGGTGAAGCAAAATTGGTAATGTATTGATCATTAGTAACCTGATTAAATGGTAAATTAGGTTCATTAAACTATTACAATTTTCTCTACCTTAGTAATTGTTTGAAAATTCTATAATAGAAAAAAACCTCTAAGAGCATAATAAAACTAAATACCCACTGATATGCCCCAAAGTGCTGAGTTTACAGTAAATACTAGATCAGTATTTAATAATCCATCTTTTTTAGATGCGTTTCACTCTTGTTGCCCAGGCTGGAGTGCAATGGCAAGATTTTTTCTCACTGCAACCTCTGCCTCCCAGTTTCAAGCTATTCTCCTGCTTCAGCCTCCCAAGTAGCTGGGATTACAGACTTGCACCATCACGCCCAGCTAATTTTTTTTTTTTTTGTATTTTTAGTAGAGAAAGGGTTTAACCATGTTGGCCAGGCTAGTCTTGAACTCCTCACCTCAGGTGATCTGCTGGCCTCATCCTCCCAAATTTCTGGGATTACAAGCATGAGCCACCGTGCCTTTGATTACAACTGTCATAAGATCTTGTAATCATTGAGAATAATTCATGTGCTTTATCAAAAACACCTTATTATTCCATTAAACTTACTGAGTAGAACAAAAATGATCATAAAGATGTTTCAAAGAATATGTTCCAATTTAACTGGCTAAAAAAATTTGTGTATATATTCGTTATTACCAAATGTGGGATTGGCATCAAAATGTGGATGATCAAAAATAATTTCTTAAACAGATTATTCTGTGTTGTGTGTAATGATAGAAGAATTCCTTCATTTATTTTTCCCGAATTAAGATGAGCAACCAAGTCTGAGATCTTTAGCCCAGGAAGGAGTAGGTGAGGCATAGCCTGCTTTCTTGGCTGTCGAATGCTTCTCAAAAGGATGCTGAAGAACTTGCTGGTAAGATGCACCTGGTAAGCAATGTGGGCAGATAAATATAGCTTATAATTACTCAGGACCCTGATGACTTTCTACATTTCTAAATGGCAAGGTCAATTTTAAATGTTTAAAAATATTTATACTTTGGGAAGCAGAGGCAGGCAGATCACTGGAGGTCAGGAGTTGGAGACCAGCCTGACCAACATTGCGAAACCTTGTCTTTATTAAAAACACAAAAATTAGCCGGGCATGGCGGCATCTGCCTGTACTCCCAGCTACTTGGGAGTTTGATGCAGGAGAATGGCTTGAAACTGAATGTGGAGGATGCAGCGAGCCGAGATCACCACACTATACTCCAGCCTGGGCAACAAAGCTAGATTGTCTCAAATCGAACAAACAACAATAAAAGTTCATACATTTTCTTTTATGAAAAATCTCAACTCTAGTTGTTACTTAGAATTGCTATTATTCCACAGAAATTCCTTAAGTACTATTTTTGTACTAAACTAAGAGAAGGAATATGTACACTGTCATGGAGAGTACAAATATATCCCCATCATTTTAAGATCCCTTTACAGCATGAAGAGAATTCTAATTTTCTAAAATATTTAGCAAAAAAAAGAATGTCAGTGATTTGCAATCTTTCCAAATGAAGGGCATGAATTCCAGCTCATGCTGCTTCCTCACTGGGAATTTGGCTGTATAGTAATGAACTGAGGCATCAACGACACACTTCTTTCAACAATAAATCTGAGAACTGAAATGTTTATTTTCCGTGATTTTGCTATTTCTTGGGGCTTATGAAGGAAACGCTTAGTCAGAATAGAGAGGGTGGATGACAATACCATGAAATTAAAGGTGAGAGGTGAAGTAGAACATTTTATTGTATCACTAGTATTTTAAATATAAAGATTGCATCTTCATGAATACGGGGCTTTTGGAGCCCATCTTAGCACTTCTCCCCAGGTACGTTCAATACATATCATTTTATTGAAGTTGCTTGTATACCTATCAGTCTCACCTACTAGGTAAACGGCTCCTCTAGTTGATTCTTACATTTCTCTACTGCATCTTGCCTTGAGTCGATTCTAAAGACATGTTTGATGAAAGAAGTTAAATACCAGTCACACGTGAAAAGGGCTGCATCTAGAAAGCTGCTCTATCAACGAAATCATTAAAAAATATGATGTACTCAGTGTAGGAATTTTAGGAAACTTCCCTATTATACTTGCTAGTTTGAATGAATATGTGTGTTATTTCCAAAAACATATAAATTGAATATATAATTATTAAGTGTGTATGTATATATACATATATATATACATGATATATTTATGTTAACATCACAGAGTAGACTTAACTCATGGCAAAGTTTTTTTCAAGCACCTGCAGAAATCTGTCTTCTTTCCAGTTTCGAAAACCTTCACAAGCCATGGTGGAAAGAGGATCCTTTGGATCCCAGAGAGTGCATGAAGCACGTTGGGTTACAGTAATTTTAAAATAGCTCATAGTCATAATTCACAATGAGGAAAGCTGAAAGTTGCTGGAAGCTATCAATGAATGAAAGGTGGGGCAGGGCAGCTGTGGGGGCGGGGCCTTGTGAGCCAGTGCCTGGACTCCCCCATCACAAATGGAAGGGCGGCACGTGGAGGGAACTCAAGGCCTGATTGGTTCCTCCTAAGCAGGAGGCGATCTAGTTGGCAGGGCAACCGGCCTTCAGTTAGTGCCTTCAGTGGGTGCCTTCCGTTGGTGGCATTTGGTTGCCTTTCCCGGGGAGAGGTGGCAGGTGCTCAGCTCTGCAGGCGTGGGGGCAAGGAAGGACCAAGCAGCCCGAGAAGAGCAGAGGTGCCCCATGGGGACCACGATGACTTGTCACATGTGCACCAAAGCCAGCCCAAGGCAGGGCCTGTGCAGGGCTTCTGCGGAGCCCTCCTGAGGCTCTAACATCTATGAGTGGGCAGCCAGCATAGGCGCAGGCCCCTGCAGAGAGGAACAGAGACGCCAGGAACACGCTGTCGTCCAATGCCAGCCCCAAGCGGGGCCTGCTCTGGGTGCAGTGTTGGGAGCAGTCCTGCAGCTCTGAGATCCATTAGTTGGAGGTGGGAGAAGTGCCAGATTCCACTGATTTGGAACCTGCCCAGTCTGATTCCGGAGCCGTGACTTACAGCATATTGGCTACCAGAAGACACCCAAAGGTAGGGAGGAGACAGTTCGCTTTCCTATCCCCGGCCCCAAGCAGGAGGACTTGCTCTGACTCAACTCCCCACCCCTTCCTCTTTCCCTGTTGCATCCAGCCGATTACTTTCCCTTGCCCTGTCCAAATGCCCACCTCTGGGCCCTCTTCTTTTCCTAGGTTGGCCAAAAACAAAGTTTTCAAAATACAAAATGGATGCTAAGATTTCATTACGGTAGACGAAATGTCTGACAGCTCTTGTATTTAAACGTAAGTAGCCACACTGGGACTCCCAATTTCATATCTTGAGTTCTAGAACAGAGCTCTCTCTCCTAAAGTAATGGCTGAGGGTCAGATGTACTCTTCTTGATTCTAATAATAAGAAATGATGTTTTGTAGAGACAGGGTCTCACTGTGTTGCCCAGGCTGGTCTCAAACCCCGGGCCTCAAGTGATTCACCCACGTTGGCCTCCCACTTCGTTGGGATGACAGGCAAGAACCACCACACCAGGCCTTGATAGGTGCTCCTGCTTTGTGTGTTTTGGCTGGTCTTCCTGCGCAGCTGTCAGTAAGATGCTCCTGCAGCATAGTTCCAAATCTTTTTGCAATAATTCAGTGGATGCTGTCATTTTTTACATGGAATAGCCACTTTGTCGCAGAGAAGCTGGACAATTCACACTTGGTAACATACAGCTTAGCAAATTTCATTTCTTGATCAACAAGTTAAAAGGTGATGCTTGTGGTCTAAATACGCAGATTCCTAATCATCCCCAAGAAAAAGGGAACCATTGCAAGGCAACCTGGGAGGGAGTTTAGGATTGTTCTGAGGCAGTGCCGGCCATTGAAATTCACACACAAGGGGATAGAAAAGACAATCCACATGTCCTAATCCCTCCAAGTTCTGGTTATAACTTGGTCCTCCTTAAACTGCACTATTTTTGGCCTCAGAGAAAACTGAATTTGAATACCAGTTCCATCACTCTTTATGATGTGATGGTGAATGTGTTTTTAACTCATCTGAGCCTCAGTTTGCTCATCTATAGAAGATGTGACTGTTATAAGGCTTCCATAAGGTTAGTGTGTAAAACCATGGCAAAATGCTTGTAATTTAAAAGAGAGGTTTGTTATGAGGCTTCTATAAGGCAAGTGTGTAAAAATCTGGACACAATGTCTACAATTTTGTAAATGTTCAATATGTGGAGAAGGAGGATTACCTTTCATTTAATATTTAGGGCAATTTTATAAAATTGGAGATCTCATATTTTTGAGATAATCAAACCAAGGATTAGAAAGACTAAATAAAGCACAATAGTCACAAAGCAGTTCACAATACATTTACTGGGTAATTTCTAGTTAAAAGTAGCAATGATTGTCACACTGAAAATCTCATATTTTGTAGTGGTTTCCTCTTACATAAGCTCTCGCTTTGTTGAAAGGATAGATTCTAAGCTGCTCTATCAAAGTGATCATTAGAAAAATGTGACATACTTAGTGTGTAAATTATAGAAAATTTCTTGTTAGTCTTGTTAATTTGATAGAACATGTGTGTTGTTTTCAAAAATGTAAATCAAATGTATGTGCATTGAATATATATATGAATATGTGAAATATGACTTGACATTATAGGGTAGGCTTAGCTCATGGCAATGTTTTTTTTGTGAAAGTACCTGCAGAAATCTCTCTTATTTCTAGTTTGTTAATGTTTCAGAGATTATGGGGGAAAGGGGATTCTATGAATCCCTGACACTGCATGAAGCAGTTTTGGTTTCAGTAATTTTAGTATCATTCATTGTAAGGTGATGATCCCTAGGAACTTCTTCACAGTGAGAAACCTGAAAGTTCCTAGCAGCCAGCAATGAATGCAAGCGGGGGCAGGGCCACTGGCAGTGAGGGGCCTTGTGAGCCATGTGCCTGTGTTCTCAAGTTCCAGGGTTCTGGGGATGCATGCAGGGGATTCTGGACCTGATTGTTTCCTCTGAACCAGGATGCATTCTGGTTGGCAGGGCAACTGGCCTTCACTTGGTGGCCTTCAGTGGGTGCCCTCATTGGTTGCCTTCAGTTAGTGCCCTCAGTTGGCACCCTCAGTTGTTTCTCTTCAGTCTGTGGTCCGCAGTTGGTGGTCTTCAGTTGTTGGGCAGTGGTGGAAGGAGGATGAATCCATTTGTGCTCTCTCCTCCCCCAGACACAGCTCTCAGGCTTGTTGCATCCGGACCCTTCTAAAATAAACCAGACAGGTTGGCAAGTTTTTTTTTTAGCAGACAAGTCAGCTCAGGGTACAGGGGTGATGCAAGGTGCGGGCTGCTAGTGCAGTGCCGCCCCATGGCCCAGGGCTGCCCGTGCCAGCCATACGTTTGCCGGGAAGAGGTGATAGGTGTTGAGCTCTGTAGACTTGGGGGCAAGCGAAGGCCCAAGCAGCCCGAGAAGAGCAGAGGTGCCCCATGGGGACCACACTGAACTGTCACATGTGCACCAAAGCCAGCCCCAGTCAGGGCCGGCACAAGGGTTCTGCAGAGCCAGCCTGAGGTTCTGATGTCTACGAGTATGCAGACAGCGAAGGTGCAGGCCGCGATATATAGGAGCAGAGGCACCCTGAACACGCTGTCCCCCAATGCCAGCTACAAGTGGATCCAGCTAAGAGTGCGGAGGGAGAAGCCGTCCTGCAGCTCTGAGATCCACGAAGTAGAGGTGGTAGTAGCACCGGACCCCACTGCTTTGGAGCCTGCCCAATCGAATTTGGGAGCCAGCGAGGTTCCTGACTGCAGCACATTGGCCACCAGAAGACACACAAAGGTAGGGAGGCTTCGGATACCACTTAAGTTTAGGAACTCCTCTGGTTGCTGCTGGCCCAAAGTTCCCCCAGAGGCATTCAAGGCCTGGGGCTCCTGCCTCCTGCCCCTAGTTTGCTATCCTAAGCCCAGGCCTCAAGCAGGAGGACTGGCTCTGCCTCACCTCCCCACCCCTTCTTTTTTCCCTGCTGTGTGCAGCCAGTTTCTTTCCTCCTACCTACCCCAATGCCCAGTTCTGGGCACTCCACTTCTTCCCCTAGGCTGTCTGAAAACCACATTTTTAGGATACAAAATGTATGCTATAGATTTCATTGCTGTAGAGGAAATGTCTGACAGCTGTTGTATTTAAACTTAAGTAGCCACACTGGGACTCATAATTTCATATCTTGAGTTCTAGACCAGAGCCCTCTCTCCTAAAGCAATGTCAGAGGGTCAGAGGTAATCTTCTTGATTCTAATAATAATAAATGATTTTTTGTACAGACAGGGTTTCACTGTGTTGCCCAGGCTTGTCTCAAACTCCTGGCCTCAACTGATCCACCCATCTTGGCCTCCCACTTTGCTGGCATGATAAGCAGGAACTACCACACCTGGCCTTTGGAGGTGCTCTAGCTTTGTGTGTTTTGGCTAATCTTCCTGCACAGCTGTCAGTAAGATGCTCCTGCAGTATGGTTCCAAACCTTTCTACACAATCCTGTGATATTTTTACATGGAAGAGCCTTTTGTTTACTGCAGAGAAGCTAGACAATTCACAGTTAGTAACCTAAGGCCTAGAAAATTTTGTTTCTTGATCAAAACAACTGTTTATAGATGCTTGTGGTCCAAAGATGCAGATTCCTAATCATAAAAAAGAAGAAGTGATGTCCACTGCAGGCAACCAGGGAGGGAGTTTAGGATTGTTCTGAGGCCGTGAAAGCCATTGAAATTCACCCATAAGAAGGCAGAGCAAGGGAATCCACATGTCTTGATCCCTCCATGTGGAGGGTATAATTGGGTCTTCATGAAGGTGCACCACCTTTGGGGTCAGAGAGAATTGGATTTGAATCCCAGTTCCAACACTCACTACAAAGTGATGGTGAATGAGTTTTTAAATCCTCTGAGCCTCAGTTTGCTCATCTGTAAAAGAAGTGATTCTTATGAGGCTTGTATTAGTTTAGTGTGTAAAAATCTGGGAATAATGCCTGTAATTTAAAAGACAGGTTGTTATGAGGCTTCAATAAGGTAAGTGTGTAAAAATCTGGACACAATGCCTTTAATTTTGTAATTGTACAATATATGAAGGTGGAGGATTATTTTTCTCTCCTTTTATTTTTAGAACAAGTTTATACAATTGGCATTATTCCTATTTTTAAGATAATCAAAGGACCAACAAGTTGAAATAAATCACCATACTCACAAAGCAGTTCACAATATATTTACTGGGTAATTGCTACTTAAAAGTAGCAATGATGATCACATTGAAAATCTTGTATTACGTGGTGGTTTTCTCTTCCACGAGCCTCTTCATTTGTGGAAACCATAGAGTCTAAGTTGCTCTATAAAAGTGTTCATTAGAAAAATGTGATGCACTTAGTGTATAAATTTTAGAAAATTTCCACTGTTAGTCTTGTTAATTTGATTGAATATGTGCGTTTTGGATTATGAATGTGAATATGTATTGATATATGAAATAAGACTTGACATCATACAGTAATCTCAGCTCATGGCAATGTTTTCTTCTGAAAACACCTGCTGAAATCTGTATTATTTCTAGTTTCCAAAAAAAATCAGTCACAACGGGGCCAAGGGGATGTTTGAATGTCAGATACTGCATGAGGCACATTAGTGTACAGTAATTTGCGCATAATTCATATTCATAATTCACAGTGAGGAAATCTGAAAGTTGCTACCAGCTACTAATAAATGGAAGGTGGGGCGGGCTGCTGTGGGGATGGGGCCGCTGTGGGGGCGGGGCTGCCGTGGGGGCGGGGTCGCTGTGGGGGCGGGGCCTTGTGAGCCAGTGCTTGGACTTCCACGTCATAAACGGAAGGGCGGTGCGTGGAGGGAACTCAAGGCCTGATTGGTTCCTCCTAAGCAGGATGCGATCTGGTTGGCAGGGCAACCGGCCTTCAGTTAGTGCCTTCAGTGGGTGCTTTCAGTTGGTGGCATTCGGTTGCCTTTCCTGAGGAGAGGTGGCAGGTGCTCAGCTCTGCAGGTGTCGGGGCAAGGAAGGACCAAGCGACCTGAGAAGAGCAGAGGTGCCCCATGGGGACCACGCTGACTTGTCGCATGTGCACCAAGGCCAGCCCCACTCAGGGCCCTCACAGGGCTTCTGCAGAGCCGTCCTGAGGCTCTGACATCTATGAGTCGGCGGCCAGCAGAGGCGCAGACCCCAGCACAGAGGAGCAGAGGCACCCGGAACAAGCTGTCCCTTAATGCCACCCCAAGCGGGGCCAGCTCAGGATGCGGTGTTTGGAGCAGTCCTGCAGCTCTGCGATCCACGAGGTGGTGGTGGGAGTAGCGCCAGAGTCCACTGCTTTGGAGCCTGCCCCGTCTGATTCAGGAGTCATGACGACCAGAAGACGCCAAAAGGTAGGGAGACTACAGATACCGCTTGGCCTTAGGAGCTCCTTTGGCAGTTGCTCACCCATGGTTCCCCCCAGAGGCACCCACAGCCTAGGGCTCCTCCCTCCTGCCTCTAGTTTGCTTTCCTAGGCCCAGGCCCCAAGCAGGAGGACTTGCTCTGATTCCACTCCCCATCCATTGTTCTTTCCCTGTTGCATCCAGCTGGTTACTTTCCCTTGCCCTGTCCAAATGCCCACTTCTGGGCCCTCTTCTTCTTTTCTTAGGCTGGTCAAAACTAAGACTTCAGATTACAAAATGTATGCTACAGATTTCATTACGGTAGAGGAAATATGCGACAGCTCTTGTATTTAAACTTAAGTAGCCACATTGGGACTCCCAATTTCATATTTTTCGTTGTAGAGCAGAGCTCTCTCTCCTAAAGTAATGGCTGAGGGTTAGAGGTACTCTTCTTGATTCTAATAATAAAAAATGATTTCTCATAGAGACAGGGTCTCACTGTGTTGCCCAGGCTGGTCTCAAACCCCTGGCCTCAAGTGATTCACTCACGTTGGCCTCCCGCTTTGTTGGGATGACAGGCAAGAACCACCACACCTGGCCTTGGGAGCTGCTCCTGCTTTGTGTGTTTTGCCTGGTCTTCCTGCACAGCTGTCAGTAAGATGCTCCTGCAGCATAGTTCCAAATCTTTCTGCACAAATTTAGTGGATGATGTGATTTTTTACATGGAATAGCCCCTTTATTTATTGCAGAGAAGCTGGACAATTCACACTTAGTAACATATGGCCTAGCAAATTTCATTTCGTGATCACCACACCTGTTAAAAGGTGATGCTTGTGGTCTAAATATGCAGATTCCTCATCATCCTCAAGGAAAAGGGAACCACTGCAAGAAAACCTGGGAGGGAGTTTAGGATTGTCCTGAGGCAGTGCAAGCCACTGAAATTCACACACAAGGGGTTAGAAAAGAGAATCCACATGTTCTCATCTCTCCATGTTCTGGGTATAATTTGGTCCTCCTTAAATTGCACCATTTTTGGCGTTAGAGAAAACTGGATTTGAATACCACTTCCATCACTCTTTATGATGTGATGGTGAATGTGTTTTTAACTCATCTGAGCCTCAGTTTGCTCATCTATAGAAGATGTGATTGTTGTAAGGCTTCCATAAGGTAAGTGTGTAAAAACCATGGCAAAATGCTTGTAATTTAAAAGAGAGGGTTATTATGAGGCTTCTATAAGGTAAGTGTGTAAAAGTCTGGACAAAATGTCTACTATTTTGTAAGTGTTCAATATGTGGATAAAGTGGATTATCTTTCTCTCCTTTTTAGACCACAAATTTTTAGACCAAGTTTATAAAATTAGGGATACTCCTATTTCTTAGACAATCAAACCAATGATCAGAAAGACTAGATAAATCACCATAGTCACAAAGCAGTTCACAATGCATTTACTGGGTAATTTCTAGTTAACAGTAGCAATGATGATCACATTGAAAATCTTGTATTTTGTGGTGGTTTTCTGTTACGTAAGCCTCTTGCTTTGTTGAAACCATAGATTCTAAGCTGCTTTGTCAAAGTGATCATTAGAAAAATGTGATGTAGTGTGTAAATGTTAGAAAATTTCTCCTGTTAGTCTTGCTAATTTGATTGAACATGTGTGTCATTTTCAAAAATGTAAATCAAATATATGTGAATGGGATATATATGTATACATATGAAATATAACTTGAATTAGAGAGTAGGCTTAGCTCATGGCAATGTTTTTTCTGAAAGCACCTGCAGAAATCTCTCTTATTTCTAGTTTGTTGATGTTTCAGAGATTATGGAGAAATGGCGGTTCTATGAATCTCAGACACTGCATGAGGCAGATTTGGTTTCAGTAATTTTAGCATCATTCATTGTAAGGTGATGATCCCTAGGAACTTCATCACAGTGAGAAACCTGAAAGGTCCTAGCAGCCAGCATGAATGAAAGGTGGGGCGGGGCTGCTGGCAGGGCAGGGCCTTGTGAGCCATATGCCTGTGCTCTCAAGTTCCAGGATTGTGGGGATGCATGCAGGGGATTCTGGACCTGATTGTTTCCTCTGAACCAGGATGTGGTCTGGTTGGCAGGGCAACTGGCCTTCACTTGGTGGCCTTCAGTGGATGCCCACATTGGTTGCCTTCGGTTAGTGCACTCAGTTGGTACCCTCAGTTGTTTCTCTTCAGTTGGTGGTCTTCAATTGTTGGGCAGTGGCAGAAGGAGGATGAATCCGTTTGTGCTCTCTCCTCCCCCAGTCACAGCTCTCAGGCTTGTTGCCCCCAGGCCCTCCTAAAATAAACCAGAGATGTTGGCAGGTTTTTCTTAGCAGACTAATCAGCTCAGGATATGGGGGTGAGGCAGGGTGTAGGGTGCAGGTTGCTAGCACAGTGCCGCCCCATGGCCCAGGGCTGCCTGTGCCAGACATGCCTTTGCAAGGAAGAGGCAATAGTTGTTGAGCTCTGCAGACTTGGGGGCAAGCGAAGGTCCAAGCTGCCTGAGAAGAGCAGGGGTGCCGCATGGGGACCACACTGAACTGTCACAAGTGCACCAAAGTCAGCCCCAGTCAGGGCTGGCAGAAGGGTTCTGCAGAGCCAGCCTGTGGCTCTGATGTCTACCAGTGTGCAGACAGAGAAGGCGCAGGCTGTGATATACAGGAGCAGAGGAGCCCTGAACACGCTGTCCCCCAATACCAGCCACAAGCGGGGCTATCTCAGGGTGCGGTGGGTGAAGCCGTCCTGCAGCTCTGCGATCCACGAGGTGGAGGTGGCAGTACTACCAGACTCCACTGCTTTGGAGCCTGCCCAGTCGAATTTGGGATCCAGTGACAGACCTGACAGCAGTACATTGGCAACCAGAAGATACCCCAGGTAGGGTGGCAACGGATACTGCTTAACTTGAGAAGAGCCTCAGTTTTCTCATCTATATAAGATGTGATTGCTATGAAGCTTCCATAAGGTAAGTGTGTAAAAACCATGGCAAAATGCTTGTAACTTAAAACAGAGTGTTTCTATGAGGCTTCTATAAGGTGAGTGTGCAAAAATCTGGACACAATACCTATAATTGTTTAAGTGTTCAGTATGTGGAGAAGGAGGATTATTTTTTCTCATCTAATTTTTAGAGCGAGTTCATAAGATTGGTGATACTCATATATCTTAGACAATCAAACCAATAATCAGAAAGAATAAATAGATCACCAGAGTCACAAAGCAGTTCACAATGCATTCACTGGGTAATTTTTAGTTGAAAGTAGAAATGATGATCACATTGAAAATTTTGTATTATGTTGTGGTTTTCTCTTACATAATCCTCTTGGTGTCTTGGTGTTATGAAACCACAGATTCTAAATTGCTCTATCAAAGTGATCATTAGAAAAATCTGATGTACTTAGTGTTTAAATGTTAGAAAATTTCTTGTTAGTCTTCTCAATTTGATTGAACATGTGTGTTATTTTCAAAAATGTAAATGGGACATATGTGGATTTGTTATATATGTGTATATATGAAATATTACTTGATATTATAGAGTAGGCTTAGCTCATGGCAAAGTTTTTTTCTGAAAGCACCTGCAGAAATCTCTCTTATTTCTAGTTTGTTAATATTTCAGAGATTATGGGGGAAAGGGGGTTTTATGAATCCCAGACATTGCGTGAAGCAGATTTGGTTTCAGTAATTTTAGCATCATTCATTGTAAGGTGATGATCCCTAGGAATTTCTTCACAGTGAGAAACCTGAAGGTTCCTAGCATGCAGCAATGAATGAAAGGTGGGGCGGGGCCACTGGCATGGTGGGGCCTTGTGAGCCATGTGTCTGTGCTCTCAAGTTCCAAGTCTGTAGGGATGCATGCAGGGGATTCTGGACCTGATTGTTTACTCTGAACCAGGATGCGGTCTGGTTGGCAGGGCAACTGGCCTTCACTTGGTGGCCTTCAGTGGGTGCCCTCATTGGTTGCCTTCGGTTAGTGCCCTCAGTTGGTACCCTCAGTTGTTTCTCTTCAGGTGGTGGTCCTCAGTTGGTGGTCTTCAGTTGTTGGGCAGTGGTGGAAGGAGGATGAATCTGTGCTCTCTCCTGCCCCAGTCACAGCTCTCAGGCTTGTTGCATCCAGGCCTTTCTAAAATAAACTGGACAGGTTGGCAGGATTTTTTAGCAGACAAGTCAGCTCAGAGTATGGGGGTGATATGGGGTGCATGCTGCTAGCGCAGTGCCACCCCGTGGCCCAGGACTGCTTGTGCTAGCAATGCTTTTGCCAGCAAGAGACGATAGGTGTTGAGCTCTGCACACTTGGGGGCAACCAAAGGCCCAAGCTGCCCAAGAAGAGCAGGAGTGCCCCATGGGGACCACATTGAACTGTCGCATGTGCACCAAAGCCAGCCCCAGTCAGGGCCGGCACAAGGGTTGTGCAGAGCCAGCCTGTGGCTCTGACGTCTATGAGTGTGCAGACAGCGCAGACGCAGCCCGCAATATACAGGAGCAGAGTTGCCCTGAACACGCTGTCCCACAATGCCAACCACAAATGGGGCCAGCTAAGGGTGTGGTGGGAGAAGCCATCCTGCAGCTCTGAGATCCACAAAGTGGAGATAGCAGTAGCACCAACTCCACTGCTTTGGAGGCTGCCCAGTCGAATTTGGGAGCCAGCGAGGGACCTGACAGCAGCACATTGGACACCAGAAGACACCCAAAGGTAGGGAGGTGGCAGATACTGCTTAAGTTCAGGAGCTCCTCTGGCCATTGCTGACCCAAAATTCCCCCAGAGGCATCCACAGCCTGGGGCTCCTTCCTCCTGCCTGGAGTTTGCTTTCCTATGCCCAGGCCCCAAGCAGGAGGACTGGCTCTGCCTCGAGTCCTCACCCCTTCTTCTTTCCCTGCTGTGTCCAGCTGGTTTCTTACTTTCCTCCTACCTACCCCAATGCTCAGTTCTGTTTCCTCTTCTTCTTCCCCCAGGCTGGCTGAAAACTAAGTTTCAAAATACAAAATGCGTGCTACAGATTTCATTGCTGTAGACGAAATATCTGACAGCTTTTCTATTTAAACTCTGGTTGTTCTCTTCATTTCTTTAAACATTAGAATAATTAAGCCTCATAATAGATGTGCCTTTGTAACTTGAAAGTATGACCCTCAATTTTCACAATTAAAAAAATTTAATTTTTCTTTTCATAAATTTTTGGCACAGGTAGTATTTAGTTATTGAGTAACTCCTTTAGTGGAGATTTGTGAGATTTTGTTGCACCCATCACCCAAGCAGTACACATGGAATCCAATTTGTAGTCTCTTATCTTTCTCCCCCTTCCCGCGGTTTTCCCCTGAGTATCATTCTTTTTTTTTGAGACTGAGTCTTATTCTGTCACCCAGGCTGGAATGCTACGTCGCGATGTCAGCTCGCTGCAACCCTTGCTTCCTGAGTTCATGTGATCCTCCTGCTTCAGCCTCCTGAGTAGCTGGGATTAGAGGTGTGGGTCACCACGCCCGACTAAATTTTTTGTATTTTTAGTAGTGACTGGCTTGCACCAAATTGGCCAGTCTGTTCTCGAACTCCTGACCTCAAGTGATCTGCCTGTCTTGGCCTCCCCTCAGGCAGGGATTACAGGAATCAGCCACCAGAACCCAGCCAAACTTTCCCCTTTTTTGTTGTTTTTTTTTTCTAATTTCCTGAAGTCATTCTTTGAGTTGTCATGTAGATTAATGGGTTTCTCAAACTACTAGAAAACTAGTTGAAGAAATAAACAGGCATTTTGTGAATATTAAACAGGACAGTGGTGCTGAGCATGGCTAAAGCATCTCTGCATTCACAGGGAGAGGAGTGGAAGACCTTCTGGTGTGGGCTGGGCAGCAATTCACTTGAAGGAGAAACAGCCCGGGTGTGGAGAGGCGGCCATCCTTGGCGGGATCCTTTCTAAGGAGCCGAGAAATCAACGTAGAGCTTCCTCTATCTGATTCTCTAACAACTGCAGACCTTCCATGAGTCAAGCTTTGTGTCAAAAGGACAAATTAAAAGGCAAGAAAATAAAATTATAATACCAGGACTTTTGGGGAAAACAAACAAACAAAAAAGCACATCTAATTCCAGATTATTTCAGGGACCCGCACATTTTGCCCAAATCTCTGTCTATTGTTTCTGTGTCCAATGTACTCTTTGTTGTTGTTGTTTTTTATCTGTTTTTGTTGTTGTTGTTGTTGTTGTTGAGACTAAGTCTCGCCCTGTCACCAGGTTGGAGAGCAGTGGCATGATCTTGGCTCACTGCAACCTCCACCTGCCGGGTTCAAGCGATATTCCTGCCTCAGCCTCCCGAGTAGCTGGGACTACAGGCATGTGCCACCATGCCCAGCTAATTTCTGTATTTTTAGTAGAGACAGGGTTTCACCATGTTGGCCAGGATGGTCTCAATCTCTTGGCCTCGTAATCTGCCCACCTCGGCCTCCCGATGTGCGGGGATTACAGGCGTGAGCCACCACCCCCAGCCCAATATATTCTTTGTTAAGGACAATGTTCAAAAGTTGTTCCTGTACTCAGCACGGTATGAAACTAGATAAATACATTTTTGGGAAATCAACAATGGAGAATTTTTTTGAAAGAAAATTGATTTTCAAGGTTTATTCTTCAATTATCAAAAGCTTTTCAAAAGTAAAACATACTATTCCTCTCCACAATCCCAGTTAATCCAGACCCTTCTTGGTGGGCTTTATCAAATACCCTACTCACCTTCCTGAATCTTTTGCTGAATCTCACATAAAGTTTTGTCACAGAACCTCAGCTTTTTCATAAGGTTTTGTGTACCACGTCATGCCTGTAAATTGTTTTCTCTGCTTTGTTTTTATTTTTATTTTTTTGTAAGAAGTAGCTAGGAAGTATCTTTCTTTGCTTTATAGATGTAAACTGCTTTGTATTTTCAGGTTAACTTTCTAGAATGTTGAAAATTCCTTGTTCACTCATCTTTTCTCACTTCCTCCCTCTCAGGACCTATAAATGGCACCACCCAGCCCAATGGACAGATGCCCCAGGCTGCAGATTCTGTCAGTGCTGTTCTCGAAGAGGCCCAGGCACATGCTGAAACATGGAAGGTAAAACCAGCAAGCAGCTGGCATACATTCCACCCAGCCGTCCCCCAGGAGAATTGCTTGAGCTCCGGAGTTCCAGACCAGCCTGGGCAACAGAACAAGGGCTCATCTCTACTAGAAATCAAAAAATTAGCCAGGTATGGTGGCGTGCACCTGTGGTCCTAGCTACTTGGCTGGCTGAGGTGTTTGAATTGCTTGAGCCCAGGATTTCAAGGCTGCAGTGAGCTGTGATCACACCACTGCACTCCAGCCTATGTGACAGATAAATACCTTGTCATAAAAAAAGAAAAAAAGATAAAAATGGATTGCATTTTCTATTTTCCCCATTAATGTTCTACGTATATCCCCAGGGTGATGGAGGAGAAAATACATTGTAAAATAATAGCCAATAGGTATGACATCCTCCATAACATTTTTTCAACCGAATAGATCAATGAGGATTCACTTAAATCTATCTTAAAATCATAGCTAATAATCATGATTTAGTTGCTAATCTAATTCAAAACCTCTCAGTTGACTGTATAAATTCTGTTGAATATTTCTCATGTGTGATTCAAAACAACCTTAAATAACTGTGACAATAGCATATCACCCAGCTAGGACAGGCAGGGTGCTTCACTTTAGCAGTTTTTCACTTCTTTCACCCCTTCATGTTGTCCATCAGTCAGTCATGAAAACAACTAAATCTTGGTATTTATTGAACTTCTTATAATTTTGACAACCACTGCAGGCCTGTAAAAGTTGTATTTCTTTAATGTTCTCATTATCTTCTCAAGCCTGCGCTTCTCACGCAATGTACTTTCAGCTGTTATTATTTTCATTATTTCCATAATGCCAATCGAAGGAAAGCATTTAAAAATGCTGAAAGAAATAAAAGAATCCCAGAATAGAAATCACTTAACTATATGTGAACATCAATACCCAAGCTGCCTGTTCAGAAATTTTTTAAAAAGGAAAAAGTACATTGCCAGTTAATTAGCTTATCATGCTAAGTAAATAAACTAAATAAAATAGAAACTAAGTCAGAAGGCACTTCGTTAGAAAAAAAATCTTCCAAATTTAATCTTCAGTGGTAACAGGCTATTAAGCAGAGGAAGAAATAAACTGGAGCCCTGATGAAATGTAAATTGGAATGATAATTATCACTAAAACAGAGGGATTCAATCCAGCTGCCTGGGGATGTTTCATTATATAAATACAAATTATTATTATCTATGCCAGTATTGGCAGAGGAAGGGCTATGTCTCTATTAGACTTTAGCCAAATTTGGCATTCTGGTTTCTACCAGTAGCACGCTGGTGATTTTTCTTTTCAGAACTCATATAAGTATCTCATTTGATCTCATCACGATCTGAGACACAGGTCATAATAGGGACTACAGGGCTCATTTTATACCCGGTGAACCAGCCAACTTTCATGCAGTTGAGAAAAAGTAAACTGTCCAGGTGAGGCGGCTCACACCTGTAATTCCAGCATTTTGGGAGGCCGAGGTGGGCAGATCACTTGAGCCCAGGAGTTGGAGACCAGCCTGGGCAACATGGCAAAAAACCATCCCTACAAAAAATACAAAAATTAGCTGGGCATGGTGGCACATGCTTGTCATCCCAGCCACTTGGGAGGCTGAGGCATGAGGATCACTGAGCCCTAGAGGCAGAGGTTGCAGTGAGTCGAGCTTGCACCACTGCACTCCAGCGTGGGTGACACAGCGAGATCCCGTCACAAAAAAAAAAAAAAAAAAAAAGACCAGGCGCGGTGGCTCATGCCTGTAATCCCAGCACTTTGGGAGGCAGAGGCAGGGCAGATCATGAGGTCAGGAGCTCAAGACCAGCCTGACCAACATGGTGAAACCCCATCTCCACTAAAAATACAAACTTAGCTGGACGTGGTAGCCAGCACCTGTAGTCCCAGCTACTCGGGAGGCTGAGGCAGGAGAATCGCTTAAACCCGGGAGGCAGAGGTTGCAGAGAGCCAAGATGGCGCTACTGCACTCCAGCCTGGGCGACAGAGCAAAACTCTCTCTCAATAATAATAGTAATAATAATAATAATAATAATAATAATAATAATAAAGGCCAATTAGAGTCATTTCCCTATTCCAGAGCAAAGATGAGCTCATGAACAACCAGGGTTCTCAGTGACTGAGGGACGGGGGCCCCCCAGGCAGCAGACAGAGACCTCACATATCTATGGCATGGTCTTGTCCACTGGGGCTCTTTTGTCAAGAATAAAGAATGCTACTCAGGAGACTGAGGCGGGAGGATCGCTCAGGAGGTCGAGGTTGTGGTGAGCCCAGATCGTGCCATGCACTCAGCCTGGGTGACAGAGTGAGACCCTGTCCCCGTTAATTAATAACAATAAATTAAAATTTCAAAAACTTTAAAATAATAAATGCTGCTGTCGCTTGGTTGCAGGATAAGAAGCCAGCCCTCGGGAACCACCAGGAGCCAGGAGCACCCCCGGCCCCCCAAGGCCCCAAGTCCAGCCTGCCCCACCCCCTCCGGTGCAGAGGTCCTGTGACACCAGTGGCAGCCCCGCCACACCCCCCAAGGCCAAGGGCACAGGCAGCGTGGTCTTCCCCGCCCCGCCCGACTACTTCCTGCCGCCACAGCCACCAATGCCGCCCCTGGAGTACCCAGAGCTCCCGCTGCCGTCCCCGGACTTCATGGAGACCCCCCTGGACTTCGTGCTCCCTCCCCTCGCTGTCGCCAAGAGGCCTCCTATGCCCCACCCCCCCAACAGGCACGAAGCATCAATGTTCACAAGCAGCAAATGAATAAAAGTTAAACGTTCTTCCTACTGCATTTCTATAAGGATTATTGGGTCAGTCGATCTTGAGGTCAACACTATAATTAAAACTAGCTTTCACCATCCCATGCCTTCTTAAGTCTTGGTGACCTTAGATTTTCAGCTCTACCTCTGCGACCTTCAGAATTTTCAGGAAAATAGAGGAAAACGAGAAAACATGACAATCTCTTTCTCTGAGATTCCTGTTGCTTGATTGCTTGGAGCCCTGGACACAGGCTGTTTTGGTTTCGCCTTTTTTTTTTTTTTTTTTTTGAGAGGGAGTCTTGCTCTGTTGCCCAAGCTGGAGTGCAGTGGCGCGATCTCGGCTCACTGCAAGCTCCTTCTCCTGGGTTCACGCCATTCTTCTGCCTCAGCCTCCCAAGTAGCTGAGACTACAGGCGCCCGCCACCACGCCCGGCTAATTTTTTCTATTTTTAGTAGAGACGGGGTTTCACCGTGTTAGCCAGGATGTGGTCTCGATCTCCTGAGCTCGTGATCCGCCCGCCTCGGCCTCCCAAAGTGCTGGGATTACAGGCATGAGCCACCACGACCGGCCTGGTTTTGCTTTTTTAATGCTTGAATAACAGTAATTTTAAAAATAGTTATTCAGATAGTTTTTGAATTCTCTATTATTACAGTGCTGTAAGTACCCTGTAAATAAGAATGTAGGGCCAGGTAAAAGCAATCTTACTGATGTATATTTCAATCTGGAATGTTTTCCCTCAGGGATACATTTAATGCCCAGTTTATCCTAGGCTCTTTTTACCTATATCTCTTCTCTTTCAAATTGGCTTCGGATGGGCTAAAAGGCTATTTTCTTAAAATTAAGGAAGGTAATTAATGGTATGTTTTAATATTTGGGGAAAAGTAAGCTGTAGATCATGCTGTCTCAACCCACGGGCTCCTGTGGCCCAGGACAACTTTGAATGCTGCCCAACAAATATTAAAACATTATAAGCTCTTTGTAGGGCGCGGTGACTCACACTTGTAATCCCAGCACTATTGGGAGGCCAAGGCTGGCAGATCACTTGAGGTCAGGAGTTTGAGACCAGCTTGGCCAACATGGCAAAACCCTATCTGTACTAAAAATACAAAAATTAGCCAGGTGCGGTGACGCATGCCTGTAATCCCAGCAACTCCAGAGGCTGAGGAGGAGAATCCTTTGAACCCAGGAGGTGGAGGCTGCAGTGAGCTGAGATCTTGCTACTGCACTCAATCCTGGACGACAGGGCAAGACTCTCTCTTTAAAAAATTATGAGATCTTTTTGCAATTTTTTTTTTTTTAGCTGATCAGCTATTGCTAGTGTTAGTGCATCATATGTGTGTCCCAGGGAAGCTAAAAGATTGGACACCCCTTCAGGCTAAATGGAAATTTAAAATGAAGCAAATTTAGTTTTAAAACCAAAATATTTACTAACTAAAACTGGCAATGTGTTCTTAATTTTTTTAAGCATATGCTTGAAATAGGATAGAAGGTAAATTTGCTTCACATTAAATTTTATCTCAGGAACAGTAACTCTCCAGTTTTAGTATATCATGTTCTTTTGATGTCAGATACAGTAATAATACGGCTTTTCTTTTTACAAAAATTTTTAAAATTTTGTTTTACTTTAAGTTCCAGGATACATATGCAGAATGTGCAGATTTGTTACATAGGTAAACGTGTGCCATGGTGGCTTGCTGAACCTATCAACCCATCACCTAAATACGAGGCCCAGCATGTGTTAGCTATTTGTCCTGATGCTCTCCCTCCCCTCAATCCCCCACAACAGGCCCCAGTGTATGTTGTTCCCCTCTTTGTGTCCATGTGAAAGACACAGCTTTTCTGATACCTGACTACATAATGGTCTTTATGCAGATCTCTGGGACAATACAGGAAAGGTTCAGCGAAGAGAGCTATGAAAGTTGTCAGAATCAAAATGGAGTCACTCATGTTAAGAAAACGCTGACAAATAGAACCAGGCAAGTCCATGAATAGAGGGTTCTCATGACAATCGTCAACCCTGTGATTTTCACTCAAGTGGAACACAATCTTTGGTGTCTGGCTGTGAGGTCTTTACAAGTACCAGCTATACCTGAGTGGGGTTATTTAGATTGACCCTGAAAATGCAGCAAACTTTATTCCTTTATGAAAATTTTAGTGAGATACTGGAGGTGAGGGGAGCGCAAAAGCTGGGGTGAAATTGGACGTTAGAGAGGAAGTGCAAGGATAATAATATATTACGAACAGTGTATAATTAATAATATAGGGCAGTAATACTACACCACAGCTTATGAAAACTCCATAATTTCTTTTATAATGCTGCCACTGGGGCAAAGACCCATGTAATAGGCCAACTGCAACAAAAACCACAGGGTTTGGAAGAGTTTACAGAAAATATGATTTAACCCGCCACATGATAGAATATGAACTTAGATTTTACAGTAGGTCCTCAAAGAGGAGAATGAACATTTAAGCCACATTTTGTTTGATCATAGGAATCTTGGCTGGTATGATACTGAAATGATCCAAGTCCATGATAATTGAGCCTTTGAAGTGTGCTTGAGACTTATGGCTTGATGTCTGATCCATTTTTACTGGTGGTTTATGTGTGCTTGGGTACAATGTACTATACATGTTCCTTAGAACAAGCTTGTTAAGCATGTTCCACAAATCTTCTGCCTGCAGCCTGTTACCTGGTCTGTTGCATCCATCAATTACTAAGAAGGATGTTTTAAAATCTTCTGAGGGCAGATTTGTCAATATCTTTTCATTGTTCTGGTGAACTGTGCCTTATATATTCTGACATGGTTAATTATTAAGTGTAAACAAAAATTATGTATGTGACTTCCTGGTGAATTGAACCATCTGTCACCATGCAATGTTTTCTGCTTTTTGTCTTGTACTCATGCAGCTGTATCATCTTTTTTCAGGTATTTGCCTGACCAATCTATTCATGCACTTTCAAACTCTCTATGTTCTATGTTTGCCACTTTTAATGACATATGGCGGATTTTGTTGTGTTTATATCTAGTTCAGGAATTATTATCTTTTAACTGCAATTTTATTCTTTTAACATTTTTAATTTTCTTTCTTTCTTTCTTTTTGTTTTTGTTTTTGTTTTTAGAGACGGTGTCTCATTCTGTCACCCAGGCTGGAGTGCAGTGGTGCGATCATAGCTCACTGCAGCCTCAACATTCTGGGCTCAAGCCATCCTCTTGCCTCAGGCTCCCGAGTAGCTGGTACTACAGGCTTATGCCATCTGCCTGGCTAATTCTTCTTTTTTGTAGAGATAGGAGTCTCACCATGTCATCTAGGCTGGTTCCTAACTCCTGGCCTCAAGCAGTCCTTCTGCCCTGGCCTCCCAAAGTGTTGGAATTACAGGTCTGAGCCACCACGAATGGCCTCTTCTTATGACTCTTACTGTGATTATATATTTGTATTTGTTTTTAACATCTTATTTTGCACTTCCTATTACCCTGGATTTTTCTGGGGTTTTTATCTTCCTTTCTTGTCTGCTTCACGTGATTAGGATTTTTCTCTTACTCCCCTTTTTAAGCTTCTTGTTGAAAAGTTATATACTGTTTCTATTCTTTTAATGGCTAGTTATAATGATAATATCTATACTCAATAATGTCCCAAGTTGAACAACTTTAACCTAGGAAACACATGGAGTTTGGCACACTTTGGTTTCAAACACACACACACACACATACACACATTATTGCCTAGTAGTTGAGTTATGGCTAACTTCTTTTTTTCCTAAAGTATCTTTATTTCTTTTAATGGCTAGTTATAATGATAATATCCATATTCAATAAAGTCCCAAGTTAAACAACTTTAACCTAGGAAATACATGGACTTTGGAATACTTTGGTTTCAAACACACACACACACACACACACACACACACACACACACACAATTGCCTAGTAGTTGAGTTATAGCTGACTTTTTTTCCTAGAGTATCTTTATTTTACCTCATTCTTCAAAGATGGTTTCAACTTTGTGTAAAATTTCAACTGACAGTAAAAACTCTCAGCTTTTTGAGGAAATTGTCCCCACTGTCTTCTCCCTTTCACTGTTGCTGTTGAGAAGTCAGCTGTCAAATTATTATTTCTATTAGGTCATCTCTTTGTTTCCCCTCTGCATGATTTTAAGACCTTTTCTTCGTCTTTGGTGCACACAGTAGGTATAACTGTGGGTTTCTTTTTGCTTAAGTTGCCTGATATTTTACTGAGGTTTCTGAATCTAGAATATCTGTCTTTCACTATTCCAGAAAAATGTAATTTATATTGTTTTCAAACATTGCCTCTCCTTATTCGCTTCTTCTAAAATTCTAATGAAATATATGTTAGATCTTCTAGCACTAGCCTCCGTATCTCTTAATTGTGTATATTTTCCATTTCTTTATCAATTCCGGTTATATTAATCAGACATTAACTCCTATTCACTAATTCTTTTCTTCAGCACAATCTAATCTATGTTAAAGCCATCCATTTTTGGTTTCTGTTTTTTGAAATAGACTTCATGATTTAGAGCAATATTAGATTCACAGCAAAATTGAGCAAAAAGTATTGGGAGTTCCCATTTGTCCCCTGTCCCCATACATGCACAGCCTCCTCCACTACCAAAATGCTACCAAAATCGTGCTGAAACAATTGAGGAACCTACATTGACACATCATTAGTACCCAAAGTCCACAGTTTACTGCAGGTTTACTCTTGATGTTGCACAATCTATGGGTTTTCAGAAATGTACAATGATATGTATCCACCATTATAGAATCATATAGATTAGTTTCACTGTCCTAAAAATCCTGTGTTCCACCTATTAATCTCTCCCTCCCCTTTAAACCCTGGAAACCACTGGTCTTTTTTACTGTCTCCATAATTATACCATTTCCAAAATATATAGTTAGAATCACCATATGTAGCCATTTCTAATTGATTTCTTTTCCTTAATAATATGCATTTATGGTTCCTCCATGTCTCATTTTCTGTTCCTATAGCAGAATACTTGGGTAGTTTATTTTAAAAAGAGATGCTTTGGATCATGCTTCTGGAGCCTGGGAAGTCCAAAGAGCATGGTGCCAGTGTCTGGGGAAGGCCCACTGACTGCATCATATCATGGCAGATAAGCGGAAGGAGAAGTGGCTGCATGCAAAAGGGGGACAAACCAGGAGAGGCAACCTTGCTTATAACAACCCAGTCTCGTGGGAACTAATGCATTCCCATGAGAACTAACCCCGTAGCACCTGAAAGAAATTAATCCATCTTAATGACTCTTAAAGCACCTCCCACCACTGCCACCTTGGGGACCAAGCCTAAACATGAGTTTTGGAAGGGCCAATCCATAGTCAAACCACAGCACTCCATTATCTTTTCGTGGCTTGATAATTCATTTCTTCTTAACTTTTTTTTTTTGAGATGGGGTCTCACTCTTATCATCCAGGTTGGAATGCAGTGGCGTGATCTTGGCTTCATTTCTTCTTATCACTGAATAATATTCCATTGTCTGGATGGACCATAGTTCATTTATTCATTCCCCTATTGCAGGACATCTTAGTTGCCACCAAATTTTAGCAATTATGGATAAAGCTGCTGGAAACTTGTGTGCAGACACTTCTGTGAATATCAGTTTTCAACTCACTTAGGTAAATAGGAGTGCAATTGCAGGATCATATGGAAAAAGTGTGTTTAGCTGTGTAAGAAACTGACAACCTGTCTTCTAAAAAGTGGCTATTTCATTTTGCTTTCCCTCCAAGAATAAATGAGAATTCTTATTGCTCCCCATCCTTGTCATTGTTTGGTATTGTCAGTGTTTTGTATTTAAGCATTTGAATAGGTAGGTAGTGGTATCAGTTTTAATTTGCTATTTCCTAATGACATATGATGTTGAGCAATTTTTACATATGCTTATTAGCCATCTGTACATCTTCTTTGGTGAAGTGTGTGTTCAGATCTTTTGTCAATTTTTTAACTGGGTTATTCCTTTTCTTATTGTTGCTTTAAGAGTTCTTCGTATATTTTGATAACAGTACTTTATCAGATATGTCTTTCACAGATGTTTTTCCCCAGTCTGTGGCTTGTCTTCTAATTCTCTTGACTGTGCATTACACAGAAGTTTTTAATTTGAATGAGGTCCAGCTTATCAATTACTTTTTTCATGGATCATGCCATTGGCGGTGTTGTATTTAAAAAGTCATTGCCATGCCCAAGGTTATCTAGCTTTTCTCCTATATTCTAGAAATTTTATAATTTTGTGTGTTACATTTAGGTCTATGATCCATTTTCAGCTAAATTTGGGGGAAGATGTAAGATCTGTGTCTAGATTTTTGATTTTGCTTATGGATATTAAGTTGTTCCAGTGCCATTTGTTGAAAAGACTATCTTTTCCTCATTGTATTGCCTTTGCCCCTTTGTCAAATATTTGTATAGGTCTATTTTGGGATTTTCTATTCTGTTCCATTGGTCTATTCATCTATTCTTTTGCCACTACCACACTGTCTTCATTGCTGTAGCTTTCTTGCAAATCTTGAAATTGGGTAGTGTTACCCCCCTGATTTTCTTCTTTTCTAATACTGCGTTATCTGTTCTTGTTTTTTTTGTTTTTGTTTTTGTTTTTTTTTGGTTTTTGTTTTTGTTTTAGCCTCTCCATAGAAACTTTGGAATCAATTTGTCAATATCCAAGTGATATATTTCTGGGATTTTGATGGGGATTGCATTGAATCTAGAGAGAAAGTTGGGAAGAACTGACATTTTGTTAATGCTAGGCCTCCCTATCCATGGACATGGAATATCTCTCTATTTATTTAGTCCTTCTTTGATTTCTTTAATCAAAATTTTGTAGTTTTCCTCATAGATCTTTTATATATTTTGTTAGATTTATACCTAATTATTTCACTGGTGGTGGGAATGTTTACATAAATGGCATTGTGTTTTTAATTTCAAATTCCAATTGCTCACTGTT
This sequence comes from Homo sapiens, assembly GCF_000001405.40. Classification (NCBI taxonomy): domain Eukaryota; kingdom Metazoa; phylum Chordata; class Mammalia; order Primates; family Hominidae; genus Homo; species Homo sapiens. The sequence continues at coordinate 26,660,390 of NC_000010.11, forward strand.
TGTGTGCAGGAGAGCAACTGCAATGGATTTTTCTATACTAATCCTGTATACGGCATCCTTGCTATAACTGCTTATTAGTTCCAGGAGTTTTTTGGTCAGTTATCCTGGTGGCCTCCTGAAGAGTCCTCCTCTAGACCCAGGGTTAAGGATGTGCATTATTTTCCTCCCCATACATAAGACTATCAAAGGTAAGGTAGGGGAAAGTGCAAGGCAACAGCTCCCTGCAGTGTTCTCCACTCCACATCCTTTCATATTGTTAAAGCAGGTGAGGAGAATTAATACTTGTGGAGCAGGTTCTCAGATATTTGCTATGAAAACCTACATATGGTGATTTAGACTTTCACAGCTATTATATCTTGAGAGTCTGATGAAACTTTAATTTTAACCTATTGTTCAATCAGTATAGTTTCTATTAGAAAAATTCATAGGAGAAAAAACAACTATTTCAATAAACATCAAAAAGGCTCTTGATAAAATTCAACACCACTCCTTGTTAAAAAAAATTTAAAACTTCATAAGAAACTAGCAATTGAGGAAGATGTTTCTATATTGATAAAAGTTATTAGAAACCTACAGCAAAAGGCATATTTAATAACAAAGCATGAATAGAAATGTCATTTATTTTTATGGTACCCAGGATTTGTTTTAATCAGTATGATAAGACACATGAACACAGAAATGAGTGTCATGAGGGAAGTACTTTATTTTGCTACTCAGGGTTCCCTAGGAGCTGTAGGCACCTCACACCACAAGAGGCAAAACAGGGAAACATCAAGGTCAGTCAGGAGGTAGAGGGGACGGGGGAAAGCACGAGCAAGACTCTTTACTGTACTTTCCACAGGAAGGAACAAGCAAGGCAGGGCAACCAGTCTTAGGATTGGCTAGTTTGAATAATTTCGTGGTATCTTGGGGAGGAGAGGCTGTCCCTAGTTGTCTGCTACCTGGCCCTGAGGCAATTAGGGCAGGCGGATAGTGGCCTGGGACATGAGAGTGATAAAGAAGGATAAAGATAGATAAAGAAGAATAGAGGGTGATAAAGAAAGGATAAAGAACGGGGTATGAGCTCTGGATTGGTTGGTTTATATATGAAGACATACATGCAGGCAAGTTGCTTACGTCCAGGAATTAGCTTATCCTGAGAGGGGCAGTCCCTCCATGGACAACAAAGCCCTGGATGTCAAAGCATCGAATTCAGAAAATAAGAGACATGACTAATACACCATTAAAGTCAATATTATCATTAATATTATTCGACATTATCCTGAAGTCTCTAGCCAATACATATAACAACAAAAAAAATAGGATGAACAACTATTTGAATGAAAAAGACAGACTTTTAAATTCTCAGATGGTGTATCTACTTAATACTTTAATAAAGTCAACCTTTAATTATAGAAACCAAAAACTGTCCTATATACTATATACCAGTGATGCTCAATTATAAAATGTAGTATAAAAAGTGATTCTAGACTACATGTCTAGAATTGATAGACAATTTCACAGTCTATACAAGGAATGATGTAAATGTTTATTGCAGATAAAAAAGAAAACATCAGGAAGGTAAGAGGTACAGGCCATCGCCCCTCTACCTAGTTCCAATAAGCATGATTGAATTAAATGACACGAGTTCCCCAACATGGTTCTAATTTCAGTTATCATGGTATTTTACCTGTAATTATATAAAGTATAAACTTCTTGTTAGTTCTTCAGTCCACAAATCACAGCCTAAATAACAGATGAATCATGATCAGTGACCCATCACTTCTTTCAAAGTATGTTGTTGCCAATCACTGCATATTTGTTACTGAGTTCATACAGAGAGCAAAGCATGTTATTGTCTTGCCTCCTTGTCTCCCAGCGAGAAGCCCACGTGACATTTTACAAAAAGGAATAATCAAAAGTGGAAATTAATCAACAGGGCTAAAACTGCAACAGAAAAAAAAGTGATAACAGTGAAATTCAAATAGAACATAAATGTAGTTACAGAAGAAATAGTGGCAATTCACCAAGGCAGATGTTTGCTCTGTATTTCAAGTATTTTTGCCAAATAAATCCTTTCTGAAACTGACTGAAGCTCTATAGTTACAGAAATACAGGGGGCAGAGAAACGTGTTGTGCTAGGCTGTTTTTCTGTTCCTATAAAAAAATATGGGAGGCTGGGTAATTCATAAAGAAAAGAGGTTTAATTGGCTGAGTTCTGCAGGCTTTACAGGGAACGTGGTGCTGGCATCTGCTCAGCTTTTGAGGAGGCCTCAGGAGGCTTCCAGACATGGCAGAAGGCATAGCAGGAGCAGGCTTCTCACATGGAGAGGGTGGGAGCAAGAGAGCAAGTGAGGGGAGGTGCCACACACTTTCAAACAACAGATCTCCTAAGAACCCAGTCTATCAGGAGGACAGCATCAAGTTATGATGAATCTGTCCCCATGACCCAAACACCTCCCACCAGGCCCCACCTCCAACATTGGGGATTACATCTCAACATGAGTACGTTAGTCCAATTTCACATTGCTGTAAAGAAACTACCTGAGACTAGGTAATTTAGAAAGGAAGGTTTAATTGACTCACAGTTATGCATGGCTGGAGAGGCCTCAGGAAACTTAGAATCATAACAGAGGGTGAAGGAGAAGCAAGGCACATCTTACATGGCAGGAGGAGAGACAGAGCAAAGGGGAAATGCCAGACCCTTATCAAACAACCAGATCTTTTGAGAACTCTCTATCACAAGAACAGCATGGGGGAATGGCCCCCATGATCCAATCACCTCCCACCAAGTCCCTCCATCCACACATGGGGGTCGAAATTCAAGATGAGATTTGGGTGGGGACATAGAGCCAAACCATATCAATGAGATTTGGAGCATACATTCAAATTATATCACAGGTTTAATAAATACCACGAAATGCAATCCGAAAAATGCAGAGTGTCAAAATACTACAGGATAAATAATCTGGTTTCTTCAATCAAAACAAAATAAACCAAAAGAGTGCAAGTGAAAAAAGATGTAGGTGACACACGTAGGTGATATACTCAAAGATATCAAAGGAAACAAGACATATTTTCATCTAATTTTAATGTATAGTCCTTATTTGGATCCCAATTAAAATAACTATAAAATAAAGAAGATGATAATAATTTACAAGACAATAGGGAAACCTTGAAAACTGACTGGATATTTAATTTTATACATTAGGAAGTTATTGCTAATTTGTCCTAAGGTCATATGGTGTCAGGGTCTGTTTGTGTTTTAAGTCATTAATATTTAGAGAGGCATACAGAAATATTTGTAGAGGAAACAATGTCTCCATTTTCCAAAACATAATTGAGGACATGTAAATTATATCTCAATTAAGGCAATAACAAGGAATATGAGGGAAGTGTGTGGAGGTGTAAATGAAGTGAAATTGGCCATGTATTGATTACTAATAAGCTGATTAAATGGTAAACCAGGTTCATTAAACTATTAAAATTTTATCTACCTTAGTAAATGTTTGAAAATTCTATAATACGGAAAAAAACTCTAGTAGCATAATAAAACTAAATACTTACTGATGTATTCCAAACTGCTGAGTTTACAGCAAATACTAGATAAATATGTAATAATCCATTTTGATAACAACTGTCATAAGATAATCAATGAAAATAACTCATGTGGTTTATCAAAAACACCTTATTGTTCCATTATAGTTACTGATTAGAACAAAAATGATCATGATGTTTCAAAGAATAAGTTCCAATTTAACTGGCTAAAAATATTTGCATATATAATCATTATTTTCAAATGTGGGATTGCCATCAAAATGTGGATGATCAGAATTTATTAAATAGATTATATTATGTTGTGCTTAATGATAGAAGAACTCCTTAATTTATTTTCCCCAAATTAAGATAAGCAACTAAGTCTGAGATCTTTAGCCCAGGAAGGAGTAGGTAAGGTGTAGCCTGCTTTCTCGGCTGCCGAATGCTTCTGGAAAGGATGCTGAAGAACTTGCTGGAGAAGATGCACCTAGTAAACAATGCGAGCAGGTAAATGTAGATTAGAATTACTCAGGACCCTGATGAATTTCTCCATTTCTAAATGGCAAGGTCAATTTAAAATGTTTAAAAATGTTTATAATTTGGGAGGCCGAGGCAGGCAGATCACTGGAGGTCAGGAGTTGGAGACCAGCCTGGCCAACATGGTGAAACCCCGTCTCAACAAAAATTACACAAATTTGCCAGACGTTGTGGCACACATCTGTACTCCCAGCTACTCGGGAAGCTGAAGCAGGAGAAACGCTTGAACCTGGGAGGCAGTGGTTTCAGTGAGCCGGGATTGTGCCACTGCACTCCAGCCTGGGTGACAGAGCTAGACTCCTTCTCAAAGAAAACAACAACAACATCAACAAAAAAAAAGTTTATACATTTTATGCTTTATGGAAAACCTCAACTCTAGTTGTTACTTGGAGTTTCTATTATTCCACAGAAAGTTCCTTAAGAGTACTTTCTAACTTTTTGTACTAAACTAAGTGAATGAAAATGTATATTTTAATCTTAATATCCCTGTACAGCATTTAGGCAATTGTAATTTTCTAAAATATTTACAGAAATAAAAGGATGTCAATGATTTAGTCTTTCCAAATGAAGGCCATGAATTCCAGCTCATGCTGCTTCTTACTGGGAATTTGGCCCCATGGTAATAAACTGAGGCACTGAAAAACACACCTGTTTCCACAATCAATCTGATATCAAAATGTATATTTTCAGTGCTTTTGCTATTTCTTGGGTATTACGAAGGAAATGCTTAGCTATCATAGAAAAGGTGGGTGATTATCTATACTAAGAAATTAAAGGTGGGAGTTCAAGTAGAACATATTATTGTGTCACTAGTATTTTAAATATGAAGATTGCATCATCATAAATACAGGGCTTTGGAGCCAATCTTAGCACTTCTCCCTGGGTACTTTCTATACACTTCTTTTTTTTAAAGTTGGCTGTATACCTATTGGTCTCACCTACCTACTAGTTTAAGAGCCCCTCTAATTAATCAGCAACTTGCATTGAATGGATTCTCAAGAAATGTTTGAGGAAAGAAGATAAATACCAGTTCCATGTGTAAAGGATTGCATGTAGAAAGGTTTGACAAAATGTTGTTCTTCTCCTGCATGAGAAGTTGACATTTAGTTACCTTTCTGGTTCTGTTTCCCTGGTATCCTGATAAGGCGGTAGGTCAACTCTATCACCATACAGCATTGCCCACAAAGGACAAGTAACTTCTGGACTGGAAGAACTGCAAATACCTGATAGGATGCGTTGGGCCTTCCTAAGCATGGTGACTCCTACCATGAGGCAGGTCTCTTGTGAGGATCTGGAAATTATGCCTATGGAGTTCTTACAAGAGACACTGCTTTCTGCAGAGCCTGAAGCTTCTAAGACAGGGCTGCCCTGCACGGTCACAGTGGGACTCTCAGATCCTTGCACCTGAGTGAAGCTGCTGTGCCTTACTGCTGGTGTGGACTGCTCCAAGTTCCCCTGCACACGGAGAACCTGGTGCTGCCCTGTCCGGAAGCTTTGTTCCTGTGCTCTGTCTCTCTCAGCTGGCTGGGGCCAGGTGTGTGGCCTGTGATAGTCGTTTGAATCTGAATGTTTACTGGACCCTAAGAAAACACCTCCACCCACCCTGCCCCAGGGGCGCTGCCTCATTACTCATATATAATTTTGAGGAAGGGATGGAAAGAAGGGGGGGAATAAAAGATATAGAAGAAAGGAGACACAGGCCAACAAAACAGCTTACTGAACACCGTGTAGTTTCCCCTGTGGAGACAAATTTATCTAATGATAAATGTTGAGGGATCTCCCTTCTCTTTGTTTCTCCTTCATATCATAAAAAGATTCTATTTAAAAATATTATGTTTTCTGAAATGAAAACCTAGAATTGTCAGGCTAATTAAACTACTGAGATAAAAAGCTAATACAAGCTCCAAATTAGAAAGAGCAAAATGGTTTCTCTCTCATGCCAACTCTGATCAGTGGCTGATGATGTCAGGGCATGCTGTGATGAGAATGGTTCTGAGGCTATGACCGGTTTGAGACAGAAAGAGGGTCATGACTATCAATAACGTACCCTCCGGGCATGGGACAGGAGAGTGGCAGCATGAGAGCCAGGGCCATTCCTGTTGTAAAAAATACATAACGTGCAATGCATTTTTAAACAGCTAATGATGAAATATTTGAGGCAGAAAACATATACAGAATAACATTATGGACACCTGTGTATCCTCCATTCAACTTCAGCAATAAAATACTTTCAATACTGTTGAAGCCATATTGTATGATATTGATAGGATTCTGCTTATTTTTATACTATATTCAAGTAGTAACACATTGTGTGAATTCCTTTGCCATTTGCTTGTTTTGCTTAACATTATAAGTGAGATTTGGCTGGGCACAGTAGCTTCGCCTGTAATCCCAGCACTTTGGGAGGCCAAGGCAGGAGGATCCCTTGAGCCTGAGAGTTCTAGACCAACCTGGGCAACATAGTGAGACTCTGTCTCTGCAATAAATAAAAACATTAGCCAGGTATGATGGTGCTCGCCTGTAGTCTCTGAGAGGCTGATGGGGGAGGATCGCTTGAGCCTGGGAGGTGGAGGCTGCAGTGAGCTATGATTATGCCACTGCCCTCCACTCTGGGTGACAGAGTGAGACCCCATGTCTAAAAATTTTCATTTTAATTGTGAGAGTCATTGATGCTAATACATGTAGCTCTAGTTTATTCGTCTTCATTGCTGTCAGGATTAAAGTGGACCCAGGTTGGTAGTACCATGGATCCATGCCTGAAAGGAGCAAATGCTACTGCCCTCTGGAGACATATACCCTCAAATTCCATTTCACTAGATTTCAAACAGAGACTAAAATCCACAATTCCAAAACACAAACAATAAACAGCAGAATCAGACCCTTGAAGGGTTAAATAATGTATATGTGTGTGTTTTAAAACAAATATTTAAAAATGTTTATAAAGCATAAATAGAAAATATGAGAAAATAATTCAACTGATAAACCAAAGAGAGACCAAGCAGGGAGAAATCTAGGAAGCTGGTGTTGGCAATGGTATAATTTAGCATGTCTGCAAACAAGCGTCTTCAAAATATAATAGATTTTTAATTAATAAAAATGAACTGAGAGAAGTCAACCATCTTAGGTCTGAGAAATCATTCCTTTCTGCTTTCTGCACTGCAGATTCTGCCATCCAGTTCCTCAGCACATACCTAGGGTTAACAGCTTAAACAAGGGGCGGGAGAGAGCACATCTGGAAACAGCAAATTAATAAATTACAAACAACAACTATAAATGAAGTCAACACAGGCCATATGAAATCACCACTATATTTGAAAACCTTTAAGAAGTTTGCTGGAAGGGTCAAAAGAGAACACGTTATCACTATCAGTCCATTTTAATTATTTATAAACAATGTACAGCATTTATTAACTTTTGGTGCAGAAAAAACCTTTTGTGAGCATTTTCATGAATGTTATGTTTTATTTTTCTTTTCTTTCATCACTAATTTGTTTTTTCTTTCATCATTTTCAGTTCAGTAAGCATTTTATAAAGCCAATGTAGTTAATTCATCTGAATTGGGCCCTGCAGCCTAAGTGGAGAGGAGGAAACAAAACAAAACAGTTGCTGCTTTTAAGGCACAGAATTAAGGTCTGACGCAGTAGAACTGCTTAATGCTGATGCTGCCTGAGAGCAAACAGGAAAGGTCTCATGCAATTAAAAACCTTTATAAATTTGTATTTTTGACAATAACCATATATTTTTTCCTATTAAAAATCTTATAAAAACGACATATTTTAAAAAATTCCAGGAATTACATCTTCATTTGAGATGAGCCTTTTGCAAGATGATTTATCAACTGGTCAGGGAGGGGAGATGCTGTCCTGAATGGTACAACAGAAATTCTGAGAGGACTGCGGACCCCAGTTACATGACTCTCATCTGAAGTTCCCATTACTTGAATGGACTACATATTCCATCTCACCTTGGTATTGAAGGTCTGCCGCCATGATACGTAATCTAAAAATGAAGTGCCCTGTGATGCAGTAATTCTACTTCTCCTGGAACATAGTCTAAGGAAACAAATGTAAACATTAAAAAGCATTATTTAAATTAAGGTAAAACTAGAAACAAATGGATACTTAATAAGTAAAACGTATACTTTCAAATAAATATTATACAGCCATTAAAAATGTTACATTATAAAGAATGAAGAGGCTGGGGGCATGGTGGCTCAGGCCTGTAATCCCAGCACTTTGGGAGGCCGAGGCGGGCGGATCGCCTGAGGTCGGGAGTTCGAGACCAGCCTGGACAGCATGGTGAAACCCTGTCGCTAACAAAAATACAAAAATTAGCCGGGCATGGTGGCAGGACCCTGTAATCCCAGCTACTCGGGAAGCTGAGGCAGGAGAATCACTTGAACCCGAGAGGCGGAGGTTGTGGTGAGCTGAGATTGCACCATTGCACTCCAGCCTGGGCAACAGAGCGAGACTCTGTCTCAAAAAAAAAAAAAAAAAAAGAATGAAGTAGCAATAAAAAACGCTTTTTTTTTTTTTTGACATGGCTTCTCACTCTGTGACTCAGGCTGGAGTGCAGTGGCACAATCTTGGCTCACTACAACCTCCTCCTCCCAGGTTCAAGCGATTCTGGTCCCTTAGCCTCCTGAGTAGCTAGGATTACAGATGTGCACCACCACGCCGGGCTAATTTTTGTATTTTTCACAGAGATGGGGTTTCACCATGTTGGCCAGGCTGGTCTCAAACTCCTGACCTCAAGTGAGCCACGGCACCTGGCTTATTTTTAGTGAAAAAATAATCTGGCCAGGCCTGGTGGCTCATGCCTATAATCTCAGCACTTTGGGAAACCAAGGCAGGAGGACTGCTTGAGCCCAGGAGTTCAAGACCAGACTGGGCAACATAGTGCGACCCCATCTCTGCAAAAAAAATTTTTTTAAGTAGCTGGGCACGGTGATGCCTGTCTATAGTCCCAGCTACTTGGGAGGCTAAGGTCGAAGGATTGCTTGAGACCAGGAGGTCAAGGCTGCAGTGAGCCATGATCATGCCACTGCATTCCAGCCCGGGAAACGGAGAGTCTCTGAAAAAAAAAAAAAAGAAAGAAAGAAAGAGAGAGAGAGAGAAAGGAAGGAAGGAAGGAAGGAAGAAAGAAGAAAAGAAAAGAAGAAGAATCTAAAAGTATACCATAGTATAATTATTATCCTACTACATTTTCCCCTAATCAATAGACACAGAAAATAGAGGTTTAAGTCTACTCAAAAGTGAATCAAAAAGTGAATAGTCATTGTGTTTGGGTGATGGGAATAAGAGGGATCTTTTAAAATTCTTTCCATGTTTGCATATTTCAAGTTAAAAAAATTCATACAGGCCAGGGGCAGTGGCTCATGCCTGTAATCCCAGCACTTTGGGAGGCCGAGGCAGGCGGATAACCTGAGGTCGAGAGTTCAAGAACAGCCTGGCCAACATGGAGAAACCCTGTCTCTACTAAAAATAAAAAAATTAGCTGGGCATGGTGGCACGAGCCTGTAATCCCAGCTCTTCAGGAGGAGACAGGAGAATTGCTTGAGCCCAGGAGGCAGAGGTTGCAGTGAGCCAAGATCGCGCCACTGCACTCCAGCCTGGGCAACAGTGTATGACTCTGTCTCAGAAAAAAAAAAAAAAAAATTCATACCAAACACCTTTAAAATAAAAATGTATACACACACAAAAATATAAAGAGTCTTCATACAAATGCATACAAATGGGTGACAGACATGCAAAGGAAACTGTGGATGGACTCAACTTAGGCAGAGAAGAACAGAGTCATCCAGTTAAAAATTGTGGCAAATTTGACAAACGCTATATAAAAACTTGGCAATAAAATACTGTTGAAATACATTAGGAATTGCAGGTGTAAGTCTAAGCACTTTGAATCAAATTGTAAAAATATAAACTACTTGGAAATCAGCACATTCTAGGTCTGTATATAAGATTCTTTGAGGCATTATCTAATTCTGTACATTTTTATCCAGTTCGAAATTTTCTGTTTGTATGTCTTTTGGCAATAAAATTTTAAGCAGTGGTTAAGGAAGACTATGTCCAAACAAAAGTTCAACCAAAGTTCCACATAATATGTTAATCACTGATGCACTAGGTCATAGGCTTTATTAATGAAAAAAAAATTTTTTTTGAGACAGAGTCTCACTCCCTCAGTCAGATTGAATTGCAATGGCATGACCTCGGCTCATTGCAACCTCCACCTCCTGGGTTCAAGAGATTCTCGTGCCTCAGCCTCCCTAGTAGCTGGGATTACAGGTGTGTGCCACCATGACCAGCTAATTTTTTTGTATTTTTAGTAGAGATGGAATTTCGGCATGTTGGCCAGGCTGGTCTCAAACTCCTGGCCTCATGTGATCCGCCTGCCTCGGCCTCCCAAAGTGCTGAAATTACAGGCATGAGCCACCTTGCCCAGTTGATCATAGGCTTTTTTTTTTTTTTTTTTTTTGAGACTGAGTCTCTCTCTCTTGCCCAGGCTGGAGTGCAGTGGCGTAATCTTGGCTCACTGCAACCTCCGCCTTCTGGGTTCAAGTGATTCTTCTGCCTCAGCCTCCTAAGTAGCTGGGACTACAGGTGCGCGCTACCAAGCTCAGCTAATTTTTGTATTTTCAGTAGATGCAGGGTTTCGCCATGTTGGTAAGGCTGGTCTCCAGCTGCTGACCTCAGGTGTCCTCCCGCCTTGGCCTCCCAAAGTGCTGGGATTACAGGCATGAGCCACTGCACCTGGCCTGATCACAGGCTTTTTAATGGTGGGAATCAAATTCATCTTTGTGGCTTTAGCTTTAACAATTTGACTATGCAAAGATACACATAATAGGGACTTGGTATGTGTTTGCTAAATAACTCAATTTAGTGCTGGGAAAAGAATTACAGCCAACCTAATTTTATTGCAGATACAGATATTTCAGGGCTTAAAAAATTCTCCTTTGCAATATGAACCCAATCACACAATGCTAGAGCTACCTAGGGTAACATACTTAAATACATGGAAATATTTCATTTTGGGACATCAGCTGTTTTCTCATAGGAGCCTGATGATCTTATTCTTTCCAAAGAAACTATAGAAATGTAGGCCAGGCACAGTGGCTCATGCCTGTAATCCCAGCACTTTGGGAGGCCAAGGCGGGCAGATCACGAGATCGGGAGTTCCAGACCAGCCTGGCCAACATGGAGAAACCCCGTCTCTACTAAAAATACAAAAAATAGCTGGGCGTGGTGATGGGTGCCTGTAATCCAAGCTACTTGGGAGGCTGAGGCAGGAGAATCATTTGAACCCACCAGGTGGAGGTTGCAGTGAGCCAAGATCCCACCATTGCACTCCAACCTGGGAAACAGGGCGAGGCTCCATCTCAAAAAAAAAAAAAGAAGAAGAAAAGGAAACGATAGAAATGACTACTTCCCTATCAATCTTTATAGTTACAGAGCTAAACACCATACAAAACATCATCTTCTTGAAATACAAAATCAACAATGCCTGTCCCGAGTATCATAGTAAATCAAATGCATTACTTCTTCTTCTTCTTTTTTTTTTGAGATGAAGTTTCACTCTTGTGGCCCAGGCTGGGTGCAATGACGTGATCTCGGCTCACTGAAACCTCCACCTCCCGGGTTCAAGCAATTCTCCTGCCTCAGCCTCCCAAGTAGCCGGGATTACAGACACCTGCCACCAAGCCCAGCTAATTTTTTTATTGTTAGTAGAGATGGGGTTTCACCATGTTGACCAGGCTGGTCTCAAACTCCTGACCTCAGCTGATCCGCCTGCCTCAGCCTCCCAAACTGCTGGGATTACAGGCGTGAGCCACCATGCCCGGCCGTGATGCATTTCTTAAATGTAGTTTTAACTATTCTGGGATGGGCACTGTGTAGCATGAAAAAGAAATGACCAATGCCTACTGGTGGTTTATGATCTTCCTTAGAGTTATTTGGAGGTGTAAGAATAATAAATATTGAGCATTTAAAAAATATTTCTAAGACCTGTAAAACACTCATCTTTGATGTTCCCATTGCTTGCAACTAGAGCATTTCTAAAAATTTTTAATAGCAAATCTTCCCCAATCTACTCCTGAGTTTTTAAAACATGTTTTGGAACTATGTAAAACATATATATAGTTTTATGTAAATAAATATAAATATGGTATATATATGTATGTTGTATGTATATAAATATATATATATATATTTTAATCTTCTGGTTTCTAAAAAACATATCCATCCCAGTGTTTGCAATATGACAAGGATATTTAATGCACTCCATAATAATACAATAGCTGGTATTTATAGAGTACTTACTATGTGCCAACCACTATCTTTTTTTATTTTTTTATTTTTTTGAGATGGAGTCTCGCTCTGTTGCCCAGGCTGGAGTGCAGTGGCACAGTCTCAGCTCACTGCAACCTCCACCTCCTGGGTTCAAGTGATTCTCCTGCCTCAACCTCCTGAGTAGCTGGGATTACAGGCGCGCACCACCACGCCCAGCTAATTTTTGTATTTTTAGTAGAGACAGGGTTTCACCACATTGGTCAGGCTTGTCTCAAACTCCTGACCTGGTGATCCACTCCCCTCAGCCTCCCAAAGTGCTGGAATTACAGGCGCGAGCCAGCCAACCACTATCTTATTGAGTCTGTGCAACAACCCATTATACATATGCACTGTATAGTATTAATGAGGGCATAAAAGTTAGGACAGGTTAAGTGGATAAAAATGTTTTAAAATTGGACTTCCGTGATTGCACAATTTCTTTAGTAAAAAAAAATTCTATACTTGAATGAACTTTATGGTGTGTAAATTATATGTCAATAAAGCTGTTAAAAATTACACACCAGAGAGAAAGAAAGAAGTGGGGCATCAAGTGACAGGCTTACTGTCATCTAGGAAATGTTTGGTCAACCAGAACTCAAGCATAGCTGGTCTAACTCTGGACCAGCACAGCTGGTTGCTCCAGAGAAAGGAGCTACACGGAAATAAAAAGATTCCATGAGGGAAACGAGGATCAGACTTTACTCAGCTGTCTCCTGCTTAGATGTTTATTTCTTCATGTCTGTATAATTCTTTAACTCCACATCCCGGCTATACATTGTTACATAAACATGTGCAATCAATATTTTATATATTTCCATTTACAGATCAATTAAATATATAAGAATATATGGAAGTGTACGTTTAAAAAGTAAATGAACTATCATTATAAACTCTTATTATACCATTGTTCTTCATGGAAATTGATTTCTTCCCTTCTTTGAGAGCACATAGTTTAGCATTTACTATTTCTCTAAAATCACAGAAGCAAAGCTGCAGCCATGAACCCACTTCATTTCTTTCATTTTGCCATTTCATCCAATCTATCCTAACCAAGTAAATCCAAATACTAAGGACTGCCACCACATGGCATTTAAAAATATTTTAGACTTCTTTCTCTCAGCTGCTGGGACTATTCACATTCTGAGCTGGCCTGGAAGTTCTGTATGATTGCCCAAACGGGCATAAATGGCTGGCAAGGAAATGAACGCCAAAGAGCTCACCCACTTCACTGTAAGAACTAAACTTGCTTTTATGTCTACAATAATGTCCCGAGTTCAAGAAGCAATTTCATTCCCTAACCTAATGTGGAATGTTAGTGTCATCCTTCTTTCATGGACAGAAACCAGCCACCCCGATACACACACATACTCTCTATACAAGTCCTAAGGCAGAAGCACTCAAAGGCTCAGATCCTTCTGCCTTAACTTCTTTGATCTTGCTAGAACCTGAACTGCAAAAAGAATTACCTTCCTTTTTTGTTGTTTTTGTTTGTTTGTTTCTTTGTTTGGAGACAGGGTCTCACTCTGTCGCCCACACTGGAGTGCACTGGCACAATCATGGTTCACTGCAGCCTCGACCTCCCAGGCCCAAGTGATCTTCCCACCTCAGCCTCCCGAGTAGCTGGAACTACAGGCACGTGACACGACTCCCAACTAATTTTTAAATTTTTTATAGAGAGAGGCATCCCCCATGTTGCCCAGGCTAGTCTTGAACCCCTGCGCTCAAGCAATCCTCCCGCCTCAGGCTCCAAATTGCTGGGATTATAGGCATGAGCCACCACGCCCAGCCCTGTTTTTTCCCTTCTCCAAGCCAAGTGTGAAGTCAACACAGTAAACTGAAAATTAAGGCTAGGTATAGTGGCTCACACTCGCAATCCCAACATTTTGGAGATGGAAGTAGAAGAACGGCTTGAGCTTAGGAATTCGAGGCCAGCCTGGGCAACATAGTGAGACCTCATCTCTACTAAAAGTACAAAAAAATTAGCCAGGCATAGTGGCACATGCCTGTAGTCCCAGCTACTCAAGAGGCTGAGATGAGAGGATCACTTGGGCCTGGGAGGTCAAGGCCCTCCCAGTGAAGTGATTTCACCACTGCACTCCAACCTGGAAAACAGAGTGAAACTCTCTCAAAAAACAAAAAAAAAAAAAAAAAGGAAAAGAAAATCAATACATAGAAGTGATTGATTTTTACAGCTTTAATTTACTGTATGAGTATTACGGCCCAGTGATTGATTTCTACAGCTCTAATTTACTGTATGAGCATTATGGCCCAGGCTATAACAAGATGCTTTGTACATACATTGCTCACATTATAAGATCCTTGCAAGGCCGGGCGCAGTGGCTCATGCCTGTAATCCCAGCAATTTGGGAGGCCGAGGCGGGCAGATCACCTGAGGTCAGCAGTTTGAGACCAGCCTAGCCAACATGGTGAAACCCCATCTCTAATAATAATACAAAAATTAGACAGGCTTGGTGGCAAGCGCCTGTAATCCCAGCTACTCAGGAAGCTGAGGCAGGAGAATCGATTGAGCCCGGGAGGCGGAGTTTGCAGTGAGCCAACATCCCGCCATTGCACTCCAGGCTGGGTGACAAGAGCGAAACTCTGTCTCAAAAAAATATATAAATAAATAAGATGCTTGCAAAACATCCCCATTTTACTACAGCGAAGCACTTGAAGATTCAGAGAGTTAAATATCTTTCAGATCATACAGCTAAAAACTGGCAGAGGTGAGATTTTCCGCCAGATTCCAAAACCCATGTTCTTTCCACCATATGCCACACCACCTTCCTTCTCGGTCCACCATCTTTTAAGTTAATAGTATTTTAACATTACTATGCAAATTTACTGAAAGCAGAGTAGTCATACTCCAAGCTTAAAGCCATTGGCTAAAATTAGAAAGTTTAACTCAACTAAAATATACCCACCTAGAAAATCCTAGTTAAGGCCGGGCGCGGTGGCGGGTGCCTGTAGTCACGGCTACTCCAGAGGCTGAAGCAGGAGAATGCCGTGAACACGGGAGGCGGAGCTTGCAGTGAGCCAAGAACACGTCACTGCACTCCAGCCTGGGCGACAGAGCAAGACTCCGTCTCAAGAAAGAAAGAGAGAGAGAGAGAGAAAGAAGGGAAGGAGGGAGGGAGGAAGGGAAGGAAGGAAGGAGGGAGGGAGGGAGGGAAGGAAGGAAGGAAGGAAGGAAGGAAGGAAGGAAGGAAGGAAGGAAGGAAGGAAAATCCTAGTTTAAAACAAAGCAACTCAGCCTCAAAACCATAAGTCATCGCTTTTGGTTTTCAAAAACCATTGCTTTTATGTGATAATCCTTAAAGTTGAGAACATCAAAAGGATTACTTACTTGTCATTCTTTTTCTTCCTTCAGAATCTGAGTCATTCATGTTACTAACACTGAATAAAACAAAAGACAAAATTAACTACTTGTCTCCTCAAACTATATCTTTTCTTCAAATAGGAGGGAATTCTTTCACAAGACAAATAATGAGAAAAACACATTAAAAAATCACATTGGTTTGAAAGGAAGACAGAAAATACTGTTTGACTAAACAATGTATAAAATACCACTGTGTTTAGTTTTTTAGGCAATACCAAACCTTCTTTTTTATTAACCAAAAAACATCTTGGCCCAGTGTGGTGGCTCTCGCCTGTAATCCCAGCACGTTGGGAGGCCAAGGTGGCTGGATCTCTTGAGCCCAGGATTTGAGACCAGCCTGGGTAATGTGGCAAAACCCTGTTTCTACAAAACAAAATTCAAAACTAAGCCAGGCGTGGTGGCATGCACCCGTAGTCCCAGCTACTCAGGAGGCTGAAGTGGGAGGATCCCTTGAGCCTAGGAGGTGGAGGTTGCAGTGACCTGCTACACTCCAGTCTGGGCAACAGAGCCAGACCTTGCCTCAAAAGAAAAAAAAAAATCTTGGCTGGGCACATGGCTCATGCCTGTAATCTCAGTACTTTGGAGGCAAAGCGGGGAGGATCGCTGGATCCCAGGAGTTTGAGGCCAGGCTGGGCAGCATAGCAAGACCTCATCTCTACAAAAAATTTTTAAAAAAATTAGGCAGCCATGGAGGTGCACACCTGTTTTCTTTCCCTCTGTAGCACTTATCTCCTAATACTCGATATAACTTATTTGTTTTGTTAACTTGTCTCTCCTACCAGAAGTAAGCATCATGCAGAATCAATTATTTTTCCTGTTTTTTTTTTTCTTCACTGTGCCCTTAGCACTTAGAACAGTGTCTGGCACACACTGAGCACCTAAGTACTCAATAAATATTTGTTGAATGAATTAACTCTGCAGGGAGAAGCAGGTACAAAAGTGATGGAGACAAGGGTAGGAGCAAGATGGCTTAATGAATATCATTTTATATCACTTTGATTTTGAACTATGTGACTGTAGTACCAATATATTTTTAAATTAAGAAAATCACAGATGGAATGTAAAATTTTTATCTGTACTGAAACAATATTTTTGCTACCAGGGTTAATCAAATCACTCTATGCCTTGACTTCCATCCGGAATCTTGTTGTACTGCTGTACTGAAAACAGGCTCAATTTTAGATTGGAGGAGTTGGAGGAGAGGAAAGGTAGGAAGAGAAATATATTTTGTCTTCTAGCAAATACATTAGAGACACAGAAATGATTAAAATGTGGTCCCTGGCCTCCAGGAGCTCAATGTCTAGTAGTAGAATCAATCAATATTTAACATTTGATATAATGCTAATGTACTCAGAATATCATTCACACTTATTCATATACATACCTATGATATTTCAATTTGAGCAATTATAAACATTGCAAATTTTTCTATTTATTATTTATTGCTGCATAATAAAGGCAACCATGTTCCTTTTTCTCTTCAGTCCAAATTCAGAATAAGAGACCATGCAGTAGATAGACAGAGATTAAAATATCATCTTACTACTGATAAAAGCTAGCCTGGAGAATATGGCTCAGGCGGAAGATAAAGAGGCACGGTGATATGTTACATGCAAATGAATATCAATCATCTGTTGGAGTAAAATAAAAACTGCACTAACAGTTATGCAAAGATTCAGAGAATATATCAGAATATATCACCTATCTACCCTGTTTGGGCAAAACACTTAAGAAAGTAATCAAGACAGAGACTTGAAGATGGAACCATGAGAAAAGGACGGTAGTAAGCAGAGAAATGACTCCAAGTGGGAGATGGGGGAGTGTCAAATACAAAGACACTTTAAACAGAACAGATACACTTCAAGGGAAAACCAAATAATCTAAAATTCAAAATATTAAACTATCTTAGCAAAATCTAGCAGCTACGTAACTAGATACAAAACAAAAACATTCTAAAGGTCTCATCTTATTGGGATGAAGGGGAAAGCAATGGACAGATAGAATCTTAGGAAAAATATCTAAAAACTGGTTTTCCCATAAAAGTGACAAAAAAAGAAGATAACTGAATGGAATTGCAGAAGTGTTTTTCAGTCAAGTTTCCAAATCAACACGGGGTGGGGTGTCAGGGAGAAGAATGAATTTCAAATCAGAAAAAGATAAGAAAGTCTGGGGGAGGCCAACAGTAAAATAAAGATGAAGCACAATGTCAGATAGAAGGAATAAATCACATATATCAGTTGTTATAATAAATATGATCAGCCTACGTACTTCTGTTAAGAGAGAAACTATCACATTGAATCAAAATCTGACTATACATTGTTTTTACAGGAAGAACACTTTAAAACAAATAAAGATAGGTAGATAAAGGTAAAAGTTAACGTGAGATTCAAGGTAAACTCAACCAAAAGAAAGCATGAATGGCAATATTAATGTCAGGTGAATTGAAATCAACAGTTATAAGTATATATCAAAATAAATGGAATCATTGTTAAGATAAAAGCTATTTTTTGAAGAAAATATAAGTAGAAAATCTGTATGTACCAATAATACATAGCAAAATATGTAAATTTCAAACAATTAGAAAAAAACTTGGATATAAATATAATTAAAGTAGGAGCTTTTAATACACATCTCTTAAGAATCTAAATTATCTGTGTAATCCCAGCATTTTGTGAGGCTGAGACAGGTGGATCACCTGAGGTCAGGAGGTCGAGACCCACCTGGCAAACATGGTGAAACCTTGTCTCTACCAAAAGTACAAAAGAATTAGTCAGGGATGGTTGTGGGCGCCTGTAATCCCAACTACTCGGGAGGCTGAGGCAGGAGAATCGCTTCAACCTGGGAGGCGGAGGTTGCAGTGAGTCAAGATTGCGCCATTGCACTCCAGCCTGGGCGACAGAGTGAGATTCTGTCTCAAAAAAAAAAAAGAATCTAACTTATCTAACAGAGAAAATTGAGAGGCTCATAAATGACTTGAATAATGTAATCAGTACACTCAATTTGATATATTAAAACTTCTCACTACACAATACATGTTTTTACATATAATCACCAAACACATCCAAAAATGTTTTATGTTGGGCCACAAAGACACCTTAACACATTTTGAATAGCAGAGTTTTATCAAACGTACTCTTTAGTCATAAAAACACAGACAAAATAATTCCAACTACTTAGAAATTAAGAAATACAGTGATTAAAAAAAGAAATACAGTGATAAATAACTCTTGGATTCAACAGGAAATAAACAGATTTCACAGCATCTAAAAAGCAGTAAGCAAGAAAAAAACTATACCCCAGTAGCCATGGACAAAAAAGCCCAAACTGAACTAGAAAAAATATACAGCACTAAATAATAAGAGAGTATTTTAGGTGTTAATTTCTTAGTTTTCAAGAAAAATAATCATTATACAAATATGTTTTCACACAGATTTTATGAGTAGATTAAGGATTTACTCACAGCTGCTTTTGCCTAGGGTCCAGCAATGGGTTTAGAGCTTGTAACAACTTGTTAAAATTAAACATCCTAATATTGGCCTGATTTCCTATTTTATATCTTCTTTCATTCTCAGATGTGTTTTGTACCAAATCTCTATTTAAAATAAAACATTATAGCTTTATGTTGGAAAATATTATTTTTATTTATTTATTTATTTATTTATTTATTTTGAGACAAAGTTTTGCTTTGTCACCCAGGCTGGAATGCAGTGGCATGATCCCAGCTCACTGTAACCTCCACCTCCCAGGCTCTAGTGATCCTTCTGCCTCAGCCTCCCAAGTAGCTGGGAGACCACAGGCATGTACCACCATGCCCAGCTAATTTTTTTAATTAACTGTAGAGAAAGGGTCTCCCTATGTTGCCCAGGCTGGTCTTGAACTCCTGACCTCAAGGGATCCTCCTGCCTCAGCCTCCAAAAGTGCTGCAATTATAGGCATGAGCCACTGTCCCCAGCCACAGTGGGGATAATTATAATAAATAGCTTCTTTCTTTGTTTTTAAGCTTATAGTTGAACATATGAATCTGTAGTTGTTATATAAAAATCTTTCTGACATTAAGTTGAAGTTAATAGAATACACTAAAAGCTTTTAAAACATGAACATTTGTCTAACGGAGAAATCTTTTTCTATCCTATAAGAATTTCCAGTCTATCACATACGGCTTCAATCTCCTACTCAAGTAGCATGTCCTCCGCAACACTTCTGATCTCTCCAGTGCCAATACTGGATTTCTGTTACCTCCATTTCATATATTAGTGGAGTGAGAGGTTAAGTAACTTTTCCAAAGGCACAGAGCTATTAAGGGTCAGATGCTGAACTCAAAATCTCACCTGTCTGACAACGTGTTTCCTGGTATACCTCATGCCATCTTCTCTAGTATGTATTGGATTTTAATTTGGATTTTTTTTTAAAGACAGGATCTCACTTGGTCACCTAGGCTGGAGTGCAATGGCACCACTGTAACTCACTGCAGCCTCGAACTCCTAATCTAAAGAGGTCCTCCTGCCTTGGCCTCCCAAAGTGCTGGGATTACAGGTGCTCACCAGCATGCCCGGCCCTTATAATATGTATTCTCTGAGGACAGAAACCATGAAGAGTTCATCTTTGTATCACTTAATGGCACCCAGAAGATCTGGTAGGCATATAAAAATGACCATTTTATAAATGAACCCAATTCTTTCTACTACCCCGTCACTGTGTTATCTATAACAGTTTACCTGAGATAACTTGTGATGATATTTTTAGTGAAATAAAGTGTGTATGTATGCACACATATGCAAATTGTACATACCGGGATTACAGGCTTCCATAAAGCCAATTGACCTTAGTCAATTGTAATGGATAACAAACTGAAGTTATCAGTATTACAAACACCTAAAACAACAAAAAAAATTCCAAAACATGATTATAAAATATTTTTCTTTTACCTTCATTAAATTATCCAGAATAGAAAAGGTTATGGAAATGCCATGTGTTTTAGAGATGAAACAAAATGACGTTATCAATTGAAAGTTTAGTAGGTTAACATCAAATAGCTTACAATGTTCCAACTATATTTTAAAATTACATTTAGCCTTTTGTTTCATAATCCCTTCCCTCAGGTTTCAAATACTATAGTAATAATAGGCCAAGAAATAGAACTTCCTCTTTTATTTCTCCTCAGTTCCTAGCAGTTGTTTAAAAATATATATTACTTAAAATGGACTTGAGACTAGTGGAGGAATAAGATTAATTTTAGGAGGTTGTGAAAAGTGGAAAAAATAAAAATACAAGTCATTTTTAGGACAGTAGGAGAATGGGTAGCCATCTTTTTATTGCTGGAGACATTTGTACATCATAGAAAAAAGTCCAGAAAAATTAATAATAAAATGGTTAACAGTGATTACCTTAGAGAATGAAACTCTACTCACTTCTGTATATTGTAAATTATTTACCATAAGCATGTAGTAATTTATTAAAAATTTAAAAATTGCTTTAAAGAGATACATACTCACATGCATAATGTTACAGGTAACATCATCCTGATCTGTTCAAAACCATTTTAAACATGAAAAACATCTTTCTCTGTCATTAAAAACCAACTTGTAGACAGTAGCCCCCCCTTATCTGCAGAGGATGTGTACCAACACCCCCAGGGGAATGACTGAAACCACAGATAGTACCAAACTCTCTATATACTATGATTTTTCCTATACATACCTATGATAAAGTTTAATTTATAAATTAGGTACAGTAACAGATTAACAACAATAATAATAAAATAGAACAATTATAAAAACATGCCAGCATCACTACTCTTGCACTTTGGGACCATTGTTAACTAAAATCAAGGTAACTTGAACACAAGCACTGAGTCCTGCAATGGTCCATAGAACTACTCAGCTACAAGTGACTCATGGGATGAAGTGACTCATGGCCAGGGAGTGGCTCCAGCATGGATAAACTGGACAGAGAGAGAATTCACATCCCAGACGAGACGGAGCAAGACTTCATCATGCTACTCAGAATAGTGAGCACTTTAAACTTATGAATTGCTTATTTCTGGAATTTTGCATTTAATATTTTTAGACCATGGTTGACCACGGGGAAGTGAAATTGTGGAAAGTGAGAATGCAGATAAGGGGGAAACTTCTGTATTACAAATGCTAAGAAGCTCATCAACAGGAATTTTTTAAATTTACAAAAAAGGAAGCCTTCCACTTCAACAAATTCTACTTTCTCATCAGATGAATGAAATATCAGTAGATAACTTACCACGAGCAAAAACTAACAGACTTCCACAAGACAATAAGTTGTGCTGTCTCAGACACAACAATAGAAAAAAAATCCTAAAATGAAATTTAGAGATTTCTCAGGTTTTTAGCAATGTATGCTCTTTTAGGATCCTCCGATAAGTCACAGGAAGCATATAGGAAAACTTCAAAGGTGGGTCAAAAGATGACTAAAAGAGTGGAAATTAGTAGTTGTAAGAAAAATAGAGAAAAGTAAAATTATTCATCCAGAAATAATACATAAAAGACTTAGATACAGTATCATGATCAAGCTTCTCCATGGCAAATAACCAACGTAAAATCAACAGAATTCAGTACAAGGGAGTTAAGTTTCAGCAATGTGAGTTATTAAACTTCGAATGTGTCACCAAGAAAAATAATGGAATTCCCTTCTCAGTGACTGTTAAAATAATGGAAAAGCTTTAAGAAGATCAAAAAATTTCCACAAGAATAGAAAAACACATTTTACTATTATGTATTTTATTTACTTTAGAACTGCTGCAATAGAAATATTGACATATCTAATGTGTGACGAAAGAATGTATGTGACCAAGTTATAAATGCTGCTCAAAAAATAACGTGTACTGTCAGGATGTAGGAACACCTGCTCTTTTTTTCTAGGCATCTTTTAAACAAAATAACTGCCATGTCTATGCCTTGTTTAAGAAGTGGTGCATCTTAACTTCCTGTAACAAAATGTTCAAATGGCTCTGCACTTCCTTTGCTAGCTTTAGTGTTTTAAATTCTAAGCTTCAATCTCTAGTGTTGGCAGGCCAACGAGAAAAAACAGAGAATTGTCTTTTCTCTTTAAATGCTTACCACGTGGGATTGTAAATTAGGTCAGCCATGTGGAAAGCAGTTCGGAGATTTCTCCAAGAACAAAACATAACTACTGTTCAACCCGGCAATCCCATTACTGGGTATATATCCAAAAGAAAACAAATCATTCTATCAAAAACACACGTGCCCTCATATGTTCATCACAGCACTATTCACAATAGCAAAGACATGGAATCAAGTTAGTGCCTATCAACTGTGGATTGGATAAAGAAAATGTGGTACATATAAATCATGGAATACTATACAGCCATAAAAAGAATGAAACCATGTCCTTTGCAGCAACATAGGTGTAGCTGTAGGCCATTATCCTAAATGAATTAATACAGGAACAGAAAACCAAATACTACATATTCTCACTTATAAGAGTGAGCTAAACATTAGGTACTCCTGGACATAAAGATAGCACTAATAGATACTAGTGACCTCTGGGGAGGAGAAAGGTTGAAAAACGATTTGGTACTTTACTCAATACCTTGGTGAGGGGATCAGTCGTACCCCAAACCTCAGGGTTATGCAATATACCCACGTAATAAACCTGCATATTTCCCCAGAATCTAAAATAAAAGTTGCGATTATAAAAAAATAAACAAACAAATAAATAAATACTTACCACGTATCTATTAGGTTCTTTGACATCCATCGAGGGATAATGTTCCGGTATGATGAAGTCTAATAATCCCCTGGAGATAAAAAAGACGTAGCATCAGTGTCCCTCAGAACACAGTATCCAATATCCAAGTACCTAAATCCCTCAACATCTATGAATTCATTAGATCAGGCTCAAGATGTTAAAACTTGAAGAATAAGGTTTTACTACCAAAACAGCCAAAAAGTAATATTTCTTCAATCCCAATCAAAAATCAAAATATGTTTCTAAGATCATATGAGGTTCTACATTATTATGTTTCAAATTTGATTAGTTCAATAAACATCCATTGAGTACCTGCTATACCTACTACATGTAAAGCCCTGGGCAAGTGCTAGGAAAAAGAATGGTAAGACCCAGAACCCAGACCTCAAAGAGTACATGCTCTACTAGGGAAGAAGAACATATGAAGAAATCATGATGTTAAATTATAATAAATGCAATACCAGAATTATATAAAATGAACAGTGATAACAGAGCAGAGAATGATTATTTGTGGTAGGTCATTTAAGGCTTCACACATGAGGTTACAAAAAATTGGCAAATGTCTGAGGTTAAAATATTTAAAGTTGTACCAGGATTCAGCAAACATGTAATAAATAAAATATATAAACTGCACATGTATCATATTTTCTATTCCCATTTTAACCAACTATTCTAGTTACCTGCCTAACCACTAGTATGGACTGCACCGAATAAGAGGAAATCTGGAAGCAAATTTCAGCTGTAGATATGATTTGGAAATTACTAAAACCCAGTTAAAATAGTAAGTGTAGATTAGCATTTGTCTAATATCTATCTATGTCTCATATGTATATACACACACCACACACTGTATATGAGAGTATGTCATATTAGCCAGTGGAAGTATGTCAAGGATGAAGTGCTTAATCATATGCATTAAATGCTAGAGAGATCCGTGAACTATAACTGAAACATGACCACTAGATGGAGCAATTTCAGTGACATGGTGTGAATCCAGGCAGAACTGACCCAGAAAGCAAATGGTAGTTAGAAATAATGCCTCGTGAAAGTAGACAACTCTCCACCGGCCAGGATGACCAGAAGTTCAGTAAATGTTGCCGAGGTAAGAGACAGAGCAGCTGTGACAAGTGCGATGACTTCTTTGCTCTTATACATTTCCTTCATGTTTTTGCATATTCTTCCTGGTCCAAATCTGTATTTACTATGCTGAAAACTATAATATAGGATCCATATTCTAAATGATCCTAGTTTGTGTAAGGCATTTTTTCTTAAGTATTTCCAACTTTTAAAAACTGTATTAACTCAACAAATGGAAAAAGAACTCCTCCTAAAGAAGACTTTTTGTTTGAAGGAACATCTTGCTAAGTCGGCTTGAGGAAGACGGGATTTTGTAAGCACAGATGCCAGCAGGTACCAAGATCTTGGAAAATGATGGAAGCCACACTGCATGACCCAAGGGGAAGAATTTATTGCTTTTGCTCTTTTGAAAAAAAATCCCTCCTCCATCTTCCCCACAGAAATCTTCAGCAAGATGCTCTCTGTTCTTAAAGACGTTGTGTACATTTGGTTTGCTGTTTGTGTTCATCCTTTCGATGGGGCTGAGTTTCACATCTGGGTCAGCCCAGTGTGAAATAGGTACTATCACACATATCAAAGCTGGAGTCCAGGTAGAGAGGAGACACAAGACAGAGGATACACCCGGGGAATCCCAGGAATTGGGAAGAGAGCTTTGGATTTCCAGAAGCTGCAGAATTGAGCAATTTGAGTCACTTCCCCCACCTCCCTAGTGTGTGAGTGGTATGGAGAACCTCATTGGTAACTGGGGTGCATCCTACATTATAAGTTTTTTGAGAAACGGGACTATTGGGTTGTATACTTCTTTTATTAATCTCCTAAAAAACCTACATGGTGCTTAGCACAATAGGAAATTTTACAAATATTTATTTGAAATATTGCATTTTATTTATAAGAAAATGGAAAATACTTAACTTCACAGCACATAAATAAGCATTTTTTCCAACTGTCTTGTACAATTTTTTTAAATGTAATTTCTTATTCAGACTTAAAAAAGAAGAAAATGTTGCCATTTGCAACAACATGGATGAAGCTCAAGGACATTATGTTAAAGTGAAATAAGCCAGACACAGAAAGACAAATACTGCATAATCTCACTTATACGGGAAACCTAAAAAAGTCCAACTCATAGAAATAGAGAGTGGAATGGTGGTGACCAGGGGTCAATGAGGTAGGGGATATGGGGAGATGTTGTTCAAAGGACACGAAGTTGCAGTTATAAGATGAATAAGTCCTGAAGACCAAATGGATAGACTATAGTGGATAATAACACCTTGTACCTTTGAAATTTGCTAAGAGAGCAGATCTTAAGTATTCTCACCACAAAAAAGTAACTATATGAGGTAATGCATACGTTAATCAGCTTCATTGTGGTAATCATTTCAAAACGTATACATATGTCAAAACATCACCTTGTACATCTTAAATGTACACAATTTTTGTCAATTATACCTGCGTAAAGCTGGGGAAAAATAGTCACTTTCATAGCTTAAAAAATGCAATTTCCTTAAATTCTTGGTAATCAATCATAGACTTACAAAATAAAACAAGCAAACAAACAAAAATGTAATTTTCTAACCTCAGTATCTCTAGTTCACCATAATGAGCCAAAATTTCTAATGATCCAGTTCTGAACCATGATCCTGCAGCATGCAGCACTACTGCACCTTAAAGAGAAACATTTGGCTAGGCGTGGTGGCTCAGGCCTGTAATCCCAGCACTTTGGGAGGCCGAGACGGGCGGATCACAAGGTCAAGAGATTGAGACCATCCTGGCTAACATGGTGAAACCCCGTCTCTACTAAAAATACAAAAAAAAAAAAAAAAAAAAAAAATTAGCCAGGCATGGTGGGGGGGTGCCTGTGGACCCAGCTACTCAGGAGGCTGAGGAGGGAGAATGGCATGAACCTTGGAGGTGGAGCTTGCAGTGAGCCAAGATCACGCCACTGCACTCCAGCCTGGGCGACAGAGCTACACTCCATCTCAAATAAATAAATAAATAAATAAATAAATAAAACAAAACAAAAAAAGAAACATTTATTGGCCAGGTGCAGTGGCTCACGCCTGTAATCGCAGCACTTTGGGAGGCCAAGGCAGATATATAACAAGTTCAGGAGTTTGAGACCAGCTTGGCCAAAATGGTGAAATCCCATCTCTACCAAAAATACAAAAAAAAAAAAAAAAAAAAAAAATTAGCTGGGTGTGGTGGTGAGCGCCTGTAATCCCAGCTACTCATGAGGCTGTGGCAGGAGAATCACTTGAACTCAGGAAGGCTGAGGTTGCAGTGAGCCGAGATCACGCCACTGCACTCCAACTTAGACAACAAGAGTGAGATTCCATCTCAAAAAAAAAAATTTATTATAGCATAAAACTCTATTAGGCTATAGGAATACGGCAAAATATCTTTCCTTAAAAATTATTTTAATAAAAAATAATATATTCTCTGAATTTATCAGAAAAATAACCAATTTCATCCATAAAGGATCAAGAGTATTTCTTTATTCCTTAAAGAATGAATCAGAATGTCCAGAACCACACTTTTACAGCCAGCAAGCCTCTAATCTAGCTAAAGGCTGAGAGAGCGAGCTGCGGGGCTCCAAACTCTTGATTTCCCACTTGTCTCATCAATAGTGACCTTTTCCCTGTACTTGATCCTGAATAAGGGAATGAATTATTTTGCATAGGTCTTTAACATAAATACAATCAGTAAATAGAACTCATGTTTCTTTCTCATAAGGAATGCTGTACTTACAGGTGTTTAGATGTCAAGATGAATTCCACACCAGGGTAATAGCCCCTGCCCTGTGGCTGCTGTCCTTCAATAGACTCCCACACTCACTACCTCTGGGCCTTTGTTGATGCTATTCTGCCCTCTGCCACACAACCCAATCCCTGTCCTCCCCCTACTGAAATCTTAGCTAACCTTCTACTCAAGATCGATTTCCTCTTCCTCCATAAAGATAACCTGATCCATCTCTCTTTAACTGACCTCTGATTTTTTATAGTTTATTTGTTCCATGTGTTTAAGTATTTTTTCTTTAAAGACTGTGATTTTCTTGGGACCAGGGACTATGACATACTTATTACTCCCAGGCTGGGCATGGTGGTTGATACCTGTAATCCCAACACTGTGGGAGACCAAGGCGGGAAGACTGCTTGAGCCCGGAGTTCAAGGCCAGCCTGGGCAATATAGCAAGACCTCATCTCTACATTAATTAATTAATTACTTAAAGAAATACTTATTACTCCTGGACCCCTTAAAGTGTGGTCCAATGGCAGGCACAGAAAATGGCCAATAAGTAGTTTTGGGGTTGGCTGGACCATTCATATAGACAGGACTCATCCACAGTACTAATCTGGATATTTATTTTCATGTGTCTTTTTTTGAGCAATAAAATGTAGTCACTTTGAAAAAGCATATAAGCTTAATCTATTATTCTAAATGTTTACTTCATGAACAGCCACTGAATCACATTCCTCAATATTAACACTGAAAGACACAGGGGGTTCTAGTCTAACCTCATTTTATTTTATTTTATTTTATTTTATTTTATTTTTTGAGACAGAGTCTTACTCTCCCGACCAGGTTGGAGGGCAGTGGCATGATCGTAGCTCACTGCAGCCTTGATCTCCAGGCTCAAGGGATCCTCCCACCTCAGCCTCCCAAGTAGCTGGGACTACAGGTATGCACTACCACGTCTAGCTAATTATTTTTCTAATTTTTTTTTTTTTTTTTTTTTTGTAGAGACAGGGTCTCCCTATGTTGCCTAGCCTGATCTCAAACTCCTGGGCTCAAGTAATCCTCCCACTTTGGCCTCCCAAAGTGCTAGGACTACAGGCATGAGCCACCTGCCCAGCCTAACTTCATTTTAGATGGCAAAAATGAGGGGCAGATTGTTTAAGTGACTTGCCCAAGTCACAAAGTGAGTTCCTGCAGGGCCAGCTCTAGGTTTCACATATTCTTTTTTCCTATCTAGCACTATTCTCACTGTACCACAGTGGCTCCTGGGCAAATGTTAGGATAAAAGCACAATGGAAGTATCTCTGCATATGTGAAGATCTAGAGATGAAAATTCTACTATTGTCCTAATAGAAGTAATACTGGAGACAATTTAAACCATTAAGATTGTGGCTTGGAATTCAGAAAAACTGAATATACATGTCACAGCCACAAAAGTTAGTAGTGTTATTTATACCAGTCATACCAATAGTCTGTGACTGGAATGTCATATCCAATCAGCAAAAGCAAAAAGACCTACACAGTTATAGACCCACATGTAATAGTATCATTTCATCCAGATGAAATTAGAGAGAGAGAAAGAGATGCTGTAGAAATAAATAACCCATAATTTCTTTAAGCATGAATATTTGGGGGGAATTTTTTAAATGGAAATCTTATAAAAACACACTGCTATGGTCTGACAGTATTCATCCCCCTAAAACTCCTATGTTGATACCCAGTCACCAAAGTGATGGTATTAGAAAATAGGGACTTTAGGAGGTGACTAGGTCATGAGGGCTCCGTCCTCATGAATGGGGTTCATGTCCTTATGAAAGAGGCCCCAGAGAGCTGCCTTCGCTTCCGCCATGTGAGGATGAAGTGAGAAGGCGCCATCTATGAAGCAGAGAACCCTCAAAAGATACCACATCTATGGGTGCTTTGATCTTGGACTTCCTGAACTCCAGAACTAGGAGCAATAAACTTCTGTTGTTTATAAATTACCCAGTCCAAGGCATTTTGTTATAGCAGCCTGAATGGAGTAGGACACATATTATGCATAAAGTATAATAAGTATGAAATGTGTGCTTGGTAAATCACTGAACATTGGCAAGGGTCTGACCCATGACAGCCATAAAAAGGAACAAGATCATGTCCTTTGCAGGGACATGGATGGAGTTGGAAGCCATTACCTTCAGCAAACTAACACAGGAACAGAAAACCAAACACTGCATCTTCTCAGTTATAAATTGCAGCTGACTGAGAACACATGGATATGCCAGGGGGAACAACACACACTGGGCACCTGTAGGGGGATTGGGGGGAAGGAGAGCATCAGCAAGAATAGCTAATGGATGCTGAGCTCAATAACTGGGTGATGGGGGCTGGGCTCAGTGGCTCATGCCCATTATCCTAGCACTTTGGGAGGCCAAGGCAGGCAGATCACTTGAGGTCAGGAGTTCAAAATCAGCCTGCCCAATATGGTGAAACCCAGTCTCTACTGAAAATACAAAAAAAAAAAAAAAAAAATTAGCCTGGCGTTGTGGCATGCACCTGTAATCCCAGCTACTTGAGAGTTCAAGATAAGCCTGGGCAACATGGCGAAACCCTGTCTCTATAAAATTAGCCAGGCGTGGTGACAAGTGCCTGTGGTCCCAGCCAATTGGGTGGCTAAAGCAGGAGGATCGCTTGAACCCAGGAGGCAGAGGTTGCAGCGAGCGGAGATCGTGCCACTGCACTCCAGCATGGGTGACAGAGCAAAGCTCCATCTCAAAATAAATACATTAAATAAATAAATAAATAAATAACTGGGTGATGGGATGATCTGTGCAGTAAACCACCATGGCACACGTTTACCTATGTAACAAAACTGCACATCCTGTACATGTACCCCTGAACTTAAAAGATGAAAAGAAAAATAAATTGATGTTCAAGTTTGTCACAGGTGACCCTTAAAGTCCTCCTAATGGCTTGACTACTTTGTCTTTTAGTCTACAGGACTTTGAAGAAGGAAGGAAATAACTAACCCAGCAAACCAGAACCTGATGCTATAATAATTGTAATAGTTAACATGTTAAGCACTTTACATGTATTTCCTAATTTAATCCTACACCAACCCTACGATACTTTACTATTTGTCTTAAAATTTGTTCCTGAGCAAACCAGCATCACCAAAAAGCCCCCAAACCACCAGAGAGTGTTAATCTTATCTAGCTTACAGGAAAGTCACAGTCACAACAATTGGTCCTATGTTCCCGTTTCTGTTTTTAATTAGTCAGATACCATACCCTGAATTTGTTGCTTAATTTCTTGCTTAACATCTTGCTTAATTTCCAGAATGTTCCTTAATTCCTTCCTGATTTCTGCAGCACAAATAACACCCCCAAGGAATCTTGATTTACTCCCATTCTAGTAGTTGTACATTGTTCTATGGCTATCTTGATATAATTATAATCTATTTGTCCTTCTTTTTATCTGTTTTATATTAATTTATTTTTTGAGACAGGGTCTCACTCTGTCACCCTGGCTGCAGTGTGGTGGCACAACTTTGGCTCACTGCAACCTCTGCCTCCCAGTCTCAAGCGATCCTCCCTCTTTAGCCACCCAACTGGCTGGGACCACAGGCACGTGTCACCATGCCTGGCTAATTTTTGTAGAGAAGGGTTTCACCATGTTGCCCAGGCTGATCTTGAACTCCTAGGCTCAAGCAATCTGCCTGCCTCAGCCTCCCAAAGTGCTGGGATTATAGGTGTGAGCGACTGCACCCGGCTTGTCCTTTTATATTGACACATTGTACTACTTCATTTTGCCAAAAATGCCAAAAGTGCACTGAATGAGTTCTCTAGCAATAATCCACAGAAATTTTATATTTATGCTGCCCCAGTATTCTCAATTCCATTCAAAGAATTAGACTCTAGCTTTAGCACAGCAAGAAATCACATCAGCTAATCTATAAACATCTTCTGATGGCATATTCCTTTAGACACATCTTGTTGAACTCCCAATGCACTAATTTAAAACTTAATGCAAAATAATTTTTCAGTAGGACAGCATTTCCATCAAATAATTCTATTTGCATAAGGGAAGTTATGATGTTGCTACTCTGACCTGGTTGCCCCCATATCGGTGAGCCAGTGGAACAGATCCAAACACTGTCTTTTCGCCACTTACAAGGTGGATAAAATCATCTGTTTCTGAAACAGATAAATCAAGGTCCAAAATATTTTCTAGAACTTCCTGAGGCAGGAAAAACAAATTTACAAACCGACGTCATCTTTCACTTTTTTGGGGTTTTTTTTGTTTTGTTTTTTTTGAGACACAGGCTCACTCAGTTACCCAGGCTGGAGTGCAGAGGCACAATCATGGCTCACTGCAGCTTTAACCTCCTGGGCTCAAGTGATCCTCCCGCTTTGGCCTCCTAAAGTGCTACGATTACAGGATGGAGCTAGGGCACCCGGCCTAATAATTTTTAAGAATGAGACTTAATGGAAGAAAATTCAAAGAATAAACCTCTTCTGAAAATATATTATTAATTTTTTTCATAAGAGATGTACCATACTGTCTATGTTTATGCTATTTGGGAAAAATTAGTTCTACTAGATGGTTCTAAAATTTTTATGGCTTTCTTATGATGCATGGTAAAACAATATTTTTCCTAGGACAAATTCATTTAAGAAACTACAAAAAAAGTCCTATTTTTAGCCCAAATTCATTTATGTCATGGGAGAAAAATTTAGAATTAGAGACCATTAGATAAAGGATATGTAAGATAACAATTTAACTCATTTTCCTCTTTTTCACAAAAGCATATTTTTCTTGTAAGACAACTTTAAGTTGAAACTGAGTAAGTATCAGTGTGATTTATAAGAATGACATCTCCAAGTATTTGAATTTTAAACACAGTCATTTATAATTAGACTAATAATATTAACTCTAAAAAATTATTTTAAACAAATATTTTAGTGAGTTAAGTATTTGTGTTGTGAAAAACTAATGCCTAACCTTTGAAACTGCTATAAGACGTACTCTTGATTTGAAAGGAGTTCAGAAAAAGATACATAAAATACAGTTTTCCACTTTATGAACATAATTTTCTTTAACAGGATCAACAGGCAACATAGCTGATAAAATAAACATCCTTCTTAATGTTCTCATTTGTTGCATATACAGCACTAATATCCCTTAGAAAGTCTATGGTTCTTCAAGAAACTCAAGTCACTATTTTCTTCATGCTTTGTTATTTAAAGGCTACTTTGTAATTTCAACACAATCTAGCCAACATTCATTTAGGTCAGTATATCATGGAACTGTTCAAGAGCCTAGGAAATGGAAAAGGTTTAAAACAGGAAGACACATACCCTGTCTTCAAAGATCTTCACTCTTGGAAGGCATATCAGATTTATATATATATATATATTCTTTTTGAGATGGAGTTTCTCTCTTGTTGCTCACGCTGGAGTGCAATGGTGTTATCACGGCTCATTGCAAACTCCGCCTCCCAGTTTCAAGTGATTCTCCTGCCTCAGCCTCCCACGTAGCTGGGATTACAGGCATGTGCCACCATGCCCGGCTAATTTTGCATTTTTAGTAAGGATGGGGTTTCATCATGTTGGTCAGGCTGGTCTCAAACTCCTGACCTCAGGTGATCTGCTCACCTCGGCCTCCCAAAGTGCTGGGATTACAGGCATGAGCCACCGCGCCCAGCCAACAAATATATATTTTTAAATGGAGGTGAGCTGCATTACAGAATTACAAGTATAGTACTAGTTAATTCAATGGAACCAAAATCCATTAGGCACACAATCACATGCATTCTGCCCTTTGGAAACACAATTAGCTAAAGGAAACAGGTAGACAAGAGACATAAATACCTTAAGACCAGGCAATACATGGCTTACTAGATGCACAAAACTGCTGTAGATCCCACATATGATAGCTGCCCGCCCACAAAGCTAAAAGTTTAGAAATTGCCTCTGCAGAAACAAACTATGTCTCATAAAGTCCATACACTGAAACACATTTACCATATTTTAAAAGCTGTAGAGGAAAAGAAAGCTTTGAACACACTTTAGATTCTCAAAACATATTTACTCTTATTTTATAAATAACACCTAAAATCGTCATCTGTTTTTCCAATCCAAAGCAATTAAAACAAAAAAAAATAGAAGACAGTAGGTGTATTAATAAAACTATAAGACTAAGGGACAAAAAAACTTGTTTCTGGATACAGATTTATTGTCAAAATGTGTCACCAAATTATTTAATAAACATAATAGGAATCCAATTAATAGCCTAGCAGGATTTTTTTGAAGAAATAGACAATCTTAGTGTGCAAATCTGAAAAAATAAACGATAAATTTTTTAAGAGAAACAAGTTTGCTTATATTAAAAATTAAAAGAATACAATAACAAAAACTATTGCTATTCTAAAAATAGATGTAAAGATCAGTGGAACTCAATAAAAAGTGCAGAAACAACCAAAAGCTATAAAAGAATTTCCTATACAGTGAAAATAACATTTCAAATCACTGGAGAGAGGTAGCATTAGGATAATTTGCTCCACTGTCTGGAGTAACACCAATTTATTCCATCCAGGCTTAAGTGAACTAAGTATCAGTTACAACAGCAAGTTTCTATCTTATTCAAATCAGTAATAAAAGCAGGCTAATATGGGCCATATGGGCCACTTTTAGCCCTTTATATGTTCCCTTAAGTCCATGATGTATTATAAGGTAGCATCCTGGGGGATTAAATGTGTACTCAATCAAAAAGTGGCAGATTTTAGCATTCACACCAGAAAATCGGACAATATGATTATAAGTGGAAGAACCAACAGTATATTTTCTGCTTTTGTGGGAGAGCCTCTGAGTGGAATGAACTAGATTATATAATTAACACAATCTCCTTTATGATGCTCTAACATTGGTAGGGCAGGGGCAGCATATCACATTCCATTAGTAGTTATCATTTTGTACCACTCGATGCACGTCCCGGCAAGACAGCTGCTGGTCAATAGATGTGATCACCAGCCATGGAACAAAAAAGGCTATTTCAGGCATATTAAACCCTCACCCATGTGATGCTTTAACAAGCTAATGAGTCATAGACTAAAAACCCCAGAGAAAATTCCAAAAGCATACTAACCCCTTCTCTTAAGATCTCAGGAAAATCAGTACTGGCAACTTTAAATTCTTTTGAATTCCGTTTTGCATAAGACTATGAAATCCACAAAAACTAACAACAAACAAAAGGTTAGTGAAACTAATCTTTCACTGCAAATGTTTGAACCTTTTCTCTCAATAAATGTGCTTACCAGAGTAAGATAATTTGGATAATTCATTGATCATTTATTTAGTAAAATCAGGATGAGATGTTTTACACAGTACTGTAAATCAAGACACAGTAATACATAGGATTATTTATTTATTTATTTGGAGACAGTGTCCCACTCTTTCATCCACACTGGAATGCAGTGGCATGATCACAACTCACTGCAGCCTCGAACTCTCGAACTTCTGGGCTCAAGCAAATTTCCCCGCCTCAGGCTCCTGAGTAGCTAGGGCTACAGTCACACACCACCACGCCTGGCTAATTTTATTTTTTGTAGAGACAGGGTCTTGCTTATGTCGCCTAGGCTGTTCGTGACATCCCGACCTCAAGCAATCCTGCCACCTCGGCCTCCCAAAGTGCTGTGATAACAGGCATGACCCACTGTGTCTGGCCTGGTACTATATTTACAATCTCTTTGGCTATAAAACCTGTTCCTATTGTAGATATTATGTTTTAAACAGTATCATCAATATGGCAAGAAAATGTCTTGGAGGGTACCTAACACTCCAACCTCAAAACGACAACCTTGATCGCTTTCAGTTACACATAGGCCATTTTGATCCATCTGTACTGGCTCTTTTCATTTGTCTAAGGGCAGCAAAATAGACTAAAGTTGTTTTCAGACTGCACAAGAGAAGTCTGTTCTTTAGCACTTACCTGCATAACTCAGATAGTGTTTTTAACTTCCTCAACTCATGCTTGGCCTAGTGGGGTCAAAAGAACTACTTGTGAATTCCGTATGTCCAATTGGTAGCTTACTGTTTTTTCTCAAGAGTTTAGCTATACAGTAACGTTGGAAGTCTTGAGGAACTTCAGCTGCTGTCCCTACTTAGCCTTGCAATACTACGGCATCTTTTTTTCTTTTTCTTTTTTTTAAAGACGGAGTCTCACTTTGTCACCTAGGCCGAAGTGCAGTGGCACAATCTCGGCTCACTGCAACCTCTGCCTCCCAGGTTCAAGTGATTCTCTTGCCTCAGCCTCCTAAGTGGTTGGGATTACAGAACATGCACCACCATGCCCAACTAATTTTTGAATATTTAGTAGAGACGGGTTTCACCATGTTGGCCAGGCTGGTCTCAAACTCCTGACCTCAAGTGATCCACCTGCCTCGGCCTCCCACAGTGCTGGGATTACAGGCTGAGCCACTGTGCCCCCGACCTACAGCATCTTTTTAAGAGCAATGTTTTCTGTTTTAATGTGGCCAAGCAATCTCTAAACGAACATGGTCTGACAAAATTGTGTAGTGACATACTTGACAACTGGGTGAGCTTGAGTGTGATACTTATTTGACCATACGGTATTTCCTCTATATGTTTCCTTATCTTTATATACAAAAAAGGGCAAATGATAATGTCTTAGTCATAGGATCAAGTACAACCCAAGTGCTTACTGCTACACTCTACTTGGCAAATTCCACCTTATGAATGTTTCTTAATATATAAACCTAATCTAAACCAAGATAAGCTACAGGTGCATATTAACAATCTTTACTCATAAAGCTTTGCATATTTTTACATACTATTCTTCAAGATGGAAAAAACACCATCAAACTGGCTTATTTTCATAGATGTCTTTATATAGTCTATGATGTCTTCATTCCATAAAAAATCCACACGATTAAATATGAAATTAATGTACCCAGCTATGAGGCTACCGCATTCTTTAACCCAAGAACAAGAAAATACATGAATCAGAGAACTGCAATTACCTACTTGCTGGTCTATTTCCTCATTAGAGTGAATTTTTTGAGGACTAAATTGCATTTCTCTATCTCTAATGCTTACCCCCTATCTCACTGGCTCTGTGTGTTTGAGTGCATGCGCTGAATGTTTATATCACTTAATTTCTGTTCGGAACACGCTGTCTCTTAGCACCAGTAGATCTGGCCTTAGAGCTAAGGAAAGAAGGCCTTTCTAACCCATAAGGGGTACTAATCCTGTACAGACTCCAATATCTCCCGGGCTGGGTACACGCAGGTTCACACCCAGGTGTGAGCAAGATTGCCAAACTATACCTATAAGGCGTTTGGAGGGGAGAGTCCAAAAGTCACGAGACCCGGCTAATTTAGCTACTATTTCACAACAACCCTGATCGTGGTCGGACTTGTTTCTAGGAAGATGCGATGGGCTGGAACTTCCTTCAAGAACAGATTGCAAAAGGCAGCCGACCAGGGCGTGTCAGGTCACTGCCAAGGGAAGCAGCAGCGGAAACCGTCGCCTCCGGCTTAGGCTGCGGAGCGGGAACCCCATTCTCTGAGTTATGTTTCTGCCTAAACACGCAGAACAAAAGAGTTCGTGGCTGCAAGGGTGGCGCGCGGTAGTATTTCTTGCTAATAAAAGGTCCCCACAGGGACATTTTTGCTATGACTGCAGGCGTGGCCAGTCTCCCTGCACAGCTTCCGGGAAGAGGTGGGGATAGGAGGCTCGCCCCGGGGAAGGTTACGCTCGGGGTCCCCAGACCAGGTCTCCGCACGCCCCTGCCCCGTCGCCTCCCGGGAGCGGCTGCAGTCCCCGTTGGCTGCAGACGGGCAGACACCCGAAGTGTCCGCGCCGGCAGCCGGACCGCAAGCGAGGAAGAGCGAACCGCGCTCCCGGGCCTGGCCGAAGCGCTTCCTGTGCCAGGTTTCCGGCTCCGGGTCCCGGGAGGAGGATCGCGGGCCAGAGGCGGAGCCGCCGCCCTGCCGCGACTTTCAGACTCCGACCATGGCCTCGCGCTGGTGGCGGTGGCGGCGCGGCTGCTCCTGGAAGCCGGCGGCGCGGAGCCCCGGGCCCGGCTCCCCCGGCCGTGCGGGACCGTTGGGGCCGAGCGCCGCTGCCGAAGTCCGCGCGCAGGTGAGGTTGGGAGGCGCGCGCCCGGCGGGGCTCAGAGGTCACGGCTCCAATGACAGCAGTGGGCGGAATGAATGGGAGCGGGGAGCACGTGCGTCGCGACGCGGGGGCGCGCGGGGTAGCTCCGGGGTAGCTCCGGGGTGGGACTCCGGAGCTGAGGGGTGCTCGCGGTGGGACGGAGCCGCGCGTTGGACTGAAGTAGGGGCGCCCTACACGGGGTTGCAGAAAGCGGTGTCCTGGGGACCCCGGGAGCGTTTTGGGGGGTGGAGAAAGCGGTGGGATCCGTGTCCTGGGGGAAGCGCAGGAGCGATCAGATTGACCGCTGCTATATGGACAAGGTTAAGCCTGGAGAGCGACTGCAGCTATTTACTTTGGAGTTAGAGGAAGACAGATCTTGCCTGAAATTTTAGAGCCAAAGTGCTCAGAGCTCTCTCCGAGAAACGGAGGATCGAATCGGCCTCGGAATAGTCCGAAAAGGTCTTGTGGAGAATGCAGGGCTGGTGCTAGGGTGGACCGGACCTTAGTTGTCCAGCAGTGGCCTCGGGAGGAGAGCACACCTGGATGGGGCTGGAATGACACTGGAAGGAGAAAGGCCCGAGGCCGTCAGGAGGAGAGAAACCCTGGAGTCATCTAAAGTCAGAATCTCAGCGATAGCCCATTCTTTCAGGGTCTCCTCTGCTGCCTTTGGGTTCCGATCTCCTTTTTCTCCCTTTCTGGTCAGTTTAGCCCCTGTAAATGGACACTGTGAGCCCTTCTGCGCTTTGTAATGATTCTCAGTGTGCCATGGGGTAGGCCCATGCTATTAGCATAACCGTGCAAAATCTATGGACTCACTGTTACTTAAGTTTATTTGAATTTAGTACTCTTTTAATTCAGATTTGGTATACTTTATGTGTCCGTGTTCTCATCAAACATCATTTCCCAGTATGAAATATATAACACTTATAAATATCTACTTTGTACCAAAGTAGATGCGTATCACAAATTATCCAAAACAAGGCTTGGGCCAGGCACAGTGGCTCACACCTGTAATCCCAGCACTTTGGGAGGCTGAGGTGGGAGAATCGGTTGAGGCCAGGAGTTTGGGACCAGCCTAGGCAACATAGCAAGACTCTGTCTCTATAAAAAATAGAAAAAATTCACCAGGTGGGGTGGTGCATGCCTGTAGTTCTACCTACTCAGGAGCCTGAGGGAGGAGGATTGTTCGATCCCAGGAGTTCAAGATTACAGTGAGCTGTTTATTGTGATAGTGCCAGTGCACTCCAGCCTGGGCAACAGTGTGAGACCCTATCTCTAAAAAATCTAAAGCAAAAAAGACGTTTGGAGACCAAGTGGCAGCTGGGCAACTAGACAATGCTAGAGAGTAAAGAGAACAGAATATGGGGGGTGAGGGGCATGTGGGAGAAGAGGCTTAGAGGAGGAAGGTAGGCTTTGCTGTGATCCATTTCAGGACTGTTCTCTCCAGACTTCAGATATTTCTAGTTCCACAGAAGAAGCCAGTATTTGAAGAGATGGGTGCATCCACCCTCTTATGCCACTACATGCTTCTTCTTCTTCTTCTTTTTTTTTTTTTTTGACACAGAGTCTCACTCTGTCGCCCAGGCTGGAGTGCAGTGGCGGAATCTCGGCTCACTGCAAACTCCACCTCCCAGGTTCAAGCGATTCTCCTGCTGCAGACTCCCAAGTAGCTGGGATTACAGGCGTACACCACGACCCCCAGCTAATTTTTGTATTTTTAGTAGAGACGGCATTTCACCATGTTGCCCAGGCTGGTCTGGAACTCCTGACCTCAAGTGATCCACCCCCTCCTCGGCCTCCCAAAGTGCGGGGATTACAGGTGTGAGCCACCACGCCTGGCCTGACACTTCTTTTTAAAAAAGTTTCTTGCCCACCAAGCAACCTTAGCCAGGGAAAGTGTGCTTTTCTGGAGAGAATATGCTTTATGGCCTCCCCGTCTGCATGACGACAAGGAGGAATTCTGTGGACTCATGATGCCAAGATCATGTATTTCTGATGTGTGTGTCAGTGATGCCTTTCACTATATGTTAATATGTTAGCATTCTGGTGTCTGCCTCAGGCATGTGTATTTTGGTTACTTCAAGTCTCTTAGGGCCTGATAGTCCTTGGGGACACAGAACTACAATAACTAAGCCACAGGGACAAAGAGCGGCAATAATTAAGCCACGTCTTGCTCTCCACCAGAGCTCTACTACCTCCTAATGGTTGTACATTCTTCTGACTTCACTAGTAGTGTGAACAAATATTGTAATACAATAAAAACCAGTGTGCATGTGATCGTGCCAAATCACTTCTCAATATATCTTTGATTTTTTTTTTTAATTTATTTTTTTAGAGACGGGGACTTTTTGTGTTGGCCAGGTTGGTCTTGAACTCTTGGACTCAAGCCATTCCCCCCTCCCCCCCACCCCGCTTGAGGATTGGCACACGGCCATGTATTTGATTCTTACCCAGCACTTTCTCTTTAGCTGAGCGTGGTGGCTCACGCCTGTAATCCCAACAGTTTGGGAGGCCGAGGCAGGAGAATCCCTTTAGCTCAGGAGTTCGAGACCAGCCTGGGCCACTTAGTGAGACCTCCTGATATGGTTTGGCTCTGTGTGCCCACCCACATCTATCTCGAATTGTAATCCCCAATTATATTTGGGGACCAGGGAGGGTCAAGGGAGGGACCAGGTGGAGGTAATTGGATCATGGGGGTGGATTCCCCCATGCTGTTCTCATGATAGGGAGTTCTCACAAGATCTGCTGGTTTTATAAGTGTTTGGTAGTTCCTCCTGTGTTCATTCTGTCTCCTGCCGCCTTGTGAAGAAGGTGCTTGTTTCTCCTTCTCCTTCTTCCACCATGATTCTAAGTTTCTGAGGCCTCCCCAGCCATTCAGAACTGTGAGTCAATTAAACCTCTTTCCTATAATTATAGATTGCCCAGTCATGGGTAATTTCTTTATAGCAGTGTGAGAATGGACCAATACAGATAATTGGTACCAAAGTAGTTGGCATTGATATAAGATACCTGAGAATGTGGAAATTACTTTGGAACTGGGTAACAAGCAGAGGTTGGAATAGTTTGGAGGGCTCAGAAGAAGAAAGGAAGATGTAGGAAAGTTTGGAAATTCCTAGAGTCTTGTTGAATGGCTTTGACCAAAATGCTGAAAGTGATATGGACGATGAAGTCCAGGCTGAGGTGGTCTCAGATGGAGATGAGGAGCTTCCTGGGAACTGGGCAAAGGTCACTCTTGCTATGCTTTAGCAAAGAGACTGGTGGCATTTTGCCCCACCCTAGAGATCTGTGGAACTTTGAGCCTGAGAGAGATGATCTGAAATTGGAACTTAAATTTAAAGGGGAAGCAGAGCATAAACGTTTGGAAAATTTGCAGCCTGAAGATGTGATAGAAAAGAATTTTCTGGGGAGGAATTCAAGCTGGCTGCAGACATTTGCATAAGTAACAAGGAGCCGAATGTTAATAGCCAAGAGAATGGGGAAAATGTCTCCAGAGCATGTCAGAGACCTTCTCTGCAGCCCCTCCCATCACAGGCCAGGAGGCCTAGGAGGGAAAAATGGATTCATGGGCTGGGCCCAGGGCCCTGCTGCTCTGTGCAAGAGCAGCCCTGGGACTTGGTGCCCTGCTTCCCAGCCGTAGCTAAAAGGGGCCAAGGTACAGCTTGGGCCATTGCTTCAGAGGGTATAAGCCCCAAGCCTTGGTGGCTTCCATGTGCTGCTGAGCCTGCAAGGTGCACAGAAGACAACAATTTGGGAACTTCTGCCTAGATTTCAGAGGATGTATGGAAATGCCTCAATGCCCAAGCAGAAGTCTGCTGAAGGGGGGAGAACCCTCATGGAGAACCTCTGTTAGGACAGTGCAGAAAGGAAATGTGGGGTTGCAGCCCCCACACGGAGTCCCTGCTGGGGCACTGCCTAATGGAGCTGTGAAAGGAGGGCCACCGTGCTCTAGACCCCAGAATGGTAGGTCCACCAACAGCTTCCACCGTGCACCTGGAAAAGCTGCAGGCACTCAATGCCAGCCCATGAGAATAGCAGTGGGGGTTGAACCCTG
The DNA here is from genome assembly GCF_000001405.40 of Homo sapiens. Lineage (NCBI taxonomy): Eukaryota > Metazoa > Chordata > Mammalia > Primates > Hominidae > Homo > Homo sapiens. Next base: position 26,701,907 of record NC_000010.11, read on the forward strand.
CAAAGCCACAGAGTCAGAGCCACCCAAGTTCTTGGGAGCCCACCCTTTGCATCAGTGTGACCTAGATGTGAGACATGGAGTCAAAGATCATTTTGGAGCTTTAAGTAATGACTGCCCTGCTGGGTTTGGACTTGCATGAGGCCTGTAAGCCCCTTCGTTTTGGCCAATTTCTACCATTTGGAATGGGAACATTTAACCAATACCTGTACTCCCATTGTATCTTGGATGTAACGTAACTTGTTTTTGATTTTACAGGTTCATAGGCGGAAGGGACTTGACTTGTCTCAGGTAAGACTTTGGACTTGGACTTTTGAGTTAATGCTAGAATGAGTTAAGACTTTTGGGGACTGTTCGGAAGGAATGATTGGTTTTGAAAAATGAGGATATGAGATTTGGGAGGAGCAAGGGGCAGAACGATATGGTTGGTTCTGTGTCTCTACCCAAATCTCATCTCAAATTTTAATCCCCATGTGTCAAAGGAGGGCCTATGTGGAGGTAATTGGATCCTGGGGGCAGATTCCCCCATGCTGTTCTTGTTATAGCGAATTCTTATGAGATCTGATGGTTTTATAAGTGATTGGTAGTTCCTTCTGTGTTCATTCTCCTTCCTGCTGCCTAGTGAAGAAGGTGCCTTGCTTTCCCTTTTCCTTCTGCCATGATTGTAAGTTTCTTGAGGCCTCCCTAGCCGTTTGGAACTGTGAGTCAGTTACACCTCTTTCTTTTATAAATTACCCAGTCTTGGGTATTTCTTTATAGCAATGTGAAAACATACTAATACACCTCGTTTCTAAAAATCAGCTACGCATTGTGGCATGTTCCTGTAGTCCCAGCTACTCAGTAGGCTGAGGTGGGAAGATAGCTTGAGCCCAGGAGATTGAGGCTGCAGTGAGCTATGATTGCACCACTGCACTCCAGCCTGGAAAAATAAAATAAAAGTAAATTCATGAGAGGCAAGGTTGACTTTCAGAGAGTGTGTGAGGGAAAGGTAAGAAACAAAATCGGAATTAGAAAATGACTGTTGCCCCTCTCTTTTCATTCTTCACTGCTTTTCTGAGCACCTCTCACCTCCCTTTGAAAAACTGCTCTAAAGTACTTTTAAAGCAGAAAATAGTAGCTTGATTGAATAGATACTGTATTAAATGTATATTGTGTACCAGGCTCTGAGCTAAGAGCTTTACATCTGCTCTCTAAATTAATCTCCACCTCTCTCCATGAGTAGGTATTATCAGAAAGACATCACAAGGTAACACAAATGTTGAGATTTGAACCGAGATCTGTCTTCCAAAGTCCATGCTACTAATAATTGTTAGGCCACTTGGTGGTAAAAAGCGTCCCCTGTATTAATTAGCTGTGTAATTTTAATCCTTCAACCCAGATTAGGGGTCTATAACTGAATAACTAAAAAGTTATTCAGTTAGAATAGTTCAGTTAGTTATTATAACTAATCATAGTTATTTGGTCAAGCGCAGTGACTCACGTCTGTAATTCCAGCACTTGGGGAGGCTGTGGCAGGAGGATCACTTTTGCTCAGGATTTCTAATAATAGTAACTATTACTAGAGACCTGATAATAATTATTAAGTCTCTTACTGAAGAAGTTTTACTCTTCCATTAAGATGCCCTTATTTATAAGTATTATAATAAAATACTGAACTCATATGAATTAATTACCCATGTAGACTGAAAGACATAGGTTGTCATATAATGGTTGTCATATAAAGCATGAAGGAGGATTGTCACTTTGTTTTCTTGTTGCACTGTAATTGCCTGGGATATCATGAAAGTTCTTACTGGTTTAATGAATATGTAATGCTGTGGGGGAAAGAATGAAACTCAGGCCAACTACTTTGACTGGTGTCTGGCAAAGTCAACTTTCATTGTCATTTTAATATGGCGCCGGGCGCGGTGGCTCACGCCTGTAATCCCAGCACTTTGGGAGGCCAAGGCGGGCGGATCATGAGGTCAGGAGATCGAGACCATCCTGGCTAACACGGTGAAACCCCATCTCTACTAAAAATACAAAAAATTAGCCAGGCGAGGTGGTGGGCGCCTGTAGTCCCAGCTACTCAGGAGGCTGAGACAGGAGAATGGCGTGAACCCTGGGGGGCGGAGCCTGCAGTGAGCCGAGATAGCGCCACTGCACTCCAGCCTGGACGACAGAACGAGACTCCGTCTCACAAAAAAAAAAAAAAAAAAATATGGCTAGAGCAATACATGTTCATTAGAGAAGAATCAGAAAATATCTACCAAAAGAAGGAATAAAACAAAACACCCCCACAATCCGATTCATTCCAGAATAACTACTTTTAACACCCTGGTTTGTGTGCTTTCAAACTCTGTTCTCCCATTTCCAAAGGATGTTGAGGAACACGAACTTAAAATAGACAGTGTTTGTATAAATATAAATTCCTTCCTTGCTATTGAAATCTTTTTTCCTCTGACCAATCTTAGTTAAATGGAAGGAAATTGTTTTAAAACTAATTTTCAGGTCTGGAAAGATAGATATGAATATGGAAATGGCTTTCTTTGGGGGAAGGGATGGACTGAAGATGGTTTTTATTTTCTCCTTTTTTCTTATTTATGTTTTCTGCAATGACAAGTATTTTGTAATAACAAAAGGAAACTTTAAAATTATTCTTCCTCTAAAGTTTGCAATCTACCTGTAAATGGGTGATTAGAAGATAAAGATTATAATTATGGGGGTTTTATCATCCAATGTTACAGTTTTTCAGGAATATTCTTACAAGTTTCTTGACATTTTTATTTTATAGATACCCTATATTAATCTTGTGAAGCATTTAACATCTGCCTGTCCAAATGTATGTCGTATATCACGGTAAGTTTACAGTCCATACTGCAACTACTAAAATTATCCATTTTTAAATTTATTGTTGTTTAAAAAATTTTTTTTGTAGCGATGGGGAGCTCACTGTGTTGCCCAGGCTGGTCTTGAACTGCTGGCCTCAAGCTATCCTCCCACCCTCAGGTTCCCAAAGTGCTGGGATTGCAGACATAAGCACCCGGCCTAAAATTATTAATTATATTGCCTGTAAATTTCTATTCTAAATTGTAGATCTCTGCCTATTCAAAAAACAGGAATATAATAAAGTTTGAGCTCAACCCAGAGCACAATGAACATAGTTTAGTTTTTCTTTGATTTTGTGGGTTCTCAAGGCCCTATTTATAAAAGTGATCTATTGATCTGTCATTTAGCAAGAATAGAATTCTGTATGTTTTTCCAAATTATAATGACCTTTTCAGATTCATGATTAATTTCTAGCAAATATTTGGGCTGAATTTTCCGTATCTGAGTCTACTAAATATATATGTATATAAAACTTACTTGAAAATGAAGTCATGTGCATTTTTGCATGTCCCAGGTTTCATCACACAACCCCAGACAGTAAAACACACAGTGGTGAAAAATACACCGATCCTTTCAAACTCGGTTGGAGAGACTTGAAAGGTCTGTATGAGGACATTAGAAAGGTGAGTTTTTTATTCTGCTGTGATGTAATGTTTTAGCTTACCAAAACTTACTAAAATTTTATTTTATTTTTTATTCTTATAATTATTATTATTTTTTGAGCTGGAGTCTCACTCTGTTGCCCAGGCTTGAGTGCAGCGGTGCAATCTAAGCTCACTGCAACCCTTGCCTCCCAGGTTCATGCAATTCTCCTGCCTCAGCCTCCTGAGTAGCTGAGATTATAGGCATGCGCCATCACACCTGGGTAATTTTTGTATTTTTAGTGAAGACGGGGTTTTGCTATGTTGGCCAGGCTGGTCTTGAACTCCTGACCTCAGGTGACCTACCCACCTTGGCCTCCCAAAGTGCTGGGATTACAAAAAAACAGTGCAGGTTTTCAGATCTGTACAATGCAGTTTGCAATCTTGATTGACGTATGGTCAAGTTTCAAATGTTTCTTGAGAAGAATACATATGACCCAGTGCCAGGCAATATGAAGAATGCAATATGTATTTATGTCCAGAAAGAGGTTATGGCAGGGTTGGGAACCTGAAGGAAAAAAATGGTCCAGGTAGCTCATGCTTGTCCAATGAGTTATCCCACCTTTCCTCTTAAAACCCACCACCTCCCAGTGACTCCAGCTGTCTCTTCCTTATCTAATTCTGAATGTCATTGCCAGTCTGCCCCAAATATGGCTTTCTTCATTCAACTCTTTTTCCTGAAAACTTTCAGTAGTTCCCAACCTCACGTGGTTGGGCACCGTGGCTCGTGCCTGTAATCCCACCAATTTAGGAGGCCAAAGCAAGAGGACTGCTTAAGCCCAGGAGTTTGAGGCTGCAGTGAGCCATGATCCCGCCATTGCACTCCAGCCTGAGTGAGAGAGCAAGACATTTTTTCTGTCTTTAGAAAAAAATTGGCTGGGCACGGTGGATCACACCTATAATCCTAGCACTTTGAGAGGACACCACTTCCTGTTTCACAGACAGTAGGGGCTGTGGAGGAAGAACTCCTTCAGCTCCTGCTCTGTCGCAATTGGCCAGCTTGCCTGCGCCTTCTCTGGCGATTGCCTGCTCTCCTCCCACCCGTGGAAGTCATGTCCCTTCCCTCTCTAGGGGCAGTCCCTTAGCCAACCTCCCTAGTTTCTTAGGAACTCCCCCAGACATGGCCTCTCCCTCTGTCTGCAAACTTTCATTGGCATGGTCTTCCATATCCATTGGGTGTTCAGTTTCTTCACCTGCATTTTTAAAAGGCCCATCCACTGACCCAGTGCTTCACTCCCTCCCTTCCCTCACAGTATCCCCTGCCCTCTGCCTTCCTCCAGTGCCTTCATGTTCCCTCCACTATTGCACTGGGGCCCCCTTTCCAGCCTCTCCTCTGAAGCTGGTTTTGCTTGGGTCACTGATAGCTTCCCTGTGCTAAATCCAATGGATGTGTTACCAGCAGCAAATTTGTACAGGTCTGCAGCAACCTCAATTCTTGCCTCCTCAGAAGAAAGAATTCGACTGAGGGGCCTAAGGCAGAAGGAGAGACGGAGGCAAGTTTTAGAGCAGGAGAGAAAGTTTATTATTAAGTGTAGAGTAGGAAGGGAAGGAAGTAAAGTACACTTGTAAGAGGGCCAAGCTGGTGACCTGAGAGAAAGTGTGTGGTTTGACCTTGGAATTTGGGTTTTAGATGTTGGCATACTTCCAGGGACTTGCATCCCGTCTCCCCGGATTCTTCCCTTGGGGTGGGCTGCCCGCATGCGCAGTGGCCCGCCAGTGTTGGGGAGGGGAGCATGCTCAGTGTGTTTACCGGAGTTTTGCGCATGCTCACGTGAGGCATTCTTCCCATACCAGTCCCAGTTTTCCTAGAAGGACATACACCAATTAAGCTCTGCCATTTTGCCTCTTAGTGTGCATGGTTGAGCCGACTCACCCAACTCCCGAGATCTTATTGGGAAGCTGATCACCAGTTTCAGGTTTTTGTATCTATTGAGAGACTGCCGTCCCTTGGCACCAGCTGTGACCAATTAGTATTTTAGCGACACAGTTAACAACTGCTTGACCATCACGTGATGGTCGCCTTCCTGTTGTGGGTCGGGGAGCCCTCTCCTGCCCTGCTCATGCCTGACTAGCTATCTACTGTAACGGACACTTCCTGGTTTTCTGACCATTGGGCACTATTGACTGTAACCCCTCCTTGAAACATGGTTCCCTTCACTCTGCACTTTGTTCCCCCTCCTTATCCTGAGGCTTTTCTTCGGTTCATCACCTCCAGCTCACTTCCTTTAATTTTGCCATTCCCTGGGGTTCCGTGGGCCCCCTCCTCTCTCTCTTCCTTATATATCTGTGTCCATACTTACGTCTCTCAAATAATATCACTACTCCAGGTTGAATCACATCTCCCACACCCAGGTAGCTAACTACTCACCGGGAACGCCATGGGGCGGCCATGACGGTCTCAGGCTTAACTCAGCTGAGACTCTACTTTTCCCCCACGAGTTGTTTGTTCTGCTGTTTTCCTGTTCCTTGGGAACCTGGGAAGAACCCAGGACTTGTCCCTCTCCTTCCCCTCTATGTCCTTCTAGTCTGCCTCTTGTCAGTCCCCACTGCCCCAGGCCAGGCAATTCCATGCCCCTGGTCCTTTCATTCGTGCTCTTCTCCTCCCTGTCTCAGCTTCCGAGGTGACAGCTTACCTGGGTGACAGCACCACACCCATCACACTGTGTTGTGTCAACGGCAGTGATCGTTTTACTTCTCCCCATCTAGACCCTGAGCTCCTTGTAGGCAAGGCTTGTCTTACTTTACCTTTGTGACCTCTGTGTCTGTTACAGTGCCTGGCACTAAGTCGGTAATTTACTGAATGAACGATGGGCCCACTTTGTTGTGTTCACCTGTGCCGAGCTGAGGTTCATTGACTCCCACTGCATCCAGGGGATAAACTCTGACTTAGTCTTGGAGTGGCAGATACAAGCGACACACACCCGTCAGCCGGAAGGCTCTTGTCCTCTTTGTGAATCAGAACCCTGTTTAGGCTTCTAATCCCACATCAAAGCCCATCTCCTCCATGAAATACTCAGTTTTTCTAGCCTGCACTGATCTCTTCCTTCCCTGAACTTTCAATGTATTTAATGTACAGCATTGTTCACGCTACCACTGTATTCGTCATTGATTGTTTCATATTTGCAAAATGTTTCTCTCCCCAGTTCAGTTGTAGGCTCCTTGTAATCCGGCAGCCCATGCCTTATATGGGCTCTATGCGCTTACGTGGGCCTCTATGAACCCTCAAAATGTCTTTTGCCAAATAAAGGCCAAGCCAGATGGACTGAGCCCTGTTTCTTCTCCTTGGCTGTGGCCTTACTATCTTCCTGCCCCTCGTAAACAGCTTTGCCCCTGGGAGTTTGAGGCTGCAGTGAGTTATGATCGTGCCACTGCCCTGAGGCCTGGGTGACAGAGCAAGACCTTGTCTCTAAAAAAATTAAAATAAAAAATTTAAAAAAACAACTTTGCCACCCTACCCATCACACCCCACCCGCCTGACCTGCTTCACAGGCTCCCGACGGCCACTGGCTTCCACCTTCCCCATCTTTCTCTTCCCGCCTCCATCTTTCAAGCTGCGAACCAGCCCCTGTTCCTTTCGCTGTCCGGCTGTCAATGAGCCCAGAGTCCCTTAGCCACCTAGTGCTTTCTTCCACCTCCTGCTGTCTCTTGGGGTCTTCTGGTGTCTGATTCTGTCAGCGGGGCAGGTGGCAGTACCTGTTCTAGCATTCAGGCCACTTGGGGCTGATCCACGCATTGTTTATGTTCTAGCCTGCAGGACAGCCAGGTGGATGGCCCTGCAGCGTGGGAGCCTTGCCCACGGAGTGTTGAATTTCTCAATTGAAATGAATACACTTAAATTAAACCAAAGTTTTGTAGAAGAAATCCTGGCCAGGCACGGTGGCTCACGCCTGTAATCCCAACACTTTGGGAGGCCGAGGCGGGTGGATCACCTGATGTCAGGAGTTTAAGACCAGCCTGGCCAACGTGGTGAAATCCCGTCTCTACTAAAAATACAAAAAATTAGCCAGGCATTGTGGCGGGTGCTTGTAATCCCAGCTGCTTGCGGGGCTGAGGCAGGAGAATCGCATGAACCCGGGAGGCGGAGGTTACAATGAGCTGAGATCGTTCCATTGCACTCCAGTCTGGGCAACAAGAGCGAAACTCCGTCTCAAAAAAAAAAAGAAATCCTGTTGGCTTTCTGTGCAGTTTTTTGATGCCATTGTGACACAGAGAAACTTTATTTCAGGAACTGCTTATATCAACATCAGAACTTAAGGAAATGTCTGAGTACTACTTTGATGGGAAAGGGAAAGCCTTTCGACCAATTATTGTGGCGCTAATGGCCCGAGCATGCAATATTCATCATAACAACTCCCGGTGAGCTCTTTTTTTCATTCCTTTCTTGTTTTTATATTTGGGAAGTCTTTCTTCCCGGGGTTACTTACTGTTTCATTTCCCATTTAAGAATTAGCATATACCGGCTGGGCATGGTGGCTCATGCCTATAATCCCAGCATTCTGGGAGCCTGAGGCGGGTGGATCGTGAGATCAGGAGTTTGAGACCAGCCTGGCCAACATGGTGAGACCCCGTCTCTACTAAAAATACAAAAAAAATTAGCCGGGCGTGGTGGCAGGTGCCTGTAATCCCAGCTACTTGGGAGGCTGAGGCAGGAGAATCGTTTGAATCTGGGAGGCGGAGGTTGCAGTGAGCTGAGATCACGCCATTGCACTCCAGCCTGGGCGACAGAGCGAGACTCTTGTCTTAAAAAAAAAAAAGTAGCATGTACCTAAAAATTCACTTTGTGATGTTTAGATTCTGACTTTAAGTCACTAAAGTCACTCAGGAATCTAGTCTGGCATCTTTTTTTTTTTTGAGACGGAGTCTTGCTCTGTCGCCCAGGCTGGAGTGCAGTGGTGTGATCTCGGCTCACTGGAAGCTCTGCCTCCTGGGTTCACACCATTCTCCTGCCTCAGCCTCCCAAGTAGCTGGGACTACAGGCGCCTGCCACTGTGCCCCGCTAATTTTTTGTATTTTTAGTAGAGACAGGGTTTCACCGTGTTAGCCAGGATGTGGTCTCAAGGTATGAGCCACCATGCCCGGCTAATTTTTTTTTTTTTTTTGTATTTTTAGTAGAGATGGGGTTTCACCATGTTGGCCAGGCTGGTCTCAAACTCCTGAACTCATGTGATCCACCCACCTTGGCCTCCCAAAGTGCTGGGATTACAGGCGTGAGCCACTGTGCCCAGCCCATAAAGCTCTTTTTTGATCTGGGTTCTTTAATAAAATGAGCTTGGGTTTTGCTGAGCTCTGTTGCAAGTTAGGTTCTCCAGGAGGCAGACTCTGAGATGAAGTTTAAAGGACAGGATGTTTATTCGGGATTATCCCCTGGGATTACTGACACCTGAGGGAGGGGGAGAGGATACAGGACTGGGTAGCAGGAGAAGCTGAGCTGGAATCAACAGCCTGAAACACCCTCTAGGGTGTGCAGGTAGAATGGCCCTTCATCTATCAGTCCCTGGATGTGGGCTGCCTCCCGAAGGGGCACAGCCTAAGGTGAGAGGACTCTTTGTAGCCAAGGCAATCCTTGAAGAGGCTAAGAAATGAAGGCCAACAGGTACCAACCATACCTGATACAGCAGCTGGGGCAGAGTCATGCACTGACGGGGGATCTGGGGGCATGTCTCAGAATCCACCACAACTCTGTTTTCTGGACGTGTCAAGTCTGAGTTATCTGTTGCATGGACTCAGTCTCAAAAAAAAAAAGTTTTTAAAATAAATTAATGAAATGTCTTCACAATTACATCATATAATCTATTGATGGAAATTCCAGTAGACCATGATGTACTAATACATCTCCCTAGTGTTGAACATTTGTATTATATTTCCCCTTCTCAGTAGATATTTAAGGAATGCCTAAGATTTGTCAGCACTGAATTTAATGACGCTGTAAGAATGAGTGTCAGATATTGCTTCTTAGTGGCTCCTCTCCTCTGCCCACAGCTTTCTCTGCCCTGCTGCTGGCCCTGCCTTGTCCAGTACATATTGCCATGCCCAGGTCTGGCTGCCACTTTAGCTGGGCTTTTCAAAGAGCTCTCAGTATATTTGTAGCAAGCAGTGAAATCTCTGGCATTGACCTTTAACCATTGTCAGGACCACTTTCACTTTACCGGAAGGCAGAGCAGCAAAAACGCTCCCTCTGAGCCAAACTTGAAATAACATCTCCTGCAGTCCAGAGCAGAGTTCCGCAGCCTCGGGACTGTTGAAATTTTGGGCCACATTGTTCTTTGTTGGGGGTCACTGGGGGCTGCCATGTGCATTACAGGATGTTTAGCAGCATCGCTGACTCTACCTACTAGATGCCCCCGAGTTGGTAACAATCAAAAATGCCTCCAGATACTGCCAAGTGTCCCATGGTCCCACGCAGCGCAGATTCGCCCCTGGTTGAGAATCACTGGTCTAGAGAATGTGTTTATATTTTTAATTTCTCTCTTAATATGTAATACAGTTCATTGCTCTCAGAAATAAACATGGGAAGGAAATTTTTTTTTTTACTGCTTTAAGTACTATCACCCACTGTCCCCATAATTGGAAGTTTTTCTTTTTCTTTTTCTTTTTTTTTTTTTTTTTTGAGATGGAGTCTCGCTCTGTTGCCCAGGCTGGAGTGCAATGGCACAATCCCAGCTCACTGCAACTTCCACCTCCTGGGTTCAAGCAATTCTCCTGCCTCAGCCTCCCAAGTAGCTGGGATTACAGATGCACGCTACCACGCCCAGCCAATTTTGTGTTTTTAGTAGAGATAGGATTTCGCCATGTTGGCCAGGCTGGTCTCGAACACCTGGCCTCAGGTGATTCACCGGCCTTGGCCTCCCAAAGTGCTGGGATTACAGGTGTGAGCCACCGCGCCCAGCCAATTTGAAGTTTTTTCAGCCTGCCTTATGGAAACTGTATAAATTGTTAGTTGCAGAAAACATAGGAGAATATAACAAAAGCCATTGCTAGTTTAAATAGTAAGTTCACTACTGCCCTCTCCAGGGAATGTCAGAGCTGCAGCCTTATTCTCCCTATAAGTGATTGGAGCAGGGCTTAGGAAAGTCACAGTGCAGAGACAGCGTCCGGCATGGGGACAAGTCACGGTTGTGGCGTGGGTTTGGGTGGTACAGTACCCTAGCAATTCTGCTCTCCAAGCCCCAACTTCCTGACAATACTTGCTTTCTGTGGACTCTTCTGGATCGGGCACTTAAAGGACTAAATATGTAGGTATTATTTCCATGCCACTTAAGAAGAAGGGATGAGGCTTCTGGAGAGCTGGGCCATTTGTGATTTTGCTTTTGCTGAGAAAGGCTTAGGACAGTAGGGGGAAATGGCAGCTAAAGATTCAGGAGCAGCACCATCCATGTTCAGTGCCAAGAGAGCCCCTCCAGCCTCAGTGGCCCCAGATCAGTGAACCTGACATTGAACCTGACAGGCTTGCTTGTTGGTGATGTCATAATGGAGGGATACTGTTTTAAACCTTTGACAATCAAAGTTTAATGGCTCTTAGGAGGCTTATCAGATGCTGTGTTTTTTTGTTTTTTTGTTTTTTTTTTTGCTTCTGAGGTATGTATTAAATTGGGGATTTTTGCTGGGCACAGTGGCTCACGCCTGTAATCCCAGCACTTTGGGAGGCTGAGGCAGGCGGGTCACGAGGTCAGGAGATCAAGACCATCCTGGCTAACACGGTGAAACCCTGTCTCTACTAAAAATACAAAAAATTAGCTGGGCATGGTGGCACGCACCTGTCGTCCCAGCTATTCCGGAGGCTGGGGCAAGAGAATCGCTTGAACCCGGGAGGCAGAGGTTGCAGTGAGCCGAGATCACGCCATTGCATTCCATCCTGGGAACAGAGCAAGACTCCGTCTCAAAAAAACCAAACAAAACAAAAAACATGGGGGATTTTTAAAACAAAACTTTGGAGGGGATTTTAATAAACGATAGAAGGTATATCTTAAGAAACAGAGCACGAGGGAGAAACTACTACTTACTGATTTTTATATTTTCCTTTATTAAGCTTTTCAGTTGTCCATTAAATGTTCCCTACTAGATTACGGGGAGTTCTTAACTTGAGGTTCACGGGAGTTGTGGGATGTCTGTAAACAACTTGACATTGTATGCAAAATTTTGTGTATATTTGGATTTTTTGGGGAAGGATTTCTATGGCTTACAGTTTATTCTCAAAGGGAAGTAGGGCCCTGAAAAGCTCAGGACCCCGTGTTTGTTTTCTCTCTGAATCTTGCTAACCATGGTGTCTGGGTAGAGAAAGTAGGAATCCACACAACAGTAGACTCAGACTTGACATGTCCAGAACACAGAGTTGTGGTGGATCCTGAGACTTGCCCCCAGATCCCCCGTCAGTGCACGACTCTGCCCCAGCTGCTGTACCAGGTATGGTTGGTACCTGTTGGCCTTCATTTCTTAGCCTCTTCAAGGATTGCCTTGGTTACAAAGAGTCCTCTCACCTTAGGCTGTGCCCCTTCGGGAGGCAGCCCACATCCAGGGACTGATAGATGAAGGGCCATTCTACCTGCACACCCTAGAGGGTGTTTCAGGCTGTTGATTCCAGCTCAGCTTCTCCTGCTACCCAGTCCTGTATCCTCTCCCCCTCCCTCAGGTGTCAGTAATCCCAAGGGATAATCCCGAATAAACATCCTGTCCTTTAAACTTCATCTCAGAGTCTGCCTCCTGCAGAACCTAACTTGCAACAGAGCTCAGCAAAACCCAAGCTCATTTTATTAAAGAACCCAGATCAAAAAAGAGCTTTATGGGCTGGGCACAGTGGCTCACGCCTGTAATCCCAGCACTTTGGGAGGCCAAGGTGGGTGGATCACATGAGTTCAGGAGTTTGAGGCTAGCCTGGCCAACATGGTGAAACCCCATCTCTACAAAAAATATAAAAATTAGCCAGTCGTGGTGACACACACCTATAAATCCCAGCTACTCAGGAGGCTGGGGCAGGAGAATCGCTTGAACCCAGGAGGTGGAGGCTGCAGTGAGCAGAGATTGCGCCACTGCACTCCAGCCTAGGGGAGACTCTGTCTCAAAAAAAAAAAAAAAAGAAAAGAAAAAGAGCTTTATGATAGATTTCTATAAAATTGCTTCACTCACTGAATGCAGCACAGTTATAGTGTCTGCATGTTTCTCAGACAAGCCAAACCTACCTAGCCTGCTCAGCTGCCTCATTGAAGACACTGTTATCACTGGCACCTGGATCTTGGCACCATCCATTCCTGTGTGAAACTCTTTTAGTTCTAAGAAGTGAATATCATTGCCAGCAATCAGGATAACAGACTACCCAAATTGTGCTGTACAGAGATCTGTTGATATCAATTTTGCAAATAGCCAATGGCATTGGATTACATTAGTCCAGTTTTCAAAGCTGAACTAGATGTTTAGGGGGTCAAATTATTAGACACAGTTTTCACAGTAGATAACAGGTTGAGAGTCCAGGTGTGATAACAATCCTGTATTCAGAGGAGGTAACTTTTATAGCACTATAAAAAACTAAGGAAATTACCAAAGCCTATCCCTGAAAAGACTGTAACAAAACAGCCATTTAGCACTGACTGGCTCCAGTGATTCCAAAGGTCAGGCCACTAACAACTGTAGAGCCATTCCTGGTTTCTGTGTGTTCTGTGTCACTGAGCCAGCCACTGCTGCTGCTGTTTATGGGATAGGCAAGAAGGTTGCTACCAAAGGAAATGGTTTTGTCTTTCACCTAGGAGATGGTTCTGTGGATATGTCCATAGTCACTGTTAAAACGGATCTTTGAAGTACATTCTACAGTAAGGGACACCCATTAAGCTGGAGATTTTGATGAGCAGATGGTCATCATTTCATGCATGAGTGCAAGGTCAAGCATAAGAACCTCAGTGAGAGCAAGAGGGCTGCAGGGCTTGTGACCGTGGTGTGTGCACCTTGTTCAGCACCCTCCATGCCAGGATGAGGCTGATTCTGTCTGCAAAGGAATCAACTCCTATACTTTTTTTTTTTTTTTTGTCTTGCTCTGTCACCCAGGCTGGAGTGCAGTGGCACAATCTCAGCTCATTTCAACCTCTGCCTCCCAGGTTCAAGCGATTCTTCTGCCTCAGCCTCCCAAGTAGCTGGGATTACAGGCACACACCATCACGCCCAGCTAATGTTTGTATTTTTAGTAGAGACGGGGTTTCATCATGTTGGCCAGGCTAGTCTTAAACTCCTGACCTCAAGTGATCCGCCTGTCTCCCCCTCCCAAAGTGCTGAGATTAAAGGCATGAGCCACCGCGCCTGGGCACTCCTACACTTTCCTTACCCATCCCCAATTTGAAAGAACTGAATGCTGGTTAGTCCATAGTACCCTGGACCCTATAGAGAAAGCTCTGCACAGAGCAACCTGGATAAGTTGTAGATCCAGGTATCATCATAGGGGTCTCTCTCCACATATCCCAAGATTCAGAAGCTCTTGTAATTTCTTCTTCAGTGGCAAGCAAATAAGCAATAGTGTGAACCCTGCATCATTTATGATGCAACTTTGCAGACATCCATTATATCCACAGCTAAATCTGAAAATATTCAGGGGTTGCTGCTTTTAGATACCAATTATTTTCTCTTGACATTAAAATGCTAACAAATCTATGACTGTTAGGATCAAGTTAAAAAAATTCCCACTGAAGAGAGACAGACTTTATTCTGAGCCTTACGTGTTTCTTTAGGTTTAGAAGGTGAATGAGCAGTGGCTGGGGAGGATGGCCTAGAAGTTGGAGCTCACAGGCTTCCTCCCTGCACTCTGCCATTCCTTAGATTGGAGGCGCCCTTGATACAGATCCCTCCCTACACACTGGGGGTTTACTTGCAATTTAAGACTTCACATTTTATATTAGTATGAACAGGGAAAATATATTTTGTAAAACCACATGTAAACCTCGTAAAGGATTCACTGGTAGGGTCATTATATTATTCTATCTATTTTTAGGTATGTTTGAAACTCTTCATTATTAAAAAAATTTTTTTGGCCGGGTGCGGTGGCTCACGTAATCTCAGCACTCTGGGAGGCCAAGGCAGGTGGATCATGTGAGGTCATGAGTTTGAGACCAGCCTTGCCAACATGGCAAAACCCCATCTCTACTAAAAATACAAAAATTATCTGGGCGTGGTGGCACACGCCTGTAGTCTCAGCTACCTGGGAGGCTCAGGCAGAAGAATCACTAAAACAAGGAGGCGAAGGTTGCAGTGAGTCAAGATTGCGCCCCTGCACTCTAGCCTGGGTGAAAGAGCAAGACTCCATCTCAAAAAAAAAAAAGATAATTTTTTAAATCTAATGAAGGAGGAAAGAAAAGTCCTGACAGGCATGCTGAATCATAGCATACTCTTGCAGGTGTGAAGTACAGAGGACGTAGCCAACTCTCAAGACCAAGGGCTTCATTTTCCATGCTACCTTGCCTGTCACCTCTCCCAGATCCTGGGAAAATGTGATCCACTATTTCACAGTAGGAAATAGAAATGGTGCCCAGTTTTTTGAAGGCTTGATTCAGTTTGGCATTTTGGAGATGTCATCTTAAGGACAGTGTGAGGTTTTTCTGTAATCTGTGCATTTTGGTCATCTGTCCCACCCTCATGTTATGGATAAGCAGTGGCAGCATTTCCCAGATGTAAGCTGACACACACTAAAGCTGAACTGGATAAAAAATACATCAGGTAAAACTATGGAACATCTGAAATATGATGTATATTCTACGTAGAAGCTGTGTTACAGTACCAAATAACATTTCAGTTTCATCCTGATTTCATCAGTCAACAATTTAGCCATGCAAAATGACATTTTTTATTCTATTTATTTATTTATTCGGAGACAGAGTCTCGCTCTACCCCCCAGGCTGGAGTACAGTGGTGCAAGTCTCAGCTCACTGCAACCTCCACCTCCCAGGTTCAAGTGATTCTCCTGCCTCAGCCTCCCAAGTAGCTGGGATTACAGGCACCCACTACCATGCCTGGCTAGTTTTTGTATTTTTAGTGGAGACGTGGTTTCGTCATGTTGGCCAGGCTGGTCTCGAACTCCTGACCTCAGGTGATCCTCCCGCCTCGGCGTCCCAAAGCGCTGGGATTATGGGCATGAGCCACTGCGCCAGGCGCAAAATGACATTTTTAGATGGATATATAGTCTATGAAATTTCAAAATATTTTAAGAAATCTTTGTTGTAATAATAGCTTCAGATTACCAAAACAACTCTAGTATCTTGGTGAGTGCTGCCAATTTCATTGCAACTTCTCAGCAGGAGCCCCGTCTGCTGATGTAATTTATCATAATGGAAGTGGTGCCCAACTTCTGAATGCATGAGAAAGGCTAGACCTTACCTGTTGTTTTAAGGTAAGGTCTACTGCTAACTAGTAGGAGGTGTCTAATTTATTAGACTGAAATTCACTTGCAAAAATATTCTAAAAGCCTTATATTAAAAAAAAACTGTAAAAGTTTATATCTTTTCCTGTGCATTCAACTCAAAGAAGATAGGGCCTAGTAAATTTACCTGAAAAATATTTAAGTATTCTAATATAAAAACTGAATCTCACTGAGGGATTCAGGTGGCTTAAAACTCACCTGAACCCTGAACCTCTATTTTCTCATTTACTGAAGTTTATTGGGGTTTTTGGTTTTTTTGTGTTTTTTTGAAATGAAGTCTCTGTCACCCAGGCTGGAGTGCAGTGGCATAATCTCGGCTCACTGCAACCTCCACTTCCCGGCTCAAGTGATTCTCCTGCATCAGCCTCTCAAGTAGCTGGGATTACAGATGCACACCACCATGCCCGACTAATCTTTGTATTTTAAGTAGAGTTGGAGTTTCACCCTGTTG
Organism: Homo sapiens; assembly: GCF_000001405.40. NCBI lineage: Eukaryota > Metazoa > Chordata > Mammalia > Primates > Hominidae > Homo > Homo sapiens. The sequence continues at coordinate 26,718,249 of NC_000010.11, forward strand.
TCCAGGCTGGTCTCGAACTCCTGACCTCAAGTGATCCGCCCGCCTCAGCCTTCCAGAGTGCTGGGATTACAGGCAGGAACCTGTAACTGTGCCTAGACTACAGAAGTGGTTTTTATATGCTAATTTGTCCCTACCCTCCACTGCTTTTGTTTTAATACTCCCCCCTTAGAAGAATTTGTTGTGATCTAGACATATTAAGAAGTTGTAACTGAAATATTAATAAAGAATGAGGCCAGGCGTGGTGGCTCACACCTGTAATCCCAGCACTTTGGGAAGCTGAGGTGGGTGGATCACCTGAAGTCAGGAATTCAAGACCAGCCTGGTCAACATGGTGAAACCCCATCTCTACTAAAAATACAAACATTAGCTGGATGTGGTGGTGTGCACATGTAATCCAAGCTACTTGGGAGGCTAAGGCAGGAGAATGGCTTGAACCCGGGAGGCAGAGGTTGTAGTGAGCCGAGATCACACCATTGCACTCCAGCCTGGGCAATAAGAGTGAAATTCCATCTCAAAAAAAAAAAAAAAAAAGGAATGAGTAGCACTGTAGACATGATTTCCAGGCTGAGAGCAGTTGAAAGGGTCTAGGGTTTAGTTCTAAGGCTGCTGGTAAGAGGAGCCAGCGTGACATCATATTTTAAAATTATATGTAAAGCAAGATCAAAAGCTTTCCTCATGCTGATTTAGTGTCGATAGTTAAATTACAGCACCTTTTATGTAGTTATACTTCATTTTTCATTGCTTTCTGCCGGGTCTGAGGAATTGGAATGAGCATTACCTTGTGCAGATGTTCAGATTCGATTTTTAAAGAAAAAGTCATATTTCAGAATCCCTCTCCCTTTTTTCCCCTCTAAGATACAACCTGATGGTATTTGAAAATAAGCATTTGGAATAAGTGCAACATTTGGTTAGTGTGTGTTTAAATGAGGATATGTTTTAGGTTCCAAATGGTTATTTCGCCAGTTTGATTTTCTTGAAATTTAGTTTTTAAAAATTGCCATAGATGATGGTGGTAATAATGATTAAAATGAAATGGGGGACATTCCCTCTGAACTGTAAAATTTATATCTGTGTCCTGTCTTCTTGAGCCTACTTATCCTATAGTTTGTGTTAAACTTGGGAAATAAAAGTTTAAATTTCTAATGAGAAGGTTAAATGTGAGTTGGAAGAAAGTTTTACAAACATCTTCTGTTGGTTACTGAGGTTGTCATACTAAACGTTTAATTTAAGACATTACTACGCGGGGTGCGGTGGCTTACGCCTGTAATCCACACTTTGGGAGGCCAAGGCAGGCGGATCACTTGAGGTCAGGAGTTCGAGACCAACCTAGCCAACATGGTGAAACCCCATCTCTACTAAAAATATAAAATTTAGCTGGGTGTGGTGGTGTATGCCTGTAGTCCCAGCTACTCATGGAGGCTGAAGTGGGAGAATCACTTGAACCTGGGAGGCGAAGGTTGTGAGCCAATATTGCACCACTGCACTCCAGCCTGGGTGACAGAGCGAGACCCTGTCTCAAAAACAAAAAAGACAGTATTAAAAGCCTTGAACATTGAGACAGTTGAGTCTTTAAAATACTTTTAAAAAATGCTTCTCACCTATCTTCCCTATCCACCCCAAAATTTAATTGTAAACTTATAAACTTAAACACCTGACCAAGAACACTGTTATAAAGATGATTCTTCAGCCCAATAAGATCAGCCAGACTTCTGATCGTTTACTGTTTTTTTGGCTAATGGTACAATTTCTACTTCTTCAATGGGGAATTCATAAAATGTAGTTGTGGCAGGGTTTCTCATACATTTGTAAATGTATAGAAATGGCTGTGTGGTGAAGCCAGAGTTTTTATACCGTTTCTCTTAGAGAAATAACATTCTTTATCCTAGATCCGATGTCCAGTTTTCACAAGCTGATTGCTGAGAAGGTTCTAGGCGGCGTCTGTTAAAAAGCATTGCTTTCTGTTAATTAGACATGTGCAAGCCAGCCAGCGCGCCATAGCCTTAATTGCAGAAATGATCCACACTGCTAGTCTGGTTCACGATGACGTTATTGACGATGCAAGTTCTCGAAGAGGAAAACACACAGTTAATAAGATCTGGGGTGAAAAGAAGGTATGGTTTTTTGGTTTTTTTAAAATCTCTCTTACTGAATCACACACTTTTCGGACCGCATTTGTTTCTCAGATTTGTCTCATTAAAAATATGCTTGCTCAAATGTAATGTGGTCTTCTGAATTTCAAAAAAGTATTCATGTCTTGTCCAAATACAGATATTTGATAAATAAATAATAAAAAATACCATGGAAAAATAAACTTAGTATTTCTAATAGAATTCCTTTGGTTATAAGGAAAGGGATTTTCATGGGTGTCCAAAAAATGTATTTCATGAGGAATCATACGTTTTACTTTTGGGCTTAGATTACCCAGATTCAGTTTAATTTTTTAAACATTTGTATAATTGAGTGCTGCATATAAATGCCAAAGCAAACAAATAAAACTAATAAAAGAAAAAAGAAACCTCAGAGAGATACTGTTCTGCCATGAAAATTCTGTCTTTTGAAATAGAAGTTCTGTAATTGGGTTTGGTTCATATATGTATATATTAAAGCATATTTCTATATTATTAGCATTGGGAATATGGGAAACAGGGACTTGGTTTGAGGATGCATAGATCCTGGGTTGAAGGATGAGAATAAAGTTGAACAGATGAGAATGAAAATGCACAGGCATCCATCGCCATCACCACACACGTGCTCTACAAACAAAAAGTTTGTGCAGGCCAGGCGCAGTGGCTCATGCCTGTAATCCCAGCACTTTGGGAGGCTGAGGTGGGTGGATCACCTGAGGTCAGGAGTTCGAGACCAGCCTGGCCAACAAGGCAAAACCCTGTCACCACTAAAAAAACACAAAAATTAGCCAGCGTACACCTGTAATCTCAGCTACTCAGGAGGCTTAGGCAGGAGAATCGCTTGAACCTGGGAGAGGGAGGTTGCAGTGAGCCAATATCACACTACTGCACTCCAGCCTGGGCAACAGAGTGAGACTCCATTTCAAAAAAAAAAAAAAAAGTTTGTGCAAACAACTACCCCACCCTCACCTCCTTTTCTCTCATAGATTTATAGTATTCCTGGTTCATTCCTATTTAATTCTCCTTATTAAAAGAAGAGATATATGTATACACACACACACACACACACACACACATACATATATATATGTTTATTGTTATCTTCACATGCTGGTTTTATTTGAACATAAATGACTGTTTTGAAATCGAGTCTTGCAATTTCATTTATATGCCTTTTATTTCAAATTTTAGATTAAAAGGTTTTACGTCCTGTTGACTAAATTCTGTACATCAGAATGTTGGCCAAAAAGCAGATGGCGTTTAGATTTGGAGAGGATGTGGGTAACTCTATGACCCATCCCTGCCGTCAGCTGTATCTGTTTTCAGGCATAGCCAGTCCTAAAGCCTTATGTGGAGCCTTGGGCGGGGGAAGAGGATCAAGAGAACAAATGATGGTCTCCGCCTTGGCTAGCCCCTGTGTGTCTGCCTCTGCCACTGGGGACCTCTTTCTGAGGGCAGGTCAAGGACACATGTGCCGCCTTCACCTGCCTCTTTCAGTTCTGACAGCCATCTGCTTAGCACAGGGCTACTTGCCAGTTCCTACCTGTTTCTGCCTCTGACCCACAACTGCTATGTTACCGGTACAAAACCCCCCACACACAGTGCCCCCTCGGTGAGCCCTTGTTAGGCCTGGCCTGGGCTTCCTAGCACTTCTTTCCTTTAACTCCCACCCCTGGCCGTCACAGTCCTGTGGCTTCCATGTCATATGCTGGACCTTTGGTCTCTAGGATCTCCCCGGCCAGGTGAAGAAGGAACTAAAGGCCAAAGGATCCCGAGCCTTGAGCTGCTAATGATGTAGGGGCTGGGTCGGGGAATGTAAGTGGGTACCTATATATCATAATTTGTAAAATGACTTTATAGGCATATACTTACATCAGGATGTCTTACATAATATGTATATTATATAAAGTGGTGATTAATTGGTAAACACAATGAACATCACTGTTTAGATACTGAAGAACCTAAGACAATAAGTACCTAAATAGTTATGTTAAAAATTCTGTGAACTCTAGCCTTTATGACTAATTACTACAGAATGTAACACTTACGGCTGGGTGTGGTGGCTCACGCCTGTAATCCTAGCACTTTGGGAGGCCGAGGCAGTTGGATCACTTGGGGCCAGGAGTTCGAGACCAGCCTGGCCAACATGGTGAAACCCCATCTCTAGTAAAAATACAAAAATACCTGGGCGTGGTGGTGTACGCTTGTAGTCCCAGCTACTCATGAGGCTGAGGTGGGGGGATTGCTTGAACCCAGGAGGAAGAGTCTGCAGTGAGCCGAGGTCATGCCACTGTACTCAAGCCTGGGCAACAGAGCAAGACTCTTTCTCAAAAAAAAAAAAAAGAATGTAATATATATCTTTAAATATGCAAATTAATGTGATATATAGGGTGTATTTGGTTATAGCATATAATTCAACTATTTATGCAGTAGTTTATAACTAGTTGCTAATACAGTGTAGACATCCATCACAGTCTAAAGAAGACTGGAAATATGTTGATTGCTTAGTGTTCAATGGAAAAACTTTTTTTTTTTTTTGTCTAGGAATGAGGGGCAGTGTCACATAGTACAAAAAGCATTTCACTTGGAGCCAAAATTCTTTGGTTTAATTTTTATTGAAAATAACATGTATCGTGCCATGCTCTGGGGTGTGCTCAGTACTAGCTGAGATGATTCCTAGTCTGAGCTCCCACTCCACTCCACCCTCCCCACTGCCCTGGGAGCATAGAGACTAGAGCATCACTGACTGGTACGCAAGGTGTGATGGTCGCAGCATGCATGGGTGTTGTACACGCACAAAAGGGAGGCATCTGACCAGACTGAGGGATCGGGGGGAACTTCTTAGAGGTGGCATCTGAACCAATTATGCAAATAAGTCCACTCAGTGAAGAAGGGGGCAGAACTTTTTGAGCAGAAGGAACAGTAAGTGGAAAGGCACAAAGGAAGAATGAACATCCAGTGTAGTGAAACTGAAGGCAGCTGCATTTTGGTGGGGCTGGTGAGTGAAGCTGCTCTCCCTCTCCAGGCATTGATTTCTTCAGGTGTCAACTGGGGAGATGGACATGGTCATCTCTGAGAGCCAATACAGTTCAAGTACTGTCCCAAATCTGTAACCGATTATTAGAAACTGGGAAGAGTGACATGGTCATCTCTGAGAGCCAGTCCAGTTCAAACACTGTCCCAAATCTGTAACTGATTATTACGAACTGGGAAGTGACATGGTCATCTCTGAGAGCCAGTCCAGTTCAAACACTGTTCCAAATCTGTAACTGATTGTTACGGACTCCTGTTGAGGAAGAAGAAGGTAAAAAACCCTGCATCCAAGATGAGCCCCCACTTCCACGAAGCTCCCTTCCAGTCAGTTTCATCATTGGCTCTACTGCTCTGATGGATTTTTCAGAACGTTCTGTTTTCCCCCTGTCTTTTTCTAGGCTGTTCTTGCTGGAGATTTAATTCTTTCTGCAGCATCTATAGCTCTGGCACGAATTGGAAATACAACTGTTATATCTATTTTAACCCAAGTTATTGAAGATTTGGTGCGTGGTACGTTGATTCTGATTTTTCTTCTTTGTTATTCAACCCTGGTGTTTAGCCAGGCAATAAAGCCACCTCTCAAATGACTCCTTTCCTTCTTTATAGGTGAATTTCTTCAGCTCGGGTCAAAAGAAAATGAGAATGAAAGATTTGCACACTACCTTGAGAAGACATTCAAGAAGACCGCCAGCCTGATAGCCAACAGTTGTAAAGCAGTATGTACGTTCTGTCTTTCTTCAAGTTAAAGCCTCATAGCTCTTTTTTGGGAGCTAATTTTCCTAGAAAATATTTCGGTGAAGAATCTTAAAATAGTACCCAAAAATCCCAAGAGGTTAATGAGGAAAAGAATGACATCCCCAAACAATAGAGGACTTCTGCTGTGTTTTCATTTTTGCCATCTTCTTTTGGTATGCAGGCGTTGACTTTTCATCTTTTCTTCCCAAGAATTCAATCAAAATAAGCTTTCCCGCACCTTCCCCAATCTGATTGCCAAACTGTATCATTTTGAACAATTTATCATAATTTCTCTAATGATTGATATCACACACACTCTTTCTGACACTTCACCTTTTAGAAATGAAGTGCTCTGTTCTTTAATATAATATTTACTCAGGAAAAGATATCTGTTAGATTGTACTAGCATTCTATGAACTTTTTTTTGTTTTTTTGTTTTTTGTGTTTTTTTGAGACAGAGTCTTTTGCTGTGTGGCCCAGGCTACAAAGCAGTGGTGTGATCTTGGCTCACTACAACCTCCACCTCCCAGGTTCAGGCAATTCTCCTGCCTCAGCTTCCCTAGTAGCTGGGACCACAGGTGTGCGCCATCACACCCAGCTAATTTTTGTATTTTTCATAGGGATGGGGGTTTGCCATGTTGGCCGGGCTGGTCTCAAACTCCTGCCCTCAAGTGATCCACCCACCTTGGCCCTGCAAAGTACTGGGATTACAGGCATGAGCCATTGCACCTGGCCAATACATTGCACCTGGCCAATCCTTCTAATATTTTTACATGAAATATAAACAAGTCCTATTTCTTCAGAGTACAAATTGAGTATAAGCCATAACTGTTTTTCCCCTTGCTTTCTCCCTCCCTCCGCTGTGCATACACATGTATACATTTTTTTTTTAATGAGTAATACCTTTAATCCGTAGACAAATGTGTGGTATTCATCGTTAGTCCAAGAATGAAAAGCAGTCTCTCCATAGAATTGTTTATCTGCCCATCTCTAAGCCTGACAGATACACAGAGACAAAACCTGGACAAATGACATTCCCATGTAATTACAGCCACAAAATAAGGAAGACCTGTAAGGGTCGCATGTCAATTGCTGTCATGATAGACTCCTAACATAATTAACAGGTAAAGAGAGCTTTTGCTCAGACCTCTCAGATGAAAAAGTCTCTTGCTGTTAGTGTCTCTGTTTTGAAAAGTGTCAAGAAATGTATAATTGCAAGGCAGAAAAGAATGAGGACAATCTTTTCTTCCTAAAAAGACCTAATAGAAACTTTAAGGAATGTGAATTATGTAGAACATGCTAGCCACAGTCTCGACCACTTTTGTCTTTTTATTAAAAGGGCTATTATGTTTTTATTTCCAAGAAATTATGTGGGTTTTTTTTTTAAAGTGAGATGGAAGAAAGTATAGACACGAGATGCTAAATAAGAGAATAGCCTATTTTAAGTGGGTGCTCTAACACTTTTACAGTAATCCTTTACATATTATCATGCCCTTGATGGCCCAACTCTCCCTGAAGGTCAGGATCCATCCTCTTAACACATTAGGGTGCCTTAATATTACTTACTAATATTTATCCTTAAGAGGATGTGTTAAGTGAGGCTCATTGATAATTTCACAATTTGAGACTGCAAACTTAGAAGCATTAGCATGGTCAGGCAAGGTGGCTCACACCTGTAATCCCAGCATTTAGGGAGACTGAGGCGGAAGGTTTGCTTGTGACCAGAAGTTCAAGACCAACCTAGGCAACATAGCAAGATCCCCATCTCTACTTAAAAATAATGTTTAAAAAATAAAGTCTTAGAAGCATTAGTAGTAGTGAGACTATTGGAATTGGAAACACCAAGACTTACTGTCTGCACCATGCAGACATCCTGCAGGCACGGGGTGGGGCGGCACCAAATTGGAGCTAGCACAGAAATTCACTCAGTGATGGAAGCTTACAAAGGGTCCAAAGAAATGGACCTGAGTCATGATAGAGAGGTTTCCTTGTGGTCACTGTTTTCTGTTTAAGAAGCCAAAGATAATGCACAGGAATTCTTTTATAAAGATATGCACCTCATTCTTCAAAGATTAGCAGCTGAACGAACAGTGAACATGTTAACGTGGCTGGACCCTTATTAAAAATGAAATGTTTCATGCTGCCCACTAGGGGGCATGCTGGCATCGTCCCAGCACTACCTCCTTTTCATGTGGTTTATTCCTAAACTCCACAGCTCTTAGAATAATAAAGCAAAATGATAGTGTGAGCTATTTGAATAAAAGTTTCTATATTTAAGTGCCTATGGGTGGAAATATTCCAGAGGTGTTATGGATTCAAAATGGCTATTTTTACGTACTCTTGGTATTTAAAATGCAAAGCCATGCGAGCTCCAAATAAATGCATGCAAAGCAAATTAGACACACCAAAAAGAGGGGAGGAGGAGAACTGAAAGAGCAGAATTATTACAGAAGAAGAACTAATGGGATTGCAAAATGTATTGAGAATTGGAGGGAAACTTACAAGCTGCATTCTACTAAGGATACCATTTCTTCATCTCCCTTCCTTTTTTTAGTGAAAATAATATTAAAATCTAAGAGAGGGCTGTCTAGGGGGATTGTTTTGTGATTGACTGATATTAAAATAGAATCCATTTTAGGCCGGGCACGGTGGCTCACACCTGTAATCCTAACACTTTAGGAGGCCGAGGCGAGTGGATCACTTTAGTCCAGGATTTCAAGACCAGCCTGGCCAACATGGCAAAACCCCGTCTGTACTAAAAATACAAAAATTAGCCGGGCGTGGTGGTGCACGCCTGTAATGCCAGCTACTTGGGAAGCTGAGGCAGGAGAACCGCTTGAACCCGGGAGGTGGAGGTTGCAGTGAGCCAAGATCACTCCACTGCATTCCAGCCTGGGCAATAGAGCGAGAGTCTCTCAAAAAAAAAACAAACAAACCAGAATTCATGTTATTATCAAAAGATGACTTATTTATTTACATACTTACTCACTTGCAAAATACATTTTGTACTCATGCAAAATACATTTTGTAGTTTACTAATAAAGACAGTGGCTTGTTTCCCAGGAAATCTGGTGGAAATGAGACCTGAGAGGTCAGAGGGCCTGTCCAGTTGTTGTTAAGCCAGACAGTAGCTGAGTTGAGACTTGAACCCAGAGCTGGGTATGGTAATCCTGCCTTGTTTCTCTCTCTCTCTCTCTCTTTTTTTTTTTTTTTCTGAATTTCTATTTTCTCCAGGGCTGCTTGTGGCCTGGAATTAATGGGCTCTCTTCCTATTACTTGATTTTCAAAGCCTCAGAGTACCACTACAGAATTGCATATTGTGGGTCACATTAGCAGAACACTCTTTTTTTTTTTTTTTAATTCATTTTTTTGAGATGGAGTCTCGCTCTGTTGCCCAGGCTGGAGCGCAGTGGCATGATCTCAGCTCACTGCAACCTCCACCTCCCAGGTTCAAGTGATTCTCCCACCTCAGCCTCCCGAGTAGCTGGGATTACAGGTGCACACCACCACATGCCACACCTGGCCTCTTTTTTTTTTACAATATTCATATCTATCTATAGGCCTCATTCAGATCTTGCCAGTTGTGAACTGTTATAACGAAAGGGAAAACATATTTTTCTGTTCCAGCATCCAGTCCAGGATTTCACGTTGCATTTTGCTGTCATGACTCTGTAGTCTCTTGTCATCTAGAACAGTCTTTCTTTGCCTCTCATTACCTTGGTATTTGGAAGAGTGCAGGCCAGTTATGTTGTTGAGCCTCTCAGTCGGGCTTCTCTGATACTTCTCAAGATTCGATCCAGGTTATGAATATTTGGCAGGAATACCACAAGAGCGGTGCTGTCCTCAGCTCCTCATACCAGGAGGCGCGTGCTGTCTTGTCTGTCCCATTACTGGTGATGCATGCCTGGATCGCTTGATTAGGATACTGTCGGGCCGGGCACAGTGGCTCACGCCTGTAATCCCAGCACTTTGGAAGGCCGAGGTGGGCAGATTACCTGAGGTCAAGAGTTCAAGACCAGCCTGGCCAACATGGTAAAACCCCATCTCTACTAAAATTATAAAAAATTAGCTGGGCATGGTGGCGGGCACCTGTAATCTCAGCACTTTGGGAGGCCGAGGCAGGTAGATCACCTGAGGTCAAGAGTTTGACAAGCGTGGCCAACATAGTGAAACCATGTCTCTACTAAAAATACAAAAATTAGCCGGGCGTAGTGGCAGGCGCCTATAATCCCAGCTACTCTGGAGGCTGATACAGGAGAATTGCTTGAATCCGGGAGGCGGAGGTTGCAGTGAGCCGAGATTGCACCATTGCACTCAAGCCTGGGCAACAAGAGTGAAACTCCATCTCAAAAAAAAAAGATACTGTCTGCCAGGTTTCTTCAATCTAAAATTACTATTTTAACCTATTTTGGGCAAAGTATTTTCAGATTATGTAAATATTATTCTGATGGTTGTCAAATGGCTGTTTTTCTATTTTCATCATTTCTTCTATATCACTCTTCTACAAGAAAGTTGGTATCCTATTTTTTTTGTTATTATTATTTCATTCTCAAAAGAGCTGAAGAGTTGGTATTCCATTGTAAGGAAGCTCTTAACTGTATGGGCTCTTGGATTCTTATTTTATTCTGTATCTTTTTTTTTTTTTTTTTTTTTTGAGCCAGGGTATCACTCTGTCACCCACGCTGGAGTGCAGTGGTGCAATCTCAGCTCACTGCAACCTCCACCTCCCGGGCTCAGGTGATCCTCCCACCTCAGCCTCCTGAGTAGCTGGGATTACATGCGGCTGCCACCATACCCGGATGACTTTTTTGTATTTTTAGTAGAGACGGGGTTTTGCCATTTTGCCCAGGCTGGTCTCAAACTCCTGGCCTCAAGTGATCGCCCACCTCGGCCTCCCAAAGTGCTGGGATTATAGGCGTGAGTCACCGTGCCCAGCCATCTTATTTTATTCTGTAGATTATAACACTGTCATTATTTTAATACTCAATTATCCAACGTATGGCCAGTAGGGGAGGCCCTTTAACCTGGCTCTGTGTCCTCCATCATTTTTTCAGCACCCCATTTCTGGCAGGAGATATTCAGCCCTGTTATTCACTGTTCTCCAAGGAGCCCACATTCCTTTTGGTGGAAAATGGTGTTAAGAAACCAGAATTTGAGTACTGGGTGTCATCGTTTCTAGACCCACTCAATGGACAGAGCTAGGAAATACATGTATGTATTATATGTAATGTAGGTAGATACGTGTATATCTTTCTGTACCCATCCATACTTATTCAAAACCACGAGGTATCAAACAGATAGTTCCAAATCCATCTAACACCACAGGATTTGTGGTTTATTCCAGGATTCCATCTTTCCATATTTGTAACCCCCTTCCCAAACAGTGAGAGACCTGGCTCCTCTTCTCCGCGGTGTATTTATTTGCACAATCTGAGAATATACCATAGGAGTTTACAAATTCATGACTCATATCTCTGTGAAAAACAAACCCAGTAGCTAGAATTCAGTATTTATCATTCCTTTTGTCTTGGGCCTGAGGATAATAGAATCAAAGCACTGTTCAAAAGTTACCTTTCTCTACGTATCAGTGTGGTTGTGTTATTATTTGGAATATATTAACCCATTTATGCCTAGTGTTCCATTATTGGAATGCTAAGCTTGTGGAGTTATTTCTATCCTACTGCTCAAGGTCATTACCAAGGTCTGATTTTTCACAAAACAAATTTGCAACCTCCAGCATAAATGGGTTAATAGTTGGTTCCTTTTTTTTTTTTTTTTTTTTTTTTTTGAGACGGAGTCTTGCTCTTTCGCCCAGGCCGGAGTGCAGTGGCACTATCTCAGCTCACTGCAAGCTCTGCCTCCCGGGTTCACGCCATTCTCCTGCCTCAGCCTCCCGAGTAGCTGGGACTACAGGTGCCCGCTACCACGCCCGGCTAATTTTTTGTATTTTTAGTAGAGATGGGGTTTCATGGTGTTAGCCAGGATGGTCTCGATCTCCTGACCTCGTGATCCGCCCACCTCGGCCTCCCAAAGTGCTGGGATTACAGGTGTGAGCCACCGCGCCCAGCCTAGTTGGATTCATTTTTATTCCACTTTAGGGATTCCCTCTCATTCTTGCTGATTTCGTGTTTTGGTTTTGAGCGTTTTGTTATTGTTGCTGTTGTTTTGAATGTTTGAAACAACGTGGCTGGGCACAGTGTCTCATGCCTGTAATCCTAGCACTTTGGGAGGCCAAGGCAGATGGATTGCTTGAGCCCAGGAGTTTGAGACCAGCCTGGGCAACATGGCGAAACCTCTGTCTACAAGGAATACAAAAATTAGCTGGGTGTGGTAGTGCACACCTGAAGTCCCAGCTACCTGGGAGGCTGAGGTGGGAGGATCACCTGAGCCCTGGGAGGTCGAGGCTGCAGTGAGCTGTGATCACACCACTGCACTCCAGCCTGGCAACAGAGTGAGACTCTGTCTAAAAAAATAATAATAATAAAAAAAATAAAAGACATTAATGTAGCTCCAAAAGTCAGAACTATACAATACAGTAACTCTCCCTTTTGCCCTGTTTTCTTCCCCTACCCCCTTGTAGGTAAGCAGTCTCGTTCACTTCTGGTTCCTCCTTCCTGGGTTTCGTTTAGCACAAACAGGCAGACACAAGTATGCTATCTTCCCTTCTTTCTCACAGCAAGAAGTAGTACCCTAGACTACTCTGCTTTCCTTTTGCATTTCTTCAGTTAACAATTTATTAGGAAAATGATTCCACATTGGTTTGTAGGATCTTCCTCATTTTTAAAACCACTGTATCAGGGCTGGGCTTGTAATCCCAGCACTTTGGGAGGCTGAGGCGGCCGAATCACGAGGTCAGGAGTTCGAGACCAGCCTGGCCAACATGGTGAAACCCCTTCTCCACTAAAAATACAAAAATTAGCTGGGCGTGGTGGCACACACCTGTAATCCCAGCACTTTGGGAGGCCAAAGCAGGCGGATCACTTGAGACCAGAGTTCAAGGCCAGGCCGGCCAACATGGTGGAACCCCATCTCTACTAAAAGTACAAAAATTAGCCAGGTATGGTGGTGGGTGCCTGTAATCCCAGCTACTCGGGAGGCTGAGGCACAAGAATAGCTTGAACCCGGGAGGTGGAGGTTGTAGTGAGCCAAGATCACGTCACTGCACTCCAGCATGGGCGACAAAGTGAGACTCCATCTCAAAAAAATTAATAAATAAATAATTTAAAAATTTTTTTAAAAGCCTCTGTATCAGATCCCATTATGTGGACATAGCATGGTTTATTCAGCCAATCTTCTATACATGGGCATTTAGGTTTCCAGTTTTACAATTACAAACACTACTGCAAGGGCTGATCGTGCATAAACCTATTTTTGTGTTGTGAGAGGAGTGCCTGCAGGGTGAATTTAGGGGTAATTGCACATGTGGTTTTGTTAGGCACCACCAGATTTCCCTCTGTTGGGTCTGTACCAGTATGTGTTTCCACCAGCAGCTTTTCGGAACCTCTTTTCCCACAGCCTTACTAACTAAATGTGCCATTACACGCTTGAGTTTTTGCCAGTCCAGTAGAGGAGAATGTATTGCAGTGGAGTTTTAATTTACATCTCTCCTTTCTGAGTGAGGTGGAACATTTTTCAGATGCTTAAGGGCCATTTATTTATTTGTTTATTTATCGGAGTCTCACTCTGTCACCCAGGCTGGAGTGCAGTGGCACGATCTCGGCTCACTGCAACCTCCGCCTCCCAGGTTCAAGCAATTCTCCTGCCTCAGCCTCCCAAGTAGCTGGGATTACAGGCGTGAGCCACTGCGCCCAGCCCTTCCCAGTCTCGTTGAGACGTGGCTTGTAAGGATGTGATGCAAGGTGTGAACCTTCCCCAGAAAGAAGTGCATACGCACAGCACAGCCTGGCTGCAGCATCTGCTTCAAACAAAACAGTCAGCCGAGCTCCACTTTCTTTGACTTAATCATTCTTCATGCTCCACCCATTTCCGGAAAGATGTGAGGCATCCCTCTGATGCTGAGCGCAAGTCTGTGCACCTCTTTGCCTTCTTGTATGTTGTGCTATGTTGCGTCCAATTTGTGGCAGTTGTTTTCTGTTTTCCTGCTACAGATCTAGGCAGTACTGACCTGGGATGGGGAAGCAGGACTCTCTGGCATGGTCTTTATGCTACCCCAGGGAAATCTGGGATAGTTGAAATCTGAGCAGTAATGTCCCTTCGCCATGTGTCAGGCAGAAGCTGCCCACTAAATAAGCTCTGTTCAGCATGTGTGGGCACAGAGGGGACAGTGCAGACAGACTGCAGCTTTATGCTTACTTGGACACATTCCTTGACCTCTTGGAGGTTCTATTTTGTTGCCCAGCATAGAAGCAGCACTCCTGTGTTGAAGTGATGAAGAGAACAGTGTCTGGAGCCAGACCATGTGGATGAAATTCAGGTTCCAGCGTGTTGGAGCCATGTAATGCCTGGTACCGTCTGTGTCTCAGTTTCTCGAACTTCATAAGTGACTTAAGATGTGAGAACTCTCAGAACAGTGCCTAGCACATAGTGGACGCTCAGAAATTGTTAGCTTTTATCATCACCAACCACATAATCCATATTTGTGGGATATTGTGAGGTTTAACTCAAATCATACAAAGTGTTCATCATATGTGCTCCACACATTTTAATCCATTAAAATGTTCACTAACAGATTTTTAGGCCGGGCACGGTGGCTCACGCCTGTAATCCCAGCACTTTGGGAGGCTGAGGCAGGCGGATCACCTGAGGTCAGGAGTTCGAGACCAGCCTGAAACCCCGTCTCTACTAAAAATACAAAAATTAGCTGGGCGTGGTGGCATACGGAGGTTGAGGCAGGAGAATCGCTTGAACTTGGGAGGTGGAGATTACAGTGAGCCCAGATCGTGCCGCTGCACTCTAGCCTGGGTGACAGAGAGACTCCGTCTCCAAAAAAAGAAATAGATTTTTAGAAAATCTTTCACTTTTCAGGAAGAAAGCTTATAGTCTCTGTGGCTCTGTGTTGAGGAAACAGCATTAATCTCACTACAGGAGACTGCTTCACTATCAGTTATTTCTACGTGGAAATATCTTGATTCCCAGTATCATTCTGTCCTGAGCCCAGCACATCCCAGGCTGCCCAAATCTTGCCATGCTCTCCTTTGAGCCAAGCTGATCTTAGCTTCTCTCGAAAGTTTCTGAATTGTCCCCCATATGGTCTCCCAGACTCTTCAGTTGAAAAAAGGAGCCCTCCCTGACAGCCCAGGGGTCGGTGCCTGCTCATGGGAAGGTGGTTGCTGTTGAAAGCAGTTATGAGCTTACTGTTCACTCAACTCAGTGGCCACCTGACCCTTTATGGTGCATGCAATTTTACCATGTACTTATGGCCAAGCACTACATAGTCAACAGACCTCATTAAGTTGTCAAAAAGCATTCTCAGGCTGAGGACGTTAGGCAACCTGGCTTTAGTTGGCAGAGGTGCGTGGACACTGCCAAGGCTCCTATTTCTGGTTCCAGTGGATGAGGTGGAGGAGGATTATTTGTAATAATAGCAAACAGCCAGGTGCGGTGGCTCACACCTGATAATCTCAACGCTTTGGGAGGTGGAGGTGGGAGGATCACGAGCCCAGGAGTTTGAGGCCAGCCTAGACAACATGGTGAGACTCCATCTCTATGAAAAAATTAAAAATTAGCTGGGTGTGGTTGCGCGTGCCTGTAGTCCCAGCTACTCAGGAGACTGAGGCGGAAGGAACCCTTGAGCCCAGGAGTTCAAGGTTACAGTGAGCTATGATCGCACCACTGTACCCCAGCCTGGGCAACAGAGTGAGACCCTATTTCTAAAAAGAGATAATAATAGCAAACACACATTGAGTTCTAACCAGGTGCCAGGCAGTATACTGAGGGCTTAAATGCAGCATCATGTCTGTTTCTCACAGCAACCCTACAAGGTAAGTGCTTGTGATTTCTACATTGTACAGATGAGCAAGAGAGATTCAGTAACATGCCGAGGTCTTGTAGAGGGCACAAATGCAGCCCCACAGTCTCACAGCAGAGCCCGCAGCACTGCACCACACTGACGCCTGAGCAAAGTTCACTCCCTGACTGGAGAGCCACAGAGGCACGACCGAAGGTCAGGGGACAGGGTTTCCTAGCATCCGCGAGCCTTACAGAAAGGCAACTGTGCAGTGCTCCAGCTGGCTTTCTCATGGAGAGTCAACAGAGACATTTCCCCTCCAGTAGAACACAGACCGTCTCTCCCCTCCCCCTTGTTGGTTTTACCCAGGCTTTGTTTTCTGAAAATGTGGCTGGGCCTGCTTAACATGCTTAGCAGGGCACTGGGAAATGCACTTCAGTGGCCGGTGCCAGCTAGCTTTTTGGAGTTTTAAAAAGACTTTCAGAAGTCTTATTTCTCCCCCATTGAAAGGAGGGAAAAGGGTTTTTATACAGTTACTTCTTTTGAGAGAAATGTGGAAACAGTGGGACCAGTGAAGTTCCTTCCGATAATGAAAGAGCGATATCTGTGTCTGAAGCAGGAGGCTTGAGATGATTTTTATGGACACACCAAGAAATAACTGCATTCAGAAACAGGTGAAATTCCCAACGATGATGAAAAGAAAGGACTACAGATGGGAAAATTGTGTGTGATTACATTAGTATCTCTTCCTGAAATGAGGGATACATTGATAGAGATGATTAAAGCCAACAGTAATCGGGCTAGCTTGCCGAGTGCTAGAAGTCAGTATTTCACAGATGGGGGTCCGTTTCTTTTGCATGTCAAGAAGGTTTACTTAGCATGTTACCAGCAGAACTAGTCCAGTTGTAGCTCAGTTTTTCCTAAGCAGTGGGAAAGGCTGCTTATCCTGTCTGAAAGCAGGGGTTGGAGAAGGAGAATTTTCTTAGAATTTAACAACACAATCTGAGACTGAAATTCTTGACTGGAAATGCGGTTTTGTACATGCTTGGTGTCCCTCTGATGTCAGCATCTCCTGAGTGTGTATAATCTAGCCCCGCTGCCTCCTATTTTAAGGAATTCCTTCAGCCAGGGGTCAGCTGCTTTGTTGCTGCCTGGAAGCAGCTTATCTCAGAATGCTCTTTCTGTTTCAGGTCTCTGTTCTAGGATGTCCCGACCCAGTGGTGCATGAGATCGCCTATCAGTACGGAAAAAATGTAGGAATAGCTTTTCAGGTTAGTATGCTTTTTATTTGTAAGAATGGTGGCGTAGTGATACAGTCAGCATTCTCCCCTAGTGTGTAATCGTCAAAATAGTAAGAACGATGGCAGCAGTGTTGGCATGGCGGTGCTCCTTACATCCCATTTTTCCTTTTGCCAGCTAATAGATGATGTATTGGACTTCACCTCGTGTTCTGACCAGATGGGCAAACCAACATCAGCTGATCTGAAGCTCGGGTTAGCCACTGGTCCTGTCCTGTTTGCCTGTCAGCAGGTAGGTTTTACAAACTCCCTTTGACACATCACTGCATAGCCCCACAGAACTGATGTCCCGCGGCACAGCTGATGGGAAGATTGCATAAAGGAATAGATGGGAAGGCATTCAGATAAGAGATCACAGGTCTGCATTTGATCCTGGCTGAGTGAGATGTTGGGGCTGGTCATTTCACCTTGCTAAGACTGTTTCCTTATCTGTGAAATTGAGAAGATCACCTTTCTCCCAGGGTGGTTGTGAGGATTAGCTAAGATCCTATTTGAGATCTTTGTGTCTTGTGGTGTGCCATAGGCATTTGAGGTAGCATCGTGATTATTTCCATATATTTTGGCCACTGGCAAAGTGAACGGTTTCTAAGTCTTGATTATAGGACTGGACTTTGGTGGTCCTCAGAGCCCCTTAAAAGGCATAGGAAGCATCAAGGGCCTCCAAGCATAAGAAATTCTCCGGTTCTAGAAGTTTAATGAGACTCTGCTGCTCTGAGAGAGGCTTTAGAACCTCGGCCATTGCCTCAAAATGTCAGGAAGTCAGTGGAGTGCAGTAGACCCACATAGTTCCTTCTTTCTCCGGATTGAGGGACTGAGTCCCCCTTAATGTGAATGAAAGGCTTAGGAAGCTTCAAAGATGTTCCCTCGACTGACAAAGCAGACATTCTCACAGCCTCCTCCAGACCCTGCCACATGGCTTGTGGCTGTACTGAATGTTACTTGAAATAAGTGAGACATTAGCTGGTGTTGGAACATCTCGTTAATAGATTTTCATCTTAGTAGTATTTAATTTGTTATGTTGCAAAGCAGTAAGATGTTCATCACCGTGCCATGAAATTCAACATTAGCTCTTTGGTGTAAAATTATAGTAACTTTTGGTCTTTCAGAGATTTTGCCTCTATTCTGTCTTCACGTTTACAAAGGTCAGTCATGTCCTCCATAAAATTCAGTGATTCCACTGTGATACAGAAACCACGGCCCTTGCTTTTGGTGGGTTTCTGATTGGAGAGAGGAAAGGTCATCTTTCACCCACTATCTAGCATAGCCATTGGCAGCATGATTCTTCCCAGGGGAGGCTGACGTTCTGGGTGGCTGGACCAGGCTACTTTGGCAGCTTGCTAAGGCTATGAATGGAGATGTTGGGGTACTCGGTAGGAACACCCACCCTCATTATTACAAGGCTTCCATCCTCTCAAACTTTGGAGGCTGAGGTAAGAAGTGAAAGGTATGCTGTAAATAGGTCCTCTCTCCCAATGAGGCTTACTTGCCAGCCCAAAATCAAAGAGTATAATACATGTGCCCAGTTTTGACAAAAATTTATAAAACCTCCTTTTGTACATTAAGGCAAGAGTGAGGAACATTTGAGCCATGTAGGTGTTATGCTGGGGATTAGAAAAATGAGGCACTGGCTACCAGTAACCTATATAACTGCGAACATTACTTCTCAGATACTTGTTAGTAAACATGAGTGAAGGAAAGCAAGATGGACTGAGTGTGCTGAAATCCAGCTAGCTTGGTAAAGATTCCTTTACCTAGGCTCAGATTATCAGGATAAAAGGAAAAAGCCTTTTTCCCTGGAGAAGTCTATGAGAAAGTTTTGGTTGCTCTATTTGTAAAAATCTTCAAATTGTTAAGTACTTGTTATGAACCCCAGGATACTAAGTTACCGGTTGAGTCCTACTTAAACCTTAAGGTGACTGGGTGAGAGGAGGCTGGCCTCTTCGGACTGTGTTTCACTCTGAATATATTTCAGAAGAAACTAACTTACTTTCCCCTACACACACAAAGGAGTAATGGCTATCTCTGCTTTCATATATAGTGGGGGAAAGGGGAAATGGACCTCTGCATAGTATCTGTCAGTAATCTACAAGAGACTGAAAAATGCTGGTTAGGCGGTGGCTCATGCCTGTAATCCCAGCACTTTGGGAGGCTGAGGCAGTTGGATTATGAGGTCAGGAGTTCAAGACCAGCCTGACCAATATGGTGGAAACCCCGTCTCTACTAAAAATACAAAAATTAGCCGGGCCTGGTGGTGCATGCCTGTAATCCCAGCTACTCGGGAGGCCAAGGAAGGAGAATCCTTGAACCTGGGAGGCAGAGGTTGCAGTGAGCCGAGACTGCACTCCAGCCTGGGTGACAGAGTGAGACTCCGTCTCAAAAAAAAAAAAAAAAAAAAAAAAAAAAAGGCTGGTTAAAAAAAGCAAGCAAAAGGAAAAAAAAAGATTACTGTACCCGAAGCCATGGTTTTATGTGTGCTTTGCTGGGAAATCCCAGTCATGAGGCACCTACTCATGCTCACCAGACAGCAGTGTTCTCATCTGCCCATAAGGCAGTGAGTTGAAAAGGCACATTGCAGCCTCAGAAAAGGGAACACAGAATGGAGTCCAAGCAGGAAGTGACTCTGGACAGGACTCATTTCAAAAGTAGACTGATGTTTCTGTCTTGTGGCACATGGGCCAGAAGTTAGCCAAGTATGTATTTATAAGTTGCCTTCTAATAAAACAGCAAGGTTAGGCTCTTTTGTGGAATACACTGTAAAACAAGAGATTCTTAGCAAGAAATGTGTCAAAAGATATATGGGACTAAGATTAATTCAGGTAAAAACAAGTTCCAAAAATAACGTAAGAATATGCAATATCTCCACTTAATGAAAATGTGTTTTTAGTTTACAAAGGATTCTTTCATACATTATCTCTAATCTCACAACTCCTCTTTGTGGTAGATATTATGGTGTTTATTCTGCAAGTAAGAAACTGATGCCCAAACCTCGCCAAAATTAAACATCTGGTAAATGGCACAGCAGGGAACTGAACAAGTCTAAGACCAGTATTCATTTTATTACATCATACATAGTGTTATTGCCACTGGTAATGCTGAGAAGTTAGTAGCTATGATACCACACAGGCCTTCCCACAGAGCAGGTAACTAACCCACCTGGGCACTGACGATACTCAAAGAATCATCTCTGTGTCATGTCTTTGCTATTGTAAACAACATACCTACTTGGTGGAGTAGTTCTAAGACGTCTGTAATCCTTTCCCTTTGGTAGGTGAGTTTTGTTTGCTGATGAGATGGTCTTTGAACTTTTCCATTTGTGAACACTGGACCAGGACAAGCATTCTTGGGAAACCACCTTTTCCTTTTTAATTTGGTGTGGTGGGTTGTCTTGGAGTTTACTCCAGCCAGCACTTGACAGAAACTCCCTGTCTTTTGGAATTCCTTTATTTTTAACATCTCTCTTAAGGGGTTTCCTGATAACAGTTGGTTCAGAGGATTTAAAAAGAGTTTTGGGGATTTCTGGAGAAGTCCCAGGGGATGACAGCGTCCTCCCATGTACGTATGTGTACATATTCTCTTTAAGAATAAAAACCTCATGTTAATTGGATTTTGAAAGCTTCAGAAACAAAATGGAAGTGTTTTACTTTCTCTGGTGAAACTTTTTTAATTTTCAAATATCTTTTTTAAAAAAACCAAATCTTTCCTTTCTTCTGCTTCTCTTCCTTATTTGATAAGTCACTAGACCCAAACGTCAGTTGTAGCCACGTTTCCAAATGCCATCACCAGCCCCTGCACCAGCTGCACAGGCCTTATGCTATCGTGGTGACTAGTTGGTGCCTTAGTGTTACCCAGTTTCGTTTGGGTAGACTCATACTCATCACCTTAGCAGTTTAGTTTATGGATGGGTTTCACAGAGTTACAACCCGATTTATCCACAGGTGGTTTTCCTACTCTTAAAAACAGCACCTGAGCAAACAGAATTTTTATTTGTCACTAAATCTGCAGGCAACTGTTCTTCCTGCTGTGTTTCTCTTTTCTTTTCCACATACACATTAAGGGGACTGGGGAGTGCCCGGGGAAGAGTTTGATATTTTGCATATTAAAATTGCACACATGACATGTTTGGAAGGAAGGATGTAGTCACTCAATGCAAATATTTTTTTCAAATTTTGCTTTCTCAATGCTTTTTATAGTAAAAGCATCAGTGAAAACACCCAATCAGCATATCTTACCACACTTGCTGGTACTGTAGAAAAAGCTTATACATCATAAACAAGGTAATGTCACCAGATGCCTACGAGAGAATCACATCAGTGTCAACGATAAAACCTTCTAGATATCCAGTATTGGTATGTGGTATTAAAAAACTAAAACAGGCTGTGTGTAGTGGCTCACGTCCATAATCCCAGCACTCTGGGAGGCCCAGGCGAGAGGATCACTTGAGGCCAGGAGTTTGACACCAGCCTAGGCAACAAGGCAAGACCCCATCTCTATAAAAAATTTAAAAATTGGCCAGGCACGGTGGCTCACGCCTGTAATCCCACTTTGGGAGGCACTTTGGGAGGCCGAGGTGGGCAGATCACGAGGTTAGGAGATCAAGACCATCCTGGCTACGGTAAAACTCCATCTCTACTAAAAATACAAAAAATTAGCTGGGCGTGGTGGCTTGCGCCTGTAGTCCCAAGTACTCGGGAGGCTGAGGCAGAGGAATCATTTGAACCCGGGAGGCGGAGGTTGCAGTCAGCCAAGATCGTGCCACTGCACTCCAGCCTGGATGACAGAGCGAAACTCCATCTCAAAAAAAAAAAAAAAAAATTAAAAAATTAGCCAGGTGCGTGCCTGTAGTCCCAGCTACTCGGGAGGCTGAGGCAGAGGATCACTTGAACCTATAGGAGTTTGAGGCTGCAGTGAGCTACGATTGCACCACTGCACTCCAGCCTGGGCAACAGAACAAGTCTCATAACAAAACTAAAACCTACTTGATTTGGCTTTTTTACCGTAGAAGTTGATTTGGGCTTTCCTGATTTCTAGTAGCTTGTTTTCTTCTTAAAAGACCCAGTAACTAAAGGAAATTACTGGTTTTCATAAGAACTAACCAGTTGCTGGCTCTATAAATTCTGTAAACACATTAGCAGTCTCCACATGTTTAGAGCTTTGTTCTGACACATATTTTGGTCTGAAAAAATTATTTCTTTGTCTGTGATCACTTGGCTGCGGCTTTTCTATGTATGCCCTATTTTTTCTTCTAGGATTACTAATACCATGGTCATGGTTACAGGACAACTTATTTCATCCTTCAGGTTCACTGCCAGGGAAAAACTGGCAGCTGCTGTAAGCACTGACGTGGCCAAAATCAAACACATCTTACCTCTTCCGTGGAGCCATAGACTGTTAGAGCTCAAGGGCTTCCAGTCATGAAGATGAGAAGCCTAAGACCCCAGGGGCTAAGGAAGTCACTCGGCTGTGGCAGCTGGTAGCCAAACCAAGACTAGAGTTCGGATCTAGGAAGTGAAGTGATTTGGTGTCCTGGCTTTTGTATTCTGTTAATGGTGACACTTCTAAATAGTTGCTAAGTATTGTAGAATATCGATTTTACCTTCAGTTCCTTTTTTACCTATTTTTTCTCTCTCTTCTTGCTATCATCTTAATTCAGGTCTTTTTTATAACCTACTCTAGTAACCTGTTTGTTCTGTCTACCTCTGACTCTTAATTCCATGGTTCTCAACCTTGGCGGCACATTAAAAATACCAGGGTGGGCGGGAGGAGGTTGAAAATCTTGGTGCCCAGGCTAAACCCCAAGCCAGTATAACCAAAGTCTCTGGGAACAGGATCTAGGCAACTGTATTTATACCTCCCCAGGCCAGGCGCGGTGGCTCACACCTGTAATCCCAGCACTTGGGGAGGCTGAGGTGGACAGATCACCTGAGGTCAGGAGTTTGAGACCAGCCTGGCCAATATGGCAAAACCCTGTCTCTACTAACAGTACAAAATTAGCCGGGTGTGGTGGCGCACACCTGTAGTCCCAGCTACTCAGGAGGCTGAGGCAGAGAATTGCTTGAACCCGGGAGGCAGAGGTTGTGGTGAGCCGAGGTCGTGCCACTGCACCACTCCAGCCTGTGTGATGGAGCAAGACTCCATCACAGGAGGGGGGGAAAAACAACAAAAAAACAAAAAACACTCCCCAGCTGATCCCAGTATGCAGTCAATGTCATGCACCGCTGCTCAGATCCACTCTACACACTGCTTAAGGCAGAGCTCTGCACATAATGCCCTCTGCTCAGAAACCTCAGTAGCTTTCAGTTGGTAATCAATTTAGAACTTAGAGTAGAATGCCTAATTCCCATCCTCATCCTAGGCCAGTGACTCTCAAAATGTTGGCAGAGACCAGAGATACTGGTGTCACCTGTTAGATGGTGGCATCTGTTAGAAATGCATGCCAAGGCTCCATCCCTACTCAATCAGAAACTGGGGGAGAGGCCCCACAAGCAGTACAGGTGATCCTGATACGATTTAAAGTTTAACAACCATGTTGTTTTTTATTTTTTATTTGAGACGGAGTTTCACTCGTTGTCCAAGGTAGAGTGCAATGGCGCAATCTCGGCTCACTGCAACCTCCACCTCCCCAGGTTCAAGCAATTCTCTTGCCTCAGCCTCCCGAGTAGCTGGGATTACAGGCGTGCACCATCATGCCCGGCTAATTTTTTGTATTTTTAGTAGAAACGGAGTTTCACCATGTTGGCCAGGCTAGTCTCAAACTCCTGACCTCAGGTGATCCGCCCACCTCGGCCTCCCAGAGTGCTGGGATTACAGGCGTGTGCCACCACGCCTGGCCAGAACCATGTTGTTTTAAAGATGTACTTTATTCCTCCTGCCTCTCTTAACTCAGTGTTGGACTAGGATAAAACATCAGAATAAACAAGGACTAATGTCTTCTCCTCCCATACACCACCACAGTGCCTAGGCATAGACGGTGGATGTCTCTTAGCTCAGCTTTTGTTGCCACAGTTTACTGCTCCCCCACATCATCTAGACACTTAGTTTCATTTTTGTTGTTTCTTGTTATTTCCTATTGTTACAAACTAGTGTTAGAACACTTGTTTCTCCCAAGAGAAATAAATAGATTTTCTCAGATTTTCTCTCTTTTTTTGTTAGTTCCCAGAAATGAATGCTATGATCATGCGACGGTTCAGTTTGCCTGGAGATGTAGACAGAGCTCGACAGTATGTACTACAGGTAAGACTGTTTTTTTAAAAAAAAGGCAGCAGCAGGAACAACGTGGCAAAATCCTTTAATCCAAAAATGTAACATTAACTAAACATTAAATTATAGATACAAGACTGTTTGGTCAACTCTTGATGTGACAAAAACTGAGAAGGGAAAACTCATTTTTCTGATTTTTTATTTTCATTTCTCTTCTAGACTACTTACGAAATGTTTTGTTTTAACTGGTCTTAGGTAAGGCACAGACATTAATATCTTTTAAAAGGTACCTAAGTGATTGTGGTGAACTGTTAGTGTTGAAACCCAGTGGTGTGGAACCAGCCTTCCCTGTGTCCATCAACAGAATCACTGGGCCCCCAGTCACCCAGCCTCGGCTCCAGCCTCATCCATGTCCCCATCCATGACCCCATCCGGGCTGCTGCTGGACTGCTGCAATAGTCTACTCATAATTGGGCTTTCCTAGTCCATCCTACCTGTTATAAAAGTGTGACTAAAGAAATGATCATTGAAAACAATAAACCAACACAGGCAAACTATACATTTATATAAATGTTTTTCTTTTAAAGGGAGAACCATTTAACCCCATTCAGGGGCTAGTGGCTTGCTTTAAATATATTGCCACGTATCTTCAGAACTTTTCTGTGGAAGCCAGATCTCTCTGCATGACTTGAGTTTTGGTGACTGACTCCTGTGAGAATGAGCCATTTCCAAGTTCACTGTCATTTGCAGCCAACAGATCTACTGGATGAGTCGGAGTGAGCAAAAAATCATTACAAAGCAAGTGTGGCATGAGATCTGTACTTAGTGTAGTACCTGAAAGACTTCCAAATAATTACCTTCCAGATTCTTAAAAAATTTAAAAAGCAACCCCAACCCCTAAAAGGTTATTTTTCTCTCTTAACTGACTATACTGTTAAGCCCCATTATTCACTACGGGTTACTGCCTTTTTTGGAGAATGGTTTAAACGTACTATTAAAAACTATGGCAGGGAGCTGGAGCTGATAAAGAAGTCAATATTCCCTGGGAGAGGTTCTGGCTTCAGAAATAATGGTATTATTGAAAGCTAGAGTGGGAAGTGGAACTGAAAAGAGGGAAGTTAATAGTAGCACCTATGGAAAATAGCAAAGTTCCAGCAATCCTAGCCAGAAACACATTTAGAGGAAACAAAAATCCACGGGAATGTTCTCTGAACAAATTCTCCAAAATTCTAGCTCCCTGTTCACCCACAGAGCTTCTAGGCCTATTCCCTCATTAAATATGAATAGACAACTCAGGGTTACAAATAAGTTGACTAAAGCTTGCTGAACAAAAGAGTGGGACCAAAATAACAGGGGGAAAAAAAAACAGGAAAAACGTAAATAGGAGGATCCAAAAAGATACCACATTCACAAAACAGTACAGGATCATACTTTTTAAATGAGTAAGAGCAAGTTCTAAGAAACTGAAAATGACTGAAGAACAAACTCCAAAGAAGGGCTGCAATGTGAAATTGTGGAAATCCTCCCAAGTGTAAAACAGAAAGGGGGAAATAGTGAAAAATAACAAGAGCTACAAGGACCAGTACCATCATGTAACAAGTATTTCAGGAAGAAAATAAACAAAAAAGTGGTCACTTATGCTAGAAAATGGTGTCAAAACTGGCTCAATGAATAGCAAAGATACTGGATACTAGAAGGCAGTGGAGGAAGGTCTTCCAAGTGAGGATGAAACATTTTAAACCTAGGATCCATTAAATCCGAAGGCAAAAGAAAGTCACCACACATCAGGACTAAAATGTTGACTTCCCATAAACACTATTTTATTTTATTTTTATTTTATTATTTTATTTTATTGTATTTTTCTTAGACTGAGTCTTGCTCTGTTGCCAGGCTCAAGTTGCAGTGGCACAATCTTGGCTCACTGCAACCTCCGCCTCCCGGGTTCAAGTGATTCTCCTGCCTCAGCCTCCCGAGTAGCTGGGACTACAGGCACCCGCCACCACGCCCGGCTGATTTTTGTATTTTTAGTGGAGACGGGGTTTCACCATGTTGGCCATTATGGTCTCGATCTTGACGTCGTGATCCGCCCGCCTCGGCCTCCCAAAGTGCTGGGAATACAGGCGTGAGCCACCGCGCTCAGTCCCCATGAACACTTTCTGGGTAGGTTATTTGCAGATGTACTTCAGGAAAACGTGTGGAAAACACTGAGAGAAGGCAGGCTTCTGTACAAAAAGGAACAGCAAACTAAAATATGTCATGTTTTGAGCAACTGGTATAGAAAATCAGATGTATTTCAACCACAATGTTAGGAATATTCCATTTCTAAATGTCAGAGGGGTCCGGGCGCAGTGGCTCACACCTGTAATCGCAGCATTTTGGGAGGCCAAGGTGGGTGGATCACTTGAGGTCAGGAGTTTGAGACCAGCCTGGCCAACATGGTGAAACCCC
Organism: Homo sapiens; assembly: GCF_000001405.40. NCBI lineage: Eukaryota > Metazoa > Chordata > Mammalia > Primates > Hominidae > Homo > Homo sapiens. The sequence continues at coordinate 26,744,993 of NC_000010.11, forward strand.
GTCTCTACTAAAAATACAAACATTAGCCAGGCGTGGTAGTGCACGCCTATAATCCTAGCTACTTAGGAGGCTGAGGCACGAGAATCCCTTGAGCCTGGGAGGCAGAGGTTGCAGTGAGCCAAGATCACGCCACTGCATTCCAGCCTGGGCGACAGAGCAAGATTCCATCTCAAAAAAAATTTAAAAAAAATAAATAAATGTCAGAGGGATCATGAGCCATGGAGAAGGAAATAGAATTATAGTATATGACTTGATTCTGCAATAAATATTTTTACATCATAGAAATGATACTTTATTAGTATTTGGCTTTTAGAAAGAACCAATATTTTAAAACATGGTTATAGAATAGGATGTAAATATCTATAGTCTAACAAACAGTATAGTTAAAGGAAAGGACAAGAGCTCATAGAAGATAAAATCTGAAGTTGATGCTACCTAACAGAAGTAATCAACAAAACAACTAAAGACAGCAGTGTGATGATGAGGCGGCACATTGTGGGTGGGCTAAACCCTCATCTTAACAAAAAGGTAACAGGTAATAACTAAAATTGGTAATCAAGAAATAAAAACTAGGCTGGGCACGGTGGCTCACACCTGTAATCCCAGCACTTTGGGAGGCCAAGGCAGGCAGATCACTTGAGGCCAGGAGTTCGAGACCAGCCTGGCCAACATGACAAAACCCCATCTCTACTAAAAATACAAAAATTAGCCGGGCATGGTGGCACGCGCCTGTAGTCCCAGCTACTTGGGAGGCTGAGGCAGGACAATCGCTTGAGCCCGGGAGGTGAAGGTTGCAGTGAGCCAAGATCATGTCATGCACTCTAGCTTGGGTGACAGAGTGAGACCCTGTCTCAAAAAAAAAGAAAAAAGAAAAAAAAAACTATTGGATAAAGTGAGTGCCTTTGGAAGAAAGGAAGCTGATTTTCATCATAAACCCTCTGTACTTTCATTTTGTTATGTCTTTATTCTTTATTTTTTAAGTAAGTTTTACTTGTGTTTTTTTTACATTTAAAAATGTTGTATAAAGATACTTTGTACATAGAACTTCTGAGAAATTCTAATAAGTAAAAATTAGGGGAAAACGAATGACTATGTAATATTGATGAGCTAGTTGCTTTGCATGCTAATAGAATAAAAATTTGCTTCAATATGAGAAAAAGGCCTAAAGGAAGTTAGCACTATGAGTCGGGAAAAGAACATTAGAGATGTAGTTTGACTGTTAACTGTAATCCTCAGCTCATCTGATCTCAAAACTATGTGTTCATTTATTATAGCAGGAAGTTAAAACGCTGATTCAGTCAGTGACAGGCATCTGTTCTGTTTTGTTCTGTATCTTATAGAGTGATGGTGTGCAACAAACAACCTACCTCGCCCAGCAGTACTGCCATGAAGCAATAAGAGAGATCAGTAAACTTCGACCATCCCCAGAAAGAGATGCCCTCATTCAGCTTTCAGAAATTGTACTCACAAGAGATAAATGACAACTCTTTCTGTTCTTTCTGGCAGCTATCTTACCAGACTGTGCCTAAAGAATTTTGTGGAATACACTTTGTTTGCTTCATGTGCAGATAACCAAAAATCATTTTAAAAGATATCAAACTTATTGATGGGCAATTTATTTTTTTTTATTGCAAAAGTTTTTTCAGAAAACTTTTTAAATGTAATTAATAAACCACCTGAATCTGTCATTCTAGTCCTATAAATTATAATCAAGGTATCTTGATGGTTATATGTGGTATTGTTTACACTGTTAATATCCACATGTAAGGCCATTACACAAATAAATAACCAATGTTAAAATTCAAATGGTTTGTCTTGATTTACCGTAGGAGTAAAGGTCAGAAAAATGTGAAGTCTGCATTGAAGTCCACATGAGTTATATTTTAACAGTATCCAAAATTTCATATAGGAGAATGGTTTATTATAAAAGACTGTACATAAAATTTAGACAACAGGTTATATACAAATTAAGAGAACAATCCACTTGAAAAATGGAAAGTAGAAGGTAGCTAGCTGATCACTAATGATACTTTGTTTGTTTAAAATTAACAAAGGCAAAATGCATATGAAATAGTCACATTGATTTGGTAGCAATAATGGTCTTTAATTTTCAGAAATAACTGTTTTGCACTAGTCTTACCATTCACTATGCTGTTATAAGTCTGTAGCATCCAGTACATAACTGTAATTTGAATTCCAAACAAATCCTCAATAACACAGAAACCCACACTTGAGTGCTCTACTTTAATATCCTAAGCAATAGAGAATTATACACAAGACAAGAAGAGAAAACATCCCTCAGCCCTCCCTTCAATTAAGAGGAGACACACAAAGTGCATGTGTTGCATTTTGATTATGTCAAAAGACAATCCAAGTCTGTTGGTTAGGTAAATCTCTGTTCACTGATTAATACATGACCCACCTTCTTTCCCAATTATTTTATTTTAAAATTCTAATGTTGCTAGTGCCAGGTAATGGATTAAAGAGTGCCTACTCACAAATCAACTGTATCCACTTTTACAATATGTAAAAGGTACTTTTAACTTCCTTTCATTGAACCAGTGTACAACAGTTCACTGTACAACTGAAGGACTGACATGGCAATCCTTAAGAATTTTACCTACAGAATGAATGCACACAATTTGACACATTTTCTTAGTTTCAAAAGATTATTTAAAAAAGGAATTCAGTAGATTGACTTGTAAATAACCATTGCAGATTTTGAATCTGCAAAAATCCGTCACATTGCTGTTGGGACAGATTAAGATAAGGCTAAAATTTTTTTCCAAGTTAACATATTGAGAAAATAGAATCATAATTCTGCAATAAATCATTATCTTTTATTTTTTTTAAAGCAAATCAGTGAAGGAAAGGACAAAAACCTTTGGTTCACTTATGTATTTATGAATGGAAAAAGTTTATAATGCAAATTTCACTCATTAAAAAACTTAGGTACAAATTACAACATTACAGATAATTCTCTTTTTGCTTGTTTCACATGGAGACCTTGGAGACTCAATTCACGTTAAGACACCTAAGTACGAGTCCTCCAGGTAAATATTACACAAATGGGAAGCATCTTGAATTTTTAAGTATATTTCAATACATAAATTTTTATGCATGCTTTAAACAAACAGTATTTTTTTTAAATGAGAGAATCTAACAAAAAAAGTCTGACCAGCACCAGCATTTAAATTTTCTGATTTTAATATTAGTCTGACATAGCGTTAGTAACCATGCTGCACTGAAACATGTAATGGTACAATCTGAATCATGATTCGTTAAATATTATACCCCACTTCCCCCAGAATATTTAGGCTGGTCATAAAGTTAAAAATGTGTAAGTAAGTACATAAGCATAATCAGTTATGGACAGCTTCTTGTATAAATTGCTATTCAGCAATACATAAACTGCCTCAAAGATTTATGCTTACAGGTAGACATTCAATTTACCAATAAAACAGCATGTTCTGAAAATATGGGCACATTTTAAAACATATTAAGACAGTTCTGTTAACCATAATAGTCCCACAGTATGACTGAGTAATAAGAATCTACTTCAAAAGAAAAAAAAAAATTAATCAGTATAGTGCATGATTGATTCAACATAGTTCCCAGGGAACAGACCAGTCACTCGATTGCAGACTCCTTCATACCAGCCATCATCATTCTTCTTTATAACATAAATGATTGCACCCTCCATAAATGACAGCTCATCATCCTTGTCTTTTGTATAATCATATATTGCAACAACTATGGAAAAAACAGTTGAAATATCACATGAGTGCACTATATCCAAAATTTACTTGAATTTTAAGACAAAGACAATTAAATATATAGCACAGCAAAACTATTTTTATGAAGATTTCTTAATTTTTGTATCTATCAATATAAGTAGGTCAGTGGCCAACCATGTACTTAAATCATTGGCTTAATCTTAGAGCCAAATGACAATCTGATTAGACTGAATACATCAATAGGTTCTGTCAATCACTTTAAGAAAGCTCTCTGAATTTTAGAATTTATTAGATGTTTCAATTCATTCAAATACCAAGTGCCTATCATATGCAAAGCACCGGCTTTTCAAAATAATTATCAGGCAAAGAAAGCTGCATAGCCATTCAGTAAACCAGGTAACAATCCAAGCTATCTAATTTGAAAAAACACAGTTACTGGAAGGTAAATCACATCCTACTCATTCAAGGACCCATGCTAATTTAAGGGACTGTCCCCAGATTTTTTTTTAAAGAATATTTACTTACTTTAAAGGATTTTAATTAATACTTAGAGAACTTTGCAATTCTGTGGTGTCTGTAATTTTTTCAGTTCAAGATACAGGTTGAGTAACCCTTATCTGAAATGCCTGGGATCAGAACTGCTTTGGATTTGGGATTTTCAGATTTTGGAATTTTACATATGCGTAATGAGACATCTTGGAGATGGGACCCAAGTCTAAACACAAAACTCATTTTTGTTTCACATACACCTTATACACATAGTCTGAAGGTAATTTTATTTTTCCCTTGGGAACACTGAATAAACTGTGTCATGTGCCTGCATTTTGATTGTGACCCATCACGTGAGGTCAGGTGTGGAATTTTCCACTTGCGGCATCATGTTGGAACTCATTTTGGATTTTGGAGCATTTTGAATTTGGGACTTTCAGATAGGGATGCTTAGCCTATATTCACTTCCTTTGCAAACTGCTATGGAAAGAGAAAGTAATCCAAAATGTATAAAATGGCCCATGGACAAATCCAAACCACGCAATTTTTGTAAATAAAGGTTTATTGCAATATGGCCACATCTACTTACTCATGTATTGTCTATGTCTGCTTTTACGCTACAATAGCAGGACTGAGTAGTTGTGACAGAGACTGTATAGCCAGCAAAGTTTAAAATATTTACTATCTGGCTTTATACCAAACAAAGTGTGCTCACCCCTAGTTCTTGGGAATATACTTTTTAATCCTCCTCTACTATCAAATATATTACCCAATATATCATTCCAAATTTGTCAACTTATATAAATATGGTCCCATTTTCACAGTTAATTGGCTTCACCAAGTAAGAAAATATGGGTAAAAACACAATTCAAGGTCACTCAAGTTTATCATCCTCGTAAGTAACAACAGCTCTCTATTTGAAGGTATATGGGAATCTCAAGTAGAATATTCAAGACTTTCTTAACAATATGTAAATTACTTACTGTTTAAAAATATAAGGCCACGCTCGGCTCATGCCGGTAATCCCAGCACAGGGAGGCTGAGATGGGCGGATCACTTGAGGTCAGGAGTTCAAGACCAGCCTGGCCAACATGGCAAAACCCCATCTCTACTAAAAATACAAAAGTTAGCTGGGCGTGGTGGCGGGCACCTGTAATCCCAGCTACTTAAGAGGCTGAGGCAGGAGAATTGCTGGAACCTGGGAGGCGGAAGTTGCAGTGAGCCGAGATTGCACCACTGCACTCCAGCCTGGGAGACAGAGCAAGACTCCATCTCAAAAAATAAAAAAATATAAAAGGAAAACAAATTTACTTTTGCCACATATCCAAAACTTGGGCAGGAAAGAATGCTGCTGGTCTCAAGAGCTACATCTACTAGCTTAAAGTCCGTTAACCCAGTAAAGTCAATAGAAGGAAATATATTTCAAAGGCAACCAAAAGTGTTCAACTAAATCACAAGCATTTTTCAGAACTCTATAGAAATACAGATTTTATTTTTAATTGATTCCCACTTCTGCAAAAAGAAATACAGATTTTAAAATAGCACAGAACTGGATGAAAAAATAAAAACTAGAAACAGGATTTGTTTCTTCCCCACCTATATTTCTTAATAGATAATTATAGTGAATATCGGGTACTATAGGTAAATTAGACTTTAGAGTAGTTCATAATTTCATGAAATACAATCCTGATAATTTCTCTTGTGTTTTATAAAATCACCTAATTGAAACCTTAATTGAGGCTTTTCTCATGATAGTACTAATATATTTTTAAAGACCGATGCTCCTCCACTTACATACAATGGGGTTATGTCCCAATAAACCCACTGTTTAGTGGAAAATATTGTAAATTGAAAGTACATTTTCAACTTGTATTTTTTTTACTTATAACAGGTTTATCCAGACAAAGCTCCATCATAAGTTGAGAAGCATACTGAATGCATATCATTTTTGTACCATCATAAAGTTGAAAAGATCCTAAAGTGAACCATCATAAATCAGGGACCGTCCATATTTAGATATGAAAGGTAATCAATAGAGCTTGACAGAACTTTTAAAATCTTTACTAATTACATATAACTCCATTTTTGTGCCTTAGCTGTTTCATCTATAAAATGCCGTCCAGCAAGTTAATCTTCAGCTGAACGCATATGTAGTTTGAAAGCAAATCTAACACTGCAACTTTTATTTAAAATACAAAGAAAGAATCCCCCTGTACACTGGGAATAATACAAAACTTAGGAAGTAAGGTTTAAGTAAATCATCTTGGTTGGTAAGGCAGTTTAAAAGGCTGAGAAACATTGGATTAGATGTTCTTTATAGTTCTAAATTTCTACAATTAGGTTATTTTCCTTCACATCAACTCAATGACTGTACCTTACCTTTCTCAATATAATTCTTGGGGGCCCAAGCAGGATCCCCATCTGCATATGGATCATTATACTGAACTACTGCAGCCTCCTCATCTTCATAATCCACTGGTGGTGGTGGTGGGGGAGGTGGAGAGTCATCAAACATGGGAATGTCATCTGGTGGAGGTGGTGGCGGTGGAGTTGGACTATCAGCAACTAAAAAGATTCATATGATTGATTTGAATCAAAAATAAGTCTAGATGGAAACTTATAAGTTAACAGAATTTAAGAAAGCTCTAACTTAAGTACAGCATGCACTATAATAAAACATGCAATGATTAGAAATAAAAGCTTGGTGTGTTAAAGTTTATGCTACTCAAGAATCATTTAAAAATAACAAAATGAGCTAAAAATAAGGGTATCTGGAAGTACTACAAATTAATGAATGCAGGGTGTTAGGAGACAATGTCTCTTTTTATAAGGATTATAGGAGTAGTTTCCTTATTCCAAGGTTCAGATCGGGACAAATGTTAACAATCTAAAATAAATCTATGTCACTTTTGTCATTTGGACTGCAGTAATGATATGAGTAACATTACGTTAATGGTTTGATCACTCTTCACTCTGCTCATTCATGCCCCTGATTTTGGCTTGAAACAGCTTTGGTTCCCTAAAAATTCAGTCTCCTGTGGACAGATTTTTGTTTCTTTGTTGATTATTGTTTGTTTTGATGAAGAGAAAAGTAAAGTTGGTAGTATTAGGTCTGCTTCTGTGTGCAGATTTTCTACTCTGTTATTTACATTTTACAAGTTGAAAAAATGGAAAAAGAATCCCCAACCAGTAGAAAATCTAATTGAGTATTTTTAAAAAGGTTTATATTCATAATTAGTTTTTTAATGTAGAAAGCAAGCTAAAATTTTGCATTATTGCTAGTAAAACATAAGCACGGGATGAGGGAAAGCCTAGATCCTAAAGATTCGATTTTCTAAGAATACATCAACAATTAAGATTTAAACATAAAGTGTTGAAGATGTAATTAAAAAAAACAAACAAAAAGGAACTTACAGTAAACAAAACAATAAAAATGACTCATACCTCAAACTCTAGATGGTCGTGGTCAGTATATATGTGTGTGCTTTACACAGTCAAAGGTGTAAACAGGGAAATGGGAAAATGTCAGGCTAGAGCTCTGTTCAATGAACTAGTATAATATCAGGTAAAAATGCTCCTAAAATTTAAAGAATTCAAAGCTGGAACCCAATTAATGCTTAACTTAAATTTCTGATCAATAAATTTCTTTAAAAGTTCAAAAGACATATGAAAATGTTTTCATACAAATTGATACAGGAATTACATAATTCCTGCAGGGGAGAAGTTCATAATACAAACATACTAAATCAAATGCCAATTTCTGGGGCTATTTACGTGATCAAAGAAATCAGCCATAATCTATCTGTCATATAGGTTTAAACGTTTAGTCTACCCTCCTTGGAATAATGTGCTGAATATACAACCAAGGGCTCCAGGTTTAAAATATTTGCAGATAATGACCCTATTTCCATAACCACTTCAATGCTGTGATTTCTATTTTATCCTCTCGAGGGATGAAAGGGCTATTAGAAAACAAACCCTATATGGTAATGCTCACTATAACACCTATCAAACGGGTCTACAATTAATTTTTCTGCCTCATTCCTAGATCCATTTTATCTTTGCCCATAACTTCCTCTATAAAACTTTTTAATATTATTGAGGAGAGGAAAATGGGTACAGACCCCTCCTGACATCAAACAGCCATAGTTCATATCCTTAATTTGGCTTAATGTGTAAATTATGTATGTTGGTACCTTGCATTTACTCTTGATTTATCACATTAGTTTAATGTTTTCACGAAATTGTCTTTATGTCCAACTGCTGTAAATCTACATGTCTTATCTTCAAATTATGGCGAAGGAAGTCTTGGTTAATCTAATTCTCTGCATAATCATAAAGAGATGTAAACACACTGCTGACTTTTTTAGAGGCTCATATCTTAAACTGAAATACTTATTAATAGGCTGCTACATGCATTCATTATCACCCACTTTGAGTGTCATAAGAAACTGGGTATTTAAGAGAACACATAAAATTTGTACTTCATAAAACGTTTAAAGTACTGATACATATTTTAACACCAATCCTCCTAACACACTTTCAAAGAAAACAGAAACCAAATAAAGTTAGGGAATCTGTGGCACAAGGAGAATCACTGACTGACCCAAGTTCATATGTTTGGTAAAAAGAACTAATATAGTACCAAGAGCCTCTTTAGCAAAGACCACACATGCCTAGAATAATGTACACTAATACTGGATTTCTATATAAAGAAAAGATTTACCAAATAGCTAGTCAGTCACTTTGGACCCACAAAACTGATGTTCATTATGGCTATTTTAAATTATTTCCTAATAATTCTTACTGATATGGCAGTTCAAAAGTTTACACTGGCCTTGTTTTTAAACTCTGCAGCATTAATGACCAGCAGTTTACCCTTACTCATTTATTTTTAAAAATAAGATTCACATCTATCTATCCATCCATCCATGCATTTATTTATTTTTGCACTCTATTTATTTTTGCACGTCTAGGCTGGAGTGCAGTAGTGTGATCATGGCTCACTGCAGCCTTGACGTCCTGGACTCAAATGATGCCCCAGCCTCAGCCTACCTGGTAGCTGGAACTACAGGCACATGCCACTACACCTGGCTAATTTTTTATTTTTTTGTACAGACAGTCTTGCCATGTTGCCCAGGCTGATTATTCATATCTTTTTAAATGTTTGCACACATTAGGGTTTTCAAACACATATTAACAGTAAGGATGGCTTACACTCAGAAATTTCAACATTACAAAACAACATTTTATAACAAGCCAATTGGATCACACATTTCCTGAAGGAAGGGGCTTTTGTCTTAAACTGCTGGTATTCTTCCCGGAGTCTGGCACGTAACATCGGGTACACAAATATTTGACTGGCAGGAGGGAGGGAATGGGGAGAATAACACAACAGGGTCAGCAAAAGCTGAAGAATGGAATTTGCCACAATATATTTTCTTGGAGGATAGGCTGGGCAAGTGGGTTATTCATTTGTTCAAACCATCCTGAGATTTATTTTCATGGTGATGGTCCAAATGAAGTAAATTAAAAATAGACCACATTACCATCAACAGCTTTTCTAGCATATTATAATTCAGTAATAGTGGTATTTTTCACTTTATATAAGATTCACTGTGATCATGCAGTTAGGATTACACATCTTCTGGAATTTCAAAAGTAATCAGGCAGTAATATAAACTAGTCTATCCTGATTAAAGCCATATATCCAAAATAACTTCTCCCCCCCCACAAAAAAAAATCCCTGAACTTCATTCGAGAGAAGATCTAAAAAAGTTAACTGATTTTCATATTCAGGAACAATCTTCGTGGGCCTGGATGTAGCCAAAATGTGAAAAGGATGCTAAATTGCTTATCACTCACACTGAAATGGATAGCATGAATGTAATTTACTTATTCCTGGTCATTCAATCTTATCCTAACAATGAACCTTTACGTAGGTTCAATATCATGTATGTACAAAAATCTGAGGCTACAAAGCTTTCCCTAAAATTTTGAAATTAAGGGGGGAAAATCTGCCCCAATTTCATATTAAATTTAATCTTACAGTATATCTACCTATCTCTTGATAAATTTATTAGAATTAAAAATGTCTTCTAATTCTAGTAACTGTTAGAAGCTAAAAGTTTCCATATAATTTGAATTTTTGTGTTTGATTATTCTTTCCTTAAGAATATGTAAAGATCAGATCTCCTGTTTTAGGATCATGTAAAGACATAAGAAAATTGCAGCTTTGAAATTTATATGGGTCAGTAACCATGCACACAAAGAGAAAAAACTGAAGACCGTGCTCTTCAGTTTCAGTAACATGTCTGCACCTATTTTCAAGATTAGCTTCTCAATAAAAGTAAGGAAAACGATGACTCATCGTCAGCCATGCATGCTATAAGGAGACAGCCTCTACTCTTCCATAGCTCAGTTTTTCCAAACTTACTGTTTTCCTGCACCCTGGCCACGAAGCCTGTGAGAGGTATCTGTGGAGTCAACTGAGGCATAGGGGGAGGGGGTGGAGCAATAGAAACTGGTAGCAACAACACAGTATGGGGGAAGTAAAACAGATAAAGGAAAGAAAAGGAAACAAACAAAAAGCAGAAGTCAGTTACAAGGACCACAAACATAAGTATGCAAAGAACAGTTTGCAAATGAAACAAAACAAAACAAAAAACAAAACAAAAACCTGCAGAACCTTGGAGTACATTTCCCACAAGCAAACCTAAAGGCCAAGTTGTGCTTAGCCAATTAATTAATTTTATAAAAGAACAAATATACTTAATTCAATCCTAATGTTACATTGTTTGGGGAGGATTTAAATTTACCATCACATTCACTTTAGTAAAATAAAATTTTCAAATTCTAAGGAAAGACTTCTAAAATAGGTAACAATGAAATACCTACATAGGTTTCCAGAATATTGTGTCTTTGCCATAGCTATAACAGGTTTGTCTAGCTTTAAGGTAATGTTGTAAATTAGGACCCAAATAAATAAAACAAATATATAATAGCTATTTATTTCATATATCAATAAAAATATTAATCACAGGTTTCCTTTAAAGACAGTTCTTATTATATATCTAAATTCACACACAGCTCTCCAGGAAAAACTCTTGTTTGTAAAACAAGGTTGTTATTTTTTTAAGTTGGCAATTTTATGTTTAAAAATATCAGTCCTAAATTTACAAGGGAATATATCATGTTAATCAGTCAGAGTTTCATGGGATATCTCAAAAGTGACCTTTTCATCACTGTTCTGAAAAAGGAAACCTGATCTCCAATAAGTTAAAATACGTAGTTCTTTGCATTAAAGTAATTTTTAACAACTCATTGGATAGCTTGAAACACATTCATATGCATTTGTGGAGATGACATAATTGACAGGAAATTAATACCAAATACTCATGTATTAAAAATTATAACATACACTAGAAGTAAACATTCATATGTTTGTGACTTTGTCTCACTTTAACAAGACAGTAATTGCCAAAGATTGCTTAGAAAAAGTCAGTAGGACTAGATAGCAAAATTTAGTCTATCGGTAGTCACCAAGTAGTAACACTAAATTGATAGAGAAAAACAATTTATTGGTTACCAAGGATTAATCAAAAGGTTGTTTCAATTAATCCAACATGCAAATTCTGTTGGTAAGCATAAAAATTTGAAAGAAGTTCAGTGTTCAAAGAAGTAACAAAGCAATTATGTGCATTAATATTCATTGTATAGCTAAAGATAACATTCAATTCACTATGAAAGCAATCCTATTTCATTCTAATACTCTATAGAAGGCTCCTAAATAAAAGGTTAGAGGTTTTGACTTAAAAAACAAAAAACTCTCACAAACCTAAAAAAGTGTTTAGAAACAACTCTTAGTAACTAGCCATGCTGGTTAGTATGTAATGAAAAAGAAAAGCTATGCTGTGAAGATACTAATCATTACTACATTTAGACAGAAGGGAAAATGTGCACATCAAAACACTAAAAACATTCACGTACTACTACTACTACTACTACAACACCAACAGTAACTCAGATTGAAGGATAATTAATTTGACAAAACATAATAATTTATTTAAAATCTGAGGCCAAATTTGCTTTCCAATATTCAAAAGAATGTGGTCATTAATTAAAGTATACGGTTTGAAAATAATCCACACAAGCATTGCTAAAATAAAACTATAAAACTATGTATTATATAAAAAAGTCACAAAAATCCTATTTGCAGAGTAAATTAAATGTCTAAGTGGGGAAAAGAAAAATAATACACAAAAAGATGGGATCTAAAAATTCAGAATATGAAAAAAATAAAGTTGATGAAACAAGTGAAGTGAATTATTAGATAATCTGGAATATTTAGACAGACACTGGCTACCTTTTGATACCAAATGTTAGGTAAAATCCTATTTAGTGAAGTTTAACACTTCTCAGTAGCTTTAATATTTTAGTCTGGAAAAAAAGCTATATAAATTTTGGGATTATTTGTGAATTTTGATATTTCTGATAAAGTGGTTTTCAATTCTTAGGAATTTTTGCTATAACATAATTTATGTTTAAAATTTAAACAAAAAACTAATGAGAACTTTCAGTGGCTCACGCCTGTAATCCCACCACTTTGGGAGGCTGAGGTGGGTGGATCACCTGAGATCAGGAGTTCGAGACCAGCCTGGCCAACATGGTGAAATGCTGTCCCTTCTAAAAATACAAAAATTGGCTAGGTGTAGTGGCAGGCGCCTGTAATCCCAGCTACTCAGGTGGCTGAGGCAGGAGAATCGCTTGATCCTGGGAGGGTGAGGTTGCAGTGGACCGAGATCGCGCCACTGCACTCCAGCCTGGGCGACAAGAGTGAAACTCTGTCTCAAAAAAAAAAAAAAAAAAAAAAAAAACTTTCCCCTAGCTCTGCTTTAAAATACATATACAGGTCATTCATTATAAATAAAAAGAACTTAAAGCAACCTCCTATGTAAATATGGAGAATTCACTGAGTATTAAGTGTTTTTATATAAACAAAAATAACATGTGGCTCTAGAAAGAGCCACAAAAGCCATGTAGGAAAGCTTGTCTCATTCTATGCCCAGTGGGCACAACTTTTTAAGCTAAAAGCAAACAGTGGACAACAGGTTCATTTCTAATTTTGTTTTTTTTCCTTTTTGCATTGAACATCTTAATATGGAAAGTGATATTAATGACTACCCTACACTATTCTAACTTCCTAACATTATATGCTAAAACTATTTTCTTTTCTTACCAGCTTTTAAACACTGACTGCAATTAGTGTTGAGATGTGCAATTTGAGGTAAACAGAAAGAAATCAAAAGAAATTCCCACCATTAGAATTATTCAAAGACAGAGTAATTAAGCAGGCATCACAAACAGTTTTAATCGGTTTTGAACTCATTTCTGAACACGTTAATGACCTTAAAAGTGATAGCCAGCAATTTCATTATATTAATTTGAAGGAAAACTTTGACAATGTTTGTGTCTTTAATTTTACCATTACTACGCTGTCTCAAACATGCCAATAAATTCAGTTTATTTCTGCAATGTTTTTGTTCTCTAGTTCTACTTATGTAATAAAATCGCATATTAAAGTTAAATTTTGGTATACTCAATATAGACACGTCTCGATAAATTTAGTTAAGTATACTTGGTAAGTCTAAATTTTGGAAGAGAAAGTGGTAAACAATTACTCTTAAAATGGTATGATTCAAGGACTAATATCCTAAAACAAAAATAAACATGAAACATCATGGTTTTCAATTGTTGTCTATCACTGGCAAGAATAACAGTTTCAAATAATTTCCTTCAAAAGGAGCTCCACTGTTGCTGTATGCCTGCAAAGCACAAGCTTACTTGAATTTTGAGAATAAAGTGGACCTCCATTAACATGAGGCTGAGCAGAAAATTGAGCAGTCACAGAGGGAGTTCGTCTGTATCCACCAGAAGATGTCGAAGAAGTAGTAGAGTTGTGTCGAGATATCTGCCTGGTCATTGTGCCATACTGGGAACCAGGAGCTGAGCCCGGGGCTGCTGAAAAGCATTAGTCAAAGGCAACCAACAAAGAGACTTGAGCATTGTAATCACCTTAGATGGCAGAACAAAGCAGGAGGGGGCCTCAGTAAGAAATATTTATTACTTTTTCAAGACCAAGGCACAAAATAAAGAGAAAAGTAAAGATAAAAATCAGTAACTTTATCTCCAAAGTCAAAAACAGAGAGAAAAAAAAACAGCTGCATGGAAAGCTGCAAAAGTAAATAAGTAATATTCTCAAGCTTTTAAAAACCATAATCCCAAATGGTACTTTGCTAATATGATATATAAATTTTTTGTGCATTTTCAAATACATAGCTTTTATATGTAAATTGTCTTTCCAATAAAATAAGTACCAAAAGATGGTGTGAGGTAGGAAGCATCAGTCTTTAGATATAAGTAGATTCATGTCTGAGTTACAAATTTCTTCCTTTCCACTGACAAAACTTTCAGAATTTTGATTTGGCTAGATAGAGTCTTATAATGATAAGTCTCTATCTAGCCAAATCCAAGTTAAACAATAAATTTTTATTTACTAATATTTTTGAGTTTTTATTGAATTAGCAGTTATTAGTATCAATACATATTAAGTAAAATCATTTTTAAGAAATGTGCCATTTCTCGTTTCAAAGCACTTTCATGTAATGTCAGATTTGTTGTAGATCTCCAAAGTTTTAAGATTAACATACATTTTCCCTATTAAATTTTTATAACTGACAGAAGCAGAAAATTTTTTGACTCTATAAAATATGGCATTTTAAGGTAGTTTTGTTTAGCAAATCTATTCTCTTTCTCCATGCCTGGAGGGCTTCTTTTTCATAGTACATCCAAAGAATCTGCTTTTAAAAAAAAAAAAAAAATTAGCATGCTCATATATTTTCATCAGTTAATATCGAAACTGATGAAAATATTAATACTTAACATTGTATTAAGTGTCATCTTTCCCAACATTTCAAAAGTTTCATATTTAAAATGTTAATAGAGTTCAAAGCCTCTAAAGTTAACTATACTTTCCAAAGTTAACTTTGGGATTATTATTATTTTCCTTGCCCCATCTAAACAACAAACAATGACAGAGTAAGTAAAAAGCCAGCGTCCTAGTTTATCTTCATTCAGTTGTCTAATCCTTCTTAGAGGTCACACAAGGTATCAGATAAAACCATACAGCAGAGGTTGTTCATTAAGAGAAGTGCTGATCTAACATTTTGGAACTCCCAAGTCATAGGCAGTCACCAATTATTTGAATCATCCACATGCTCATTTTCTAAATAGAAACAGTTTAAAAATAATTGTCTATTCAAAAGCCTTCGTGAATAAGTAATTTTGGACAGCTAGGTTTTTCCAGAGAGCCAAGAAATAAGCCTTTAAGGGCCAGGTGCAGTGGCTCATGCCTGTAATCCCAGCACTTTGGGAGGCCGAGGCAGGCGGATCACCTGAGGTCAGGAGTTTGAGACCAGCCTGGCCATCATGGCGAAAACCCGTGTCTACTAAAAATACAACAATTAGCTGGGCATGGAGGCATATGCCTGTAATCCCAGCTACTCGGGAGGTTGAGACAGGAGAATCACTTGAACCCGGGAGATGGAGGTTGCGTGAGCCAAGACAGCACCACTGCATTCCAGCCTGAGTGACGGAGAAAGACTCCATCTCAAAAAAAAAAAAAAAAAAAAAAAAAAAAGAGTAAGCCTTTAACTGTTTTTTTTTTAATTTATTTTTTTATTTTGGGTAAAGAGTCTGACTGTCGCCCAGGCTGGAGTGCAGTGGTGGGATCACAGCTCACTGAAGCCTCAACCTCCTGGACTCAAGCAATCCTCCTACCAGAGCCTCCTGAGTAGCTGGGGATATAGGAGAGTGCCACCAAACCCATCTAATTTTTTATGTTTTGTAGAGACAGAGTCTCACTATGTTGCCCAGGGTGGTCTTGTCCTGGGCTCAAGCAATCCTCCCACCTTGGCCTCCCAAAATGCTGGATTACAGGTGTGAGTCACCACTCCCAGCCAACCATTTTTAATAGAAATCTCTGTAAAAGGATTTTACATTTCTCCGGCTTGTATAAAAAAGTGTACAGAAATCGAGTTATTTTTATTGGTGATTCAAGAACAAAAGCCAATCATTTAGCAATTCTGAGCCTATTTTAGAATTTAACATTTTATCATAAAATAAATAATGCCAAAGAGTGTGTGACTTATATGCATAATTATATGTTATACATGTGAATTATACACATACATGTGTGTATAAAAAAATTTAAATAATATACAGCTCAAGAAATCGAATATTAACAAGATCACTGAGGCTTCCTGTGTGCTCCTCTCCTGGATTCCAACCCCCACAAGGTGTATGTTAAACATTCTCTTTCTTCTGTAAATAGTTTTTGTCATATATATATATATATATATATATATATATATATATATATATATACACACACACATACACATATATAACCTTAAACAATACACACAGTTTTTACAAATTTATAAACTTTTGTAATGGAATCAATCTGTACATATTGTTGAATTGCTCTTTTTCCTTGATAATATTTTCAAAAATTCATCCATGTGGCTATGCATATCAATGTCATTCATTTTTGCTATTTTATTTGTATGTAAATATATCATAATTTATTTATCCATTCTACTACTATTAGACATTTTGGTTTGAGATTTGTGCTATCAATACTACTGCTACGAACATTCCTAAATATAATTCCTGAATCTCTAGGACAGTGGTTCTCAAACTTCATCATTGATCAGTATTTCTTCTTGAAGCCTTGTGTTTTGTTTAAGATGGGGTCTCACTCTGTCACCCAGGCTAGAGCGCAGTGGCACAATCTCAGCTCTCTGCAACCTCCACCTCCCAGGCTCAAGCCATCCTCCCACCTCAGCCTCCCAAGTAGCTGGGGCTACAGGCATGCATCACCATGCCCGGCTAAATTTTTTGTATTTTTTGCAGAGATGAGGTCTTGCTATGTTGCCCAGGCTGGTCTTGAACTCCTGGATCAAGCAATCCGCCTGCCTCAGCCTCCCAAAGTGCTAGGATTAGAGGCGTGAGCCACTGTGCCCAGCCTTACAGCTTGTTATAATATAGACTGCTGTATTATAACAGCAGAAACTCCCATCCTCAAGAGTTTCCCGATTGAAGCAGGTCTAGAAGGGACCTGAGAATCTGTATTTCTAACTAATTCTCAGATACTGATTGTCTGGGGATGACACTCTGAAAACCACTGTTCTAGGACAGCAGTTTTCACACTTTTTGGTCTTAGGGTCCACTCTTAGACAACCCCAAAAGCCTTTTGTTGACATGGGTTATAGCTGTAGATAATTACCATATTAGATACTGAAACTGATATATCTTTAAAACATATGAATACACAAGTACACATTTCATTAGGAGTCAAAGCAATGACTTTATCATACTTCATGCAGCTTCTAGAAAATTCTACCGTATAGTTATAACAGAATGAGAATGAAAAGGACAAATAATGAATAGAGCTCTGACCTCAAAAACTTCATGAAAGGATCTTGGTAATCCTCAGGGGTCCCTTAACCATATTTTGAGAACTAGTGCTCTAGGGTAAATATGTAGAAATGAAATTGATAAATCTAGGGTAGGTACATGTTCAACTTGACTAGGTATCAATAAATTACTTTCTGAAGTGAGTGTATACATTAATAAACTCCCACCAGCAATTTGCTTTCCTCACCAACACACATCCTCACCAACACTGGTACTAGCTAACTTCTACCTTTTTACCTGTCTGCTGGATATAAAATAGTATCTCACTGTGGTTTTAATTTTAATTCTTCTGGTTATTAATTGGGTTGAGGCTATTTTTTTCTCACAGATTTTCTACCAACAATTTCTATTCTTAGGGTCTTCATTTTACTACCTCCTTTCTCCCTTTTCCTTGGTATGTGCAAATGTTTGGAAAAGATGTTGTTAGACAGCTTTATTTCACTTAACCTGAAACTCAGCTCTCATTATTTGAAACACCTCATTATCCATTTCTACCCAGATTACTGTGATTGTGTATTTCTAGACTCAATGGTTTTTACATTGACATTTAAAATATATTTAAAATTCCTTATATGCTCAGTTCAGTCATCCCCAACTTGTGAACAATTTAAATGCATTTTATCGAGAAAACTATTTCATGGCATCCTGAGATGTCATAAAAACTGGGCCATATCAGAGTTTTTCAAACTATGATCCACAGGAAAGCCTCAGAGTACCCCATCCCACACATATCGTTTGCCTTTCAATTTTTCTCCTCCTGTCCCCACCTTCACCCTGATCCTTTGACTGTTGTATATACCAGAGAGTTCCAAATTAAGTTTCACTTGTGCGGGGCAGGGGGGATTAGACTAGAAAAATCTAAACAAACAACAAATTAAAAACACATTAAGTTGGTTATAAACCAAGCATTTCATATTATAGAAAAAGTTGTTTTATATTTGTTTACTGTATAAGTGCAGAAGCCTTTCACCAGAAGTTAGTGATATTAGATTTAATACTTTAAACTTTGTATTATCACCTGCAACCTAATAACTATAAAAGCCAGCACTCTACTAGCACAGAGGAGTTTATTATGAATTATGTAAAGTGAGTTCAATGGCTCCAATGGCTATGCAATCTCACCTATCACAGTGCTCACTGGGAGAAGTGGTGCCAGAGGTGGTGCTGGTGGAGCTCCAGAAGGAGGAGGGACAGAAATGTTTTCTAATAAAATAGTTTATAATTCAGGTCAGAGTACAAGAAAAGAAAACTCAACATTTTGAAACAGCAAGAAAGTACAATGTATCGGGAAGAAAAAGAAAAAAGATACCCCCATGTAAAGCATGCTCAAATGAGTATGAATTTTGTACATAAAGAGGCTACCGAGTTTATACCTGCCTTAACTATCAAATATGCCTATGTTTATAAGTGGCTTTTTCTCCTTTTTCAAAAATATGCTTGAAAAGCTAAGAATTTCTTTCCTAACATTTTTCATTATCATACTTTAAAAATATACATTTTTAACAATATAAAAAGTCTCCATTTCATTTACTAAAAATCAAGGGGCTAATTCAATGCTCTCCAAGGATTTCTTAAATTTTCATGCTTTCTAAAAGTAACTTTCCTATCTTAATTTTATTTTACATTTATTGCATTTTACTGAAATATATATTGAATATCATAGATAAATGTAGTAAAGTCACAAAATAAGCAAACACCAGAGTAGATACTGGCCTGTAAAGCAACATTAAAACTCTTAGAAACATAATTCACCTTTATAGACACTGATTCTCCAGCTGGAGTATCGTACAATACTGGTTTGCTCTTGAAATAATAAATGTCATTCTTGACTAGTATGCGAGGCAAATACAGTCAGCCCTCCATATCCATGGGTTCCTCATCCCTGGATTCAATCAACCATAGATCAAAAATATTTCAGGGAAAAAAATAGATGGCTACATCTGTCCTGAACATGTGCAGACTTATTTTTCTTGTCACTATTCCCTAAACAATACAGTATAACTATTTAAGTAGCACTTAATATTTTATTAGGTATTACAAGTAATCTAGAGATGATTTAAAGAATATGAGAGGATGTGTGTAGGTTATATGCAAATACTACACCAGTTTATAGAAAGGACTTGAGCATCCATGCATTTTGGTATCCGCAGGGGACCTTGGAACCAATCCCCCATGGACACTGAGGAATGAATATATTTCTAAAGCAAAATGGCCAACAAAAAGTTATTTAACAAAACTACTTAATATGCAGTATATATAAGGAGAAACAGCTGGTGAAATCCTAAAGACTTTGTGAAAAGCAATCTAAAAATATTGTTAACTTTGTTATCAGCCTTTATTCTAGCAACGATCACAAATTTAATTAATAATTTTACTCAATATGACTAATTTATTTCAGCCTTCCACAATAAAGCTCATAAATATTATCATGTATTAAACATAGATTAATAAATAACACACCTGGTCCAATAGTGGGTGGCGAAGGTGTAGGCACAGCAATGGGAATGCCAATACTACTGCTACCACTGTTTTCTCGACTTCCACTTCCTCCACTACTTCCACTGAAAAGAAAAAAAAAAACTGTGAAAAACCAATTCTAGAGACATATTTAAAAAAAAACTGTAATCACCCAAGGCCACTAAATACTCCTTTTATGTCATATAGTCATCCCTCAGTATCCTTGGAGGACTGGTTTCAAGAGCCCCCTTGGATACCAAAACCCATGGATGTTCAAGTCCTGCAGTTGGCCCTACAGAACCAGTGGACATGAAACATTGGTTTTCCTTATCTACAGGTTCTGCATCCCATGAATACTGTATTTTCAACCCGAGACTGCCTTACTCTGGGGATGCAGAACCTGAGGAAGAGGGGAAGGGAAGGAGGGAGGGAGGAAGGGAAAGGAGAGAGGGAGGGAGGGAGGGAGAGTGGGAGGGAGAGTGGGAGGGAAAGTGGTAGGCAATGGGAGGGTTGGTGGGTGCAGGTGGGTGGGGGTGTGTGTGTAACAAGAAATTTTTAAGTTATTCATCACAAATCTTAATCCTAATATTTGAAATGGTTTCCTCTACTTCTCAACCTATCTGGAACCAATATAATGATAACACAGTACTTAAAACCATCTCTGTTGAAATATTTATCACCAACAAAATCTTATAGTACGAGTCAACAATTGTTTATTCAAAACCTGCTATGAAGAGCAGTGAACAATGCAGTCATGAACTACACCATCTGAAGTTCATAATGGGAAAACTGACATGAAAAGGTAATGTAATAGATACAACAAAAGAGAAAGTACAAATGATGTGGAAGTAAATTAAAAGGGTACTCCGTTCTAGTCTAAAATTAATATGAAACTTCCTCTCATCTCAAAGAAAGGTGATAACATAGGGAAATTTTCTGGAAAATAAGCATAACGACAAAGAAAGACAATAGTGAAGTTTCAGTGTGGACATTCTGGAATAGTTGCTACTGATAAACTCTAACCAACTCCTCGCTATTCTACTTCCTGTGGATGTACTGTCCTGTTAGCTCTAGGACCTGGCTCCCTCTAGTTGTTTCTAGTAAGGTATAAGATCTTGTGCCATCCAGTTGTTTATAGTAATGTGTGTACATGTGTAAAAACATATATTTGTGCACATGCAGCCTTAGGCTCCATATTATGTTTTAAAATCTACATAATTTGCTCAATAAGCCCAGAAATTCAAAGGGCAAAGATTTGCAATGCCTGGATAAGATTTTTATTTTCTTCTGCAATATGATCATTCTATAATTAGATTATCATATGTTAATGGAAGAAAAAGAAAAAAGTCATTTATAAAACAGACATAGCTTAGATGTGAAGACCTCCCTAACTCCCTCAAGCCAGGTGATCAATACTTAGCTTTGTGCTACCACTGCATCATAGACATATGAATATTTATGCTCTTATTATGCTCCTCTTCAATTACTGTCTTTTTTCCAACAAGGGGTTGGCAAATTATGGCCTGTGGGCTAAAACTGGTCCATTGCCTGATTTTTACTACCTGTGAGTTAAGAATGTTTTTTATATTTTTTAATAGTTAAAAAAATCAAGAGGAATAATATTTTGTAACACATTAAAATTATATGAAATTAGAATGTCAGTGCTATAAATAAAGTTTTACTGGAACACAGCCACATTCATTTACGTATTGTCAATGGCTGCTTTTGTGCTACAATGACAGATCTGAGTAATTGCATCAGAAACCATATATATGGCCCACGAATCCTAAAATATTGACAATCTGGCCCTTTATAGAAAAAGTTTGCTGATCCCTGTTCTAACAGAATGAGCTCTTGAAAAAAGAACTATGCCCTATTGACAAATGCCTAGTATCTAATGAAACAACACTTAATAACTGCTTGTTGAATATGATTAAACTATGCTTCCACTATAGAGAAAAACTATACTTTGATCCAAGAGTTCAATAACAACAAAGAGAACAATTTTGTTCCTCAAAGAACTTGACCTGATACAGTAACTGCAGATATCAACTTAACAATTTGTTTACTAACAGCACCAATAGTAATAAATACCGCTTACCTAGCATCTCGCATCTTGATATACCCTATTTAGTGGAATTCCCATAAATCATTTTGATAAGTTATCTCTCATTTACCAACCTAAGAGTGAAGGCAAAAGAGAGGTTCCCTGCCCACGTTATTAAGTGAGAGAGAAAACTGAAGAATAAAACAAATTTGGTTATATAATAAATTTATCTGGTTTTATAAAGCACTCAAAAATTGAAGTGGCTATATTTTGGGGGAAGAAGGTCGAGGCGATAACCAGGAAGGAGCATGAGGGGCTTCTGGGTTGCTGGTAATGTTCCATTTTCTGATCTGGGTGATGGTTATATGAGTGTGTGTCCATTCATCAAGCTGTATACTTACTGAAGTGGATACTTTTCTGAATGCTTGTTATGCTCTGTAACTAAATTTTTAAAAACCCACCGGGTAATTGACTTTTAGGACATTTAAAAATAATAAATACAAGGCCAGGAGCGGTGGATCATGCCTGTAATCCCAACACTTTGGGAGGCCGAGGTGGGTGGATCACCTGAGGTCAGGAGTTAGAGACCAGCCTGGGCAACATGGTGAAACCTCATCTCTACTAAAATACAAAAATTAGCCAGGCGTGGTGGCATGCACCTGTAATCCCAGCTACTCTGGAAGCTGAGGCAGGAGAATTGCTTAAGCCTGGGTGGTAGAAGTTGCAGTGAGCCGAGATCGCGTCACTGCACTCCAGCCTGGGTGACAGAGCTAGACTCCATCTCCAAAAAGATAATAATAATATTATTATTATAACAACATATTCTAGTATACTGATTCTCTTAAAAAAATCTCCCTCAGATTTAAGCTTAATCTTCTTTCCTTCAATCTCTGAAAGTTTAAATCACGTTGTATAATTCCTATGATATTTAATCTTTTCTCCAAAAGTATTTGAGTGGTTTGCCTTGAATTTTTTTAAAAGAGCATTTTAAAACATTCTTAGGGCTGGGCACAGTGGCTCACACCTGTAATCCCAGCACTTTGGGAGGCCGAGGCAGGAGGATCACCTGAGGTTGGGAGTTGGAAACCAGCCTGACCAACATGCAGAAACCCCGTCTCAACTCAAAATTAGCCAGGCGTGGTGGCTCAGGCCTGTAATCCCAGCTACTTGGGAGGCTGAGGCAGGAAAATCGCTTGAACCTGGGAGGCAGAGGTTGCAGTGAGCCGAGATCGCACCACTACACTCCAGCCTGGGCAACGAGAGCAAAACTCCGTCACAAAAAAAAAAAGAAAAAAATTCTTTAGTCTTAACCCGTAGAGTCTGATAGAGTCTGTACCTCTATCAAAAGGAGGAAATACAAACAATCCATTAATAGTACAAATAGATGTTTTAAAAAGTTAAAAAAACAAAACAAAACAGAAGTTATAACACAAACTTACAGGAACATATATAATATTATTCCCCCAACTTTTACATTTTATATTAGCATTAGAGTGGCACCTCACCTTTACTCAGCACCTCCATAGGAGTTTGTCGCCAGTCAGTTACACCCACTTTAGAGATGTTGAGATACTCAACCTAAAGGCTTACCTGTGTGTCCTTGGTCTCTGATTTAAAGATGCTGTCCTGCCTGGACTATGCTGACTTCCAAGCCTAGCAGGACTGGTCATATAGTCATTAGGAACTGTTGGGGGTTTAACAGGTTCCAGGGTTTTATAAGGAGTATTCCGTCTAAAGGAGCATAGTGGAGAAAGGAATAATGAATAAAAAAGATAAAATTGTATTTTTCCCAAAAATATGTGAGTCTCCCTTTGTGACCATGTATACCAGGATTTAAAAATATATATGACAAAGTTTGTAATTTTAAAAAATATTCTTCACTGGGATATATGAATTTTGTTACTTTAACATGAAAACTAAAATTTGTTACCTTTTCCTAGGAAAAACATAGGAAAGGGTAATTTAAAGTCCTAACCTTATTTCTAAAAATTATGGTTATAATTTTTTAAATGCTCAATAATAGCAAACTTTAAAATGTACATTTTTCTCAGTACAGTCACCCATAAGCCACTGTTCTTTAAACAGGAAGCTAAATTTATTTACATAGGAAGCTGCAATTTATTCCCATCTCAATATGGCAATAAATGGAGATATACATTCTAATCATTACTTTCTCAATAAATGATTTCGACTATTCTGTTTAATAACTTCATTTTTTTTTTCAGGGGCAGAGGGTTTAATGAATAAAAATGAAAACTAAGACCTTCTTAAAAGAAGACTGATTGTTGAACAACCCCTCTGCCAAAAAATAAGAAATCCAATATAATATTTCCAGTATTAAGAAAAACAACCTTAAAGAAATATAATGCTTTGACAAGTATTCGCTATATTTAGTACACTGAGAACTAGGAAGGAAGAAGCCACTGTTATCTTTTCTACTTGCCCAACTGGCCTTCCCATGGAGCTACTCTAGTGTGAAGAGGCCTAAGATTACCAGCAGAAGCATAGTTACAAGTAAAGTGCATACTTTCCTAAAGTAAAGAGTCCCTAAGTCTCAGACACCAATAGGCGAAACAGAAGAGCTGTGGACTAAGCCATACTACACAAAAGTAGACCACTAGTCAAAGTTCTACAATATAGATACTGTAAACACATGCAAAGGCACCATTTGGAATACTCTAATCATTCCATTTAAAACAAACAAGTCAGATTTATATTTTTTAAAAATTAGATGACAAAAAAATAAATCATGCCATTTATACATACATAAAAACTTTCCTAGTACAGATTATAGAGAATATTACAAAGCTGGCAGATTCATTTGGGATTCTGTTCAGGAAAATAGGAATTAAAATGAATTTGTAAAAGGTAGCGTCACATAGAGAGGGTAGTGTGGCATGGATCCCATACACTTACTTAAGTCACAGAAACATCTTTTCCTTTAGCATATGAATTCTTTTGCAAAATGTAGTTGAATTCTTACCCCAGTGTTCCCCGGCCTGACATGGGAGGACTTGGCGGTTTCTGAGTAGGAGGATTTGTTCTCGACAGTGTGCCAGTTCTTGCAGGCTGGTTATTTCCATGCTAAAATGTAGAAAGAAATGCTTTTATTTTTATATCAAATTGTTCTCCTGGTGTTTTAACACCATGTATTATTTTTTTTAAATATCAGAATGTGAATTAAGGATTCCCAGACAGTTTGAATAAAGACTTTGGTACTACAGTTTAAAAAGTCAAGGAACCACTTGCACTTGGTCTTCCTATTATTTTATGCCATTTATATCACATTGTAGCCAAATACAGGTGAGATGACTGGATTTAATATCTTATTTTATTGTTAAACATGTTCACTGAGATCAAACTTATCTGCATTCAAACACTGGGTTTCCTAAAATTTTTGAAATGTGTGCATGAACACAAACTATAGATCTTACTTGTCAATTTGCTCAAATACGCATCTGAAAAATCATCTTCATCCTAACAATTCAGTAACAAAGTCACATATGATGTCTGGGAAACCTCCTAATTGTAAGTCAATGAAAGCAAGGCAACTATCGAAAAATGAGCAAAGCAATAAATGTTAGCAAAATTAATGTTCCTATATAAACACAGATGTCAATATATCATTGATATATTAACACAGCCAAGCTAAATGTTGCTTATTTGAACTGAACTTGAGTATTAAATAATCTACATAAATCCTACAGGGAAAAGCAGACAGACATAAGAAGAGTTTTCAAATTTTAGTGGCTCTGCAGCCTCTATCAATACAGAGGAAATACTGTGGATCAAATGATAAGTAATGGCTCTTACCTTGGCTTTTAGCCACTTTACGTTGGCAAAAAAAGGGGGGGAAAAAGTAGACATTAATGCTAGGTAAGTTATATCCGATAGGACAGGTTTACATTTACAGTTACTCAATTCATGTTAATAAGCTTTTTTCCAGCCATGTTTCAACTACTTTGTAAAGAAAAAGAGATCCATACGTACTGGGGAAATACTCATGTGTTTCATGTATTTTTCAAAAGAATTATATTCATAAGGAAACCACCACTTAATTATTCCAATCTCATGCAGGCTCAATGATTTTTTAAGTCAGTATTTTGTCCTATGGAACTAATCCAACCGAGTAACAGATGATTTTAAAAATACGCTCATTTAAATACAAACACCATAACACATTAGATGTGAAGCTATTTTAACATATCGGTGCATGAGACCTAACACTTTACTGGATAATGAATGTCCAAGTATGAGTATTCATTACTTCAATGGTAGTATAGTTTAAAAAGTGATAAACTGCAAACATTAAAATTCAAAACCACAGATTGCTTCCAAAAATGAAAAAAGGACCTAGTATCTCGATGTTTAAAAACAAATTCATCATGCACAGTGATAACTTAGCCAGATTCTAACTAAGAAATAAACAAACAGGGTCTGGAAAACTCTCTCATTCCTAGCTTCTGAACCCCAATCCTGTGCAGGCCAACACTAATAGGAAGTTCTAAGTAGCTTTAGTTCTAAGTTTTCATCTGAGCCAGTTAAGTCAAAATTCAAAGTTGAAGAAAAGTTGTTTTGATCCTAAAGGCTACTTCTATTAAAGCTGACTAGCCTACACAACATGAAACAATGTGTAGTCCTAAAGCATCACTACTTGTACAATGCCACTAAAAAAAAATATCTTCAGGTTTTAGAGTCTAATTTTTTACAGATTTGGGGGCTTCAAGCTTTTTTTTTTTTTAAATAACATCTGACATTCTCAACAAGTAACTACCATTTTTCAGGTGGCCACAAGGCAGTATCAAAGGAAATCATCCAAAGGAGAGATTTGGTGTCTTTTGGATACATTCTCATTTATAGAAACTGTGCGAGAAATTTGGTACACTTCAATATTTGTTTAAAATGATACTGCTTACTTCTATCTGGAAACAACATCTGGTACCCTACCTAACCATGACATTTCACATCTAGAGAATAAATTTTGAGTATAACATTATTAGGATCCTTGAAGATAAAATACACTAATGTATACTTCAGTATCTGTATTATGATATATACTATACATGTATAGTATATACTTACATAGCAATGTATATCTTATAATGTATATACATAATACTAAATACTATCCTAAAATAACCAAGAAAATATTCTAAATATGTCCACATATCTTCCTTCATTTGTCATTTCAAGTGGATAAGAAACAAAAAAATTAGCATTCAAGTATAAGCTGGTCCCAAATGGAAAGAATAAAAGAAGAATTAGATTGGGAATGAAAATTCTACTTGAACTCTGTGCTACTATGCAATGGTATAAGCTTTAACCTCTTATGAAGTTCGGCCTCCTCTATTAAGTGTTATTAGACATGCAGATGTGTCAATGTTGGCAAGTGTTAGTAGGAAATAACCTCTACATCTTACACCTCAAAATACTAATATTTTTGTTAGAAATCTATAAAATTTTTTATTTAAATATCCCCAAAATATATCCAAAATGAAACTTTTTTATTTCCTTAAGATCTCATTTCAGGCTAGGCACGGTGGCTCACACCTGTAACTCCCAACACTTTGGGAGGCCAAGGCAGGTGGACTGCTTGAGCCCAAGAGTTTGAGACCAGCCTGGGCAACAAGGCGAAACCCCTTCTCTTGAAAAAAAAAAATAAAAAATTAGCCAGGCATAGTGGCGCACACCTGTAGTCCCAGCTACTTGGATGGCTGAGGAGGGAGGATCACTTGAGCCTAGAAAGTTGTGAGCTGTGATTGAGCTATTGCACTTCAGTGAGACCCTGTCTCTTTTTAAAAAAATCTCACTTTGTTTCCTTAACATTTACCTTTATGGATGAGTAATTTTACCATTTGCCTGGAATCTGTTTGAAATTCCCTTTGATTCCTCCCTATCTTCTAAGTACATCATAGTTTTGTATGTCATAGGCACTAAATGTCTAATGCTAATTCTTTTTTTTTTTTTGCTGGCTCTGTTGCCCAGGATGGAGTGCAGTGGCTCAATCTTGGCTCACTGCAACCTCTGCCTCCCGGGTTCAAGCGAGTCTCCTGCCTCAGCCTCCCAAGTAGCTGGGATTAAAACTGTGTGCCACCATGCTTGGCTAAATTTTGTATTTTTAGGAGACGGGGTTTCACCATGTTGGCCAGGCTGGTCTCGAACTCCTGGCCTCAAGTGATCCTCCCACCTGAGCCTACCAAAGTGCCAAGATTACAGGCATGAGCCACTGCACCCAGCCAAGGCCAATTCTTTCTTTGAAATGATTCTTAACTCACTCCTCTGCTTTATAAAATAAAAATTAAAAAAAAATCTTCCTATGTAAACATTATAAAGCTTTAGTTTCTACACTGTTTTAAAAAAATTAATCAGAAAGCCATTAGGCTGAGACCATTAGGCTGAGACGGCTCCAGCATTCTGGGTTCCTACTTAGGCAAACCAAAACACAATTAAAAGAAACTTAATCAGAAACCTCCAACTAACCTCTAACTAGGAACTTTACTAATCAGAAACCACAATTAACTTCTAACCAATCAAATATTTTGCTTGTCTTGCTTTCTTGAACTTCTACCTGCTTCATGTCTCCTGTGGTCTGAAGCTGCCCGATTCATGAATCACTGTAAACTAAAACTCCAAAAAAAGTAACACATCTAAGCTTATCTTTTAAGACCAATAATAAAATCTAACAACTCCTAGATCACATAATCTTTTGAAGCTTAAAAACAAGCACACAAACACACAGTAATCCAGTCATCCCTTGGTATATCAAGGAGGCTTGGTTCCAGGACCCCCATGGATACCAAAATCCAAGGATGCTCAAATCCCTCATATAAACTGGTGTAGTATACGCATATAACTAACACTACCCTCCAGTATACTTTACATCATCTCTCAATTACTTATAATACCTAATACAAGGTAAATGGTATGTAAATAGTAGTTATATTGTATTTATTTGTATTATTTTTTACTCTTGTATTGTCCTCGTATTTTTTACTTTTTCTTTCTGGAATTTTTTTATCCAAGGTTGGCTAAATCCACAGATGCAAACTTAGAGATACAAAGGGCCAACTACATATGAAAAGTCCTTTGTAAATTATGATCCAGGCTGTTAATTATTACTAGTGTTCATCAAAATAAATGTAAATTTCTTTGCTAAGTATTCAAGCCTTCTCTATTCTAGCTTCCTCTCAAACCTTGTGCTCACTTACAAAGATCATCTTCTTTTCATTCTCCTTTATGAATAGGTTCTGGTAGTTTCTCTATGCTGGGATTCTCTTATACATATCTTATTATTATTCCCAAAAATCGAACCAGATTTACTTTGGGATATTTTGCATATTTTTAAATTCCTATTAAACTAACATGTACCGTTTATTTCATAGCATAAAATGCATTAACACAGTAAATACTATTTAAATAAAACCCAGATATATTTAAATACAAATACCAAAACACTAAAATTTACATCACAAAATAAGAAAATGCAATGGAATATTAATCTTGGAGTATGGCAATCGTAAGCATGAAGCCTAGTAGCGATAAGAAAAATATTAATATATTTAGATATAATTTTTAAAATTCTGTATGTTTATTTCTTAAATACCAGAAAACATCAAAGTCAAAAGCCAAACAGCAATATGAGTAAATATTTGCCAATATATGAGGGTCTACTCTCTTCAAACAGAAAACAAAGGATTCTTACAAGTCAGTAAGAAAAGAAACTTCTAAATAGAAAAGTGGGCAAAAGATACAAAAATAATTCGAAAGCTGTAAGCAATGTCTCACTATCCTCAAAACACTAATTTTAAAATAAACTTAAACTTTTCCTTCTAATAATTTTGGCCTGGCATGTGTTCATTAACTACTACCAAAATTTCTACCTTTACACATCTCTACAATGCTCTGGAAATATTTAAGCCAACAATGATCCTTTAGAGAGAACACAAAACTAAGAAAATAAAGCAGCATTAAGACTACTGGGGAAAAGTAATTGTATGTATGTGTGTATTTTTCAGTCACAGAAACAAACTATAGACAAATATGCCAAATAATCAGCTTCTAAAATATATTCTTCTCACAGACCATGCACCTTCATCCCTCGCCAAAAATATATTTTAAAATAGCCTGCACAACAATGTGAATGTACTTAATGTCACAGAACTATACACCTAAAAAGAGTTAGTCATTTTATGTTATGTGTATCTCACCACAATAAAAAAATCTAAAAAAAAAACCAAGCCCCCCAACCCTGTGTCTAATGTATCCATATTATGGCTAGAAAGCAGATTTCCAAAATTCACATTCATATACTTTCAGCATATATTATGCTGTTTACACCTCCCACTTACACATATACGATGAAATAGTTAAATTTTCTCACCCAAAACTTCCTTGTAAAATTTGGATTCATCTTATACTCAGCTAAGTACTATGTTTTGAAATGTTAAACACAATTACTCGTTGAGGGATAAGGTAATGGAGGATATTCACTACTAAGACAATGACAGAAAAAATTTTTAATAAATATGTATTGCTTTGGTAGGAAGAATAATCAAGGTGAGGCAAAATGGGGAGAAGTGAGTGCGAGTGTGTGCGTGTGCAAGTATGTGTGTGCACATATACAGGTATGTATGTATACATACATGCATGCATGAATATATCCTTTTTCTTTAAATCCCAAGGTGGATAGTAACACAAAAGACATTTTCCCCAGATTCTCGAAACTCCAATCCCAGAGATCAGTCTAGTTTAAAGCACCTTGAATTAAAACTGAATTTCAGCTCTTATACAATCCTAGCCACATCCCTGGATAAAAACACAAGAAATAAACAAGCAGTCACCTCTGCATTTGCAATGTGTTCCAATTTTACATACAATTTCCAGACATAAAAAGTGAAGAGGAGATTCCAATAGTCTCAGAGAGGGGCAGAATAAAGGTCAATGCTGTCAGCTATACTCCTCTCTCGACCAGGAACCCCAGAAAATCCAGAATGTAACAGATCTAGCAACAGCACCAGTCAGATCAATCAGCTAGGACAAGCTTCAAGATTCTAGCTGACCCCTTAAAAACTTATAAAATATTCTGAAGACCAGAATCCAAATCAAATAGTCCTCTTGGAAAGGAACTACCAAATTTCAAAGGAATAGTTTATCCTGAGCAGAGACAGCGAAAGAATTTTGGTCATTCCAAATGCTTGCAAAATGACCCATAAATACCAAAAAGCTGACACACTACAGGTATCCTTCAAGATCAGCTAATTTCCCATGCTTAGAAATGAACACAGGCAACACATCATATCTCTCCTGAAAATCTGTTGGGGGTTTTTTTGTGGGGGAGATTGGGGGGCATTAAGACAAAATTACATACAATTTTCATTTTTTAATAAGTTGCTGGCATTATAGATACACACACAGGTATACAAATATATATACATATTTAGAAATGAAACGATAAAAGTATTTATAAATTATTTTCTAAAGTAATTTTGAAAAGCATGTAGACTTTTATTTTTAAATGTTCAGTAGTGAAAGAAAGACATAGAATTCACAACACAAATGGGTAATATTTGTCTAGGATTTATGGCTTAATAACCATTTCTAATTTTAATATCTTTTTAATACAGCCTATTCAACTGATAAAATTGCACCCCAACCTTAGTAAAATTCATATTAAATATTGTATGAAAATTATAATGCCAGCTGCTAAAGAGAATCTATTAAAATCATCTTTATGACAATATTTCCTATCCAAAATATTTACTGGATATGCAAATTAGCTTGTTAATGTAATATAAAATGCTTACCTTGACACCATGGCCCACATCATCCAGAACTGTGTAATCGATAGGTTTCCGAATATACCTTACAGGGCGCTCCATATTCGCAGGTGCTATTATTTTGTGAGTTCTTGATGTATTCTTATTTGTTGTCAAAATACCAATCTCTCTTCGTGCCACTTTCTCCTTATGAATATCCACAGTCTATATTTTAATTTGAACAAAACAAGAAAATATTATTTGACATAATATGTTTGCTATCCATATACACTGGACCATATTTAGGACAGACCACAGGGCTGTACACCATATGTCTATTTTCCAGTGAATACTATTAAATTATACTAGGCTAAAAGCAGAGAATATTTAGTGGTGGTTTAAAGCACCAACTAATGTAATGGATTTGATTCTAAAACAATTCTCTGGAAAGCAGTTTTCTTTCCTAACAATTTGGTATGTGGGCCGGGCATGGTGGCTCATGCCTGTAATATCAGCACTTTAGGCCAAGACAGGTGGATTGCTTGAGTTCAGGAGTTCAAGATCAGCCTGGGCAACATGGCAAAACCCTGTCTCTACAAAAAGTACAAAACAGCCAGGCATGGTGGCATGTGCCTGTGGTCCCAGCTACTGGGGACATGAAGTGAGAGGATTGCTTCAACCGGGGAGGTCGAGGCTGCAGTGAGCTGTAATTATGCCACTGCACTCCAGCCTGGGCAACAGAGGGAGACCCTGTCTCAAAAAAAAGAGAGAGATTTGGTATGTGTAGAAAGGGAAAGTTGTCCTGGTATGAGTAGCTGACACTTTATTTATTCAGTGTGATGCAGAACCTCCCCACACACCCCCCAAAAAAGTAATTACAACACAATGAGGCAAGTGCTATAATGACATATGCACAGTTCATTCAAAATTACTATAAAGGTGCTGAGAACAAGACAACTAACTAGGTTGAAAAGGGTTCATTTAATGGCTTTACAGAGTAGGTACCTACTCTGTACCTACTCTGTACAAAGGATAAACAGGAGTCAAGAGGTAGATATGAAAAATATTAAAGGCAGAGAGAATAACATCCTGCAGACAAAGGTTTAAGAGAGAAAAATGGTAAGAGCAGATATAAACTGTCAGCAAGCAGCCTAGACACCTGTTTGGTAGAGCCTACCTAGGACTGGTCTACAAGACTTTTTAAAAATATTTTTTTAATTTAGTTGCCAACTTAAAACTGGATAGTAACCAGCACATGAGAAATAATTATACAACTGCTCAACAACTTAAAATCTGGCTTAATAAGGAACTGATGACAAATTTAAATTGAGTGACATGATCACCTCTGCATTTTAAGAAGATCCCACTAGCAGAGGTATTGAAGACAGAAAGAACAAGACTGCAGAGAGTGAAACCAATTAAGGGGCAATTGTGGCAGTCTAGGTGAGACGAGGCCAGGATATGAACTGAAGTAGGAAAAAGAAAAAAAAAAAAAAAGGTACTCCCATGGAAAAGAACAGCTCAATGTTACGCTTGAATCAGATCTATTATGATTCTATCTTATTTCATCAGAACTTTTTAATCGAGAAAGAACTTCTAATCAAAAATGCTATCCCAATTCCAAACCAAGTAGATAAAGACACCTCTCCATGAGTATCTATCATTTCTGTACATCTTGTGAGAAGATGCACTAACTCCCTTTGTTCTGGATGTTTATAGAGTAAACAGCCTTAGAAAATATAGCATCTCCTTAGAAAGCAAAGGCAGATTTGCTTACTGTCCAATATAATAAAGTTAATGTAGACCTCCAGGAGAAAGGTTTTCTGCCCATTATAAAAGATGTGGTCCCCTAAGTTGAGAATACTTTTTCTCTAATGTACACAACTGTGTATGCAGGCATCACCTGGCTCTTTGCAGTACCCTATGGAAACTGGGGCTGTTTTCTAGCACAAATGCCGACACTCTGGCTACTACTATTGCCATGAGTAATGATGTCCTTTGTCTCTGACCCAGGAGTCTCATGTCTTCCAACAGAACCCATGAAATTGTGGTAGGCTAACTCATTAGTTAACAAGGATAAATCTCAGGACCATCATAATTTTCTATAGTTTTGGCAATGAAAAAGAATGCTGATGGGGACAAAACTTTCTAGAAATGGAAGGAAAGACCAGTTAGTAGAAATTGAGAAAAGTCCACGAGAATCATTAACCAACATGTTGTCCAAATTGTATGGTCAACCAGGCAATGAATGATCCTCCACTTTAGTGCCTGTGAATGAGGCTGAAATGAAGAGGAAGTTTCAGGATAAGTACCAGGAAGTAGGCAGATTCAAAGACAACAGCCTGAATGATGCCTTGGTTATTGTCAACACTCCTGCAGATAGGAGGACTTCCTTATCAAGCTGACAGTCAGCCTCAGCAGGTCTGCTTCATGAAATCTTCCAGACTAAGATTTGTCTAGAAGAGGGAGACAGGGGCACATAAGGTTCTGTTTCCTTTGGACGACAGTTACAGAGACATACATCTACACTGAGTTTGAAAGTAAGAAAAGGTGCAACCATTGTAGGCAGAGCCAAACAAATCTTTAGAACTTTGGCTAGTTTGCTTGGAAGAGGAGGGGCATGTAGTTACATTGCTCAGGCATGTAATGGTTGTTAAAGAAGAATGGCATTTTGCTGGCTATCTTAGTGCTCAGCTCCTACCGCAGTCTACCTTGTCAACATTAAATCCTTTCAAGATAACTGGAAAGGGCCTCAGCATTTTCTGGTGGTATAACCGTCCACTACAAGAAACCTTTGAAACTCTCAGGGAAATTTCCCTGAGACAAACTCCCTTGGACACCAACCAGTCTACAGACTCCTACTGTACTAGATTGGGTTTAAAATGCGGATCAAGGTAATTCACTGAAGAATCAGAAACTAGCTCAAAGAATCTAGATAATTCTTGCTGTCAGTCCTGCAGCCTTAGAAAACTCCAGTAGCCCTAGTATTGAAATCAAGCAAGAATTTAAGAGATATAATCTTGACATTATCTTAACAATGGAGCAGTAAAGAGCCTACATTAAGGCAGACTTCTAAAAAATGATGCCATTGTGCAGATCAAGCCCGTCAGCCAAAGGGTATAAAACCCATTTCCCCCATCAGAAAGCAACAAAGCTATAGTTGTTCGATCAAGGTGTTCCCAAACAGAAATGGATACCATCCATAATGATGACCTTTTGTGTGTGTGTAAGACAAGGTCTCGCTCTGTCACCCAGGCTGGAGTGCAGTGGAACAATCACGGCTCACTGCAATCTTCAAATTCTTGCACTCAAGCAATCCTCTGACCTCAGCCTCCTGAGCAGCTGGGATAACAGGTGTATCCCACCATGCCAGGCTAATTTTTTAAATATAATATTTAGTAGAGACGAGGTCTCACGATGTTGCCCAGGCTGGTCTCGAACTCCTGGGCTCAAGCAATAACGATCTTGCACAGAATACAGGGTTTTGGTAGCACCAAAATTACTGCAGGTTTATTGGACTGATCAGCACACAGCTATAGCACCACTCAAAACTGAAAGCAAATGTCTCTTGTTCACTGGTGCAAAGCTACTCTCTCCCAGCCTCCCTCATCCCTCAACCTCAGCTGCTTTATGAAGAAAGATGATTAGGAGTGGGGCCAAGTTCTCCAAGTTCCCAAAGGAGACTAAAGACCACACACACCTGGGTAGGCTACATAACTTTGGGGAGAGCACAGACTCAACATTTTATGGCTCTGTTGGATACAGGAGCCCAAGGCACCTTCATACCCATCCTGTGGAAGAATAAGTTACCAGCTTCCAACTGCTGAGGTCTGGGTAGGGTTCAAAGTAGGGAAGGGAAGCTACTGTGACCTTTTGGGTGGGGCTCTTTGGACCATTCAATGTACTACTGTTTGTAGCTTCCACTTCTGAGTGTATAGTGGTATTGATATTTTACAGGCCTGAACTGTGAGGGCTCATAAGCTCCAGGGAGATTATGCTCACTGCGAATAGCCCATGTAGAAAGGCATTAGTAGGTTTGGGGCCCCACAATCCTTATGACCTGTTTGAGTACAAGTCTGTGCACAGATGACTTTCCTGACTAGACCCTCTGGCAAGAGGAACAACCTCTTCAGGTGACTCTTGGGTTTGGATTCAATGCCTCCCTGACGTAGCTACTAGGTATGCCTCTTTTGAAAAGATTCCCATTTGGGAATGAGTCAACTCAAATGCAATGACTAATAAGGTGGGAAAGGCCCAACAAGCCTCTGTCATCACATGGAACTGGTAATATTCAAGAATGCAGCCAGTCTGGCCCCTAGGGCATCTCAGCTTTACATGAAAAAGCAGCAGCTTCTCCCTTTGAGAAAGTCTGATCTTACATTCTGCCACCTAAACCAAATCTGCTAGCTCAGTGAGGCCCTTGATTCACAGAGGTTCCCTAAATGCCTGGGCCTGTTTCACTGATGATTCAACTAAGCTGAGACGCTGTGGTGCCTAGTGGGCTGTAAACTCCAGTGCCCATGATACAGAACTGAAAATGGGTGTGGTTGCTTTGTTCCACGGGCAAAACTCAAGGACATTCTCACAGATCTGGCCAATATTCCCCTTGAAAACCTTGTTATATTTTTACTGACTATCAGGCTATTACCAACTGCCTAGGTATTTAGTCAGCCACTTGGAAAACTACAGAATGACATATTTAAGACTGTCCAAAAACCATGGAGATCAATTGTAGTTGCTGATCAAACCATCTGGGTCACTAATATAGATGTTTACAGTAAGGGTCCATTGTCTGATGAGACCAATTATAATCAAGCCACTGATCAAGCTGCACGGTTAAGACTGCTACCACTGCTGCTGGATCCATCATCATACCAGACACAGCAACATATCTATCATCATAGAGTGGATACAAAGTAAAAGACTCTATGTTCCTGATGCAGAGGCTGCCACCTCATCCTAGACTTATGAGTCCTGGAAAAGGACTCATTTGTCTCATGGTGAGAGGAACCACATCACATGCTACTGGCAGATTGGTTGCATCAGACAACCTTCTTCAGGCTATCAGTGGGGTCTCACTGCTGATGACACTTTTCCAGGGTCTGGTACTGCTATTCCAGTTCAATCAGCTGACTCCAGCCACAGTACCGTGGTCCTTGACACTAATCTGTGTCCTATTTTTACTTTCCACATCATTTGCAATCTGACAATAGGTACACCTTTTATCACAAAAGTCACTCAACAATGAGCTGTTAGTCAAGGTAGGTGACAGTCTACCATCCACAGCATCT
This sequence comes from Homo sapiens, assembly GCF_000001405.40. Classification (NCBI taxonomy): domain Eukaryota; kingdom Metazoa; phylum Chordata; class Mammalia; order Primates; family Hominidae; genus Homo; species Homo sapiens. The sequence goes on from NC_000010.11 coordinate 26,782,308, forward strand.
TATATCGCTTAGTACTGCAACAGCCTTATCAAAAATCAGCTCAAAAAACCTCAACAACAACAAAAAAAAAAACCCGACTCAAAAATGGGCAAAAGACTTGACTAGACATTTCTCCAAAGAAGACAGGCAAATAGAGGCCAGGCACAGTGGCTCACGCCTGTAATCCCAACACTTTGGGAGGCCGAGGCGGGCAGATCACAAGGTCAGGAGATGGAGACCATCCTGGCCAACATGGTGAAACCCCATCTCTACCAAAAATACAAACATTAGCTGGGCATGGTGGTGTGTGCCTGTAGTCCCAGCTACTCGGGAGGCTGAGGCAGGAGAAACGCTTGAACCAGGGAGTCAGAGGCTGCAGTGAGCTGAGATTATGCCACTGCACTCCAGCCTGGCGACAGAGTGAGACTCTGTCTCAAAAAAAAAAAAAAAAGACAGGCAAATGGCCAATAAGCACATGAAAAGACACTCAATACCACTTATCATTAGGGCAATGCAAATCAAAACCACAATGTGACACAACCTCACATCCATAATGATGGTTACTATCAAAAAAATCAGGATGTGGAGAAACTGGAGCCCTTGTGCACTTGCAGTCACTCTGAAACATAGTATAGTGATTCCTCACAAAATTAAAAACAGAATTAGCACATAACCAGCAATTCCAATTATAGGTATATACTCAAAAGAATTCAAAGCAGGGTCACCTAGCAGCTTTATTCACAACAGCCAAAAGATGAAAGTAACCCAACAATCCATCAACAGATCAATGGATGCACAAAATGTGATATATACATACAATAGAATAGTATTTAGACTTAACAATGAAGGAACTTCTGACACATGCTACAATATGGATGAACCTTGAGGACATTATTGAGTGAAATACGCCAGTCACAAAAAGACAAATATTGTATGATTCCATTTATATGAGGTACTAGAGCAGTCAAATTCATAAAGACAGAAAATGGAGATAGTGTTTGCCTGGGGGAGGAAAGCTCAAAGGACACTTGTTTAATGGGTATAGGGTTTAATTTCTACAAGATAAAAAGAGTCCTAGAGATTATTGGTTGCTCAACATTGTAACTATACTTAACACCACTGAACTGCACACTTAAAATGGTTAAGATGGTGATCATATATGTATTTTGCCACAATTTTAAAAAAAATTTTAATCAACTCAAAAGATTTCTGAGTATACCTCTGTCACCTCCTCCTGGTCTACACAGGAGTACAGCAGTTTGGTCACTGAATGTGGCTGTCTCCAGGAAGAGAACATCTCCTGGCCACTTGGGATTCCACCCTGACCATTCCTAAACATGATGCTTCTTTCTTTCCTCTAATGGAAATCCCAGGCTGGCTTGATTGGTCTACTCTCTGGGTGGCAACCCAGCCAAAAGGAGGTCTTTGGTATAAACTTAATTCAGGTTCAGCCACCTGGAATTGACGATCTGGATTTTCTTGCTGGATTTCTTTGGTCTTAAATAATAATGACCACTTAGTTAAGTACACTGCTTCCCCTAGAGTGGCTCATGTGGACAAAAGTAGGAGACATAAAAGGGTCTCTGTAAGTTTAATAAAAGGGCCCTTTGTCACTCTTGCACCTGGCCCTTCCAGACAAAAGGTCTGGGTTTGAGTCAGAGATGACTGGAAAAAAGGTAAAGCTAGCTACTGGAATGGGACACACTGATTTTGTGGCAGTCAAAGGGGTACAACAACCCTGTCTGGCACCTGTGGGGAAAACACCTTAGATGCGGGGAAGTAAGGAAAAAGGGGGGACATTAGTGATCCGTCTTTTAGAATCATCCCTCACAAAGGACATTTCTCTGCAAATGTGCAAAACCTCAAATTTAACTGACAACTGGGTCTGCCCCTACCCCACCACACAACTTTGATCACTACTCAATCATCATTCTCCTTAACTGCACAGTCTCTCAGAAGCAGCAGAGGATGGTCCAAGCTCCCAAATCTCCCACGTGAAACACCTGTCCATAACTTTAGGCATCTTTTCAAGGGACAGTCATTTCAAGGGACAGATGAATGCCATTGAGTTGGTGGCACAGATAATAAACAGGACAGATTGGACTGACTGCCTTCAGGCCATCTCTCCACAAACCAGTACTAGAGAAGTATTCATACTGTACTTGGAACCCTAAGGCTTACCAGCCATCAGGGAGGCCACATTGGAGAAACTGTCAGCCTGTGCCGTCTGACTTAAAAGTAGGTCCCACATAACTGGGGAGGTGGGGGGGAATGGGGGGAGCGGGGAGAAGTAGGACAATATAAACAACACATTCTTTATAGGCACACACAGTCCTTGGGAGTATTTCTTGTTTGGAAGTCGGGCATTGCCTCCCTTCAGAAAATGTGATGACTTGCACACCAAGGGAAAAATCACTATAATGGGAGTCATCCAATTAGAAAACTTTATTTGAAATTTGTTCCCGACTTTAGCTGAAGCAATCAATGACATCACCTTGGGCCTAGAGGCATTCAGGACGGTCTAAAATCACTATCCAGGATTGTTACAGATAGAAGAATAGCCCTACGCTTCCTCTTTGTAGACCAAGGCCAAATCTGTGCTCTATATTCTGCAGTAACTAGATTAATGCCTTGGGCCAAGAGTAAAGTCAGCACAGAAACAAAGAGAAAGCCACCTGGCTCTCTTAGGTAGACCCTAAAGGTTTATTGCATTTGTTCTGTTGGCTGGGTCTTGGACCCTGGGGAGCATAATTGAAGTCAATATTGCAGTCTGGCCTCATCCTGCTATCCTGTTGACAGTAACTGTAATGAAATGTGTTATAAGAAAAACTGAATGGATCTGGTCCCAGCCTCTGTCGGTAAGATTAATCAGAGTGACAAATGAAGTTGCATAATCATGGGAAAGAAATCTTACCAGAAGCCAAGAAGGTATAGAAATGAAGGGTGAATACTGTTGGAAGGCAATTATACTTGAGTCTTTCATGTTTCTGTACCTGTTGTGAGTAGAGGGACTGACTCATTTTGTTCCATACCAACTTGCTACATATGTTTGTATTATATAAGGAATGGTCTTGAGGGATCAAGAAACAGTGTCTCCCTCAGGAGTAAAAGGCAGGTTTGTTTGCTGTCTAGTACAATAAAGATATCATCTCCAGTTGGGTGTGGTGGCTCATGCCTGTAATCCCAGCACTTTGGGAGGCCGAGTAGGGCAGATCACCTGAGGTCAGGAGTTAGAGACCAGCCTGGCCAACATGGTGAAATTCCGTCTTTACTAGAAATACAAAAATTAGCCGGGCACGGTGGCACATGCCTGTAGTCTCAGTTACTTGCGGGGGTGCTGAGGCATGAGAATCGCTTGAACCCAGGAGATGGAGGTTGCAGTGAACCAAGATCAAGCCACTGCACTCTAGCCTGGGCGACAGAGTCAGACTCTGTCTGGGAAAAAAAAAAAAAAGTCATCTCCCTCCAGGGTGAAGTTCAGGTAGGCTTACAAGGCTTACTACCTATTATCAAAGTTTGGGTTCCCTAAACTGGTGGTCCCTCTCCTGTAACAGAGTGCAGTGCATTACAGGAGAGGCATCACCACATGCCATCACTCGGCCCCTTTCACCTTCCTCTGTGGAGCAGTGGGCTTGGCAAACTGGCACAAATGCTAACACTCTGCCTCCAGTTATTCTCATCAGTAATAAAGTCCTATGTCTCTGGTCCAGAAGTCTTCTGTCTTCTACCAGCATCTAGGAAAGATTTTAGCTTGCATGGAGGGCAAAATCTGACTCTTCACAATTCTTGAAAAAACTGTTTTTATAGTGAAACAATTCACATATTCTGACCACCCCCATCCCCAAGTAATTCTGAGGATTATCTGATACAATCATTGATTCATTGATGTTACAAAACGTAAAGAGCCCCATTTTTGTAGAATGCCTCTCTACACTTTTTTTTTTTTTGACAGGGTCTTGCTCTGTCGCCTAGGCTGGAGTTCAGTGGTGCGATCTCGGCTCACTGCGCCCTCTGCCTCCCAGGTTCAAGCGATTCTCATGTCTCATGACTCCCGAGTAGCTGGGACTACAGGCATGTGCCCCCACACCCGGCTTATTTTTGTATGTTTTGTAGAGACGGGGCTTCACCATGTTGGCCAGGCTGGTCTCAAACTCCTGACTTGACTTCAAGTGATTTGCCCGCCTCGGCCTCCTAAAGTGCTGGGATTACAGGCATGAGCCACCATGCCCCGCCTCTCTACACATCTTTTAAACTCCTCCCTTTTCTAATAGGTCCAGCACTAGTACAAATTTTAGCTCAGTTCTGCTCAGCACAGAATTAAGTTGAGGAATCCCTAACTCCATAGAAGGGAAAATATTGAGATTTCAATGGGAGTTGGAAAAGATGGACCAGTATTTACCTAGGTTTGTTTCTAACTCTCCCGAACACTCATTCTCTGTCTCCTTTCTAAGGTCACGTTACAGACAGTGTCTCCCAGTTCATTTTCCTCTTTATGACCCCTCGGCAAACTCATCCACATTCAGGCTTAAATTACCATATATACACACAAACTTTTCTTTATCTATTCAAGAACCCTCCTCTAAGCTATAGGTTCGTGTATAAAACTGACATTCTCTCAGATATTTCAATGGTACCTTAAAGTGAACGTGTTCAAAATCAAACACACAGGCTCCTCAATCCTATTTCAATGCTCCTACTTCAATTCTCTATTGGTTTATGTAAGTCAGACATCTAGCATTTACTTCATGTTTAATTTTACTAAATCCTGTCACATCTACCTTTAAATACCAGAAATCTGTTTCTAACACTTTAATCCTACTCAATCTACTATCATCTCTCACCTTGGCTATTGCAACAGTCTTCTAATTGGTCCACTTGTACCCAGTCTGGCCTTTTTCCAGTCTGCTCTCTATGGTGTAACCATGGAGATCTTTACAAAAGAAGTAAACTTGAGAAAACAAAATGAAAAATGTGTACATCTCACCTGTTTAAACCCTATTAAAAGAGCATCCCACATGGTCCCCAGTCCTCAAGGGAAAAATTAATTCAAAATGTCTTGTTCTTTCCCTATTTTTCTCAAACATCATGGAATCCACAACTCTCCTCCTTAAAATCATCCTTTTTTCACCCTTCCTACTTCACTCACACACTGCAGAATTATTCAGGACACGATTTCAAATTACTTGAAAAATTCTACTCTGGTCTACTCCCTCTCCATTCTCTCAATTCTGAATCATAGAAGTCCAAAACACAACATGTCCAGCAAAGCACAACCCTCCATATGGCAGGGTGAGCAAAAAAAAGGGAACAGGTTTGGAACATTTGTATAACAACAGCATGCATATGTTCACCAAGCGAGAGTTAGCTTTTTCAGCGAGACTAATTCTTTCTCATACTTGAATTTCCTTACTTTCATACATTTTTCTTCAACTTTACATAGCAAAAGCAGCAGTCTGACATTAAAAAACAATAAGCTTTTAGTCTTAATATATGAGAGTCAAAATCAGAGTAACCCCAGTTGAGAAGAACTAGATGGCCCAGGAGAGTACCCTATAGCAATCCTTAGACCCACTGGTTAAAAAAAAAAAAAAAGCGTGCAATCTTGAAATTAGAAAATTATGTTTGAATACTAACTCTTTTGCTTATTGGATATAACATTTTATGCAAGTTTTAATTAACTAAAATTTCATTTTGCTTATGATAAGGTTTGGCTCTGTGTCCCCACCCAAATCTCATCTTGAATTGTACTCCCATAATTCTCACGTGTTGTGGGAGGGACATAGTGGGAGATAATTTTAATCACGGGGTCGGTTTCCCTCATACTGTTCTCGTGGTAGTGAATAAGTCTCACGAGATCTGATGGTTTAATCAGGGGTTTCCACTTTTGCATCCTTCTCATTTTCTCTTGCTGCCGTCGTGTAAGAAGGGCATTTTGCCTCCCGGCATGATTCTTAGGCCTCCCCAGCCATGTGGAACTATAAGCCCAACTGAACCTCTTTTTCTTCCCAGTTTCAGGTATGTCTTTATCAGCAATGTGAAAACGGACTAACACAGCTTATATAAAATGGGAATAGCATATTAGAAACTCTAACATTGCTTGATACAAAAAAGTACTAAAAAATAATAAATCTGAATCTTATTTATCAAACTACCCAATCTACAACTCTGCAATTAAGATAAAGCATTTCTAAAATATTAATATGAAAACATGAATGTAACACATTATGTATTTGAAATATGATGAATGTGATTTAGGTTCAAATCTCCAGTTTTGCCACTGGCAATACAATTTTTAAGAACTCCTCAAAGCCAGTCTAATAAACATTAAGATACCAGCAGTTTGAGGCCGGGTGCAGTGGCTCACGCCTGTAATCCCAGCACTTTGGGACGCCGAGGTGGGCGGATCACGAGGTCAGGAGATCGAGACTATCCTGGCTAACACAGTGAAACCCCGTCTCTACTAAAAATACAAAAAATTAGCTGGGCGTGGTTGGCGGACGCCTGTAGTCCCAGCTACTCGGGAGGCTGAGGCAGGAGAATGGCATGAACCTGGGAGGCAGAGCTTGCAGTGAGCCAAGATCACGCCACTGCACTCCAGCCTGGGCAACAGAGCGAGACTCCGTCTCAAAAAAAAAAAAAAAAAAAAAAAAGATACCAGCAGTTTGAAAACTCAACTGATTCCAACGTAAACAAATGCTAAAATTCATTTGAGAAAAAAAAAAAAGTGGATCCTCATTTTCTTGGCAGGAACTTGTAGTCCCACTCCCTGTTATGTACAGAGGCAAAGGGAAGAGCTCTGGCCCCCTTGGCATGTCTTTGGAGCCATGCAGCTTCCCGTCTGCCAGTTCTATCCTCAAGCACCAGGACACCAGGGAAAAGGAAAAAGAAAAAAGAAAGTGGATCTTAGAGGTAGGGGTATCAAAAGTACTAACTAGAGAAAAGATAAAAACCCAAAGACAAGTTGTCAATAAATGAAGACCATGCTTGATGCATCAGCACCTGAAGGAGAAGAGACAAAATCAAAATAGAATATACATGGAACAAATTTGGAAGTAACCAAAAAAATGAACATGTACAGGGGGAATCACCTTTTAAAGCATGAATACATACACACATTTGAATTACATATGTTTTATATAATTCAAAGCTCACAAAATTCAAGACGTATAACAAATGATGGTGTTTCCGTTTCCTGACTAAACATCAAATGACAATAAAAGAAACTGTTTAATCCCCTTTTCAGTTTTGAAATTACGCAGTGGTTCACAAAATTTTTAATGTGAAGGAAATCTTCACATTTTAAAAGGGATTTTCTGTATTTTATTAATATTTTATGTTTTTTTTAACTTTTAAGTTCAGGGGTACATATGTAAGATGTGTTAGTTTGTTGCATAAGTAAACATGTGTCATGGGTGTTTGTTGTACAGATTATTTCATCCCCCAGGTATTAAGCCTAGTATCCATTAGGTTTTTCCTGGTCCTCTCCCTCTTCCCACCTTTCACCCTCCAGTAGGCCCCAGTGTGCACTGTTCCCCTCTATGTGTCCATATGTTCTCATCATTTAGCTCCTACATATAAGTGAGAACATGCAGTATTTGGTTTTCTGTTCCTGCATTACTTTGCTAAGGATAATGGCCTCCAGCTCCATCCATGTCCCTGCAAAAGACATGATCTCATTCTTTTTTGATGGCTGCATAGTATTCCATGGTGTATACGTACCACACATTTTCTTTATCCAGTCTATCACTGATGGGACATTTAGATTGATTCCGTCTTTGCTATTGTGAATAGTGCTACAGTGAACATACATGTGCATGTGTCTTTATAACAGAATAATTTATATTCCTTTGGGTATACACCCAGTAATGGGATTGCTGGGTCAAATGGTATTTCTGTCTCTAGGTCTTTGAGGATTCACCACACTGTCTTCCACAATGGTTGAACTAATTTACATTCCCACCAGCAGTGTAAAAGCATTCCTTTTTCTCCACAACCTCGCCAGCATCTGTTATTTTTTTGAATTTTTAATAATAGCCATTCTGACTGGTATGAGATGGTAGCTCATTGTGGTTTTTATTTGCATTTCTTTAATGGTCAGTGATGTTGAATTTTTTTTCAAATGATTGTTGGCCGCACATGTATGTCTTCTGAGAAGTGTCTGTTCTCTGTTCAAGTCCTTTGCCCACTTTTTAATGGGGTTGTTTTTTTTTCTTTTAAGTTCCTTATAGAAGCTGGATATTAGACCTTTGTCAGAAAAATGTGGAACACTTCATGAATTTGCATGTCATCCTTGCACAGGGGCCATGCTAATCCTCTCTGTATTGTTCCAATTTTAGTGTACGTGCTGCAGAAGTGACCACTTATGTTGTATTTTTATCACATAAAATGAAACTGTACTGCAATGGGCTGGTAAAAATGACATAGTTCTAGTTAGTCCAATAAAAGCAAACAAGGCCTCTGAATTTGGGTAATGCAAGAGGCATAATACAGAGCTAATACTGGCTGTGCTCAGTGACTCACACCTATAATCCCAGCCCTTTGGGAGGCCAAGGAGGATGGATCATTTGAGTCCAGGAATTCGAGACTAGCCTAGGCAACATGGTGAAACCCCATCTCTACAAAAAATGCAAAAAAATTTGCTGGGCATGGTGGCACACACTTGCAGTCCCAGCTACTCAGGAGTCTGAGGTGGGAGGATCACCTGAGCCCAAGAGGTCAAGGCTGCAGTGAGCCACAATCACACCACTGCACTACAGCCCAGGTAAGAGTAAGATTCCGTCTCAAAAAAAAAAAAAAAAAAAAAAACAGAGCGAATATAATACAAGTGGAAAACTCTTTTGGCAGACTCATTATGACAAGCAAAAATCATATCAAGAGTTGTGAGAGAGACTAAAGGCAATATGGAACATAACATAATCAAGAGAAATATTCAAAGTAAAAATTACTAGAACACCCTGAATAAAACCCTAAAAGCTCTCTCCCCTATCCAATTATATTTTACTTCAAGTTATAAATAAGAAATAAGGAAACAGTGAGATAGGAGTTTGAAAGAAAAACCTGGAAAAAAACTTAAATGGTCTTCAAAGCCAGATACAACACACCCCCATCTACTCACAACCACACATACACCCGATTGTCCCCCTTCTATCCCATGTTACCTTGATGCCAAGTCTTTCCAAACTGATCTACAGCTTCAATGCATTCCAATAAAAATGCCAACAGAGATTTTAAAGGTTCTAAATTTATATGGGAGGGCAAAGGGGAAAGAATGGCTAAGACATGGTCTAAAAGAAAAACTAGAAGGGAGGAGGGTAACTTGCCTATTGAGATACGAAGCCATAGTAAAGAAGATAGTAGGGTTCTTACAGGGTTAAATAAATGGACCAATACAACAGAAGAGAGAATTCAGAAAAAAAATCATGCTTATAAGGAAACTTGGTATCTTACAGTGATAGCACAGTAAGAAGAATGTTTTATTTGAGTAGAGCAACTATTTTGCCATATAGAAAAAAACACTGAAAATGGATCCCTACCTCAAACCATAGGAAAAAACTAATTCCAGATCCTTTACATTTAAATGCAAATAAATGGCATATTTATACTTGAAATATTATACACTATATAATGAGAATGAACAAACTACTAATGAATGAACTATGTATATGTAATACGGATAAATCTTAGAAATTATAATGCTGAATAAAAAAAGCAAGCCATGCTAGACTACATACAGGATGAATCCATTGTTATAAGCCCAAACACAAGCAAAATTAAACAATAATTGTTTAGTGATACACATACATGCGATTTAAAAAAATGTTTAGTGCAAGGGAATGATAAACATCCCTTTTGTGGTTGGTGAGAAGTATACAGAGAAAAGAAACAGAATTGGTCATTTTCTAGTTTTTAGTTTTAACGATGGATTCAGAGATGTCTGATTTATTATATATGCATAACATATATTACATTTATTCTTTTGAATAAGTGTAATTTTTGTCTTTAATTACACACAAATAGCATACAGAAAAGAATGATTAATATTCCTGAAGCAACATCAAAAGACTCCATGAAAGAAACCTCATTTTTGCCAGCCATAACTGGCAGGTGAAAGAGAAAAAAGGAGAGTGGGGAAAAAGGTCAAAATCCAAGCACAGGGGACAGCATAAGCCAGGGAAAAGAGGCATGAAAACACAACACCTTCTCCGAGATGAGAGAAAAGCTAAAATAGTATGAATAAAAGTAAGTTGAACTCTACTCTAATTAAGAGTTGAAGAAAAGATTATGGAAATTAGGAGACCAAATTTGAAAACTTCTTTTTAAATGGTCAAGCAAGGCTTTTATAAAAATAAGTAGATTGGGAATTGAATAAATAAAATTAATTGTGTGGTAAACAAATGTTCTAAAGGAAACATTAAAATATTCTAAAAGCAATTATATTTAGAGAGGAAAACATTTTCTAAAATGTAGAAATAAAATGACAAACTCCATAAGCAGACAAGATTTTAAAATTATCTTTTAAGATATGATTATTTTAAACTGCTGTATAGAAATAGGTTTTCATTTTGTTCTTTTTCCTCTCCCTTGTCACTCTGGAGGAAATAAAAATAACACATATGCTTCTTTTAAAGATCTTCCAGAAAAATCCTTCTTAATCATCAAAAGACAGAAAGCCAGGCAGGAAAGAAGTATGACATAGCAACACTACTTAACGTTCCATGGATTTTCTACAATATCATCTCAGAAGGCCTACTATCATCCTCACAACTGCCACTGCTACTACAGGAAGGGCATTATAGGTTTTAAGCAAAGAACCTTGTACATAAGTAAAAACACAATAAATGTTTGCTAAAAAATAACTACAGAATGAAAATCAAAATATTTTTGCCCTGAATAGAGAAAGGAGAGGGGTATAAAAAGGGCAGAAGAAGAGAGTCCTGAGACAAGCTGCACAGAGGAAGCCTTCAGCCAAGAAAGAGACAATCTTTGTCTGTTATTGCTTATTTGGACCAGACTCTGGAAATGGCCTTATGCCCAAAATTCTGTGTTACAGATCTTTGTTCAATAAGCTTGAAACAAGGTCCCAATCAACTTCGAAGTTAACTTGATTCAGAATGACCCATATACACACCATAAAATAGATCTATTTAGAAAAGATGAGCTGCAAAATCAGACTCTGGTGGAAAAACAAAAACCACTTGGATCAGAATTATTCTGAAATATTTTGGCCTGGGAAAAACTGAATCTGTCACTAACATTCTGGCCCACGTCTAATTTTTTAGTACTTCCCATGACATTTTTCTGTCTCCTCCTCGCCTGCTTAATTATATAAGACAAACTACTAAATACTCTATGTGGTAATTACATACCCACCTCAAAAAGGAAACTTTTTTGCCTAATTTAGTGATAATCATTTTTTATCCAAACTAGAATCTAAGCTAAATATGAGCTTTTAATAGAACATTAGATCACAGTTGATCTTCTAAGCACCAGGTCATGAATTTGAACTTAATTCTTCAACCTACTACTTCTTACCTAACAACTAACATTTGTTTTAATATTTCATGAGTGTCTCTCCCTTCTTAAAAAGATGATATATTTAAAATTCTCCAGCCTGGGCAACATAGTGAGACCCTGTGTCTACAAAAAATAAATTGTTTTTAATTAGCCAGGCAAGGGCCGGGTGCAGTGGTTCACGCCTATAATCCCACCACTTTGGGAGGCCAAGGTGGGTGGATCACTTGAGGTCAGGAGTTCAAGACCAGCCTGGCCAACATGGTGAAACGCCATCTCTACCAAAAAATATAAAAATTAGCCGGGCATGACATGTGCGCCTGTAGTCCCAGCTACTCGAGAGGCTAAGGCAGGAGAATCCCTTGAACCCAGGATGCAGAGGTTGCATTGAGCCAAGATCGTGCCACTGTACTCCAGCCTGAGCAACCCTGTCTCCAAAATAAATAAAAATAAAAATAATAAAAATAAATACATTAGCCAGGCATGGTGGCTCACGCCTGTAGTTCCAGCTACACAGGAGGCAGGAGAATTGCTTAAGGAGGTTGAAGCTGCAGTAAACAGTGATCATGCCACTACATTCCAAACTGGGTGACAAAACAAGACCATGTCTCAATAAATAAAAAATAAGTAAAATAAAATTCTCTACATATGTCAGGAAGTACAGTCTAATGACTAAGAGTTGAGTTCAGGAACCAAACTGTGTGGATTTAATAGGTGGTTGTACCATTTACTAACTGTGTGCACATGGGTAAGTTACTTAACCATCCTATGCCCTCAGTTTCCTTACCATACATACGAGATGTAAAAACAAGCAAAAAAACAGTTATCAACTTCACACAGTTACTGTAAGGATTAAATGAAGCAATATATAGAATGGATTTTCAACAGTGTCTGGCATGTAGAAAAATCAATATATGTTAGCTTTTTATTATTATTATTGTTTCCCAGTTCTTATTCAAGTTTTTAACTGAGTTTACCTGATGATATGAAACTAGAAAAAGCTTATAGCCAATAATAAATACAACTCATCTTAGCAATCTTAGACATTAGAAGTTGTTACTTAGGGCCAGGAGTGGTGGCTCATGCCTGTAATCCCAGCACTTTGGGAGGCTGAGTTGGGCGGATTGCTTGAGGCCAGGAGTTTGAGACCAGCCTGGCCAACATGGCGAAATCCTGCCTCCACTAAAAATACAAAACTTAGCCAGGCATGGTGGCGCACGCCTGTAATCCCAGCTACTCGGGAGGCTGAGGTACAAGAATTGCTTGAACCAAGGAGGCGGAGATTGCAGTGAGCCAAGATCGCACCACTGCACTCCAGCCTGGGCGACAGAGCGAGACTGTCTCAAAAAAAAAAAAAAACCAAAAACACCATACCAAGTTACATAACTGTGAAATTTCAAAGCACCACAGTAGAGATTAAATATGCCAAAAGTTTCCAGAGAGAAAAAGATAAGAATATACAAAGGATCTGCAATCAGTGACACATAAGACATCTCAATGACAATATTGGAAGGGAGAAGAAATGAACTATTTCCTTTAAAATATGTTGACTTCTAAAATAAAAAAATTTATTTAACACAGTACTAGAAGTACTAGCAAGAGCCATCAAACAAGAAAAAGAAATAAACAGGCATTTAAATCAGAAAGGAAGTAGTAAAATTATCTCTATTTGCAAATGACATGTTCCTAAATACAGAAAACCCCAAAGATCCCACAGAAAAGATAAAAACACTGCTAGAACTAATGAATTCAGTAAAGTTAAAGAATACAAAATCAACATACAAAAATCAGTAACATTTCTACACACAATAACCCAGATGAAAAGGAAATTAAGAAAACAATTCCATTTATGATAGCATCCAAAAAAAAATACTTAGGAGTAAATTTAACCGAGAAGGTTAAAGATTTGTACACTGAAAACTATAATACACTGATGAAAGAAACTGAAGACACAAATAAATGGACAGATATCCCATGTTCATAGATAGGAATAATTAATATTGTTAAAACAGCCATACTACCCAAAGCAATATACAGATTTAACCCAATCCCTATCAAAATTCTAATGGCATCCTCCACTGAAATAGAAAAAACAATCCTAAAATCCATACAGAGCCACAAAAATCCTAAATAACCAAGGCAATACGGAGAAACTCCAGCCTGGTGACAGAGTGAGACCCAGTCTCAAAAAATAAAATAAAAGAGCTCAAAAGCTTCGTAGGTCTAAGCTGCAATGAGCCATGATTGTGTCACTGCACTCCAGCCTGGGTGACGGAGTGAGACCCAGTCTCAAAAAATAAAATAAAAGAGCTCAAATACACAGAAATAGAGAATGAAACAGTGGTTACCATGGTTATTTTGGGGGGAAAGGAGAGGGAGCTGTGGGTCAAAAGATACAAAATAGCAGATATTCAGAATAAGTTTAGAGATCCATGTACAACACGAGGACTACAGTTAATAAAACTGTATTGTACAGTCATGTGTCACATAACATTTTGGTCAACAATGGACCACATATATATCACACCACATAATAACAATAGTTCCATAAGATTATAATACTGTATTTTTATTGTACCTTTTCTATGTTTAGACATGCTTGGATACACAAATACCACTGTGTTCCAATTGCCTACAGGACTGAGGACAGTAACATGCTGTACAGGTTTGTAGCCTAGGAGCAACAGGCTGTACCATAGGGCCTAGGTATACAGTAGGCTGTACTATCTAGGTTTGCGTAAGTACACTCTATGATGTTCACACAACAAAATGGCCTAGGAATACATTTCTCAGAACATTTCCTTGTCATTAAGCAAGCATGACTGTATTAAGGATTTTCATTAAATAAGTAGATTTTAGGTGCTCATCACTTAACAAAAGTAACTATGTGAAATGACAGATGTGTTTATCTGCTTCACTATAGTAACTAATTTACTGTCTATATGTATTCCATAACACAGCAGTCCCCTTTTTGGCACCAGGGACCGGTTTTGTGGAAGACAATTTTCCACGCACTGGGGAGACAGGCGAATGGTTTTGGGATTAAACTGTTCTACCTCAGATCATCAGGCATTAGATTCTCATAAGGAGCATGCAACTTAGGTCCCTTGGACATAAGGTTCACAATAGGGTTTGCGCTCCTGTGAGAATCTAATGCCACAGCTAATCTGACAGGAGGCAGTAATGTTCGCTGGCCCTCTGCTCACCTCCTGCTATGCAGCCCGGTTCCTGACAAGCCACGGACTAGTACAGGCCAGTAGCTCAGGGGTTGGGGACCCCTGCCATAACGTCATGTTGTAAACCTCAAATATACACAGTAAAATTTATTTTTTAAGTCTAAAGGAAAGTAATTTTTAGTCTAAAACTAAGGACAGTATAGCATAGTGATAACAAGTAGATTCTAAAACCAGACTGCCTGGTTCAAATGATGCCATTTAATAGATGTATTATCCTGAACAAGTTGCCTAAGCTCTTTGTGTATCAATTTCTTCATCTGTAAAATGAGGTTGTTATAAGAATGAATTAATTCATAGGTGTTCATTTATGTAAAAAGCCTGGTATACAATATGCACTCTATAAGTGCTCTAGAAAGCACGACTAGGGATAGGAAGGGATTGCACTGAATTCCGCTTGTCATTGTAATCCCTTAGGTAGTATGTGACTGGTTTTTAATCACATTCACATATTATCACAGGGAGGAAGGGAGGGAGTTGTAAAATGAAGTCCAAAGATAACAGCTTGGTACAGAAGAGTATCTATATGCCTTTAGCTCAAATGAGATAAGCAGAAACACAGAAAATGTAAAAATGAGGGAGAATCTCAGCAGACAGTCAAGAAGGAAGGCAAGGCATGGTAGGAAAAACCTGATCTGGCTGAATAGTGGGGTCAGAGCTGTAAACCAAGACATGCTGTTCAGATTAAAGAAAAAAAGCATGGCTTGTCGATATCAGAGTAGAACGGAATGTTCATATGAAGAAACTGAGTTTTAATCACAATTAACTGACTTTTCAAAGATGAGATTCACTGAGGGGTTTTGATTGACATTAAAAGCATTTTAAATTAAAGGATAATAGGAAAACAAAGTAACAGACTTTATGTCTTGTTAAAGTCATTATTACCTTACTAATATAAGCAATGCCAACTAGAGCAATATGGCACATTAGATAACCTGAAATCTCTCCCACTAGAAACTACCTAAAAATGCTTGATTTAAAGATGCTATGAAAGCATCTTTTTAAAATTCACAGTCCAAAACTAAAGAGAGTAAAGAAAATCCAGGGAGACTAGGAAAAAGAGAGGACAAAAATTCAGAGCAGAAAACATGAACAAGGCTGCAGCTACTCTGTAGTAGCTTTTTGGCCTCTAGCAAAGGAGCTTGTACTTTTATGCCACATGGGGACAAAATTAAAATACCCTTTGGGCTTGCTGAAGGTGGGAAGTTAGAACTGATATAGCAAAAGGGACTTTGCAGATGTGATTAAGAATCTTGAGACGGGGTGCTATCCAGTATTGGGGGGGGTGAATCAAATGAAATCACGAGGGTCCTTACAAGCCAAAGAGGGAGGCCAGAGGGTCAGTACTGATCAGTGATGCCATACGAAAAAGACTCAACTGGCCATTGGTGACTTAAAGATGGATGAAGGGGTCATGCGCCAAAAGTGCAGGTGGCCTCTAGAAGCTGAAAAAAGGCAAGGGAACAGATGCTCCCCTAGTGCTTCTAGAAGGAACACAGCCCTATCCACATATTAATTTTAGCTCAGTGAAACCCATTTCAAACTTCTGACCTCCAGAACTGTAAGATAATAAAGATATGTTATAAGCCACTAAATTTGCGGTGATTTGTTACAGCAACTATAGGAAACTAAGGCGCACACACTGAGGTGGGGTTGGGGAATGTTCTAGAAAGTATACACATTTCCATGAAGTTTTCAGGTTCAAAAAGTATAAATAGTCCTGGACTGACGGCATCCTAGAACACTTAGCAGAACAGGGAATATACCTTCAGCTTAGCTTATCAATGGTATATCCCTTAAGTGGCACAGAGATCTCAACACATGAGATCTTAAAATAAGCTTACAACACAAATTTACAAAACACATAAGGAAAAAAATTCACCACAAGCAGGAGTCAGCATGTACACATGTAACAAATCTCCGAAGGAAGTTAATCCAAAAGAAAGAAAGGAGAAAAAAGAGACAGAACAGATGACATAAGTAGAAAACACAAAATGATGTTGTTTCATTTGAATTCAAATATATCATTAACTACATTAAATGTAAATTCAATAGTACTCCTATTAAAATAAGTATCACTGTATTTTTGTGAATCCAGTTATATGATTTCTTAGAAGAGGCAATTTTTTTAGCTTTTTTCCAGTTCCATCTCCCAAAGCTCTGTCATCCAGACAAATCTTTAAAAACAGAAAAAAACTGCAAGAATAAAAAAGATATATTCTGCATATTAATATATAGTATATTAATATAATATCGAGAACTATAATCAGAAAAGATTCTTAGAGGCAGAGTGTCCTGTATTCCATAATTATGCTGCATTTTCTCAAAAATATTTTAAAATACATTTAAATACTCAATGAAGGCTTTATAATTTACACTGTGCTCTTCAAAAAGAACAAACCAAAAGCAATAAAGAAGCTGCTTGCCAAGCTTCGGGGGAGGGGGGAAATTAGAAAAAATGAGCACGTGCAACTGCACATAAAACTGCAGGTGGCTAGAAAGGAAACCAACTGAAGGGGAAAAAATCTAAAAATAGGCTTAGAACAGTGATTCTGACTGCCTTCGTTTGGATTTTCAAATCATTTCAGAGCTAAAACTGAGAGATGAAATGTGTACAATTTGTTTTAACCAAGAAGGCTATTTTAGAAATAAGTTCTGCCATAATTAAATATACTTATTTATGCGTTAGAAGTTCAAGTACCATTTGCAATTCAAAACCCAAAGAATTTTTCAATTAGAAATGATCTTAATGACAAATTATAGCAAAATCAATTATTCCCAATTAATTGAAAAAAATTCCTCTGACAGTACATTTTGCTGCTCTCTTTCAAAATATTTTTAGGGACATCACATCTTGATGGGCATGCCAAGTTCTCTACAGGCTTCCTCTAGATTTCCATATTATCACAGATTCTAAAGACACAAAACTAAAAACACTTGGAAAACAATTTTACAATATAAACCACAAAAACGTAAAAAAAAAAAAAAAAAAAAATTAAGACAGTGGGAGCAGCTTTTAAATAGGAAACTACTGCCTTCAAAAAGTCATCCTTAATATATCACCTGAATCGGGCCGGGCGCAGTGGCTCAAGCCTGTAATCCCAACACTTTGGGAGGCCAACCTAGGTGTATCACCTGAGGTCAGGAGTTCAAGACCAGCCTGGCCAACATGGTGAAACCCCGTCTCTACTAAAAATACAAAAAATTAGCCGGGCATGGTGGCGTGTGCCTACAGTCACAGCTACTCAAGAGGCTGAGGCAGGAGAATCGCTTGAACCCTGGAGGCAGAGGTTGCAGTGGGCCAAGATCGCGCCACTGCACTCCAGCCTGGGGGAAAGAGTGAGACTGTGTCTCAAAAACAAAAACAAAACTCCTGAATCTAATCACAAGGAAGCATTACACATACCCATACGGAGACACATTCTACAAAACAACTGGCTATAAATTTTCCAAAGTATCAAGGTCAGCCGCGCACGGTGGCTCACACCTATAATTCCAGTACTTTGGTAGGCCAAGGTGGGAGGATGGTTGAACCCTCCAGTTTGAGACCAGCCTGGGAAACATAGTGAGAACTCATCTCTATAAAATAAAACAAAAAAATAAGGCAGGAGGATCATTTGAGCCCAGGAGGTGGAGGATGCAACGAGCCATGACAGGACCATTACACTGCTGCCTGGGTGACAGACCAGGACCTTGCCTCAAAAAGAAAAAATCAAGGGGCCAGGCACAGTGGCTGACGCCTGTCATCCCAGCACTTTGGGAGGTCGGGAGTTCGAGACCAGCCTTACCAACATGGAGAAACCCCATCTCTACTAAAAATACAAAATTAGCCAGACATGGTGGCACACGCCTGCAATCCCAGCTACTGGGGAGGCTGAGGCGGGAGAATCACTTGAACCCAGGAGGCAGAGGCTGCGGTGAGCCGAGATTGTGCCATTGCACTCCAGCCTGGGCAACAAGAGCAAAACTCCATCTCAAAAAACAAAGGATCAAGGTCAGATGAGGTCAAGAGAAGACTGAGGAACTGTGCCAGACTGAGGAAGATGAAGGAGACATGACATTTAATGTTTCTGAACTGGATCCTTTCCTATGAAACTACTGGAACAACTGGCATACTTGAATGGAATTTGTTGATTAGATGGTAGCAATGTATCAGTGGTAATCACCCGACTTTGATGAGCGTAATACGGTGATGCAGTAAAATGTATTTGTTTCTAGAAAATACACACCATCGTGGCCGGGCACGGTGGCTCATACCTATAATCCCAGCACTTTGGAGGCCAAGGCAGGCGGATCACTTGAGCTCACAAGTTTGAGACCAGCCTGGGCAATATGGCAAAACCCTGTCTCTACAAAAAATACAAAAATTAGCCAGGCGTGGTGGTATGCACCTGCAGTCCCAACTACTTAGGAGGCTGAGGTGGCAGGATGACTTGAGCCCGGGACGCAGAGGTTGCGGTGAGCCAAGATCACGCCACTGCAGTCCAGCCTAGGCGATAGGACCAGAACTTGTCTCAAAAAAAAAAAGGAAAAAAGAAAATACACACTACAGTATTTAGGGGCAATGAGAGCATCATACCAGCAAGTTATTCTCAAACTGTTCAAAATAAAAAGCTCTTTTGTCCTATGCCTGTAACTTGCAATCCAATAAAATTTCTCTAAAAAGATACACTGATTTTTCATTAACTGAAGTAAAGAATTCTAATGGCCCTAAATTCTGCATCATACTCCTCCAAAGAGATGATGTGATTATCCTTCCACTCTAACATCCTTCCCTGTTATTTGTTGGATAAATGCATGCATGCATGCTAGACAATGGGAATAGAGCAATGACCATAATAGACCTCCTATGGAAGGCACATACCGAACAATCAGACAAATAGCTATATAATTCAAATAATAAATGCTATGAAGGGAAAGTATAGGATGCCACAAAAATAGTTAACAGAGACTCCTAATAGCATGTTTGCTGACAGGAAACAGGTCAGAAAGGAGAAACAGGGGAAAACCACCCTTTTAAAAAAGTTAGGTTAATAAGAACTAAACGAAGAGTGGGCATTAGCTAGGTGATGCATGTCTGTAATAACATATGTCAAGACACTAACATGGGAGAGAACATTTGTTATCCCTGGAAGTTAAAAGTCTAAGAAGAGTTAGGACAAGGCAAAAAATTAAGGCAGGCGCCAGATGCCAGACCTTTAAAGAACCTTTAAATGCCATTAAAAGTAATTTAGGATTTTTTCCCTTGTAGTCACTAATTTTCAAACCTTTTTTATTATTCAACCCTAATTTCAAATCAAGTCTTACAGAGACTCTCAATATATAATATAAACTAAAACAGCACTGTCCTATCTAAAGTGGGTAGAGTGCTTTAGAATTTCACCGACTGAGGCTCCTGTTTACCTAAAATGAGGGCAAAGGCAAAAACAGGCAATTGTTTGAGAGAGAGAAGGCAGTATCACAAATAATACATGTTGGGGATATACTAGCTAGACTTCCAATCAAAAACTAATACAATAAATCAATGACAATCATTCACAGAGCATTTACATACAAAGGAAGTAAACACAATGGAGTGATGAGGGGAAAGGGGAAAACATGGTAAATATAGGAAGTAGCGCTAACAGCAGGAGCAGTACTTCTAAATCCAAATGGCAAGGGGTGGGAGAGATTACAACAATGTGGAACAGAAAGTCACACAGAGAAGACCACCTGGAGGAGGCAGTACCTGTGTCCGGACACTGCCAACCCAAGGTAACCTCACAGCGAAGAAACCAGGGAAATAAATATTCTGAATTGGCCTTTCTCACTGCTTCCAATCTACCTGTTTTCTACACTAGCTGAACTGTGATCCAAGTCACAGATACTGATTGACAAAATCCATACAAGTAAGCCTACCGGGCACAGAACAGGAGAGAAAAAGGAAAGCATAGATCAGGAAGATCAAACAGAAGCTATCTGTCATGCAGGAGTATATATAGAAGTACTAGGAAAAATCAAACCTAGTGTTCTGGGAGCAAGGAAAAGGTTTCCATTAGGCAGAGACAATTAAGACGAAGCCTAAACAATGAGCAAGAGTTAGGCAGAAGAAATAGGGGAGACAGACATTCCAGGCAAAGGGACTAGCACTACAAACATACACTTCCAGAAGAGTAAATAAATTAGGATGTTTGAAGCACAGAATATGAGGGAAAAAAAGGGAAAAGAAGAAAACTAGAGCAGCAAGGGGAAATAAGATCAATCTTTTATACCATGCTTCCCTTCCCTTTACCTTTAGGCTAAAGGCAAAGTTTAAGAATTGACATGACCTCATCTGACAGAAATGGGTGTGGGTTTTTAATAAAAGTAACAGGTACAGGGATTTTTTAATGGCTGAAGTCCATTTGCTCTCCTATTTCTTGGTTAAATAGCTCTTGCCTGGTCATTTCACAAGAATTGCAAGGCAGAGTGGAAATGTAGAGAACAATGCAAACACCAGTAATACTAAATTATTACACAAATTCTAATCTACGTTATCCTTTTCAATTTCCCAAATTTTGACTTTTTCAGGAAACAGGCAGGCAAAAATGTTTAGTGATCACATTAAGTCATCTGTTTAACATTCTGAACCAAATAATTGATAATTGAAATTTTACACTAGAGTGTATCCATTCTGCTTCAAAATGGAGAATCTTTCTAAAAATAAAATTGACATCGTGCCCTATTTGCAAAGAACTACAGATTTTCTAAAGTGACACACTGAAAATTTAAGAGACTTGAGGATCAACTCCTTGCCAGGCCCTATTGAAGATACTAGGGATACAGTGATATACAAAACAGATAAGGTTCCTGTCATCATTAAACTTAACCTCAAAAGAAAGAATAGCCATTAAATAAGTACGCATACAAATAAACATAATTACAAACCTGGTATGTAGTACAAAGGATGAAGTAAAAAAAAATTCTGCTATGTAGTACAAAGGATGAAATAAAAAAAAAAAATTCTATTATATTAAGAACAAATATAATTGATGACTCTGCAAAAGCAATGTCCAGGGAGTGGAAGGAAACAAAGTCAAATACAATAGATCGGCTGGGTGTGGTGGCTCATGTCTGTAATCCCAGCACTTTGGGAGGCTGAGGCAAGCAGATCACCTGGGGTCAGGACTTTGAGACCAGCTTGGCCAACATGGCAAAACCCTGTCTTTACTAAAACTACAAAAATTAGCCAGTCGTCGTGGTGCATGTCTGTAGTCCCAGCTACTTGGGAGGCTGAGGCACAAGAATCTCTTGAACCCGGGAGACAGAGGTTGCAGTGAGCTTAGATCGCACCACTGCACTCCAGCCTGGGTGACAGAGCAAGGCTCTATTTAAAAAAAAAAAAAAAAATCACAATGGATTGAGGCATACATATGTTTGAAGGAAGAAGCTGCCAGGAAACAGCAGATTCAAGAACTTGGTTGTAAACTGACAACAGAGAAAGGCAATATATCAAAAGGCATGGTTAGGAAAACTTAAGATGGGAAGACATACACATGTTAAATGTTTATTCGAAGTGGGAACACAAGAGAGATTGAATATAAGAGAAAAAAGGGATGACAGATATGATGACTAATAATGCCAACACTATGTAAAGGTAAATGCTTTATAAGCAATTCCTTATTTAATCTCCAAGGTTAGCACTATTGTCCAAATTCTGCATATGAGATAACTAAACTCAAAAAGGTAGGTAGGAAAAATCACACAGTGACAGAACATGGCTTCAAACACAGGTCTTTATGACTCCAAAATACACCACACTGTCTTATTCTTTCCATATCCTTATCAAACTATGTAAATGCCAGTTACTATGTAATAAAGATACAGAGATGAATAAAACATGGTCCTTATCTTTAAAGAGTAAGGTAAGGAACACAAACATATACCCAAAAATCAATGTAAAAGAAGGAATAAGTTAGAAGGTATAAAACAAAGAGAGGGCCAGTAACTCTATCCTGAGCTGATTAGTGAAGACCTCAGACGGTGTTCCTATTAGGCAGAACAGAAACAGGACAAACTGAATTCCAGGTAAGACAAACACATAATTGGAAAAACAAAGACGCACAAATTTACAGCTGTGTCTGCAACACTTCAAGAAGCTGGGCATGGCAGAAATAGGAGAGTTGAAGAGACCACATCAATGAGACTTTTATGCCATGCTATGGTATCTGAACTATAGGAAGTAAAAATCCATTTCCAGACTTTAAAGCAAGATTAGGCTACTGTGAAGACTCAGACTTCAGAGGTCTGAGCAGTAGCCTGGTGAGTGAACGGCTTACAGACAACCAAAAGAACATGAAATTTGGAAGGAGACTCCCAAACTAGCTGTTTATACTCAAGCTCAAGGACAGTTCCAAAGTCACTTTTTATTTAAAAAAAAAAAAAAAAGGTAGTTTTTATTCTAAGGTTAATGAGAACACTCCGTTGTCATATTTTAGGACACAACAAAGAAATGGTTTCACCCACACTTTGTGATCAACAGGGAGGGACTGAAGATTTGCTTCCTTAACCCCACAAATACAGATTATTTGAGGCAGAATGCAGGCTTAGGTGATTCATTTCTCCAAAAAGCATATTGAACAGAAGCAGGATTGCCAGCTGTTTACCCTAAAAGCAAAGAACAGAGTCTCCAATTTCCAAAAGATACTGCCTTTCCTTTGATTCAGGGCATATCACGTCAGTCTGCCATCTGATGGTTCAGGAAGACTGATGCTTATTTCTGCTAAGCATATTGCTCTGACTCAGGAGCTGTGTAATTCCAGCACCCAGCAGATACAAGAAGCAGAGAAGAAGCCAAAGGATACCAGCTACTCCCCTAGCACAACACAATTAGCCTCAGCAATGAAACCAAATCAAAGGAAAATAAGCTATAATTTAGAACTTTAGGTTTTTGCAAATTGATCTCCAGGTACTTTCCTCATTGCAGAAATCATACCCTACATTCTAATCACCCTGAAAAAACCATGCATGTCTTTCTCTAATGCCATTACCTCAGACTGGAATGCATCTATACTCCGTATCAACATGATAAATGAACAGGCTTCCTTTAAGACCCAATTCAACTGTTATTCCTTCAAGCCATGCTGTAAAACCAGCTCATTCAATCTTCATTCTACCCTCCTGATCCTTGCCCCAAGAATATCTGCTTGCACTGCAGAAGCTAAAAAGCTAAAATCAACATTGTCCAGTTGTTCTCACCACCAGGCTTCTGGATACAATTTCTGATCTATCAATAAAATACTTTCATGGGATTTGGAAACTGAAAGTGAAGTGGAGATCTCTTATTACCACTTTACATTTCCTATTGGCAAAGTAAGTCAAGAAATAAGGTTTTTTTCCAAATTGATGCTCCAGTGTCCATTCTCCAACTGTTTGGATGTTTACAGGCAACCGCACTGGAAACAACAGCTGGACTCCAAGTTCAATGCCCAGTCACCAGGTTTGTGGGTGTCAAGAGGCAGTTGAGGCAGCAACAATGGCAGCAGCTTTCTAAGCCATGGCCTGAAACCCTTGCATAACGTTCTTAAACTCAGTAATTCCTGTGGCACCATCAGTGGTTATAGCTTCCCCAGCAGATCAGTTTTTGAGTTCTGGAACTTATTTGTGGAGAGTAAATTTATATTTAAGATAGTTAGAATGGTTTCTATCTCCTGGTCCTTGAATCATATACACCAAACAAGTTAACACCTTACAGGGGAAGCAGCACACCAAGAAGGAAAGAAAATGAGTAATATCAGTGCAAGAGGCTAACAAACTGGTAAGTGCCAGTTAGACCTTAGATACATGAGAAAAACAATGAATTAGACTAGAATCAGTATCCTAAAATTCCCTTTGACTACAAAAAGTTTTAAGTCCCTGAATCCACAAGTTGTCACACATAAGAAATCATCATTTGTCCAACATGCATGTAATTGCAAGTTTTATCTCAATTGATTATCTTTTTTTCTTGAATATTGGCCATGTTTTCATGGTTCTTCCTAAGTATGGTAATTTTAGATTACATTTTATATGTGGTAAATGATACCTTACAGAAACTCTAGATTCTGCTATAGTCCTTTAAAAAATGTTTTGATTTTCAAGGGCAGAAAAATTAAAAAGATAAAGAAGTAGAAAAGAAAAAACAAACAAAAAATGTTTACAGTAGGCCAGGCACAGTGGCTCACGCCTGTAATCCCAGCACTTTTGGAGGCAGAAGGTGGTGGATCGCTTGAGCCCGGGAATTCGACACAGGTCTGGGCAACATGGTGAAACCCCATCTCTACAAAAAATACGAAAAATTAGCCAGGTGTGGTGGTGCATGCCTGTAGTCCCAGCTACTTGGGAGGCTGAGGTGGGAGGAGGAGGCTTCACCTGAGCCTAGGAAGACAAGGCTGCAGTGAACCATAATCACACCACTGCATTCCAGCTTGGGCGACAAGAGTGAGACCCGGCCTCAAAAAAAAAAGTTGATACTAAACTTAGCTTGACTTAAATCGCAAACTTTCTCCTCCAAGATGGGCAGCAGCTGAAATCTTTGTTCAGTTCTTTTATCCTTGGCTGAGTTGCATGCAGTTCGCTCCACACACAGCTCAGCCTGTAATACAGGCAAAGTTTTAACACAAAATTTGGGGCTCTTTCCCTTCAGGTCTCTCTTTCCACTCACTTTCCAGCTGTTGTGGTCACCATGAACTCTGCCCTCTGGGTCACAAGCTATATGCAGTTTCCTAACTGAGTTTTAGCTGTCTAGCATGGTGCAAAACTAGCTACAAAAATAGCAAACCCAGCCGGGCATGGTGGCTCACGTTTGTAATCCCAGCACTTTGGGAGGCCAAGGTGGATGGATCACTTGAGGTCAGGAGTTGGAGGCCAGCCTGGCCAAAATGGTGAAACCCCGCCTCTATTAAAAATACAAAAATTAGCTGGGCGTGGTGGTGCATGACTGTAGTCCCAGCTACTCGGGAGGCTGGGGCAGAAGAATTGCTTGAACCCAGGAGGCAGAGGTTGCAGTGAGCTGAGATCGCACCATTGCACTCCAGCCTGGGCGTCACGAGACTCTGTTCAAAAAAACACAAAAAAGTAGCAAACCAACCAGGGCTATTTCATTTTTAAAAGTGTATAATAACAATCTCTTATCTGTAGTTTCGGTCTGCTATTAGTTGTTCTTCAGGTACTCTTTGTTTTTTATATTTTGTTCAGAGTTTAAGTTATCTGTAAGAAGACTCATTTGATAGGAACTATTCTGTTATTACCACAGGAAGAATGTTTGGTTGGTTTACTCCTGGAACAGAAACTAAATCCATAGCATTGCCCCTATTCTCTATCCTAAAAATAAATAATATTCTGACCCCATAAGGGTGATGGTTCAAGTTTCATTCTTTGTTCACTCAGGGGTGGGATGGCGGGCTGGTGTGTATGCATGTGTTAAAAGAACATAACTGGGTCCCAGCACTTTGGGAGGCGGAGGCAGGTAGATCACCTGAGGTCAGGAGTTCAAGACCAGCCTGGCCAACATGGTGAGACCCCATTTCTGCAAAAAATACAAAAAATTAGCCGGGCATGGTGGCACGTGCCTGTAATCTCAGCTACTCAGGAGGCTGAGGCAGGAGAATCGCTTGAACGCAGGAGGCAGAGGTTGCAGTGAGCCGAGATCATGCCACTGCACTCCAGCCTGGGTGACAAAATGAGACCCCGTCTCAACAACAACAACAAAAAAGGTAACTGGGAGATGGAACAGTCTGGGTTATTCTAACTATGGATTTCACAGATTAATAAATTGTTTTTAAAAGATTCCAGAAGAAAGGGGGAGGGGACAGGGAGGGGAGGCAGACAGACAAAGCAAAGGAGTAGGGGAGAAGGGGGAAAGGTAATAAAGGACGGGGAGACAGACAGACACAGAAAGAGAAGTACAAAGTATTGCTGCCAATTTTATTGGCCAATAAGGACATTTAAAAAAAACAACTGGCCGGGCACGGTGGCTCACGCCTGTAATCCCAGCACTTTGGGAGGCCGAGGCAGGCGGATCACCTGAGG
This sequence comes from Homo sapiens, assembly GCF_000001405.40. Lineage (NCBI taxonomy): Eukaryota > Metazoa > Chordata > Mammalia > Primates > Hominidae > Homo > Homo sapiens. The sequence continues at coordinate 26,809,058 of NC_000010.11, forward strand.
TCAGGAGTTTGAGACCAGCCTGGCCAACATGGTGAAACCTCGTCTCTACCAAAAATACAAAAATTAGCCGAGCATGGTGGTGGGCGCCTTTAATCCTAGCTACTCGGGAGGCTGAGGCACGAGAATCACTTGAACCCGGGAGGCGGAGGTTGCAGTGAGCCGAGATTGTGCCACTGCACTCCAGACTGGGCGACAGAGTGAGACTTATCTCAAAAAAAAAAAAAAAATTACTAGTCCTCACAGTAATCCCTACACTTTGGGACACCAAGATAGAAGGATCACTTGAACCCAAGAGTTCGAGACCACCCTGGGAAACATAGTGAGACCCCATCTCTACAAAAAGATGAAAAAACCAGCCAAGCACGGTGGCATGCATCTGCAGTCCTAGCTACTCGGGAGGCTGGGTGGGCGGATCCCTTGAGCCAGGGAGTTTGAGGATACAGTGAGCTATGATCACACCATTGCACACCAATCTAGGTGACAGAGCGAGACCCTATGTCCAAATAAATAAATAAATAAAATAAAAATAAAACAAAAATATTACTATAAACTTTCATTTTCACATAAAAAAGGGGGGAAATATTAGAATCAATATATAAGCCTTACCTGACAACAATTCATTAACTTATAATACATATGGACACTAATTAATGTTACTTTTCTTTCTGCATAAACCAAAAACTGTGAGAAAACAGCACTAGCCCTGATAAAACTCTAGACACTGAAGCCTGGTGGAGCTTGCCTGGTGGAGCTCCCTGGATGGTGAACACGCTGATGAGCAAGGAGGGTAGCATGCCCTGATTCCACAAGAAGAGGGCATGGAAGCTCTATGTTTGGAAACTCCCAGACCTTGCCCTGTGTGTCTCTTCATTTGGCTGGTCCTGATCTGTATCCATTAAATAAAATCGTAATCATATGGGTAGTGTTTCCCTGAAATCTTTGAATCATTCCAGTAAATTATCAACCCTGAGAGGGGTTGTGGGAAACTCCCCAGATTTGTAGCTAGTTGGCCATAAGTATGGGTAGAATGGGGACCCTACTTGCCACTAGCACCTGAAATGAAGGCAGACTTCTGGAACTGAGCCCTTCCCTTGTGTGGTCTGCACTAACTCTGTGTGATCAGTGTCAGAACAGTACTGCAGTACCCCACTGGTGTCAGAATACCAAACCCCTAACAGAACTTCTTCCATCATATCTTACGCAAGCTAACCCTATATGCTGGGGATATGGTAGGAATGAAGCCATAAACATGTACAACTTGTATCATCATGCAATCTGCACCAGCCCCACTCTTCAAAATTTCTGGCTCCTTAAGGAATTTCAGCAAATCCACCTCCAGAAAAATTATCTTAAAAAAAAATGTTACTTACTATAAATAGAGAAACCGGTGTTAAATCCCATGAACACTTTTTAAATTTTTTGAAGTAAATGTTTTTATAACACCTCAGGGATCGGCAAACTTTTTCTGGACACAATCAGAGAGTACATCTTTAAGACTTTGCAGGCCATATGGCTTCTGTCGTAACGACTCAACTTTGCCATGTGTCAGCAAAAGCAGCCGTAACAATATGTAAACAAAGGAACACAGCTATGTTCCAATAAAACTTTATTTATAAAAATGGAGGGGGAAGGACTAGATGTGGCTCATGGATCACAGTTTACGGACCCCTGCACTAGATTAACTCGTCTGATGGCATGAAGGTCTGGTTACCACACCAACAACTAATAGTCTGGGAGAGTTTAGTACACCTGTTCTTTTAAAAAAAAAAAAATTAACTGATACAAATTATATTTTAGCCAAAATGTGTTTCCTTGGCAGGAAATGTTAAAGGAAGGAAAAAAGTAAGGGGGTAGGGAAAGAAAGAAAAAGGGGAAGAGGGAGAGAGGAGGAAGGAGAAGGAAAGAAAATACAAAGGAAGAAAACCTAATGCTATCAGAAATCACTGGTATATTTTAGAGTATCTTTTATTTAATTTCAAAAATTTCAGATATCTAAAATATATTAAAATTCATAAATTTCTGCAATTAACATGAAGTAACTTACTATAACTAAGGTTATAAGTAAGCTCATAGTAGTACCAGGCTCTCTGCTAGGTGCTATTAAGAATCCCTGTAGAATAATTTTGAAACAAATGTTTATCAATGTAATAATTAAGAAAATTTTATTTTAGATAATACTGAGCTAAAATTTAGTGCCAAGATAAGGCTTTGTCACTCTAGCCCCCAAATAAGAATGTATGTGTTCTGTAGCATGTATTTACATTCAGAGAAGAATCTATATTCTATATTAGTGTATCTCTACTATAGCTTGCTCCTCTATAAATTTACCGTGTTAATAACTATAATTAAAGCAAGCATGCTTAATTAATCTGAAATAATAAAAGGTGTCCTCCTTCCAAAGAAGGGGAGTTAGGAAATTTGCTCTAAATCATTTTACTATTGGTCCTCAATATTTACAACAGGAAAATTAGCAACTGTTTTGGTTAGGTATCAGTCTTAAAACAGTAAAGCTGAAGATAAAAAATACTATTTCATAATAGGACTTTGGCAGGAAACTTGAGAAATTTTTCGTGTTTTCCTTATGATGTTAAGAATATTATACAATTTTATAACATCCTTTTAAAATTCCAATTTTAATCTATTTCATGAAGAACCAATCTCTGACAAAGATTTGTATAAATTTGTATAAATTTATGCAAAGATTTGTATAAATTTGTATAAATTTATGCAAAGATTTGTATAAATTTATGCAAAGATTTGTATAAATTTGTATAAATTTATGCAAAGATTTGTATAAAGTTTTTAGCAGAAATTTATCCTCTTAACAGTTCTGGTGGCCAGAAATCTGAACAAAATCTTACAGGATCAAATCCAAGAGTGAGCAGGGACAGGCTCCCTGAGAAGGCTCAGGAGGGGGTGTTCACTTGCCTCTTCGAGATTATGGTGACTACCAGCATTCCTTGACTTATCGCCACATCATTCTAATCTCTGCTCCTGTTTCCACACCACCTTCTGCTCTTCTATGTCAAATCCTCCTCTGCCTCCCTCTTATCAGGACATCTGTGATTACATTTATGGCCCACTGCATAATCCAGGATAATCTTCCCATCTCAAGATCTTTAATTTATACTTGCAAAAAGCCCCTTCTGCCAGAAGGTAACATCCACATTCTCAGGGATTAGGGATATCTTTTGGGGGCATTACTCAATACAGCATAGCATGGTTCATCTTAGAAATACTAGATGTGCATACAAACCCACCAGAGTACTGACTAGTACCATTAACATACTTTTCTCACAGTAAATCAGCCATATCAAGTGAGTGCTAATGAATGCTCCTTAGCCACTGGGCAAGGACTGTACATGTCATGCTTTTCTGATTTTGAATGACAAATGACACTTATCAATCTACATTATATCTTTCTGTCAATATTGAAGGTTCTGGTGAAAGTTTATATCCATAATAGCTGGAAAAAAGTATAAAAGTGATAGTGCTAATGACAACATAAGAGGGCTATATTAGTTTGCTAGGACTGCCATAACAAAGTACCACAGGTAAGTGGCTAGGAAATTTACTTTCTCACGACTCAGGAAGCTACAAGTCCAAGATCAACATGTTACCAGGACTGAATTCTTCTCAGGGCCTTTCTCCTTGACTTACAGATGGCCATCTTCTCTTTGCGTCTTCACCCTCTTCTTTCAAGAATACCAGTCATACTGGACTAGGGCCTATTCTGTAACCTCATTTTAACTTAATTACCTCTTCAAAGACCCCATCTCCAAATACAGTCACACTCTGAGGGACTGGGAGTTATGACTTCAAAATATAAATTTGTTGGCGGGGGGACACACAACTCAGCCAGTAAGTGCCAAAGAAGAGTACCATGCTTGATGTTAAAATTCATGAAATGGCCAGACGTGGTGGCTCATGCCTGTAATCTCAGCACTTTGGGAGGCCAAGGCAGGTGGATCACTTGAGGTCAGGAGTTCAAGACCAGCCTGGTCAACATGGTGAAACCCCGTCTCTAAGAAAAATACAAAAATGACCTAGGTGTGGTGGTGCACACCTGTAATCCTAGCTACTTGGGAGGCTGAGGCAGGAGAATCACTTGAATCCAGGAGGCGGAGGTTGCAATGGGTCAAGATCACGACACTGCACTCCAGCCTGGGCCACAGAGCAAGATTCCATCCCCCCGCCAAAAAAAAAAAAATCATGAAACACCTTTAAGAAACTGGCTGAGGAAATCTAAGATAAATACCAACAGTCCATTAGGAATCTGAAGAAGCCCCTTCATAATGGGGATAATGGCACCAAAAATATCACCAAGTAGTCAGTCAGTAAGGATGAAACAAAAAATGTATGACGGAGAGCCAAAAGAAACTACAGGTGGGGATGTATTATCAAATTGGGTGATTCTTTTAAAATGGGAGCATGATGGCCTGCATATAATATTCGCAATACATAATCTATAGGAACTAAACTGTAATAACCACATAAAGCAATAGTTCTCTGACTGATCTAAAGACTCCTGAAGTTCCCAAGATCCTGTCTTTTCTAACTACATATTTTTGTGAAGCAAAATTTCTTCACATACTTCAACCCAAACAACAAATCACAACAGAGTGAATGAAGAAGCAGACATGAGAACCCAGTGATCGTCTTACCAAACATTTTAAAGACACTTTCAGAAATGTAAAACAATGCCACTCTTCTCATAAATTTATTTGTTTTGGATAACAGTTTTTTTCATTAAAATGTTATTTGTACTAACAGTGGATTTCTTTTATTGTTAAATGAGTTAAATACTTTTTAAATTTGTTTGAATATCTGATATGATAAATACTGGAAGATCTACCCAATGAATCCAAAGCCCACGTAGATCCTCAATAATTTAAGATGTAAAAGGTTCCTAACAAAACATCTGAGAAACCAGAGCACTGACTCAGTTAGTGTTTCCATTCTAGGTACCCGCCCTACCTCCCCAGTGCCCACAGTAACTAGGTTTTTGCCTATATAAAACTAAACAGTCTCCTAAAAGATGCAGTTACTTTGAAGGTTTGTTATATAAGGTTTTGTGAGCCCACTGTAGAAATAGACTGGATGGGGCAATTCATCCAATTCCTAAATTTTGAAGACTCTGATTACAAATTGGAGGCATTGTAGTACAGAAGAGAAAATCAGTGGATCATCTATGAGTCAAGATGCCCATCTTTTGATTTCTAATGTTATACTAGCTACCTACGACTTCAGGCAAATCATTTATTTTTTTGGGCATCAGTGTCACAAACTATAACATCAGAGAATAAACCAAATGATCTCATGTCCCTTCCAGTTCTAACTTCCATGATGTGAGGGAAGCCCAAAATTGCCAATGGAAAAAAGAAATCATAATGGACATTGCTAAGCACTCTACAAAGCAAATACTTTAATTGTGAAAAAGTTGGTGATGTGAAAGAATTTAACAGTTGCACACTTTCTCCTAGTATTACTTCCTATATTTTCCAGGAAAAGTGACTGGCACCTTTAGATGACTACTGTGTCATAAGAAATATCACTATAAGAATCTTTTAAAAATTTACAAAATAAGAAGTGAATATTGGTTACAGAAAGGACTTATCAGTAATTACTTCACCAAGGAAAGCTACTAATATTTGGTAACTTAATCTAAGACAGGAAAAATGGGGGATAAAATTGTTAAAATAGAAAACTTTATAAATCTAAAACATGTCAACACACAAACAGAAAGTTAAAAGCTCCACACTGAAAGGAAAGGGACTCTTTCCTGAAATAATTAAGGTTTAGTTTATCCAAGTCCTGATAGAATTGGAGATGATTTTTGTTTGTTTTAGTTTAAAAATTTTTTGAAACTGAAAACTCAAACAAGCTCTGAATTCTAAATTTTGAGATTATGTCCTAATTGGCACATAATCTATGCTGTATTAAGAGATTATAAAGCAGAATTTTAACTAAAAACACACCACTCAACAGCCAAGGTATGACAGATGTAAATCCCTCATAAAGCTCTGAGAGATTTAAAAAAAAATTTCTTTCACTACAATGCATTTACTTAAACAATGTTTTAAGAATAGCAATTTGGAAGAGCAAGGAAATACTCTTTTTAATTCCCCAATTAAGAATAAATGCCCCCCCCAAAAGCCTGTTTTTATGTAAATTTAGCCAATTAGATTTCAGCTGCATTTAAGAGTTCCAAGTAATTCAATGTAATTTACAGAATTACAAAAGCTTCATTTACCTAGTCACCTTAATTTTTTTATGATTCAGTAAGTCAATTGATAGTATTAACAGCTTTATTTTTAAATCTACTGAAATAACTACATCTGTATGAATTAAGACATCTTCCAAAGAATGAGAATTGAATTCAGTAAGCTCAGCAGAACACAGAGAATATTCATAATTAAATAAAGAAGAAAAATAATTTGAAAATGTTTTGTTACTGAAAAAACAAAATATAGGCAGTTGTTTTGCACAGTTCTGATACGCATGAATTTCAGTTACCATATTTTAGTTAACACCAGTCCTCCAACTACACAATTTAAATTTCAGTTACATTCAGGTGCAGTGGTTCACACCTGTAGTGCCAGCACTTTGGAAGGCCAAGGTGGAAAGATCACTTGAAGCAAGGAATTTAAGACCAGCCTGGGCAACACAGCAAGATCCCATCTCTACCTCACCACCCAAAAAAATTAGCTGGGTATGGTGGTGTGCATCTGTGGTCCCAGCTACTCAGGAGGCTGAGGCGGGAGGATCATTTGAGCCCAGGAGTTCAAAGCTGCAGTGAACTATGACTGTGCCACTGCACTCCAGCCTGAGCAACAGAACAGGATTCTGTCTCATAAAAACATAAAAATAAATAAATTTCAGTTACCACAAGAACTATAAATAATCGCACAAAGCAGAAACTTCGCTGCTAGGTCTGAAGTCCACATAAGTAACAGATGAGCATCATTACTGGTTACCAATCGTGTCTTTGTTTCAAAGTTTATTGGTGAATGGTCTCTGTACATCTGATATTAAGTTTATCCACAGACTACAAAGTACATAGTTGTGCTGCTTCCTTGTCCCCTAAATGATAAGCCATTGTGACATTTTACAAAACTGGGTATCAAAGAGAGAACTGGCCAACAAAGATGAAACTGCAGCAAATACATGAAAAGTGATAATGCTAGATAGAGGTGAAATTCGAATTGAATGTAAATGGGATTAAAACAGAAATAATGCATACAGGAATGCTAACATTGCTGCCATTCAGGAGACTACAGATATGCAGCCAGAAGAATATCATGAAGGCAAATGTATTAACATAAATGAACAAAGTGGCTGAGAAGAAAGGGAAGAAGATACTACAGATAAAATGATACCCATAAAAACTTTATGTTAAAGAAACTCTAGAAGATATTTCACAACATTTAAAATCCAAAGGATAAAATGTTGAGAGGAGCTGATCCACCCAGAGAAAGGAGAATGACAATTTGCCAAGGCACAGAAAAAAATGTGTGCTTCATAACAACTTACACAGTGAGAAGGTAGCAAGCACTATTCAAACTACTTTCTTAAGAAATAAAACCCTTTAATTCTCAATACCTCGAATGTTTTACATTATGGTATACTAAACATTAGCATAACTTTTTTTTCATTTCTCTATTCATTTATAACAAAAAGAGAGATTTTAATGTTTTGACAAAAAATTTTACAGATCACAGAACAACCATAATTTTACCCATTGACTAGTAAGATTGTTTTGTATACCTTGAGCATGCATCACCATTTTTTATAATCTCCAATAACCATGCAAAATAATCACTGCCTATACATAAAATGTACAGTGATCCTCTGGTTATAATCCATGTATAAGAATCAACTAAAAACTAGGTTCTATTATATTTTTCCTAAGTAATTTTGCAAAGACTTTGTGTGTGTGTGTGTGTGTGTGTGTGTGTGTGTGACGGAGTCTTACTCTGTCGCCCAGGCTGAGGTACACTGGTGGGATCTCAGCTCACTGCAACTTCTGCCTCCCGAGTTGAGGCGATTCTCCTGCCTTAGCCTCCTGAGTAGGTGGGATTACAGGTGCCTGCTAGCACGCCCGCCTAATTTTTGTATTTTTAGTAGAGACGGGGTTTCACCATGTTGGCCAGGCTGGTCTCAAACTCCTGACCTCAAATGATCCACTCACCTCAGCCTCCCAAAGTGCTGGGATTACAGGCCACCATGTCCGGCCAAGAGATTTATTTTAATTCAGTAAACACTGCAAACCAGTCATTTGCCAGACATTGTGCAAGTCCTCAAGAACCAGCATGAATCACTCTACACTAGATTCTGTTCTACAAAAAAAATTATTTTAGCAAAGTTCCAATCTATATCAATTTTGTCCTAAAATCTAAAAAGGCAACAGGATACCACCAAACATGAAAATAAGCTGGGCACAATGGCACATGTCCGTAGTCCCAGCTACTCAAGAAGCTGAGGTGGGAGGATCACTTGCGGATGGAGAGTTAGTGCTTAACAGGTACATTGTTTCAGTTTGGAAAAAGGAAAGAAGTTTTGGAGATGAATGGTGGTGATAATTACAAAACAATGTCAAGGTACTTAATGCCACTGTACACTTAAAAATGGTTGAATGATCAATTTTATCTTATGCATATTCTGCCACAATAATAAACAGGGATAAAAAGCAAAAATCTCTTTTAGATATACAAAAGCTGAAAGAACTCATCACCAGCAGAATAGAGCAACACTTCATGCTAAAGTATTCCAAGGGAATAAAAACCACCAAAACTCTGGGCTATAAAACAATTCCTGGCCGGGCACGGTGGCTCATGTCTGTAATCCCAGCACTTTGGGAGGCCGAGGCAGGCAGATCACTTGAGGTCAGGAGTTTGAGACCAGCCTGGCCAGCATGGTGAAATCCCATCTCTACTAAAACTACAAAAAAAAATAGCTGAGCATGGTGGCGCATGCCCGAAGTCCCAGCTACCCGGGAGGCTGAGGCAGGAGGATGGCTTGAACCCAGGAGGCAGAGGTTGCAGTGAGCCAAGATGGTGCCACTGCACTCCAGCTTGGGAGACAGAGCAAGACTCCATCTCAAAAAAAAAAAAAAAAAAAAAAAAAAAAAAAAAAAAATTCCTAACAAATTTGAAAGGACTCAAATCATATAATGTATATTTTCTGATCAGAAATAATAACTATGGGTAAATATAAAGGAATTAATTTCCTCATATTAAATCTCATTCAAAGCTAGTTGCTTTTCAAAACAAAAATAATGGCTAGGCACAGTGGCTCATGTCTGTAATCCCAGCACTTTAGGAGGCCAAGGCAGGCAGATCACTTGAGGTCAGGAGTTTGAAACCAACCTGGCCAACATGGTGAAACCCCGTCTCTACTAAAAATACAAAAATTAGCTGGCATGCACCTGTAATCCTAGCTACTCAGTAGGCTGAGACATAAGAATCACTTGAAACTGGGAAGGTGGGGTGGGGGAAGGCAGGGGCAAAGGTTGCAGTGAGGCAAGATCACGCCACTGCACTCCAGCCTGGACAACAAAGCGAGACCCCGTCACAAAAAAAAAAAAAAAAAAGAGCAAAGCATTGTGGGGTTTAAAACATACACAAAAAGAAAATGCGTGACACAAGCCAGGCGTGGCGACTTATACCTGTAATCTGTAATCCCAGTACTCTGGGAGACCGAGGTGGGTGGATCACGAGGTCAGGGGTTCAAGACCAACCTGGCCAAGATGGTGAAACCCTGTCTCTACTAAAAATACAAAAATTAGCCGGGCATGGTGGCGGGCACCCATAATCCCAGCTACTCACTCGGGAGGCTGAGACAGAGAATTGCTTGCACGTGGGAGGCAGAGGTTGCAGTGAGCCGAGATCGCACCACTGTACTCCAGCCTGGGTGACAGAGCGAGACTCCGTCTCAATAAAAGAAAAAAGAAAGTGCATGACACCAACAGCCCTAAGACAGGAGAGAAGTGGAATCAACTATTACAAAGTCTTAAACATACTCCTGAAGTAATAGCATAGTCTACCTTCAAGTGATATTAAAAAGTTTAAAGATGTTTACCAGAAGCCCTAAGGCAAACATGAATGAAATAATAAAAGAGAGAAGCAGAACAAAGTGTTACACCAAATCAGCACCCCCCCCAAAAAAAATTCACTCCATTAACACACAAGGAGGCAGAAAAAGAGGATAAAAGGAAAGCTGGAATGGTTGTATTCATATCAGACAAAGCAGATTTCTGAAGAATACTACCCAAGATAAAAAGAGGCTTTACAAAGATAAAGGGTCTATTCATCAAGTGGACCTAACAAGCCAAAGCATTTGTGTACCTAATATAGTATCACTTCAAAATACGTAACAGAAAAAAGACTAAAATGCAAAGAAAAATAGACATTCAGAATTATAGTTGGAGATTTCAATTTACCTTCCTTAATAATTGATAAAACAATTAGATAGAATCAGTAAAGATACAGAAGAATTGAATATTATCAACCAACTTGACTTAATGAGATTTATAGACATTCCACCTGACCAGAGAAAAATACACATTCTTCTCAAATGCACACAAAACATTTACCAAGACAGAGCATATTCTGGGATATATAACAATTCTTAATAAATATGAAAGGACTCACAGCATATAAAGTATTATTCAGAATAGCCAAGACACAGCATCAATCTAGGTGTCTATCAATGGATGAATAGGAAAATATGGGGGGGATATACATATACATTTATTTAAACAGACTACAATTCCTATTATTCAGCCTTAAAAAAGAAAATTCTGTTATTTGCAACATGACACAACAGATGAACCTGTAGGACCTTACAGTAAGTGAAATAAGCTAGGCGCAGACAGACAAACCCTGAATGATCTCCCTTTTTCAGATGTGGAATCTAAAAAAATCAAAGCTCACTGAAGCAGAGAGTAGAATGGTAGTTGTCAGAGACTAGGGGGTAAGGGAAATGGGGAGCTGTTGCTCAAAGGGTACAAAGTTTCAGCTATGCAGGATGAATAAGTTCTGGAGATCTAATGTACAGCATGATGACTATAGTTAATAATATAGGGTTGTAGACTTGAAATTTGCTAAAAGAGGAAATCTTAAATGCTCTCGCCACACACAAAAAAAGTAGCTGTGTGAGGTGATAGATATGCTAGTCAGCTTGATAGTGGTAATCATTTCACAATGTATATGTATATCAAAACATCACATTGTACATCTTAAATATATATGATTTTTGTGTCAATTATAACTCAATAAAGCTGCGGGGGAAAGCTACTTAATGAAAAAAAAATCAAATGAGGTGTATTTTTCTGACCAGTAAGAAATTAAATTAGAAAAATCAACAGCAGAAATATCCTTGCAAAACCTGAAAATACTTGCAAACTAAGCAACACATTTCCAATAACCCCTGGGTCAGAAAGAAATAAAAAAGCAAACTTAGAAATTATATTCAGCTAAATGAAAATGAAAGCATAACATATCTAAATGTATGAGATACAGCTAATGCACTTTTTTTTTTTTTTTTTGAGATAGAGTTTTGCTCTGTCACCCAGGCTGGAGTACAGTGGCGCGATCTCGGCTCACTGCAACCTCCGCCTCCCAGGTTGAAGTAATTTGCCTCAGCCTCCTGAGTGAGTAGCTGGGATTACAGGTGCCCGCCACCACGCCCGGCTAATTTTTGTATTTTTAGTAGAGACAGGGTTTCACCATCTTGGTCAGGCTGGTCTTGAACTCCTGACCTCATGATCCACCCACCTCGGCCTCCCAATAATACACTATTTAGAGGGACATTTACAGACCTAAACACCTATGTTAGAAAAGATTAAGGGTCTCAAGTAAATTAAATGACCTTGGCTTTCACCTTAATAAAGTATAAAATAAGGCTGGGTGTGGTGGCTCACACCTGCGATCCTAGCACTTCGGGAGGCCAAGGCAGGCAGATCACTTGAGCCCAGGAGTTTGAGACCAGCCTGGCCAACATGGTGAAACCCTGCCTCTACTAAAAATACAAAAAAGTTCACTGGGCGTGGTGAGGTGCACCTGTAATCCCAGCTACTCAGAAAGGTAAGGCACAAGAAAGGCTTGAACCTGAAAGATGGAGGTTGCAGTGAGCCGAGATCATGCCACTGCACACCAGCCTGGGCATCAGAGCAAGACTCCATCTAAAAAAAAAAAAAAAAGTATAAAATAAGAGCAAATCAATCCCAAGGTAAGGAAAAGAAAAAGAAATAATAAAGATCAGAATGGAAATCAATGCAACAGAAAACAAAAACATAGAAAATTAATAAGGCCAAAGATGTTTTTAATATCGATAAAGTTGGTAAACTAGCCATAATGATTAGTTTAAAAAAGAAAGATGACACCAATTACCAATATGAAGAATGAGCAATGTGAAATTATTATAGATTCTACAGATATTTTTAAAATAAGAGATTAGGCAGGGTGCTGTCGCTCAAGCATGTAATCCCAACACTTTGGGAGGCCAAGGTGGGTGGATCACTTGAGATCAGGAATTCAAGACCAGCCTGGCCAACATGGCAAAACCCCGTCTCTACTAAAAATACAAAAAATTAGCCAGGCGTGGTGGCGAGCGCCTGTAATTCTAGCTACTTGGGAGGCTGAGGCAGGAGAATTGCTTGGACCCAGGAGGCGAAGGATGCAGAGAGCCAAGATCACGCCATTGCACTCCAGCCTGGGCAACAGAGCAAGACTCTTGTCTCAAAAAAAAAAAAAAACAAAGCAGGAGGATTATTATAAATGTTTTATGCAAATAAATCTGTCAATTTAGGTGAAATAGCTAAATTCCTAGAAAGATAAAAAGCTCACTCAAGGAAAAACAAATAAACAGAATAGGCTTGTATCCACAAAGGAAATTAAATATGTAGTTAAAATCCTTTTCACCAGGAACACTCCAGGTCCAGATGGAATACTGCCCATTACAGTCAATAAAACCAGCATTACACTGACACCAAAACCAGACAAAGGCATTACAAGAAAACCACAGCCCAACAGCACTCAAGAGTACAGAAACAAAAATTCCTAATACACACACAAACCAATGTAATTCACCATATTAATAGACATATATATATATACATACACACACATATATATGATCATTTCAACAAATGCAAAGAAGCGTTTGATAAAATTCACCACCCATTCCTGATAAGAACACTCAGCAAACTAAGACTAAGTGGTATAACCACTTTGAAAAACAATTTGGTAGGTTCTTCTAAAGTGAAACAGACACCTACCACATGACCTCTCCATTCTGCACAGAGGTACTTACCCAAAAGAAATAAAAGCATATGACCACACAAAGATTTGCATACAAATGTTTTCATAGGATTTGTAATAGCCAAAACCTAAAAACAACCCAGATTTCCATCAACATGTGAACACATAAACAAAATGTGTAACAATAGAAACTACTCAGCAATAAAAGAGTGAACTACTTTTACATGCAAAAACATGAATGAATCTCAAAATAATTATCCATAGTAAAACATGCCAGACCAAAAAAAAAATTAGTAAATACTATATGATTCCATTTATATAAAAATTTAGAAAATGTAAACTAATCTCTAGGGACAGAAACCCTAAGGACAAGGGACAAGAGGGAGGGATTACGTAGGAGAATGAAGAAATTTGGCAGGGGGAAAGGGGATGGTTCATTATCTTGAATGTGTTGATGGTCACATGGGTATACATGTGTGTCAAAACTTATAAAAATTCTGTTCTTTATGTACAAATAACTTTACGTCAGAAAAGCTCTTAACAGTAGGACAGTGGTGACAGTTGTACAATGTGAATGTACTTAATGCTACTGAATTATACACTTAAAAATGGTTAAAATGGTCAATTTTATGTTATGTTTACCTTATCATGATAAAAAAAGGACTAAAAGAAAAACAGCAGGTTTACCAAACTAAAACAGTGTTAATGATTATCACCAGTAAGATGAGTCAGAAATCCATACATGCAGGCTATTTACTTCTTTGGCATATGCTGTAGTTTTTTTTAAATTGAATTTAAAGCATTTTATAAGCTGTTACCTGTGAGATATGATTGATGGAAGACTCCATTCTCCGAAGCTGAGAGGCTTGGATATCCAGCAACTGGAGTACATTGTTGGCCAATGCATTTATTTGATAAGCAACACTAGCTAGAGATTGGGTTGTATAGGCTTTGGTCTCCTCTAAAGCTTTTCTCTTGTCTGTAGCCTGAAATAAGAACAAAAACAACAAATACTTATTTAGATTAACATTCATTAAATATATATTCTATAGAAAGGCAAAGTTATATTATTTTACTAGAGAAATTCAATAAAAAAAAACTCACTGTACCAATATGATAGTCTCAGGATACTACTGAATTAAGCCATGGCAGAAATCCCTATGTGCCAGCTGGGAACCACTCTCTCCTGAGTAGCTCATCCACTAAAGGGGCCACTAACTGTAGTCACAGTATCAGAGACACACTGCACCAACTGGTTCTCCTTGCCTAGACCCTTTCCATCACCAATTCACTGCATTACATCATAAGGACTTTACTGTCAGCCTCAAGCTCCCAATCCACTTACAATGAAATGGACTAAATCCAATCTGCCTTATATTCCTGTGTCCACTAACCACCATCGGAAATCCAACTTCCTTGTTATCTATGATGATTCAAGCCTATCATGCCCCACAAAAACTACTGTGAATCTTATGTGCTCCAATTCCTTACCCACCCCTTCTTCCCAAACTCCTATAGATAACTCAGAAGGCAAGAACTCCTCAAAGAGGAGCAAGGTTAAAAGGTGACAAACTGTAGGTGGGTAAGAAGGGGAATCAACAACTTACACCACAAAGAGTAAATATCACTAACATATAATCTAAAAATGAAAAAAAAAAAGGCTATCCTAGCTACCTACAACTTCAGGAAAATCATTTATTTCTCCAGGTATCAGTGTCATGAACTCAGAGACTAAACAAAATGGTCTCACGTCCCTTCCAGTTCTACACAGAAAAAAAAAATGGAACAGAGATCTAACAGAAAGCTCACCAAAAAAGCAATGGAACCACTCTTAACCACTGAAAAGATGTTCAACCTCACTCATTATAGGAAAGAAATGCAAGTGCAAACCAATATGAGATACTATTTCTCATTCACCCAAATGACAAATATACAAAAGTCTGACAAGACACTCAGCAAAGCTGTGAGAAAAAACTCTGATGCACTGGTAAGTGATATCCAGCAATATTACACACAGATTTACTTTCTGACCCAGTAAGCTCACTTTTAGGAATGTATCTCAAAAAATCACTGGCAAAAATACAAAACCATATGTACACAGTTATTCACTGCAGCACTATCTATAATAGCAGAAGACTGGAAACAACCCATATAACTATCAATAGGAGACTGTTTGAATAAGCTATAATATCTCCACACAATAGAGTATTATACTGCCATAATAAGGACAAGGAATTCAAGGAATTTCTCTGTTACCATGACTCCATGATCTCCAGAATATTGCTAAGGTGAAAAAAAAAATGTGGGAAAAAATGTGTATAATATGCTACTTCTTAACAGAGGGAAATATGAAAATGCATGTTTTTTTAAAGGAAAAACAAACCTTGGCATTAAAAAAAAAATCACATACAGGAGGAGAGGTAATAAATAGGATAGAGAAAACATGGACAGTAGATAGAATCCCTTAAGCATATCTTGTTTCACAGATTTCTCTTTGGAACTACATACAGGCACACTGCAAAGATACTGCGGTTTTGGCTAGAGACAGTGTATATATAAAAGTTATGTTTATATTATGCTGTAGTCTATTAAATGTGCGATAGTACTATGTCTAAAAAAACTAGGTACATGCCTTAATTAAAAATACTTTATTGCTTAAAACAGAATGCTAACCATCTTCAGAGCCTTCAGAGAGTCCTAATATTTGTGTGCTGGTGGAGGGCTTTGCCTCCATATTGATGGCTGCTGACTGATCAGGGTGGGATTTTTGAAGGTTGGGGTAGCTGGGGCAATTTCTTAAAATAAGACAACAATGAAATTTGCTGCATCTATTGACTTTTGTTTTAACAAGATTTCTCTATGGCATGCGATATTTGATAGCATTTTACCCTCAGTAGAACTTCTTTCAAAACTGAAATCAAGCCTGGGTGTGGTGGCGGCTTGTACCTGCAATCCTGGCCAGTTGGGAGACTGAGGCAGGAGAATTGCTTAAGCCCAAGAGTTTGAGGACAGCCTGGGCAACACA
The DNA here is from genome assembly GCF_000001405.40 of Homo sapiens. NCBI lineage: Eukaryota > Metazoa > Chordata > Mammalia > Primates > Hominidae > Homo > Homo sapiens. The sequence goes on from NC_000010.11 coordinate 26,825,345, forward strand.
GTGAGACCCTGTCTCTGAAAAAAAAATTTTTTTTGGCCGGGTGCCATGGCTCACGCCTGTAATCCCAGCACTTTGGGAGGCTGAGGCGGGAGGATTACCTGAGGTCAGGAGTTCGAGATCAGCCTGGTCAACATGGTGAAACCCTGTCTCTACTAAAAATACAAAAAATAGCTTGGCATGGTGGTATGTGCCTGTAATCCCAGCTACTTGGGAGGCTGAGGCAGGAGAATCGCTTGAGCCCAGGAGCCAGAGGTGGCAGTGAGCTGAGACCGTGCCACCGTACTCCAACCTGGGCAACAAGAGCAAAACTCTGTCTCAAAAATAAATAAGTAAATAAAATTTTAATGAGTCAATCCTTTCAAGCACTACCGATGCTTTATCAACTAAATTTATGTAATATTCCAAATCCTTTGTTGTCATTTCAACAAGGTTCACAGCGTCTTCAGCAGGAGTAGATTCTATCTCAAGAAACTATTTCCTTTGTTCACCTATAAGGAACAACTCATCCATTCAAGTTTTCTTGTGAGATTGCAGCCACTTCTTCGGGCTCCAATTCTAATTCTCATTAGTTCTCTTGCTGTTCCCACCATATCTGCAGTTACTTCCTCCACTGAAGTCTTGAACCCCTCAGCATCATCCATGAGGGCTGGAATCAACTTCTTCCAAAATCCTGTTAATGTTGATATTCTGACCTCCTCCCATGAATTACTAATGTTCCTAATGGCATCCAGAATGGTGAATCCTTTCCAGAAAGTTTTCAATTTACTTTTCCCAAGTTCATCAGAGGAATCACTATCTAAGGCAGCTATAGCCTTACAAAATGTATTTCTTAAATAGTAAGATTGGAAAGTCAAAATTACTCTATGGGGCTGCAAAATAAGTATGTGTTAGCAGGCATGAAAACAACATTAATCTCCTTATACATCACCATCTTAGATGACTAGGTGCACTGTCAATGAGCAGTAATATTTTGAATGGAATCTTTTTATCCGAGCAGGTCTCAACAGTTGGCTTAAAAGATTCCATAAACCATGCTGTAAACAGATATGCTGTCATCCAGGCTTGGTTGTTCTGGTTAAAGAGCACAAGCAGAGCAGATTCAGCATAATTCTAAAGGGCCTTAGGATTTTCAGCATGGCAAATGAGCACTGGATTCAACTTAAAGTCACCAGCTGCATTAGCCCCTAACAAGAGAGTCAGCCTAGCCTTTGAAGGCCAGGCATGGGCTTCTCCTCTCTCCCTGTAAAAGCCCTAGACGGCATCTTCTCCCAATAGAAGACTGTTTCGTCTACATGGAAAATCTGATATTAAGTGTAGCAACCTTCGATAATCTTAGCTAGATCTTCTGGGTAACTTGCTGCAGCTTCTACATCAGCACTTGCTGCTTTACCTTGCACTTTCACGTTATAGAGATGGCTGCTTTCCTTAAACCTCATGAACCCGCTGGCTTCCAACTTTTCTTCTATAGCTTTCTCACCTCACCTCTCTCAGCCTTCACAGAACTGAACAGTTAGGGCCTTGTTCTGAATTAGGCTTTGGCTTAAGGGAATATTGTGGCTAGTTTGATTTTTTTTTTTTTTCTTTTTTGAGACGGAGTCTCGCTCTGTTGCTCAGGCTGGAGTGCAGTGGCACAATCTTGGCTTACTGCAACTTCCACCTCCCAGGTTCAAGAGATTCTCCTGCCTCAGCCTCCCAAGTAGCTGGGACTACAGGCACGAGCCACCATGCCTGCCTAATTTTTTGTATTTTTAGTAGAGACAGGATTTCATCATGTTGTCCAGGCTGGTCTTGATCTCCTGACCTCATGATCCACCAGCCTCGGCCTCCCAAAGTGCAAGGATTACAGGCGTGAGCCACCGTGCCCGGCCTGGTTTGACCTTCTTTTTTTTTATCTCGAGACAGAGTCTCACTCTGTCGCCCAGGCTGGAGTGCAGTGGCGTGATCTCGGCTCACCGCAAGCTCCTTCTCCCAGGTTCATGCCATTCTCCTGCCTCAGCCTCCCAAGCAGCTGGCACTATAGGTGCCTGCCACCACACCTGGATAATTATTTGTATTTTTAGTAGAGATAGGGTTTCACCATGTTAGCCAGGATGGTCTCGATCTCCTGACCTTGTGATCCATCCACCTCCGCCTCCCAAAATGCAGGGGAATTACAGGTGTGAGCCACCACGCCCAGCCTGGTTTGACCTTCTATCCAGACCACTAAAACTTTCTCCCTATCAGCAATAAGGCTTTTCACTTTCTGTTTTTTGTTTTTTTTTTTTTTGAGATGGAGTCTTGCTCTGTCACTCAGGCTGGAGTGCAATGGAGTGATCTCGGCTCACTGCAAACTCTGCCTGCTGGGTTCAAGCAATTCTCCTGCCTCAGCTTCCCAAGTAGCTGGGACTACAGGCATAAGCCACCATGCCCAGGTATTTTTTGTATTTTTAGTAGAGACAGGGTTTTGCCATGCTGGCCAGGCTGGTCTTGAACTCCTGTCCCTTGTGATTCCACCCACCTCAGCCTCCCAAAGTGCTGGGATTACAGGCGTGAGCCACCGCACCCGGCCAGCTTTTCTCTTTCTTATGATTCATGTGTTCAGTGGACTAGCCCTTTTAATGTCCTTCAAGAACTTTTCCTTTGCATTCACAACTTAGCTAAAGTTTGCAGCAAGAGGCTTAACGTTTGGCCTATCTCAGCTTTTGACTTGCCTTCCTCGCTAAGCTCCCATTAGTAGTTTTTTATTTTAAATGAGAAACACGCAATTCTTTCACTTGAACACTTAGAGGCCAACATAGGGTTATGAATTGGCCCAATTTCAATATTGTTGCATCTCAGGCAATAGGGAGGCCCAAAGAGAGGGAGAGACAGAAGGAATGGTCAGTTGGTGGTACAGTCAGAACATACAACAATTACTAAGTTCACCATCTCACATGAGTGCAGTTTGTGGTGCCCCAAAACGATTACAGTAATAACATCGAATATCACCATAACAGATACAGTAATAATAAAAAGGTTTGAAATATTTTAAGAATTACCAAAATATGACAGAGACATGCAAAGTAAGCACATGCCCTTAGAAAAACGGCACCAACACTTGCTCGATGCAAGGTTGCCAGAAACCTTCAATTTGTAAAACACGCAGTCTGCAAAGCGCAGTAAAGCAAAGCACAATAAAGAGAAGCATGCCTGTAAATAATTCACACAATTATAAAATAAAATTTAAATTTAAAAAGGAATTACCCCAAAGTAAAGGTAAATTAATCAAATGAGCCTAACTGTGCATCCAATTAGTGGCCTAAACCAGAGAGAAACCACTCTACAAGTGGCTTCAAAGCACAGTAATTCGAATGTACATTCTTAATAGGATTTACCATTAGAATAAAAGTAATTGAAAGAGGGGAAGGAAAAACTGAAATTGTTTTTAGTCTCTTTATTGCTGGTGTTAATACTGAAATTATTACCGATACTGTTATTTGCATAGGGTGGGATATAGCAAATCATTAATTATGTCACTGAGAACTGAAATTTGGGGCATGGTTCAAAATAGATTTTGACATAAGAAAATCCAGGTTAAGAAAGAATCCTTTAGTTCTAGATTTAAACTAAAAGCACCAGTTTAGCCGGGCGCGGTGGCTCACGCCTGTAATCCCAGCACTTTGGGAGGCCAAGGCGGGCGGATCACGAGCTCAGGAGATCGAGACCATCCTGGCTAACACGGTGAAACCCCATCTCTACTAAAAATACAAAAAATTAGCCGGGCGCAGTGGCAGGCGCCTGTAGTCCCAGCTACTCGGGAGGCTGAGGCAGGAGAATGGCGTGAACCTGGGAGACGGAGCTTGCAGTGAGCCCAGATCGCGCCACTGCACTCCAACCTAGGTGACAGAGCGAGATTCTGTCTCAAAAAAAAAAAAAAAGCACCAGTTTAAACCTAAAATGTATTTATCACATCATAATATCCCAGCTCTGTCCAATGAAAAGATCTAAGAATAAAGACTGTCTAGCAGCCATGGAGCACCACCTATAATCCGTATAGTGATGCACCTAAAACAGGCTGTGTATCAAAAGGTACCTGGTTACAATTTGGTGACTATAGTTAATAATAACTTATTGTATACTTGAAAATTGCTGAGAGTAAATTTTAAGGTTCTCACCACAAAAAGAAACTTTGTGAGGCAATGTATGTTAATTAGCTTAACTTAGACATTCCACAATGTATGCACATTTCAAAAAATATTGTACATCATAAATATACACAATTTTTATATGTCAATTTTAATAAATAAACAACAAAACAAAAAAGCCACCGAGGAATTTTCTAGGGTCATGTCAAAAGGACTCAATGTAAGGATCAATGAGGATCATAACTTCAATGGAATGAAACACACAAAATGTTTACATTTAAGACTTCATAACAATATTAAAAAGATAAAAACAAACCAAAAAGTCACTAGCGACTTTTGTAGGATGCTATGGATCACCTCATTTTTTTCTTGGATGAGGAAGGGAGGTCAGCATTAATATTAAGTACGAAATGCATACATTAAAATTTAAAAATTTTCAGTGTACAATTCAATGTGCTTTGATAAATGGGTACAGTAGTATAACCACCATGATAAAGAACATTTCCCTCATAACTCCCTCCCCATCCTCCGGACCCTGGAAACCACTGACTTCCTTTCTGTCACAACAGTTTTGCCTTTTCTAGAGTTTCATATAAATAGAATTGAAAGCTACAGTCTTCTGTATCTGGCTTCTTCCACTTAGCAGAATGCCCTTAAGATTCATCCTTGTTACCGCTAAGTAGTGTTCTATTGTATGGATGTATCCTAATTTGTTTCTCCATTTATCAGCTGATGGACATTTGGGTTGTTTCCAGTTCTGGGCTACTAAGAATATTTGAGTAGAAGGTCTTGTGTGGAGGTATGTTTTCATTTCTTTTGGGTAATACCTAAAGATACAACTGCTGAGTCACATGGTAAGTTAAGTGTATATTTAACATTGTAAGAAACTACCAGTTGGGCATGGGGGCTCATGACTGTAATCTCAGCATTTTGGGAGGTCATGGCGAGAGGACTGCTTAAGCTCAGGAGTTCGAGACCAGCCTGAGCAACATAGTGACACCCTGTCTCTACAAAAATAAAAAATCAGATAGGCCTGGTGGCTTATGCCTGTGGTCCCAGCTACTTGGGAGCTTGAGGTGGGAGGATCAGTTGGGCCAGGGAGGTTGAGGCTGCAATGAGCTGTGATTGCACCACTACACTCCAAGCCTGAGCAACAGAACAAGACCCTGTCTCCTTTAAAAAAAAAAAAAAAAACAAAACTACCAAACTATTTTACAAAGAAACAGAAACAACATTATTTGGCATTCTCACTAGAAACTTATGAAAATTCTAGTGCTCCACATCCTTGCCAACACTTGGTATGGTCAGTCTTTTTAATTTTAAATATTCTAGTAGGTATATAGTGGTATCTCATTATGGTTTTAATTTCCATTTTGCTATCAAATCATAATGTTTTCAAGTGCTTGTGCAGCATCCATTTCTTCATTGATAAAATGTTCAAATATTTTGCCCATTTTTTTAATTTTAAAGACAGTGTCTTTCTCTGTACCCAAGGCTGGAATGCAGTGGCACGATCATAGTTCACTGCAGCCTTGATCTCCTGGGTTCAACTGATCCTCCCACCTCAGCCTCCTGAGTTGCTGGGACTGATAACAGTCTAATAACCCCACTTAGATAACAAAACAAGGGTCCCATGTGCATTTTTTTAAGTTTTCTACCATTTTGTTTCCATGTCTTTAACTCTCCTCCCATTCCTTCTAGAAATGTCACATCTGTCACAACATATTTGTCTTTTATAGCTTTTAACTTATCTCTAATCCAAACCTATACCCAAATTTCTCCAACTTCCAAAAAAAAAAAATACAAAACATGTGGCTGGGCATGGTGGTTCACATCTGTAATCCCAGCAGTTTGGGAGGCCCAGGCAGGTGGATGGCTTAAGGTCAGGAGTTCAAGACCAGACTGGCCAGCATGGTGAAACCCCATCTCTACTAAAAATACAAAAATTAGCCAGGAGTGGTCGCAGGCACCTGTAATCCCAGCTACTCGGGAGGCTGAGGCGTAAGAATCACTTGGACCCAGGAGGCGGAGCTTGCAGTGAGCCGAGATAGTGCCACTGCACTCCAGCCTGGGCGACAAAGCGAGACTCTGTCTCAAAGGAAAAAAAAACCTCTTTACGTATGTTTTATTTTATTCCATATGATCTAAGATCTAATCAAAGATTGTTCATAGCTGTTAACAGTCATATTTCTATTTCATATCCTTAAATACAGAACACACTCCCAATCCTGACCCTTTTCTCCTTTCAAAACATAGAAATTATTTTTTAAATCCAGGTATCTTGTAAAAAAAATCCTACAACCTGGATTCATCTGATTGTTTCCTCATGATTAGATTCAGATTGAACATTGTGTCAAGAATACTATATATTAATAGCTGATGCTGTGAACTTCCCCTTACAAATAATGGAACATCTAAAATAACGTTGCACAGCTATTTCCAGAGTTTTCTTCCCATCATTTTCTTCCAAGCTGCCAACACCAATTCTGCAAACGCTGATGAAGCTAATTTATTGATTTTACCAGAAGATGTCAAAAAAATGTTTTACAACAAAAACTTGGCTTCTATCCTATCCTCAAATGGTCCTTAAATGGTTTGTTGTTCAAAAGGTTACGGGTGCAATAATCCAGTTAAGCCACAAGGAAAAACAACCAAATTCACATAAGCACAAACAATGACAAATATGCCATGACCGCTGACTGGCTGATGACTTTTTAAGGACATGATTACTTGTAAAGTGTTTCCCAATTTCAGAGATACTAAGTAGGGGAGGGGCAGTTACTAGAATTCATGAAATACAGTATATAAGAAACACTTCTCAATTTAACGGCCTTTTAAAAAATAAAGTATGTTGGCCGGGCGCAGTGGCTCACTCCTGTAATCCCAGCACTTTGGGAGGCCAAGGCGGGCGGATCACGAGGTCAGGAGATCAAGACCATCCTGGCTAACACAATGAAACCCTATCTCTATTAAAAAATACAAAAAAATTAGCTGGGAATGGTGGCGGGCGCCTGTAGTCCCAACTACCTGGGAGGCTGAGGCAGAAGAATGGCGTGAACCCAGGAGGCGGAGCTTGCAGTGAACCGAGATCACGTCACTGCACTCCAGCCTGGGTGACAAAGTGAGACTCCATCTCAAAAAATAAAATAAAATAAAATAAATAAATAAATAATGTATGTTAACACCAATGGAAAGGATTTTAAATCTCAGGTTTTAATACCTGTTGCAGGAATAATTTTATACACTATGAAGTACACAAAAACTAACATCTACTTTGCTGAAGGCCAACAAACGGGCTGGTTGGTTAGAGACCTGAGAAACCTTCCAGGAAGAATCCATAATCACTCTGTGGGGAGAGATGAGAGGATCAGGGAAAAAAGAGCACATGGGCCAAATGCTGGTTCATTACTGACAAATAATCTATTAAGTACAGAGTCATGGGGACTAGGGCATACATATATGCAATGCCTAGCTACCACTAAAAGGATCTAATTTTCTCCAGCAGAACGCCTATTCCAATAAAAGTGAAAACTAAAAAGAAATCCTACCAGGTTATGGCAAGTATCCAGCAAAAAAAATAAATTTTTTGCATGACAATTCAGGTTGAGACCTTTCATTATAAGCTTTAACACAGCCCCTCCCTACCACCTCCCACTTAAGCAACTACTAAGAGGTCTGGAAGCCCATTCATTCCCAGCAACATCTAGGGAAGCCTCTGCTGCCTGTGGTGTCACACAGTTGTGACTGACAGGAATGCCAGTTGGGGCATACTCTCTTCTTTAACGGGAGAGCTACACAGAACAATCAACTGCTAGCATACTTACTCAGTATACAGAATTCCAAGTTTAACTATAATGTAGAATATTTTTAAGCCTTTTCGATTCAATCTGTATCCCCAGGGTATTCCCAATAACTAGATAATTAGCCTCTGAAATTTTAAGTTTTACCACAGCTATAGCCTAAGACAATGACGCTTTCCCCAAACTCTTTTACCATCCTACACCATACTACAAGGCTTACATTTCAAAAACAGTCTTAATGCAAAACCTGAAAAACCCCAGCTCTAGAAAGAACTACATTTCAACACATAATCTGTTATATACTTAAGTATTACTAATAGAAAATAGCTCTATTAGTCCAAAACATTTGCTTCCTTCCATTAACTCCTTCCATGTTAACAAGTTATCTTCTCATATAATTTTAATTCTTCTTAAAAGGAATTATATAGCAAGAGCCATGATGATCAAGAATATAGCTTGGGCAAATACTCTCACGTACTACTAAAAAAAATACAATCAGATAATGTATATCACAATATTTATACACACACACACACACACACACACTTCATTACAAGAAATTCACCCAAAAGACATAAATGGCCAAATGCAAAAAATCTGTATGTTCAAGGATATTCATGCCACCTTTATTTACAACACCAAAAAAACTAGAAGAGATCTAAATAGCCAATGACAAATTATTAAAAAATTAATATACTGGGGCCGGGCACAGTGGCTCATGCCTGTAATCCAGCACTTTGGAAGGCCAAAGTGGGTGGATCACCTGAGGTCAGGAGTTTTGAGACCAGCCTGGCCAACATGGTGAAACCCCAGCTCTGCTAAAAAAACAAAAATTAGCCGGGCGTGGTGGTACACGCCTGTAATCCCAGCTACTCAGGAGGGTGAGGCAGGAGAATCGCTTGAACCCGGAAGGTGGAGGTTGCAGTGAGCTGAGACCACGCCACTGCACTCCAGCCTGGGCGACAGAGCGAGATTCCATCTCAAAAATACAAAAAAGAAAAAAAATTAATATACTGGAATATCATCTAGTCAATAAAAATGACAACCTCAAAAAGCACAGGCAACAAAGCAAAGTCAAATGGAATTACATAAAGCTAAAAAGCTCCTGCACAAGAAAGGAAACAATCAACAAAGTAAAACGACAACCCATAGATGGAAGAAAATATTTGCAAACTATCCATCTGACACAGGACCAACAACCAGAATATATAAGGAGCTCATACAATGCAATGGCAAAAAAACAAATAATCCAAAAGGAAAATGGCAAAAGATCTGGACAGATACTTCTCAAGACATACAAAACACACACACACACACACACACACACACACACACACACACACACACAAAAGAAGACATACGAATGGCAAACAGGTATGTGAAAAAATATTCAACATCATTAATCAGAGAAACACAAATCAAAACCACAATGCAACAGACCAGGCACGGTGGCTCACGCCTGTAATCCCAGCACTTTGGGAGGCCAAGGCAGGCGGATCACCTGAGGTCAGGAGTTCGAGACCAGCCTAGGTAACATAGTGAAACCCTGTCTCTACTAAAAATACAAAAATTAAGCCGGGCACAGTAGCTCATGCCTGTAATCCCAGCACTTTGGGAGGCCGAGGCGGGCAAATCACTTGAGGTCAGGACTTTGAGAACAGCCTGGCCAACATGGTGAAATCCCATCTCTACTAAAAATACAAAAATTAGTCAGGTGTGGTGGCACTCACCTGTAATCCCAGCTACTCAAGAGGCTGAGGCATGACAATCACCTGAACCGAGAGGCAGAGGCTGCAGTGCCACTGCACTCCAATGTGGGCAACTGAGCAAGATTCTACCTCAAAAAAAAAAAAAAAAAAAAAAAAAAACCCACAATGCAATATCATCTCACCCCCAGTTAAAATGGCTTATATCAAAAAGACAGGCAATAAAAGATGCTAGAGAGGACATGGAGAAAGGGGAATACCCATACCCTGTTGGTTGAAATGTAAATTAGTACAGTCATTATGAAGAACAATATGAAGATTCCTCAAAAAACTAAAATTAGTCAGGCACAATGGCACACACCTGTAATTCCAGCAATTTGTGAGGCCCAAGTGGGAGGATCACTTGAGTTCAGGAGTTCAAGACCAGCCTGAGCAGCACAGCAAGACCTCGTCTCTACAAAAAATTTAAAAATTAGCAGGGTGTGGTGGTGCACACCTGTGGTCCCAGCTACTTGGGAGGCTAAGATGGAAGGATCACTTAAGCCCAGAAGGTTGAGGCTGCAGTAAGCCATGATCACACCACTGCATTTCAGCCTCGGTGAAAGAGTTAGACCCTGTCTCCAAAGGAAAAAAAAAAAATTATTCTATACCTAATTTTAAATACACACACACACACACACACAAATGTTCTAAAAGGAAATATATTGATACATGAGTGGTTATTTCTGAGTTGTGAGATATGGGTAATTTTTAATATTCTATTTTTCTGTATCCAACTTTTTCAACAACCATTACTTGAAGGGAAAAAAATATTTTTACTAATATTTTTTTTTTTTTTTTGAGACTGGGTCCAGGCTAGAGTGCAGTGGCTCAATTATGGCTCACTGCAGCCTTGAAATCCTGGGCTCAAGGGATCCTCCCAAGTAGCTGGCACTACAGGCGCATGCCACCATGTCTGGCTAACTTTTTTTGCATTTTTTGTAAAGTTGGGGTCTCACCATGTTGCCCAGGCTGGTCTCGAACTCCTGAACTCAAAGAATCCTCCTGCCTCAGCCTCCTAAACTGCTAGGATTACAAGCATGAGCCACTGTGCCCAGCCTATTTTTACTGAGAATTTTAATGACATGGATAATTCTCTTGATAGTATCTTTTTTTGTTGTTTGTTTTTTGTTTTTTTGAGACACAGTCTTGCTCTGTCACCCAGGCTGCAGTGTAGTGGCGCAATCTCAGCTCAATGCAACCTCCACCTCCCAGGTTCAAGCGATTCTCCTGCCTCAGCCTCCCGAGTAGCTGGGACTACAGGCGTGCGCCACCACACCTGGCTATTTTTTGTATTTTTAGTAGAGACAGGGTTTCACCATGTTAGCCAGCCTGGTCTCGAACTCCTGACCTCAGGCAATCCACCTGCCTCAGCCTCCCAAAGTGCTGGGATTACAGACGTGAGCCACTACGCCTGACCTCTTGATAGTATCTTAGTGGAAACCGACAACATGTATTTGTGTAAACAGTGTGACCTAATTTTGTCTGATATAATTAGTACCTGTACAAACTAATATGCCAGACAATGAGAAGATAGGCATGTAAATAGTTGGATTATGAGTGATTTATGTTTTCATCCTTTCCCTCTTGTGACATTTTCCAAATGATCCACAATAGCCGCGTAACATTTCTGTTGCAACCATCTTGCAGATACCAGGAAACTAAGAATAAGGCTAATAGTACCTCCCTACCACCCCACCAAAACTGAGGGTGAAAATGTAAAGAATGTGAATCCTTGATGATACTGAGCTGAAGAATTAACCCTAACTCTAACCCTAAATTCCTACCTTGGAATTTGTTACATGAAATAATAAATGCTCCTTACTGTTTAAGTTAACTGAGTTGTATTACTTATAGCCAAATACACCCTAAATGATTTAACTTTTATATGGGAGGAGAAAGTACTTTCATAAAAAGGGTCTTGGCTGAACCAGAAAGTAACAATTTATAATAATACCCCCTAGTTACACAGACAAAAGATCTACTAAAGTAATTCTCAAATTACTGAGGCTGTTTTCTAAACTAGTCCAGTAATTTATAGCTGGTTATGTTACTCATTAAAATGTTACCTGAGAAATCACTCTAGTTTGCCTTTCCCACAAGGCAATTATATTTTAAACTGTATTAAATATACAGTCGGCTTGGGCTGCCATTAACAAAATACCACAGACTGCATGGCTTCAACAAGAGAAATGTATTTTCTCACAGTTCTGAAGGCCAGGAAGTCCACAATCAAGGTTCCAGTAGGTTCTGGTTCTAGCAAGGGATTTCTTCTTGGCTTGCAGACAGCCACCTTCTCGCTGTGTCCTCACATGGCAGAGAGAGACCAATCTCTGTTGTCATTTCCTCTTTTATAAGTACCCTAGCTCTATGGGATCAGGGCTCCAGCCTTATGACCTCATTTAACCATATTCACCTCCTTAAAGGCCCTAGCTCCAACACAGTCACATGGTGGGGGAGACGGGTTTGAGGCTTCAACATAAGGATGGCAGGGGGACACAATTCTATTCACAATTAGAATAATCTTTAACTTCAAACATTAGGAAATGATGTCTTCTTACAAATACTTGACGGCAATACTGTTAACAGTTACATATAATTAGTATTTAATTTTCTTTTTCTGGTGTTTTTGTTTTTGAAACAGAGTCTCACTCTGCTGCCCAGGCTAGAGTGCAGTGGTGCAATCCATCTCAGCTTACTGCAATTCTGCCTCCCAGTTTCAAGCAATTCACATGCCTCGGCCTCTTCAGTAGCTGGGATTACAGGTGGGTGCCACCACACCCAGCTAATTTTTGTATCTTTAGTAGAGACAGGGTTTCCTCATGTTGCCCAGGCTGGTCTCAAATTCCAGGCCTCAAGTGATCCACCTGCCTTGGCCTCCCAAAGTGCTGAGATTAGAGGCATGAGCCACCACACCCAGCTTAGTTTTCAAAGCATTTTCACATAGTAACCTAAGCAGGTATCTTGGTTTCACAGATGAAGGCACTAATGAAAGCTCACTGATACTGATCTTTACACAACTCTTAATCTTATTACTTTTTTTTTTTTTGAGAGAGAGTCTTGCTCTGTCACCCAGGCTAGAGTACAGTAGCACAATCTCAGCTCACTGCAACCTCCATCTCCTGCGTTCAAGCGATTCTAATGCCTCAGCCTCCTGAGTAGCTAGGATTACAGGTGACCGCCACCACACCCAGCTAATTTTTGTATTTTTAGTAGAGACAGGGTTTCACCATCTTGGCCAAGCTGGTCTGGAACTCCTGACCTCGTGATCCACCCACCTCAGCCTCCCGAAGTGCTGGGATTACAGGCATGAGCCACCGCACCCGGCCAACTCTTAATCTTTCACATGCACCTGAGGTATGGGAACTTCATTTTACCTAATGTTCTAAACATCAGAATCAGTTTAGGGAAAGGGAAGAGGAAGGAGCAGAGGACAGGGTTCCAAGCAGAATGAAATGAACAGTATCTGTTTAAAGGTGAGTAAGCCTACGACAGTAGACCCAATGGGGGAATATACCACAAGGCTCCAGAAATACTATAGGCCCTTGAGAGCATTTTAGGGAATGTGGATTTCATTGTAAGTCTAGTGGGGAAACACTAAAGAATTTTTAGGAAGAAAAAATATGACTAGTTTCAGGCTTTAGAAACATCACTTCAGCTGCAGTTTTATAAACTAGATTGTGGAAATCAGAGGCCACAAAAAAGGAGACAAGGATTCTGTTGCAATATGTATTCTGTGACACATAAACAAGAAAGACATCTTTAAGTGAAATATCCCACTTAGCCTAGCAAACAATGAGGAAAAAGAAATTTGTAGTGGTTAAATAACTTGCCCAAGATAACACTGCTAGGAAGAATAGAACCGCTACGTCTCCCAAAGACCACGGTCTGCCACTATGCCACACTGCCTCCATTTATAATTCTAAAAATGAACAAAGTATAATTCTAATGTGGCCTCTATGATGAACCACTCCAAGTCATCATTAACTACTCTGCATACCGCATGAATTTTAATTCACTGGGAGGGTAAAGAGCGGAGACTGAGAAAGTAAATGTTCTCAGGATAACTGAGCATGTTTTTGATCTATGAAACAATTGATGTTCTACACATAGGGTTCTATAAATGGAAGAAACAAAAATTAAACATTTAACACGTTTCTAGGTTATCCTTCACTGAAGTGACAAAACCACATCTTTAATTCATGCCCAAATAAATTTAACTAGCCAGGTATGGTGGCTGACACCTGTAATCCCAGCACTTTGGGAAGCTGAGGAAAGTGGATTGCTTGAGCTAAGGAGTTCGAGACTAGCCTGGAGAACATGGCAAAACCTCATCTCTACAAAAATATAAAAATTAGCCAGGCATGGTGGCATGAGCCTATAGTCCTAGCTACTGGGGAGGCTGAGGTGGGAGGACTGCTTGAGCCCAGGAGGTTGAGGCTGCAGTGAGCCGAGATCATGCCACTGCACTCCAGCCTGGGCGACAGAGCAGGACCCTGTCTCAAAAACAAAAATAAGGGGAAAAAAAGGTAACTTTACTAGGAAATTACTTAAGCAGTATAATGCATCTTTTAACAAACTACTAGGTAGGGTGGTAGTTAACACTGTCACAATCAGCACCACCCTTAACTGACTTGAGAAAAAGAAGTACTTCTGTTTAAAAAAAAAAAAAAACATGCCAGGCTTGGTGGCTCACACCTGTAATCCCAATGCGTTGGGAGGTCAAGGTAGGAGGATTACCTGAGGCCAGGAGTTTGAGAGCAGACACAGCAACACAGCAAAACCATGTCTCTACAGAAAAAATAAAAATAAATAAATCTTTAAAGTTTGCACTTTAAAGATGGTAAAGATGGCAAAAATGGTAGCACGTGCCTGTAGTCCCAACAACTTGGAAGGCTAAGGCAAGGGAACTGCTGGAACCCAGGACTTTGGGACCACAGTGAGCTATGATCACACGACTGCACTCCAGCCGGGGTGACATAGAGAGATCCTGTATCAAAAAAAACAAAAACAAAAACAAAAAAAACAAATTCAAGATTCTATGAATACTAGCAAAAGTACCTTGTCCTTCCATCGATTGTATTTCCTCACTGCTGTAGTTTAGATGTTTGTCCCCTCAAACCTCATGTTGAAATATGATCCCCAATGCTGGAGGTGGATCCTAATGGGAGGTGTCTGGGTTATGGGGGAGGATCCCTCATGAATGGCTTGGGGTCCTCAGGTAAATTCTTGCTCTACTACTTCCAAAGGGCTGGTTGTTTAAAAGGGTCTAGCACCTCCCCACCTTGCTTCTTGCCAAGTGATCTCTGCAAATGTCAGCTCCCTTCCCTTCAGCTACAAGTAGAAGCAACTTGAAGCACTCATCAGAAGCAGATGTTGGCACCATGCTTCTTATACGGTCTGCAGAACCACAAGTCAAATAAATTACCCAGCCTGAAGTATTCCTTTGTAGCAACACAAACAGACTAAGACACTCACTTAAACCAGCTTACAACACAGTTTCACAGAATAGTCTTAGCTATCTCCAGCCTAGTGATTCATTAATCACATTTTCCAAATCAAAAATCAGGACCAGTATGACACTACCTGACAAATTACGTGTATCCTAATTTCTTAATCTATTCTGGAAGAGTATAAAACTTACAAAACTGTAAGTATCAATTAATCTCTACTGTAATCAATTGAATTTTCTATGCTACTGCTATTCCAAAAAATCTGAGATGTGAACAAAGGGATATTCTGTTCACACAGAAACAAGAGACAAAAAATAATAATTTATTAATAAATTATCACATCAGATCCCAGGCAAATAGGTAATTTAATCACTTAGAAATCTAAACACCAATTAACAGGATACAAAAGCATTTTTAAAAAGGCATTCACCTCAGTATATGGGCCACACCAATACAGTTTTGGTCCATCATCAACCACTACCATTAGATTCTAGCATAGTAATTAAAATTCAGGCTGTATAACAAAGATCAAGAAACTATGTCCCTGCTCAGGCCAAATACTTCTCCCCATTTTTGCAAATAACATTTTACTAAAACATAGCCACATCCATTCCTTACATATCATCTATGGTTTTCTTACTACAATAGCAGAGTTGAGTAATTGTGTCAGACCATATGGCATGCAAAGCCTAAAATATTTACTATCTGGCCCTTTACAGGAAACACCTGCCCACTCTTGCTCTAGAAAAGTGATTCTCAACTCTAGGTGGACATCAGCACTACCTGGTGAGCTTTTATTCTTTTTATATCAACCATATATTTTATTTCATTTTTTAAATAAATTTTATTGTATATATTTAAAGCATACAACATGATGTTATGGGATTCATATAGAAAGCAAAATGGTTACTGCAGTGAAGCAAATTAACATATATATCAACCCACATAGTTACCTTTTTTTTTTTTTTTTGGTTTGTTTTTGTGGCAAGGACAGCTAAAAATCTATTCATTTAGCAGGAATTCCAAATATAGTACAATTTTATTAGCTACAGTCCTCTTATTAGCTACATGTTACACATTAGATCTCTAGGCTCTTTCATCCTACATACTTGCTATTTTCTTACCCCTCACCTACATTTCCCATTCCCCACCCACTTGCTCCTGGTAACCCACTCTTTTATTCACTCTGTATATTTGACTCTTTTTTTTTATTTTTTTTAAGATTCCACATATGAGATCATGCAATATTTGTCTTCCTGTGTCTGGCTTATTTCACTCAGCATACTGCCTCCAGGTCATCCATGTTGTGGCAAATGGCAGTATCTGCATTTTAAGGCTGAATAATATTCCATTATATATGCATATCACATGTTCTTTATCCATTCATCTATCAGTGGACATTCAGGTTGTTTCCACAGCTTGGCTAATGTAAATAACACTGCAATGAACATGGGAGTGCAGATATCTTTATAAGGTGATCTCACTTCCTTTAGGTATATGCCCGATAAGGAATTGCTGGGTCATATAGTACTTCTATTTTTCATTTCTTTAGCAACCTCCATACTATTTTCCATCATGGCTGTACCAATCCACACTCCCACCAACAGTGTACAAGGGGTCCATTTTCTCCACACCCTCGCCAACATTTGTTATCACTTCACTTTTTTATGACAGCCACCCTAAGGGGTGTGAGGTGACGCCCACAGTGGTTTTGATCTGCATTTCTGCATGGCTAATGCTGTTGAGTACCTTTTCATATACCTGTCAGCCATCCTTATGTCTTCTTTGAAAAAACATCTGTTCAAGTCTTTTGCCCATTTTCTAATCAGATTATTTTTCTATTATTGAATTATATGAGTTCTTCATGAATTTTAGATATTAATCCCTTATCAGATAAATGGTTTGCAAATATGTTTTCCCAGACCATAGGTTGTTACATTTTGTTGATTGTTTCCTTTGTTTTGAAGAAGCTTTTCAGTTTGACGTCATTCCATTTATTTATTTTTGCTTTTATGGCCTAAGCTTTTAGTGTGGAATCCAAAAAGAAAATTCTAGCTGGACACCAGCACTATCTGGTGAGCTTTTTAAAAAATTCCAGAGCCTGAGACCCAATCTAACCCTCTCCCCCTAAAAAGATGCCAATTTCATTGGTCTGGGGAGAGGCCATTAGCTATTGATATACCAGTACAAAAATGTGTACAATTAAACAAGAAAATTCAAAATACAAAAATCAGGGTTTTACCATATAATATAAAAGATAAAGGCAAGACATTAATATACAGACCACAGAGTACTACATAATAAATTAGAGCCACAAGAGGCTAGGCGCAGTGGCTCACGCCTGTAATCCCAGCACTTTAGGAGGCCGAGGAGGGTGGATCACAAGGTCAGGAGATCAAACCATCCTGGCCAACATGGTGAAACCTCACCTCTACTAAAAATATAAAAATTAGCCGGGCATGGTGGTGTGCACCTATAGTCCCAGCTACTCGGGAAGCTGAGGCAGGAGAACTGCTTGAACCCGGGAGGAGGAGGCTGCAGTGAACCAAGATCTAGCCACTGCACTCCAGCCTGGGCGACAGAGCAAGACTCCATCTTAAAAAGTAAATAAATAAATAATAAATTAGAGCCACAAGTTTGGCTCTGGCTTTTGCATGAATCCACAAAGATAAAGGAAAAAAGATTATATGATTTATAGTATCCATAGGTCAAAATATCTTGGTGGGGTCCAGCATGGTGGCTTACACCTGTAATCCCAGCACTCTGGAAGGATGAGGTGGGCAGATCACCTGAGGTCAGGAGTTCAAGACCAGCCTGGCCAACACAGTGAAACCCTGTCTCCACTAAAAAATACAAAATTAGCCGGGGTGTGGTGGCATGCACCTGTAGTCCCAGATACTTGGGAGGCTGAGGCAGGAGAATCGCTTGAACCTTGGAGGCGGAGGTTGTAGTGAGCTGAGATCATGCCACCACACTCCAGCCTTTATGACATAGCAAGACTCCGTCTCAAAAAAAAAAAAAAAAAAAAAAAAAAAAAAAAATATATATATATATATATATATATATATATGTAGAAGCAAAGCTTTTCCTAAAACTTCCATGTGACTATAAAAGGAATGTATTGCAATTCTCCTCAGTGATGTAAATATTAATATATCACACATTCTTCCCACCTTGCAGCACCGTACCTCCTCACCCAAAAAGCAAAAATGAGAGTGGCAGGATTTTCATAGAGATAGTACCATGCTGCCTTTCTTCTTCTTCTTTGTGGTAGTGGGGCAAGGTAGGAGAGGTAGGATGGGTGGAAGAAATACCCAATTGAGTTGAAAAAAAAAATAGCTCTATATACCACAAGACATTAATAAACACTAACAATAAAGCCACTCATACAAGCAGTCCCCAAGTTATGACAATTAGCTCATACAAAAGTGATTGATTCAGACCTATAACTCATTTATCTTATATTTAACCACTCATCCAGTGGTTTCTGTTGATTATGCCAAACGTGTCTAGACAAATGAACAGAATATGTCAGGACATAGCAAAAGCACAATTTCATCTTACCAGTGTTAAATTTAAAACACGGTTTCTATTTTCAAATCTGGGAAACACTGATCCGATCTTCTACAGTTTAGTGACAGCAGTTCAAGTATGTTTTTGACTAAGACTTCATCTCCTCCACCTTCCCTGGCACTTGACACTACTCACAGCTCTCCCAAACATGCCTTGCTATCTTTCTGTTCCTACTACCTATATATATCCCTTGCCTCCCAATCCCCCTTCCCCTCAACTCTTTAAATTAATGACTCGGCTAAACTCATTCTTTAGGAGAAACTTTGCCTGAGAACCCCCAAACACTACTGTTCCTTAGAATTCTCTCTAAAAGTTCCTTTCAAAAAGAGATCATTTTCAACCCACGTCATATGTATTTGAAATTTATAAAGACTACACATATAAAAATACCAACAATCTGTAATGCAGAAGGTTATGATAGAACATCAAAATTAACATCAAAAGACATGCACCTCATGCCACAACAGTATATAGCCAGAGAAACTGGAATCCCTTTCCTCTCCTCTTCCCTCTTCCCTTCCCTGTTCTGCCCACGCAGCCAGCTAGCAGTCAAGCTTTATTCCTATTCTCCAACCCACTGCTCTGCCAATCAATTCAATTGTGGAGGAGTAAAAGCTGGAAAGTGTCAGAAACCAACTGTGTACTAACAGCTGAAAAAGAGGGGGTCTATAGATTCACTTCTGTGACTGCAAATTACCTTCTGTAGGCGCATTAGCTTTATGCTAGGGGAAAATAGATACCGGTTAAATAAGCCTTCTTTGGGTTCTCCTTTTCCCGCAGCCACCCATATCTCCTTCACCAAGGCTTGCTGATTCTTATCTTCCTTTTCAATCTTACTACAGCTATCTCAATTCATGAAATACTCTTTACAGTGAGACAAATGTGACAGTCCTCTAACTGGTCACTGTCCATCCAGTCTCTCCCTTCTCCAATCCATCCCGTACCAATGTAAGATGAATCTTCCCAAAGCACATCCTTTGTACAAAAACTGGAAAGGCAGAAAACAAGCATACAGTTTGAGGGGAGAGGATAATAGCAGTATGGGGAGAAGAAGAAGAGACATTTTAGGTTTGACTTTTAATACAACTGTATTGACCCTTTTATAGGAACATATTACCTAAATGCTTTAAAAAAAAAAAAAGCTGCTTGACATATTCTCTTTCCATAAGCAAACTTCTGACTGCCCAAACTAAAATCAAAACCCTTTCAAAAATAACAATTATTTTTCTTCCATACAGAACATTTCCTCATTTAACTATACATACTATAGACCAATTTTCTTTTTCTTAGATTTAAGGCTTTTCAGTGATTTCTACATAGCTTATAAATAATATAGACACAAAGCAGGGCATGATGGCTCACACCTATAATCGCAGCACTTTGGGAGGCTGAGGCGGGCGGATCACCTGAGGTCAGGAGTTCGAGACCAGCCTGACCAATATGATGAAACCCCATCTCTACTAAAGCTACAAATACTAGCTGGGTATGGTGGCATGTGCCTGTAATCCCAGCTACTTGGGAGGCTGAGACAGGAAAATCACTTGAACCCGGGAGGTGGAGGTTGCAGTGAACCAAGATCGTGCCATTGCACTCCATCCTGGACAACAAGAGCGAAACTCTGTCTCAAAAATAATAATAATAATATAGACATCATACCACCACATCATAATACCTAACAGACAGTCTTCCATAGAGTAGGCAATTAACTATTTGTTGAATGAATCTTTCTCTATTTCAGTTCAACAAATCCCAATAGCCTCAAATACTCCTCTTTTTAGAAAAGAAAAATAATAGTCACAGTCTACCATGATGAGTTCAGGCACTGAAGATTTTAGAAAAAATGGACAAGCACAGTGGCTCATGCCTGTAATCCCAGCACTTTGGGAGGCCGAGGCAGGCAGAGCACCTGAGGTCAGGAGTTCAATACCAGCCTGGCCAACATGGTGAAACCCCGTCTCTACAAAAAAATACAAAAAGTAGCCAGGCACGGTGGTGGGTACCTGTAATCCCAGCTACTGAGGCTGAGGCAGAGAGACTTGCTTGAACCTGGGAGGTAGAGGTTGCAGTGAGCTGAGATCACACCACTGCACTCCAGTCTGGGCGACAGAGTGAGACTCCGTCTCAAAAAAAAAAAAAAGATTTTAGAAAAACCATCACCAATTGCTACCATCACCTCTAGACTAGCCACCCTCCAATCTGTTCTGAACTCCTTCCAATCTGTAGTCAATCCTCCTTCCAATCTGTTCTCCACTCTAAACAAGAGTAAACTTCATAAAAAGTAAAAATTATATCATCCCATTGCTGAAAACTTTCTTTCTCTTTTCTTTTTTTTTTTTTTTCTTGAGGCAGAGTCTCACTCTGTTGCCCAGGCTGGAGTGCAGTGGCGTGCTCTCAGCTCGCTGCAACCTCCGCCTCCCAGGTTCAAGTGATTCTCCTGCCTCAGCCTCCTGAGTGGCTGGGACTACAGGCAAGCACCACCATGTCTGGCTAATGTTTGTATTTTTAGTAGAGACGGGGTTTCACCATGTTGGCCAGACTGGTCTCAAATTCCTGACCTCAAGCGATGGGCCCACCTTGGCCTCCCAAAGTGCTGGGATTACAGGCAGGAGCCACTGCGCCCAGCCTTGCTTAAAACTTTCAATGCCTTCTCATCAGCCTCAGACAAAAAAAAAGATCAAAATCCTTATCTGGTACCTACCTACCTCTTCACAGATGACTCTGTTTACTCTGAAGTACACAAGTGTGTAACTTGTTCAAAATCACTCTGCCTTCACTCTTACCTTTGAGCCTGTACACATGCTGCTCTCCCCTCCACAGAGACACTGTTTTCCCTTCCCCCAAATGTTCTCGGTTAACATATATTCACCCTTCAGATCTCAACTCCAACATTACTTCTATGACACACCAAGCTAGGTGGCAGCACCTGATGTATACTTTCATGTCACATGTACCTTCCCTAGATGTAATTTATTATAGTTTGAGTTATTTGATTAATGGAGGAGGCCAACTATAAAATCACTTGAGGGTAGAAACTGTATCTGATTGACAAAACAGTCTGACACATAATACGTGTAAAAAGTCGCAGAATAACTGAGTATGTGACAAACTAATATACTCTGTCATACTAAGAAGCACAATACATATAATTATAAATATATTTCATTTTACTGTGCATTCCTTTTGGAACTCCTGTGGTTCCAACTTGGGAGCCTATACAATTTTGCCAGTTTTCTTTGGGATCTTTATGGTATTATCTGATTATTCTAAAAGAATAAGAGTTATCACCAGTTTGTCTTCCCACTATTCAAAGCAAACTCTGAGGACCAGGCATGGTGGCTCACGCCGGTAATCTTAACTCTTTGGGAGGTCAAGGTAGGCAGATCCCCTGACCCCAGGAGTTCAAGACCAGCCTGGAAAACATGGTGAAACCCTGTCCTTAACAAAAAAATAACAAAAATTAGCCAAGCGTGATGGTGCACACCTGTAGTCCCAGCTACTTGGGAGGTGAGGTGGGAGGATTGCTTGAGCCCAGGAGGTTGAGGCTGCAGTGAGCTGAGATCGCACCACTGTACTACAGCCTGAGCAACAGAGAGAGACCCTGTCTTTAAAAAAAACAAGCAAAATTTGATTATTATTAATTTTAAGGGAAGATGGAACTGAAAAAAAATAGGCTTCTCAAACCTTTTAAAAGAGATATTATTTAACAGAGGAAAAGATAAATGCAAAGCCTTTTTTCATGGAAAACATAAAATGTATATAATAAAAGGGGGAAAATGCCAGAGAAACAACTAAAACAAAAAGTGTACCCTCTGTTTTTTGTCCTTTTCTCCCACTTCAGTTGGGTTATTCTTATTTTTTAAGATGTTGGGCCAGACCTGGTGGCTCACACCTGGGAGGCTCACATGTTGGGAGGCCGAGTCAGGAGGATTGCTACGTTGGGAGGCCGAGTCAGGAGGATTGCTTGAGCTCAGGAGTTCAAGACCAGACTGGACCACATGCCAAAACCCTGTCTCTATAAAAAATACCCAAAAAATTAGCTGGGCACGGTGGCACACCTGTAATTCCAGCTATTTGGGAGGCTGAGGTGGGAGGATGACCTGAGCCCAGGATTTCAAGGCTGTAGTGAACAGTAATCGTGCCACTGCACTCCAGAACCTGGGCAACAGAGCGAGACCCTGTCTCAAAAAAAAAAAAAAAAAAAAAAGAAGAAGAAGAAGAAGAAGATGTAAATATATTAGTACCAAAGTGATACATGCCATGGATAATAACAAGAGATTTCTTCACATCTAATTTGGAACATACTCAAATTAGAAATGAATGATTGTTATATCATTTTAAAATTAAAAATATTATTTCTCACTACTTCCTAAAAATCATTTAATTTTAAAACCGCCTATGAATCAAATAAATTCATATCAACAAATTACTAAATTTTTGGTATGAAATTTGAAGATAACAGATTTATGAAACTTTTAGCAGCAAATCAGTTTCAAAATCAGTACTAGTGAAAGGTGAATTGTACAGAGCAGTAAGACCCAAATATTAAGAACCAAAATAATTAGCACAGTATGCAATATAAGAAGAGGCTTTTTTTTTTTTTTTTTTTTTGAGACAGAGTCTCGCTCTATCACCCAGGCTGGAGTGCAATGGTACCATCTCAGCTCACTGCAACCTCTGCCTCCCAGGTTCCAGTGATTCTCCTGCCTCAGTCTCCCAAGTAGCTGGGATTACAGGCATGTGCCACCACGCCCAGCTAATTTTTGTATTTTTAGTAGAGACGGGATTTCACCATGTTGGCCAGGCTGGTCTCGAACTCCTGACCTCAGGTGACCCACTCACCTTGGCCTCCCAAAGTGCTGGGATTACAGGCATGAGCCACCACGCCCGGCCAAGACTTTCTCCATAAGAAACTTTACATTTTTTATTTTAATGGCAACTACATTAGTCAGGGATGCTCAATATACATAGTAGTATACAATGATATTTAAAATTCAGACTCCCATTAGCACAAAAGGAAGGTATTAAGTCTACTGAACCAATCATCTATCCCAAATGTTGTCTAGTGTGTTCTGCAGACCCCTGAGGATTCCTAAGACCTTTACAGGGGGTCCACGAGGTCTAAATTATTTTTATAATACTACTAATGTTATTTGCTTTCTTTCCTGAGTTGACATTTGAATTGAAGGTACAAAAACAAAGGTAAATAAAATTACAATAGCCTCTTAGAGGTAATCAAGGCAATGTCACAGACGATACTAGTACTCATTGTGTTCTTTACTGCCAACCATCCACAGAAAAAAAAAGAAAAAGGTTTAAAAAAGCCGGTTTCACTTTAAAATGTTCTTGATGAAGCAGGAAAATTTATTAATTCTATTAAATCTTGACCCTTGAGAAAATGTCTTTTAATATTGTATACGACAAAATGGAAGTACACATACAGTACTTCTGCTACATACTAAGTATGATGGCTCCTGTTAGGAAAAAGCACTTGTGCAGTTTATTTGCAAGCTGAATAAGCCAATTGTTCATGGAACACCATTATTACTTCAAAAACAACTGATAGGTAAACTAAGATTATTTAGACTTGAGCATTTGGCAGACATTTTCCTAAAAATGAATAAAGTAAGCCTAATACTTCAAGGAAAATAACTGGTAATATTTGTTGCCAATAATAAAATTCAAGCTTTCAAGCAAAAACTGGGATCTTGGAAAACTTGAATCCATCAATGTGAACTTGCAAGCTTTGCAATACTTGAAAATTCTTCTAGTGAGATCTGTGTTAATATTAGTGATTGCAATTTTTTCACATTGTATAATGAAATGTGTCAACATTCAGAAGGTCTGCATAACTCAGTGAAAAATATTTTCCAAATGGCCTATGCAATGTATTTTAAAGTAATGGAGTATAAAATATTTATTGATATAGTTTCAGAGTCCACACTGTAACTAACCTTTAAGAAACTACCATCTACCAAGTTTTGTTGTTGTATCAAAGAAAATCATCCACAATTATGTGCACAGCCTATTACAATAGTCCCCCTTTTTCCACTACACAACTGTGTGAGGACAGATTTCCTTCATATACTTCAACCAAAACAAAATGAACAGATTAACTGCAGAAGCAGATATAAGAATTTTGTTGCCATTTATTTTTCACTGAGATGCAATAATGTAAAATAATGTTACTCTTGCCCTAAACATTTTTGTTTTGGAAAACTAAGGTTACATTTTTCATAAAACATTATTTATGTTAATAATAAACACATTAGATATCCCTTTAAATGAATGTTTTAAACTGCTCAGTTTTAGTTTTAGTACAGTAAATGCTAACAGATAGAACCCGCCTAAAAAACGTTCTCGGCCAGGTGTGGTGGCTCACGCCTGTAATCCCAGCACTTTGGGAGGCCAAGGCAGGCAGATCACGAGGTCAGCAGTTCAAGACCAGCCTGGCCAACACGGTGAAACCCTGTCCTTACTAAAAATACAAAAATTAGCCAGGTGTGGTGGCACATGCCTGTAGTCCCAACTACTCAAGAGGCTAAGGCAGGAGAATTGCCTGAACCTGGGAGGCAGAGGTTGCAGTGAGCCAAGACCGCGCTATTGCACTCCAGCCTGGGCAACAGAGTGAGACTCCGTCTCAAAAAAAAAAAAAAAAAGAAAAGAAAAGAATGATGCCCAGGTTTTCAGTGAGTGGGTGGTTGGTAGTGATAGGTTTAGAGGAAGGTGTTGAGTTCAGTTGCTAGCATCTTATGTCTGAGGCACCTGTGATTCAAACAAGCGGAGGGGTCAAGTAGGTTATTAGATATATGAATCTAAACCTCAACAGAAGAAAGATCTAATCTAGAGATTTAGATGGGAATAAATAAAACAGCTTGAGGTGAGATGTGTAGAAAAGAGCCCAAATGAAGCCACTTTAATACTTAATAGTAACAGAGAATAATGGGCCAGAGAGTAATAGGAAAAGCATGAAAGAAAGGTCTATCAGAGAAGCCAAAGGATTAACTTCTCAAAAAAAGTAGGAAAAACCAACCATGCAAAATGATGCAGAGAAAAAAAGCACATGAGAACTAAAATGGGAAAGAATTTTGCAACATGGAGGTTATTAGCATTCAGAGAGCAGTGGAAATAGAACAGGTTAAAGAGTGAATGAAAAGTGGGAGATGGAGGAAAATGCTTGGTTTTTTGTTTTTATTTTAAAAGACAGGGTTTCACTGTTGCCCAGGCTGGAGTGCAGTGGCGCAACCATAGCTCACTGCAGCCTCAAACTCCTGGGCTCAAGTGATCCTCCCACCTCAGTCTGCCAAGTAGCTGGGACTACAGACTAAGCTAATTTTTTTTTTTTTTTTTTTTTTTTTTGAGACAGGGTCTTGCTTTGTTACCCAAGCTGATCTCAAACTCCTGGGCTCAAGCAATCCTCCCACCTCAACCTCCCAAGTAACTGGGATTACAGACTTGAGCCACTGCAGCTAGCTGACAATAGTGTAATAAAACTAGTTAATCCATAAAGGAGAGATAGGTCAGTTACTAGATGAGTATATGAAGTCAAAAGAGTTTTCAAGTACGACAGAGATCTGAAATGTTTCAATTGTGAAAGCACAAATTCAGTAAAGAGAGGAGGTATAAACTTATCAGGAGCATAAGGTTTACAAAAAGGCAGGACAGGATATGACCCACAGTTAGGACTTTAGCTAGGAGGAAGAATGTCTCTCTTCCATTATAAAAAGGAGTAGAATAGGGTGAGCGAGGATAGCAGGTTTGGAGATGCAGTGGTAAGAAATTATAGGTCTTATATGATGAAGTCTATTTTCTCTATGAACCAAAAGACAAGAAAGGAAAGGGTCAGATTTCAAAAAGGGAGAAAAAAATTAAAATAGTTTGTGGTAAGTGGAAGAACAAACTGGCGAGGTTATCTAGTGGGATTGCCTAACTATGTTGAGGGCGCACTTTTGAGTAATAATCAATTTTAAAATGACACCCATGAGCTGAGCATGGTGGGAGGGGCTTGGGGGGAAAGTCTGTAGACCCAGCTACTCAGGAGGCTGAGATGGGAGGATCGCTTGACCCCAGAATTACGAGGACAGCTGGGGAACATAGGAGACCCCAACCCTCATAAAAATTAAAAATAAAATGGCACCCATGTACTCTTTTCTCTATATTGCCTTATTAAAATAAGAATCTGGGCCGAGCACGGTGGCTCACGCCTGTAATCCCAACATTTTGGGAGGCCGAGATGGGTGGATCACCTGAGGTTGGGAGTTCGAGACCAGCCTGACCAACATGGAGAAACCCTGTCTCTACTAAAAATACAAAATTAGCCAGGCGTGGTGGCGCATCCCTGTAATCCCAGCTACTCAGGATGCCGAGGCAGGAGAATTGATTGAACCCAGGAGGCAGAAGTTGAGGTGAGCAGAGATTGTGCCATTATACTCTAGCCTGGGCAACAAGAACGAAACTCTGTCTCAAAAAAATAAAATAAAATAAGCATCTGTTGTTACAACTCTTAAGTTGCTAATATTTGACGTAGTAGGAAACATCTTTTTCTATATGATATAATATATACATTTCTGATGTTTAAGTGGAGGGCATTAATTTCCCATGGGTTCTGAAAAAGTGCCACACTTGCCTTTCCATAGAAGGAAAAATAAAATGTACCAAATACAATTTTGTCAAAGAATGTAGAAATTATTAATAAAAATTAATGATAAAGCATTCAGGAAATGAGTGAATTAAAGGTAAATTGAAGTTTTTCAAAAATGTGTTTTTGCTGGTCGGGCATGGTGGCTCACGCCTGTAATCCCAACACTTCGGGAGGCCAAGGCAGGAGGATCACTTGAGTCCAGGAGTTCAGGACAAACCTGGGCAACACGGCAAAATCCCATCTCTACAAAAATTACAAAAAATTAGCTGGGTGTGGTCCCTCATTAACAGATTTTCTTCATAAACACGGGTTCACTACCAACTATGTCTGAGAAAGTTTTATTTTGTAGATGGAGAAAATTAGTAGATCCAAAGTTAAAAGTACTTATTTGGATTGACACACAGTAGTCAAATCTCAAGTCTCCATTCTAAGGGATGGATATTTACTGTTAAAATGACCACGTCAACTATTTCCTTTAAAAACAAAATCGATGGCGTGAACCCGGGAGGCGGAGCTTGCAGTGAGCCGAGATCACACCACTGCACTCCGGCCTGGGTGACAGAGCGAGACTCCATCTCAAAAAAAAAAAAAAAAAAAATCCAGTAATTGCTACTTTCCTATTGTCTTATTTCTCAACAATGCCCTTTTTTTTTTTTAAAAAAAATCCCTTTTTTCTAACATGATGTCTTAGTAAATATTAAGATCTACAAAGTTTGTAGTTCTGGGGTTTGACTATTATTTCTTCTACAATCAAACCATAATTTCAATAAATATTACAATCAACACAAGATGATATTAGGAAAAATATACAACCTCCCAATCAAAACTTTGTAAATGCTTCAAAATTAGCATTAACTATCAATTTTACCTTACTTTTTTTTTTTTTTTTTTTTGAGACGGAGTCTCGCTCTGTCACCCAGGCTGCCAGGCTGGAGTTCAGTGGCACAATCTCAGCTCACTGCAAGCTCCGCCTCCGGGTTCACGCCATTCAGCCGCCTCAGCCTCCCAGGTAGCTGGGACTACAGATGCCCGCCACCACACCCAGCTAACTTTGTTTCTGTATTTTTAGTAGAGACGGGGTTTCACCATGTTAGCCAGGATGGTCTCGATCTTCTGACCTCATGATCCGCCCGCCTCATCCTCCCAAAGTGCTGGGATTACAGGTGTGAGCCACCACGCCCAGCCTTTACCTTACTTTTCATGCCAACACTATTTTCATGGGTTTTATAGATTTATATCTGCACAATATCCTAGAGTTTGATCCAACCTCTTGTCCCAATATGAACACTCTTCCTTTCTGGCTAACATATTTTTGACTGTTAACTGTCTTAATTCTTAGGACATAATTTCACTGAATATAAATAAGGTTACTGTAAATGGTCACACAGCAGATCCCCAGTTGCCTAAATATCTCCTTTCCACAAGGACTATTAGCATTCCTGAGCTATCAGAATCAACTGGAGAACGCAGAAGCACACAAGAAAAATTTGCAAGTATCCTAAGAGATTATTTCAATAATTTTCTAAGAAAACTCTCCAAAAGACAGAAGCATGCTAAAATTGAGGTTCTAAACAGACCAGGACTAGTCAGAAGTACTACATATAAAGCTGTTATTAGTATTAAAGCCACAAAAGAAAAAAGAGAAGACATTAGTTTTAATACAAATTTGCAAATATTATATAGTCCTAAAAATATGCAGTATTCTCACCTTGAGAGTATTAGCAAGAACTGATATATGTGATATGGACTTTCATAAGAACTGATATGCTGGGTTCACAGACTTGGTGTGAAAGAAGAAAAAAAAAAAGGAAAGAAAAGAAAAAAAAAGAACTGATATGCTAGGTCAGATCCTGCTCTACCCAGCCCTGTATCACCTTGACACAACAGCATGAATAAACATGTAATGACATGGTATGGGTCGATTTAACAATTAACTGAGGATCTTCCATAAAATTATCTAACCTTCTGTTAAATACATTTACATTTCCAACCTACATCTCTAACTTTGCTAGTCACTGTTTTACTCACACTTCAAAGTGCAATTCTAGGAATTCTAACCATTCCAGTCTATCCTCATCTCCTGAATCACTTTGACTGTTTTTCCCCAAACCTGGTTTGTATAGAAATCACATCTACCCAGAATATTTCCACATATTTTTTGTTAATCTCTACAAATGCTTCTTCAAAATTTCTTAGCACAATTGCAACACAGACTAACAATAGAAAAAAGACAGGCAAGGATGCAGGAAAAGAAAAAAGGATCCAGGGAGCTCAGTGAAAAGCTAGGCTGTAATTCCTATACAGGTTCAGTATCCCTAATCTGGAAATCCAAAACCCAAAACTTCTTGAGCATCAACATGACACAAAAATAAATGCTCATTAGACTATTCTGGATTTCAGATTTTCAGATTAGGGAGGCTCAACCAGTAAGTATATAATGCAAACATTCCAAAATTCAAAAAAAAATCTGAAACATTTCTGGTCCCAAGCATTTTGAATAAAGGATACTTAACCTGTAGTTGAACACTTCAAATGCCAAAGTTACCATCTTTTGGTGATATAGGCAAGTCCCTAAATTACAAACATATCTCTTCTTATATTCACAACCTGGAAACAATGGTAAAGAGTTGTTAGGTTCCCAGGCTTGCCCAATACCAGTCTATTCTGTTTATTCCACGGTATTCCTGAACCAGTTTTGAGTTCTAGATTCTTTCATGTGAAAACAGTATGATATGAAAAGAGCACAGCCTATGGAGTCTGCCAGAGTCAGAAGGAAGTCCTGACTGCCAATTACTAACTCTATGACTAAACAAAACTTAACTTTTATGAGTCCTAATTTCCTCATATGTAAGACAGCACTGTCTGTCGTGGCGAGTTTGTAAGGATTAAAGATAATACAAAACCAACCAGCAGAGACTGCAATGGAGTACGTATTCAATAAATAGAGGCAATTATATTACCCTCTACCCTTCTCTATTACCCTCTGCGCACATTGTTTTTATCCCCTATGTTGCCATAAGAACCCTGTTTAGGGCCGGGTGCGGTGGCTCACACCTGTAATCCCAGCACTTTGGGAGGCCAAGGCGGGTGGATCACCCGAGGTCAGGAGTTTGAGACCAGCCTGGCCAATATGGTGAAACTCCGTCTCTACTAAAAATACAAAAATTAGCCAGGCATGGTGGTGGGCACCTGTAATCTCAACTACTCGGGAGGCTGGGGTAGGAAAATCACTTGAACCCAGGAGGCGGAGATTGCAGTGAGCTGAGATCGTGCCACCGCACTCCAGCCTGGGTGACAGAGCAAGACTCCATCTCAAAAAAAAAAAAAAAAAAAAAGAACCCCATTCTGGGCTGGGCATGGTGGCTCACACCTGTAATCCCAACTCCATGGGAGACTGAGGACAGTGGATCACCTGAGGCCAGAGTTCGAGATCAGCCTGGCCAACATGGTGAGACCCTGTCTCTACTAAAAATGCAAAAATTAGCTGGGTGCAGTGGCATGCACCTGTATTCCCAGCTACTCAGGAGGCTGAGGCAGGAGAATTGCTTGGAGGTTGCAGCGAGCTGAGATCATGCCACTGCACTCCAGCCTGGGTGACAGAGTAAGGCTCTGTCTAAAGAAAAAAAAAAAAAAACCCATTCAGGATTAATTAGATGGAATTTGGGATTTGGAATCGAGAAAATCTGGGTTTGATTCCAGGCCCCACCTCATACAAGCTACTGAACTTTAGGTTGGGTATTTAATACCTCGGAACCTCTAACTGTCCATCTGTTACTCAAAAAAAAAAAAAAAAAAAAAAAAAAAAACTGACACAGTTTGTAAACTGGCATAAAGTGTACAGTATCAGAAATGTTAGCTTTTACCTACTCCAAACGGATCCTGCTCAAAAATTACCCACCTTCTGAGATTAAATGTGCTAATGAAGCAAATGTCACAGGAGGAGGAAAGCAAGCTGAAGTGAGTAGCTCACAGTAACATACTGGGATGATATCCCCTTCATACTCCTAGGCTTTAGAACATACTTGTTAACCCAAATAAAGCTCCTGGTAGAAATCCAGACAAAAAATAAAATTAAATTTTAAAGTTAAGCTGTATGAAGACTTTTCTGTCCTTACCCCCAACCTACCAATCTGCATCCTGACAAACCTTCTTAAGCAGTTTCTACTCCTTTTCACTCGGCTTTCCTTCCTATTTCCCAGAATAGTTCCCATAACAAAGGCAGTATGAACTAACTCTAAGGTAGAGCACAGAGAACTGGCTAAACATGTGTGTTCAAATTAAGCACTGTCCTTGGCATGAAAAATTCAATCTGGTCATAGTAAAGGAATATGGAAAAGTCTCTTCTGTATGTCTACATAAATGACTATATAAAAACACTTTCAGCCAGGCATGGTGGCTCACACCTATAATCCCAACACTTTGGGAGGCCGAGGAGGGCAGATCACCTAAGGTCAGGAGTTCGAGACCAGCCTGGCCAACATGATGAAACCCTGCCTCTGCTAAAAACACAAAAAATTAGCCAAGCGTGGTGGTGGGCACCTATAATCCCAGCTACTTGAGAGGCTGAGGCAGGAGAATCGCTTGAACCCAGGAGGTGGAGGTTGCAGTGAGCCAAGATCGCACCATTGCACTCCAGCCCAGGCAATAGAGCGAGACTCCATCTCAAAAAAAAAAAAAAAAAAAAAAAAAAAAAACACTTTCTGGCAAGGTGCAGTGGCCTATGTCTGTAATACTGGCACACTGGGAGGCCAAGGCAGGCAGACTGCTTGAGACCAGGAGTTTGAGACCAGCCTAGGCAACATGGCAAAACCCCATCTCTACAAAACAAATACAGAAATTAGCTGGGAGTGGTGGTGCGCACCTGTAGTCCCAGCTACCTGGGGGGGCTGAGGTGGGAGGATCTCCAGAGCCCAGGAGGTTGAGGCTGCAGTAAGCCATGATGGCATCACTGCACTCCAGCCTGAGCAACAGAGCAAGACTGTGTCTCAAAAAAAAAAAAAAAAAAACTTTCTATTTTTAGTATTATTTACCCCATGGCAACTGTTAAAACCCTGTCCTTGCATATACCTGTGGTCTCAGCTACATGGGAGGCTGAGGTGGGAGGACTGCTTGAGCCCAGGAGGTCAAGGCTGCAGTGAATGGTGTTCACACACCACTGCACTCCAGCCTGGGTGACAGAGCAAGTCTGTCTCAAAAAAAAAAAAAAAAAGAAAGAAAAAAACTGTCCTTTTTAATGTAGTAGAATCTTTTCAGATGTTTTGCTATTAATAATACAACCTACTAGTTAAAAGTCAACAGAACCAAAGAACTAATAAACTGCCGCAAGAACTTAAATGCACCACAGCCAAAAGAGTTTCTCAGCTACACACCTTAGCTAAACTGGACTGCACTTTCAAACTGTAGAAAAACGAAATGAAAAGTGAATCTCAGAACAAAAATCACCCAAGCAATAACTTAGCTCACCTTATTTAAAAATTCTCAAAGCACACGTGAACTGCATACTTTCACTGAGAAGAGATATATATTTAGGAAGAGTATTAGTTATAAATAACCCAATCAGGTCACAGGAAGGATACAGAAAGACCTCAACAGACACCCTAATGGATATTTCTAATATTATTCATTCCCCATTCTTAGCACCAAAGTCAGCAGCACCACCTACCACATCAACTTCCACATCACTTTCTGAGCCTGACCCTGTCTGAGTCCCTTAGGGAGGCAACTAGTGGCCTGGATCATGCAGCCCAACGTATAAAGGCTACTAAGGTATTTAGATAATCATTGCTTTGCGTGAATTCTTTTTTTTTTTTTCCAATATGAACAAAACACCTCACTGGTGTCAGATTTAGGATTATACCCCACCCCGCCCCCACAAAAAAAGAAAAAAAAAAAAAAAAAAAAAAAAAACGGGGCCACTGACTGTGGCTATTCGTGCACCATGGCACTAACATTTTATAAAGTGAGAGACTGTATGAAAAATAACATGACTTAATTAGAGATATTAGCAATGAAGTTTTAAAGTGCTTCAAAGTTACATGATTGTAGCAAGAGGAGTAAAGGAAAGGGGTCAGAGAGGGGTAAAAAAAAAGCATTACAACATACAACTACCTGAAAAAGTAATAGTACACAGACAGGTTAAAACACGTTTACAGTTACTAACAGTTGCCAACACATAGTTACCACACTATATACTTGTCAGATTTCCCAACATGCAAAACAAAAAGGAGCCACCCCTGTATGAAGCACTTATCTACTGACTTCTACAGAGAACACATAACTTTTCTGGAAAGCGAGAAATTAAACTTACTGTGCTCTCCTTTTGGCTTTCAAAAATCTTTAAAACTTTCAGCAAATTAAGGTTCTCCTCAATTTCAAGGCTTTTCATGTTAAGTTGAATAAAAGTTGCCTATTTTTAATATCGATAAACTACGAGATCACTTTTATATTTGCAAACCATATCCACATCCCTACTAGATTTTTAAAAGTTTTTCGAAGGGCTAAATATAAAGTTTGCACAAAGTGATACAGTAGATGTGGCAGGCATTCAACAAGTTCACTTATCAGGAGAATTCCTAAAGTGAAAGCTTGAAAAAAAAATTGTGAAGATAAATTCCGAGTAGTGCTACTGAAGATACAATGTTACTAACATGAAAACTGAGAAATATTCAAAACATTCTGAAAACAGCATCTCCCTCTAAAAATAAAGAGGGGAAGCATTTGCCAACACAGAAACATCGGTTCTTAAAAATTATAATCACATGGGAGACATTTCTATAAACAATTTAGTTCTGAATTGCAATAACCCTAACCTTTCAAAGCACGTTTTGGCCTTGCCTTACCAAAAGCAAGAGCATTCCTGGTGCCTTTATATTTATACAAAGGACTGTGCTACTTTGTTTCTAGCGCAAACTGTTGGTTTACACAGTTAAAGATCTTCAAAACAAACTACCACACACAATTCACTTCCAATCATCCAAAGAGAAACGAACAAACAAGCATCTGTCACAAAGTCCCAAGAGTTTTCTAATTTACAATAACAGATATTTTTACGTTGTAGTTCAGAGGCTACCTCTGTTCGTTTCTGTATTTGGATTCACATACTATACATTTACTTAGCTTGTTAAGAGAGAAACCTCAGAAAATAAGCAACCGGCGATGACACCAGTCTATTTTAAGTTACTTATGAAGCCTACAGCTCAAGAACTTTTGGGAGAAGGGAGGGTAAGCCGTTTTTCCAAGGAGTTAAGAACAATTCGTGTTTGATAATTAATGATAGCAGCCCTAACAACCTCTTAGAATACATTATGGTGGGGCGGAAGTGAAAACGATGAGAGGGGGAAAAAAATAAAAAAAACCCGACTTGAAAATGGACAAGCAGACAGATTTACAAACCTTCAATTAAAGGAATTTTAAGATGAACTTCTCTCAAACGCCCTCCCTCACTCCCCACACCCGCTTCCTCCTCTCCTCCGGGAGGTCGGTGTAATGTGACTCATGACAAATTTTTTTTAAATAAATAAATAAATAAAAGACACACCCTCTGGGGGCTGAAACTGACATAATCGCCCCCACCCCACCCTCCGCCGACACACAACACACACCCCGCTGGTCCTCTCCCTTCTGCGGCTTCAGCCTCGTCCCTGCCCTCTCCTCTCCCCTCTCCCGTCCTGGACCTCCTCTCCCGGCGCAGAGAGGCGGCGCGGCGGCAGCTCGGGGGTATTCCGGGACTCCAGCCCTGCGGACTGGAGGCTACCTGGGGGGCGCGCGACCCCGGTGGCCGGGCCCTGGGGGAAGCGGACGCGAGGGGGGCGCCGGGCTGCGGCAGCGGCGGGCTCCCGGCTCCCTCGCCCATTTTCTCTCTCCCCTTCTATCGGTTTCCACCACCACAGCCACTTCCTGTATCGCAGCCCGACTCCCTCAGCCCGGCCACTCGCTCTGTCCCCGGTTGGGGCTGGGGTTGGGGCTGCGGTAGGGGCTCGGGTTGGTGGCAGCCGCTGAGGTCAGGGCAGTTCCCCACCCCGCCCAGTGGGCTGGTCACTCCGGCGGGTCCTCGACCCGGCCAGCGCCCGCCGGCCGCCAGAGCGCCTCACCTGTATGTAGTTGTTTTCACAGTAGTCTGCCACCCGAGTCAGGTTCTGGTAACTCTCGATCAGCGCCCTCTTGCCAGACGGGATCTCCTCCTCTAGTAACATCTGCAGCTCTGCCATTTTCCACCCCTCTGCATCGCTTCCTCTCGCGTTAAAGAGACAGAGGCAGCAAGGTCCGCCGAGGCTCCGAGCACCTCACAGCCCGGATACAAACCGCCTACCCGCCCTCCCGCCTGGTATTGTGGGACGGCACCTCCTCCCCTTCCTCCTCACTCTCTCCAGCCCCCCTCCACCCCCTTCGTGCAGCCGCCTGAACCTCGTTCTCTCGCGAGCGTTTATTTCTCCCACCCCCACGGACCGCGGGATTTTTTTTTTCTTTCGCACTGTCTTCTGGGAATTGTAGTCTCTCCTAGGCTAGGCGGCCCGTCCAAAGCGCATGCGCCCAGACACCTCCGAAAACCAACGCGGCAGAGCGCAGAAAGCGGAGACCGAGGGTGGAGGGAGGGGGCGGTGTTGGGGGGAAGTCCGGAGTTTCCTCACAGCTCCGGAAGGTGGCGCCACAGGGTGATACTGGGGGAATGAAATCGGTTCCCCAAGTTTCATGTGAAACTTGGCAGAACTTGGTTAATTAGGAAATGTCAGTGAATCAAGGACACCCATTCAGAGAAGGATTAAAAAGGGGACAGAGTACGGAAAACTAGATTTTTACTTCCTCTGCCTTCTTAGAAATAAAGCGAGTCAGGCTTTACTTTCTGAAGTTCCGCCCCCATCAATTCATTTAAAATTTAGCAAACATTTCTTGATTGCCAGCTGTTTACCAAGCAGCGTACTAGACACTGGGGGTACAAGTTGAGTACGAATACTCCGTACCCTTAAAGACTCAATTATAAAATAAACATACATAGCTTGTAGTGCTTTCCTGTCCTAATTTCTCTTTTCTCTGACTCTCCTTATCATGTAATCTTCCTACACTTTTAAGGTCATGTGCACGTTTTTTTAGGGGTGGGAGTTGTTTGCTTGTTTGAGACAGGATCTCACTGTTACCCAGCCTGGAGTACAGGGGCACAATCATGGGTCTCTGCAGCCTAGACCTCCTAAAGTCAAGCGATCCTCCTGCCTCAGCCTCCAGAGTAACTGGGACTACAAGCGTCGGTCACTACACCTGGCTGAGCTTTTTAATTTTTTATAGCGACAGGGATCAAATTATGTTGCCCTCGCTCGTCTCGAACCCCTGGCCTCAAGCAATCCTTCTGCCTCAACCTCCCAAACTGCTAGGATTACAATCATGAGCCACCCACCCTGATCCTTCGTTTTTTGCTCCTGGATTTTTGTTTTGTTTTGTTTTTATCACCTGCTTTGGAATAGTCTCAAAAGGCCCTATATTTCAAGCTCTTCACTTCAACAGGAACATTAAATGCTTCGGATATAATCAGCTATGAAAAGTGTTGTCCAAAGACTTTGGACATATGTTCATGTATCTCCATAAAGTCATTTAGAATCAAAATAACTAGGAGTAAAAACATCACTCAACCAAATTAAAAATTGCCAGCACCAGGTATTTATTGAATATTGCCTTTACTGGGGCCTTATTCAGGGCCCCAGGGAACCAGTTTCCCTCTTCGACCTCTGAAAGGAAAAACTCAGTTTCCTACTAAAAACGTTAACTTCCCCTTGCCACCAGATTCTCCATCAAGGAATCTATCAAAAGATAACTATTATACCTATTCCAGATATTATGGAAAGTAATACATTTATTATCTGGAATAGGTGTAATAGTTATCTTTTGATATTTATCGTTAACCCAAACACGACTTAATCCAAGTTATTAAAATTTAATGTATTATTGATCTTGGTCTCTACTTGAGGTTTAACTGTAGAAATCACTCAGTTTGTATATATTCAAATATTGACACATTTCAACAACATTGGGGAAGTGATTAGGGAGGTGATACTAATTTACTATTTTCAACGTACTGTCCATGCAGTTGAGCAATGAATGAATAATAATGATGATGATGATAAATACAAATAAAAAGTACTGTCAGATTTCTTCTCACAACTCTGAGAGACAGATAATATAAATATTATTTTCCTTCCTTATCAAATAAGGAAATTTAAGCTTAGATAGGTTAAGGAGTTTAGCTAAGGGCACTGAAAATGCCGTCAAGTTTCCTAGGTTACTGATTGATATGGTTTGGATCTGCATCCCTGCCAAATCTCATGTTGAATTGTAATCCCTAATGTTGGAGTTGGGACCTGGGGGAAGCGGGAGTGGATCATGGAGCAGATTTCTCACGAATGGTTATGCAGCATCCTGTTGGAACTCTCCTTATGATCTCGAGTGAGTTCTCCTGAGATCTGGTCATTTAAAAGTGTATGACAGCCCAGTGCAGTGGCTTGTGCCTGTAATCCCAGCACTTTGGGAGACCAAGGTGGGAGAATCCACTTGACTCCCAAAATGGGAGACCAACATGACGAACTACTCCCGCTTGAGTTCCAGACCACCCCGAGCAACATGGCAAAAACCCGTCTCTACAAAAAACACGAAAAATTAGCCAGGTGTGGTAGTGAGCACCTGTAGACTCAGCTACTTGGGAGGCTGAAGTAGGAGGATTGCTTGAGCCTGGAAGGCACAGATTGCAGTGAGCCAAGATCACAGCACTGCACTCTAGCCTGGGTGACAGAAGGAAACCATGTCTAAAAAATGAAATAAATGTATATGACACCTCCCCGCCTGCCTCCTGCTCCCCTCCTGCCACATGAGACATTTCTCTTCCCCTTTGCCTTCCTGCCATTTTGGAAGCTTCCTGAAGCCTCCCAGAAGCAGAAGCAGCTATGCTTCTGGTACAGCCTTCAGAGCCAGGAACCAATTAAACCTCTTTTCTTTATGAATTACCCAGTCTCAGATAGTTCTTTATAGCAGTGCTAGAATGGACTAATACAGTGATCTTTCCAAAATCCAGTGGACAGTGCAAACTTGTACAAATATTTGTGGCTCATGTAAAGTTCACTAAAAGAACTTATCCCTCATGCCTTAAAGGTGAGGAGGAACAGGAGCAGGAGGAACAGGAGTAGGAGGAAGGAGAGGAGAAAGGGGTGGAAGAGGAGGGGGAGGAGGAGGAGGAGGAAGAAAAAGGAGAAGGAGGAGAAGGGAGAAGAAGGAGGAGGAGGAGAAAAGAAAAAGGAGGAGGGAGAGAGGGAGCGGGGGGAGGAGGAGGAGGAGAAAAAGAAAGAAGGAAGACGAGGAAAACCAAAACCTGGGAGAAAATATCTGCAAAACAAATATCTTGATAAAGGAGTTGTACCCTAATATATAAACAACTCTTACAGTTCAGTAATAAGATGACAAACCAGTTTTTTAAAACAAGCCAAAAGGCTGGGCACAGTGGCTCACACCTGTAATCCCAGCATTTTGGGAGGCTGAACCAGGAGGATCACTTGAGCCTACGAGTTTGAGACTAGTCTGAGCAACAGGCTCTCTCTACAACATGTATGTTTTTTTCAAGTAGCTAGGCACGGACTGGGCACAGTGGCTCATATCTGTAATCCCAGCACTTTGGGAGGTCAATGTGGGCCGACCACTTGAGGCCAGAAGTTCGACACCAGCCTGGCCAACACGGGGAAACCCTATCTCTACTAAAAATAAAATACAAAAATTAGCCGGGCGTGGTACTTAGGCAGCTGAGGCAGGAGAATTGCTTGAACCCAAGAGGCAGAGGTTGCAGTGAGCTGAGATCATGCCACTGCAGTCCAGCCTGGGGGACAGAGGGAGATTCTTATCTCAAAAAAAGAAAGCAAACAAACAAAAAAAAACGGCACGGTGGCTCACACCTGTAATCCCAGCACTTCGGGAGGCTGAGGCGGGCAGATCACCTGAGGTTGGGAGTTCATGACCAGCCTGACCAACATGGAGAAACCCTGTCTCTACTAAAAACACAAAATTAGCTGGGTGTGGTGGCACGCACCTGTAGTCCCAGCTACTTGGGAGGCTGAGGCAGGAGAATTGCTTGAACACACAAGGTGGAGGTTGTGGTGAGCCAAGATTGAGCCGTTGCACTCCAGCCTGGGAAACGAGAGCAAAACTCTGTCTCAGAAAAAAATAAAACTAAAAAATAAAATAAAAAAATAACCTACTGTATGATTCCTCTTCTAAGAAATTTTAGAAAAGGCAAAATTACAGTGATAGAAATCAGATCAGACTTTGCCAAAGGCTGGAGTAGTGGTGGGGTGACACCAAAGGGATGCAAGTGAACTTTTAGAGGTAAAGGAAATGTTCAATATCATCACTGTACTGGGGGCTACATAACTACATACATTTGTCAAATCACATTGAATTGCACACTTAAAATCTATGCCTTTTGCCGGGCGTGGTGGCTCATGCCGGTAATCCCAGCACTTTGGGAGGCCCAGGCATGTGGGTCACATGAAGTCATGAGTTCAAGACCAGCCTGGCCAATGTGGTGAAACCCCGTCTCTATTAAAAATACAAAAATTAGCCGGGTGTGGTGGCGCACACCTGTAATCCCAGCTACTCAGGTGGCTGAGGCAAGAGAATCACTTGAACCTGGGAGGCGGAGGTTGCAGTGAGCCAAGATCATGCCACTGGACTCCAGCCTGGACTACAGAGTGAGACTCCATCTAAAAAAAAAAAAAAAAATCTGTGCCTTTTATTGCAACTAAATTATACCTCTGAGCTGGGCATGGTGGCATCCCTAGCTATTCGGAAGGCTAAAGCAGGAGAAGCCCAGGAGGCTGAGGTTGCAGTGAGCTATGATGGTGACCCTTCGCTCAAGTCTGGGTGACAAAGCAAGATCCTGTCTCAGAATAAATAAATAAAGTATATCTCAATGAAACTGGACAAAGAAAATGCAAGCAGGGAAACAATTCCTTGCTTCGAATAATAAAAAGGGAAAAACTACATATTTTTGTTGTATTTGATGTATGATGAAAAGTATAAGTGAGTGAAAGTTCAAGAGTTAACATTAAGAATTGCAGGTAGGGCTGGGTGCGGTGGCTCACGCCTGTAATCCCAGCACTTTGGGAGGCCAAGGCAGGCGGATCACCTGAGGTCAGGAAGTTGAGACCAGCCTGGCCAACATGGTGAAACCCTGTCTCTACTAAAAATACAAAAATTAGCCGGGCATGGTGCCAGGTGCCTGTAATCCCAGCTACTCAGGAGGCTGAGGCAAGAGAATCACTTGAACTGGGAGACGGAGGTTGCAGTGAGCTGAGATCACGCCATTGCACTCTAGCCTGGGCAACAAGAGCGAGACTCCATCTCACAAAAAAAAAAAAAAAAAGAAGAAGAATTGCAGGTAGACACTGTGACACTGAATTAAGGGCATCATGCTAACTTTTTAAGTCTAACTTCTCTCCCATAATGTGCACCTATTATATTCTTCATTGAGTTAGTATTTTTCTGTGGATTTTGTGCAAATAAATTATAATGAAATGCCTTTCAAAGAAATCCCAACAGAATAAGGAAAAACAGTGGCTGTATATACCTAATGATGTATTCCTAGGGCTAAATCAGACCTTGCACATTTCATTTCATGGATGTCTAGTCAGACTAATCAATTTGGTCATGAAAAACTGTGTGTAACTGAAAATTCGGCACATATGCATGAAGAGAAATTGAAATTTCATGTATCTCACTCAGAAATAGCAGATCACTGACGATCATAAAGACTCATTTTGGAAGAATTAAGAGATGTTCCAGGCGAAATCATAATTTGGATTATTTTGGTACATAATTGCTGATCTTATTATCTAGCACACCACATACTGAGAGAACTTCAGAATCCTGCAAA
Source organism: Homo sapiens (assembly GCF_000001405.40). Classification (NCBI taxonomy): domain Eukaryota; kingdom Metazoa; phylum Chordata; class Mammalia; order Primates; family Hominidae; genus Homo; species Homo sapiens. Next base: position 26,866,554 of record NC_000010.11, read on the forward strand.
GTTAATTCACGATATGGCATCCTAGGACATTACATTGGAAGTGAGTGGTCCACAGACAAGAATGTAGAGCAGCAGTGAGAACTAGTGGAAAGAAACCAGGGGTCAGGCAATCAAGGTTTTCCCCCTAAACCTGCCTGCCTCCCCAACCCCTGCCACCCCATGCACCCGCCACAACCACCACCACCACTATGTGACATGACCACCTCCTCCGTGAAAACAGGGTAGGGAGGAGTATATTACTCTACTAGGGCTGCCATAACAAAATATCACAGACTGGGTGGCTTAAACAACAGAAATTTATTTCGCACAGCTTTGGAGGCTGGAGGCCTAAGATCAAGAAGTTAGTAGGGTTGGTTTCCCTGAAGTCTCTCTTCTTGGCTTGTAGATAGTTGCCTTCTTGCTGTGCCCTCACCTGCACCCACATATTTGGTGTCTCTTCTTCTTGTTATAGGGACACCACTTATATTGAATTAGGGCCCCACCCTAAAGACCTTATCTTAGTCATATCTTTAAAGGTACTGGGGGTTAGGACTTCCACATGTGAATTTTGAATGGACACAATTCAGTCCATAGCAGTAAGTTGACTGACATTCTAGGGTTTTACAACAACTCTCAATTATTTCCTCTCCTTGCTTCTTTTTCTTTTTTTTTCTTTTTTTTTTTGGTGAGACAGAGCCTTGCTCTGTTGCCCAGGCTGGAGGGCAGTGGCGTGATCTTGGCTCACTGCAACCTCCACCTCCCGAATTCAAGTGAATCTCATGACTCAGCCTCCCAAGTAGCTGGGATTCCAGCCACGTGCCACCACGACCAGCTAGTTTTTGTATTTTTTGGTAGAGACGGGGTTTCACCATGTTGGCCAGGGTGGTCTCAAACTCCTGATCTCAAGTGATCCACCCACCTTGGCCTCCCAAAGTGCTGGAATTACAGGCATGAGTCACCGTGCCCAGCTGTGGTTTTTTGTTTTTGTTTTTGTTTTGTTTTGTTTTGAGATGGAGTCTTGCTCTGTTGTCCAGGCTGGAGTGCAGTGGCATGGTCTTGGCTCACTGCAAACTCCACCTCCCGGGTTCAAGCAATGCTCCTGCCTCAGCCACCCAAGTAGCTGGGATTACAGGTGCCTGCCACCACGTCCAGCTAATTTTTTGTATTTTTAGTAGAGATGGGGTTTCACCATGTTGGCCAGGCTGGTCTCGAGCTCCTGACCTAGTGATCTGCCCACCTCAGCCTCCCAAAACACTGGGATTACAAGCATGAGCCACTGTGCCCGGCCAGTATGGTTTTTAGATGAGTAAATCTCTTGTTAATTTTGGAAGCTGCTGAACCAACATCTCTTCCAACATCTCCTCCTCCACCTCCCTTTTGAACTTCAGTAAGATATTGTAAGCATTTGTAACAGAGCAGTTTCTGGAGCAATTAACCTGGCCAGGTATAACAAGTACCTCATTCTCTGAGCCTAGTGGTGAACTGGGAGCTAGTGATGGTCTTCCCTGAGCTTTGAGCCTCAAACTTTTCCAATGGTTTTTTAAATCCCCCACTGCCTGAAATATCTATAGTAATTTTTGTTTCCTGACTGAACTCTGATACAACTAAACACAAAACACATTTAAAATTCTGATCCTTTCATAGTTCATAAGCATGATTGGGTTTTCACACTATGTGTAAGATGTGCCTCCATCAAACCTTGTTAGGATGTTGGCATATCACCCATCTGATGTGGGGGGAAAATAAAAGTTCAATGTAGTCCCAGCTACTCAGGAGACTGAGCCAAGAGGACCACCTGAGCCCAGGAGTTCGGGCTGCTGTGGGAAATGACTGAACTTGTGAATATCACTGCACTCCAGCCTGGGCAACAGTGCAAGACCTAGTCTCTGAAAAAACAGTTCTAGAGACAAATGACAATCCACATAAAGTTAGTGTTTCTTTCGTTGGAAGTTACAGAAAATGACTCAAGCTAGCATCAGTTGAGGGTGGGAGAAAAAAATTTTATTATAAAAATTCAGGCTTACAGAACTCAAAAATAGAAATGCAATCAGTAATCAGTCCTAAGAAAGTACTAGAATGAATCCTTTGGAAGGACAGCAGGAACCTGGCAGCATTCTCAATAAACGTCTTGTTTCTTTGCCTAAAGGTTTTCTTCACTGCCTTTTCTAAGTGGTGGAGAGCATGTAAATTCAAATCCCAAGTTTTCCCTTCTACTGCATTCAAGAAGCCCAATCTGAGATTGAAATCCTTCCGTTCCAAACCCATATCTCGCAAAAAGAAAATCTGATTAGTCCAAGTTAAATTTCTTTTTTTAGTTTATTTTTATTTTATTTATTTTTTTGAGACGGAGCCTCGCTCTGTTGCCCAGGCTGGAGTGCGGCGGCCGGATCTGGGCTCACTATAACCTCCACCTCCCAGGTTCAAGTGATTCTCCTGCCTCAGCCTCCCGAGTAGCTGGGACTACAGGCACGTGCCACCATGCCTGGTTCATTTTTGTATTTTTAGTAGAGACGGGGTTTCACTATGTTGGCGAGGCTGATCTCGAACTCCTGACCTTGTGATCTGCCCACGTCGGCCTCCCAAAGTGCTGGGATAAAGGCGGGAGCCACGGCCCCCAGCAGCCACCGCCACCACTGCCTCCTCCTCCTTCTCCTCCTCCTCCTCCTCCTACTCCTCCTCCTCCTCCTCCTCATCCTTCTCCTCCTCCTCCTTCTTCCTCTTTCTTTTGAGACAGGGTGTCTCTCTGTTGCTTAGGCTAGAGTGCAGTGGCATGGTCACAGCTCACTGTGGCGTACTGAAGCCTCAACCTCCCATCTCAGCCTTCCAAGTAGCTGGGACTACAGGCTCACACCACCATGCCTGATTTTGTTGTTGTTGTTAAGAAATGAGGCCTCGCTCTGTTGCCCAGGCTGGTCTTGAACTCCTGGCCTCAAGTGATGCTCTTGCCTCAGCCTCCCAAATTTCTGGGATTACAGGCATGAGCCACTATGCCCAGCCATCAGCTTGAATTTCATCTTCTTTCCACTTATCACCTTTGGCAGTAGGGGCATGTTCAAACAGCAGCAGCGAAACTATTTGAACCACCCTGAGGTTGGCGTGGGAACTTTCCGGAGAGAATAGATAATCAAGAAAACAACAGTGTCAGGTGTCTACTGAGGAAAATTGTGCAATACATATACGTGTTACCTGGGCGCTATCCAGGACTACCATGTGTGGTTATGCGGGTTACTCACACGCAGCACACTTGGCTGAGGATTAAGTAGGATCTGAGCTTGGTGCCCCAAGCTGAAAGCTCTGGTGTGGGCTGCATTCACTCAGAGGAAGAGGTTCCCTTTTAAAATTAGCACAAGAGTGCTTCACCAGCTTTCAGGAAGTAGCTCTAGTAATCGTTTTAAAAATATATTAATATGCTTTTCTTTTCCTAGTGATGGAATGAGATTTTTTATCTTTTTTTTTTTTTTTTTTATTCTGAGGCAACCATTTGCTCTGGAGAGAATGTGGACTGTTAGGTCACAAATGGAAAATAGGATGAAAAAGTCAATTTTCAGATTTTATAAAGCAAACTAGGATCTTAAAACCAGTCATGAGAAAATGGCCTGGCAAGTCAGACTTTATTATAAGAAAAGGATTTCAGAATTTTAAAAGCATCCTTTCATATATCAAAAGCAAGGCTTAGATGTTGGGAAATTGAGTTTTATTATAAAGCTGTGTATAGAGAAGATCCAAATCATGAAAAGGAATTAGAGAGCCCAAGACTCAGGGAAGGAGGAGAAAGAAAAGCAATAAAGGGGGAAAAGGCTGGGCGCGGTGGCTCATGCCAGCACTTTCGGAGGCCGAGGCGGGTGGATCATCTGAGGTCAGGAGTTCGAGACCACCCTGGCCAAAGTGGTGAAACCCTGTCTCTACTAAAATTACAAAAATTAGGTGGACATGGTGTTGAGTGCCTGTAGTCCCAGCTACTTGATAGGCTCAGGCAGGAGAATCGGTCGAACCCAGGAGGCAGAGGTTGCGGTGAGCAGAGATTGCACCACTGCACTCCAGCCTGGGCGACAGAACAAGACTCCATCTCAAAAAAAAAAAAAAAAAAGAAAATAAAATAAAAGAAAGAAAGGGGGAGGGGAAGGTTTAGGTTCACCTTCTGGGAAGAAACGTCCAAATAAGTTTTTGGGACTCAGTCTAGGGGTGCTTTCTCCTGACTTCTCAGTGCATAATCCAAGAAATCAAAAGCCCCTTTGAAAACACTCTCCATTCAGTAAAGGCGAGAGACACATGACTGCATCCAAGTGCTAATTTTGAAATGGTTGAGGAGGTTTCTAGGCAAATGGGCCCAAGATAGTGCCTGCATTCCCTAATAACTGCAGATCTTTGTAAAAAATCAAAAGTTCACACAAGCCTCCATGGGGCACATGGAAAAGCTAAGAGAACTGAAATTCCAAAGAAGACCTGGGGTCAGAATATAAAAGCTGCTTGTTACAGGGACTTTACAACTGGAGACCAGGGCAGGAAAAGGAACCTTAGAATTTAGCAGCTGATGTTGACAGAGTGCCTAAAGTAATCATGTGGGACAAGCTACACATCCATGATCTCCAGCACTGATGTCCAGGCCAGAGCAGCCAAGCCACATTTCACTGTCTTTTCTCCACACCTGCCTTTTTTTTTTTTTCTTGAGACAGGGTCTCATTCTGTTGCCTAGGCTGGAGTGCAGTGGTGCCATCATAGCTCACTGTAGCCTCAAATTCCTGGGCTCAAGTGACCATTTTGCCTCAGCCTCCCAAGTAGCTGGGACTACAGGTGAGAGCTACCACACTCAGCTAATTTCTTAAAAAAAAAATTGTAGGCTGGGCACGGTGGCTCAGGCTTGTAATTCCAGCACTTTGGGAGGCCAAGGCGGGTGGATCACCTGAGGTCAGGAGTTTGAGACCATCCTGGCCAACACGGCGAAACCCTGTCTCTACTAAAAATACAAAAATTAGCTGGGTGTAGTGGTGCAGACCTGTAATCCCAGCTACTAGGGAGGCTGAGGCAGGAGAATCATTTGAACCCAGGAGGCAGAGGTTGCAGGGAGCCGAAATCGCGTCATTGCACTTCAGCCTGGGCGATAGAGTGAGATTCCATCTCAAAAAAAAAAAAAATTTTTTTTGTAGAGACGAGGTCTTGCCATGTTGGCCAGACTGGTCTTGAACTCCTAGGCTCAAAGGATCCTCCCATCTCAGCCTCCCGAACTGCGAGGATTACAGGCATGAGCCACAGTGCCCAGCCCCTGCTTTGATGGTACATGAACTTCCCCTCAACCAATGCCATTTGATAAGGAGGATTGAGAGGGGAGGCATTTTCAAGGTAGAAAGGCAGCCTGGTAGAAATCTAGGAATAGATAGATTATCTAACAAAAGGAACTAGTATGGACTGAAAGAGACTGTGCTTAAACAGGAGAAGGCTGATTTGCTTTTCCCTGGCAATACAAAGATTTTTCTTGCACTTTCACTTGGACTGGGGCTTGAGAACAAGATGAGTTATAAATAATACAACTTTTTTTTGTATCTGATACACAGTTTGTAAGTTTTTACCTTACTACATATGAGAGAGAAAGGGTTATTATTCCTTTGGGGAAGCTGTATATTATAATGGTCCAAAATACTGTGCTAATGTGGTGATTACTAACCACATGCAACTATTTTATTTTATTATTTATTTCTTCTTTTTTTTTTTGAGACAGGGTCTCCCTCTGTAGCCCAGGCTGGAGGGCAGTGGTGCAATCTCAGCTCACTGCAACTTCTGCCTCCCAGGTTCAAGCAATTCTCCTGCCTCAGCCTCCCGAGTAGCTGGGATTACAGGTGCCACCATGCCTGGCATATTTTTGTATTTTTAGTAGAGACGGGGTTTCACCATGTTGGTCAGGCTGGTCTGGAACTCCCAACCTCAGGTGATCCACCCGCCTTGGCCTCCCAAAGTGCTGGGATTACAGGCATGAACCACTGTGCCCAGCCCACATGCAACTATTTTAATTGAAATTAAATAAAATTAAAATTTCTATTTATACTTCAACTTTCAGGTGCTCATTTCAGGCAGTACTGATATGGTTAGCAGTCACCATATTGGCAATGCAATACAGATTTACAGAAAATTTCCATCATCACAGAAAGTCTTACTTGACAGTGTCTGATTGCCCTGCCAACACTCTCTCCTCCACACGTTTGCCGGTACTTGTTATTGTCTTTTTGAATATAGCCATCATAGTGGGTGTGAAGTTGTATCTCACTGTGGCTTTGATTTGCATTTCCCTAATCACTAGTATGTTCAATATCTTTTCATGTGCTTCTTGGCTAGTTGTATATCTTCCTTAGAAAGTTATCTGTTCAGATCCTTTGGACATCTTCTATTGGGTTGTCTTTTATTTTTTATTATTTATTTATTTTTTTATTTTTTTGAGCTGGAGTCTCACTCTGTCTCCCAGGCTGGAGTGCAGTGGCGCGATCTCGGCTCACCGCAAGCTCCGCCTCCCATGTTCACGCCATTCTCCTGCCTCAGCCTCCCGAGTAGCTGGGACTACAGGCACCTACCACAACTCCTGGCTAATTTTTTGTGTTTTTAGTAGAGACGGGGTTCCACTATGTTGGCCAGGCTGGTCTTGAACTCCTGACCTTGTGATCCGCCTGCTTCAGCCTCCCAAAGTGCTGGGATTACAGGCGTGAGCCACCACGCGTGGCCTGTTTTTTGTTTTTTGAGATGGATCTAGCATTACCAGTATTAGAGGCACTGAATGCCCAGTGACATATGTTCAACGGCTGCCGTATCCTGACCGTGCAAAGGTAGCATAATCACTTGTTCCCTAAATAGGGACTTGTATGAATGGCCACATGAGGGTTTAGCTGTCTCGCTCTGTCACCCAGGCTGGAGTGCAGTGTCACAATCTGGGCTCACTGAAACCTCTGCCTCCCAGGTTCAAGCAATCCTCACACCTCTGCCTTCCAAGTAGCTGGGATTACAGGCTTGCCCCACCATGCCTGGCTAATTTTTTTTTTTTTTTTTTTTTTTCAGACAGAGTCTTGCTCGGTTGCCAGGTTGGAGTGCAGTGGCGTGATCTCGGCCCACTGCAACATCTGCCTCCTGGGTTCAGGTGATTCCCCTGCCTCAGCCTCCCGAGTAGCTGGGATTATAAGCATGAGCCACTGCACCCGGCTATGTTTTTGTATTTTTAGTAGAGACAGGGTTTCGCCATGTTGGCCAGCCTGGTCTTGAACTCCTGGTCTCAAGTGATCCGCCCCCTTTGGCCTTCTGAAGTGCTGGGATTACAGGCCTGAGCCACCGCGCTCTGCCCCTTTATATATTTTGGATACAACTCTCCTATCACATCTATGAGTTGTAGTATTTGCTCCCATTCTGTAGATGTTCTTTTCACTTTGTTAGTGATATCCTTAGGAGCACAAAAGGTTTTAATTTCAATTAAGTTCAAAGTATATCTTTTTCTCTTGTCATTTGTGCTTTTGGTGCCCTAAGAAACCATGGCATAATTGAGGGAACAATGGTTTATGCCTAACTTTCTTCTGAGAGTTTTATAGTTTTAGCCCTTACATTTGTGTCTATGTTTTATTTTGAGTTAATTTTTATATATGGTGTGAGGTGGAGGTCCAAATGTATTCTTTTGCATGTGGCTATTCAGTTGTCCCAGCATCATTTATTGAAAAGACTATTCTTTCCCCAGTGATTTGTTTTGGCACCCTTGATGAAAACGAATGAAACAAAAGTGTAAGGATTTATTTCTGAGTTCTCAATTTCATTCCATTAATCTATAGGTGTAGCCTAGTGCCAGTGCCACACTGTCTTGATTAGTGTAGCTTTGTAGTAAGTTTTGAAATTATTAAATGTGAATACTCCAATTTGGCTCCTCAAGATTGTTTTGGCTATGCTGGGTCCTCTGCATTTCCATATGAACTTTAGGATTGGCTTGTCAATTTCTGCAAAAAGCCAGTTGGTAGTTTGTTAATCTTATTAAATATCTCTTGTATGTGATTACATCAATCTGTAGGTCAAGTTGGGAAGTGTTGCAACCTTAACAATATTGTCTCCTGGTCCATAAACATGGGATGTATTTTGTATTTTCACTTTTATTTACATCTTCTTTTATTTCATTCAGCAGTATTTTGTCACTTTTCAGTGTACAAGCTTTTTGTTTAATTTACTCCTGAGTATTTAATTTTTTTGATGCTAATATAAAAGTAACTTTTCTTAATTTCACTTTTAGATTATTCAATGCTATTGTATAGAAATACGATTTTTTTTTTTTTTTTTTTTTTTTTTGAGACAGGGTCTCACTTTGCCACCCAGGCTGGAGTACAGTGGCTCGATCTTAGCTCACTGCAACCTTCACCTCCCCAGCTCAAGCAATTCTCTCACCTCAGCCTTCTGAGTAGCTGGGACTACAGGTTCACACCACCACAACTGGCTAATTTTTTTTTTTTTTTTTGAGACGGAGTCTCACTCTGTCGCCAGGCTGGAAGGCAGTGGGACAATCTTGGCTCACTGCAACATCTGCCTTCAGGGTTCAAGCGATTCTCCTGCCTCAGCCTCCCAAGTAGCTGGGACTATAGGTGCTCGCCACCATGCCCAGCTAATTTTTGTATTTTTAGTAGAGACAGGGTTGTTGGCCAGGATGGTCTCCATCTCTTGACCTCGTGATCTGCCCTCCTTGGCCTCCCAAAGTGCTGGGATTACAGGCGTGAGCCATCGCGCCTGGCCTTTTTTTTTTTTTCGGTAGGGACAGACTTTCACCATGTTGCCCAGGTTGATCTTGAACTCCTGGGCTCAAGCGATCCACCAGCCTCAGCCTTCCAAAGTTCTGGGATTACAGGCTGGTCTTGAACTCCTGACTTCAGGTGATCTGTCCGCCTCAGCCTCCCAAAGTGCTAGTCCATTTACACTCAATTATTGATAAAGTAATACATGTTTACATTTTTTTCTATTTATTTTCTAGATGGCTTATACCTTTTTTGTTCTATTCCATGAGTAGTACCTTTTTTCATGTTAAATACATGCTTTCTACTGTACTGTTTTAATTCTCTTATTGTTTCTTTTTCTGTATATTTTTGTGTTATTTTGTTACTGGCTGCCTAGTGGGTTATAATGAACATTTTTAAACAACCTAGTTCCAATTAGTACCAAGTTAACTTCAATACTATACCAAGACTTTGCTCCAATATAGCTCCTTTCCCTCTCCCACTTTGTGCTATTATTGTCACAAATTACATCTTTAAACATTATAAGCCCATTAACGCAGCTTTATAATTATTGATCTCTGCAGTTGTCTTTTAAATCAGTTAGAAGAAAGAGTTACAAACAAAATACATTTATATTTGTTTTATATTGACCTACATAGTTAGTGCTCTTTCTTTCTTCATGTGAATTCAAGTAACTGTGTAGTGTCTTTCATTTCAACCTGAAGGACTTCTTTATTTTATTTTTAATTTTAAATTTATTTATTTATTTCTAAAATACACAGGATCTCACTGTGTTGCCCAGGCTGATCTCAAATTCCTGGGCTCAAGCAGTTCTCCTGCCTTGGCCTCCCAAAGTGCTGAGATTACAGGTATGAGCCACCCCTCCTATCCCCTTTTAGTATTTCTTGAGAACAAGTCTCCTAATGATAAAATTTTCTTAGTGGTTTTGCTGTTGTTGTTGTTTTTAAAGCTAGGAAAGTCTTAATTTCTCCTTTGTTTGTGAAGGATAGTATTGGTGAAATTGTATACAATTCTTGGTTGATAGTAATTTTCTTTAAAGACTTTTAATATGATATTCATTGCCTCTTGATCAAGAGTATGTTACTGCATTTTCTTTCTGCTCTTCCCTTTTGTGTGTGTGTTTGTGTATGTGTTTGTTACTGCATTTCAAAGCCTTCTAGAGAGGTCTCATTCCCCAGATTTTCCCTTTTTCTATCTTTCTTTCTTTTTTTAGAGATGAGGGTCTCACTATGTTGCCCTAGCTGGCGTCAACCCTTGGGCTCAAGCAATCTTCCCCCATCAGCCTCCCAAAGAGTTCGGATGACAGGTGCATGTCACTACTCTGAGCCTCTTTTAAGTTTTTTGTTCGTTTGTTTGTTTGTTTGTTTGAGACAACGTCTTGCTCTGTCAACCAGGCTGGAGTGCAGTGGTGTGAACATGGCTACTGTAACCTCGAACTCCTAGGCTCAAGCCCTGCCTCAGCCTCCTGGATAGCTGGGACTACAGGTGCATACCACAACACCCAGCTGTCTTTTTTTTTTTTTTAGAGACAGGATCTCACCATGTTGTCCAGGCTGGTCTCCTTTTAAGTTTCTGATTCAGCTTTTTATTTGCCAGATTGGTATCACTGCCTCAGTCACTTCAATTGCAAATCATTGCCACTGATTGGTTTTGACAAATGTCCTGAGGATAGGAATGTATTGGTCAAATAAAGGTGAGTCCTGAGAATGGGATCTTTCCCAGGAGCCTTCAGTCAGGTAAAATTGTGACAATTCTCTTTAGATTAGAGTTTGGGGGTTTACACCAAACCTGTTCCTCCCTCTCAAATAACTGTTATGCTGCTGCTTTTCATAGCTACCATGATTGTCAAGTTCACCTTCAGGGCTACTGTGAAGCTGGGGAGAGAAGGATAAGAGTAAGAGAAGTTAAAATATAAAAAGCTTCCTGTTTTTACTGAGATTCAGATGTTTTTCTTGAATCAATGCTGCTCAGATTATTGCAAGCCTTAATTTCCAACGTTTTGAAAAAGATGACTTTTGCAATTTTTGCCAGTGTTCTCATTGCTTCCATGGTCTTTGAAGGTGTCTACTCCACTGTTCTGGAAGTGCCATCCCTTATTTGCTCTTTTTTTGTATGTTTGTTTTTTGAGACAGGGTCTCCCTCTGTCACACGGGGTAGACTGCAGTGATCCAATCATAGTTCACTGCAGCCTCAACCTCCTGGACTCAAGCAATCCTCCCACCTCAGCCTTCTTAGTAGCTAGGACCATAGGCTAGAGTCACTGCACCCAGCTAATTTTTAAATGTTTTGTAAAGACAGAGTCTCACTGTGTTGTCCAGGCTGGTCTCAAACTCCTGGGCTCAAGAGATCCTCCCTCCCTGGCTTTCCAAAGTGCTGGGATTCTAGGCATGAGCCACCGTGCCTAACTCGCTCATTTCTTTTAAATCTAAGCTTAACTATCCACACCTGTGTGACCCTGGGCAAGGTGTATAATTTTGCCAGGACTTACCTATGTCTTGTAAACAATAAATGAAATAATATAGATAATACCGTAAAGTAGTTAGCACAACACTCATTTAGGCCCAGCGAGATGGCTCATGCCTGTAATCCCAGCATTTTGGGAGGCCAAGGCGGGGAGATCACCTGAGGTCGGACGTTCGAGACCAGCCTGGCCAACATAGCGAAACCCTGTCTCTACTAAAAATACAAAAATTAGCCTGGCATGGTGGCAGGCACCTGTAATCCCAGCTACTCGGGAGGCTGAGGCAGGAGAATCGCTTGAACATGGGGGGCGGAGGTTGCAGTGAGCTGAGATGGTGCCAATGCACTCAGCCTGGTTGACTGAGCAAGACTCCGTCTCAAAAATAAATAAATAAATAAATATAAAAAATACACATAAATAAATTAAAATAAATACATTTTTAAAAGTGAGTGCTCAGAGGCTGGGCTCAGTGGCTTATGCCTGTAATCCTGGCACTTTGGGAGGTTGAGGCAGGTAGATCACTTGAGCCCAGAAGTTCAAGACCAGCCTAGGCAACACTGTGAGACCCCAGTCTAAAAAAAAAAAAGGTGAGTGTTCAAGAAATGTAAGCACTTCTGATAGAAAGTATTTTTTTTAGATGGAGTCTCGCTCTGTCACCCAGGCTGGGGTGCAATGGCTTGATCTCGGCTCACTGCAACCTCTGCCTCCTGGGTTCAAGCAATTCTCCTGCCTTAGCCTCCAGAGTAGCTGGGATTACACGTGCACGCCACCATGCCTGGCTAATTTTTCTATTTTTAGTAGAGACAGGGATTTCACCATGTTGGCCAAGCTGGTCTCAAACTCCCAACCTCAGGTGATCACCCGGCTTGGCCTCCCAAAGTGCTGGGATTATAGGCATGAGCCACTGTACCCAGCCGCTTTTTTGTCCATTTAACCATATATTCTGGAGATCATTCTATATCAAACATTAAAAACTTCCCCATTATTTTTCGTGCTATTCCACTGGTCATAATTATTCAGTCAGTCTCATGTTGAAAGACATTTAAATTGTTTTTAATCCTCGACTATCACCACAATATTGCAATAAATAGTTTTTATTTTACACAAGGAAATCTAGCCCTGTATGTTATTAAAACAATTTAAGTGCTACTATAATTAAAATGGCTTGGTAATGGTACATAAATAGTTAAAGAGATAAGAACAAAAGAATAGAAAATTCAGAAACAGGCCCTAAAATATATACGAACCAGTATTTTCTGGTTTTGAGGACAATTCCATTATTATTTGGAACACACCAGCCTATTGCAGGCAAGAAAAACATTCAGTTTCTGAAGGAAAACAGTCCAACCTTTTAGTTCTGACTAATCCTGGCTGAAAATAGTTTACTGGATTTGGCTTTATTGAAATAAACAAAAGCTTGAGTTATCAAAAAAAGATCTGCATTGCAAAATTAATTTTTATGTAATAGAATTTCCCCCTTTTCCCACTGTTTCCAGAGTTTCCAACAGCATATAACTTTATAAAGTTAATTTTTGCTGTTATGGTAAAATATATATAACACAAAAATGAAAATGACCATTTTAACATTTTATAAGTATCCAGTCCAGTGGTATTGAGTATATTTACTGTTATTGCAACCATCACCACCTTTTTCCCGAAGTGAAACTTGGTACCCATTAAAAAATAGCTCCAGGCCAGGCATGGTGGGAGGCTGAGGTGGGGGATCACTTGAGCTCAGGAGGTTGAGCCCAGCCTGGGGAGCAATCAGGTGGACAATAACTAGAGCCAACAAGAATTTATCCATGCAGTGTATTGGCAAACACCAGATCTAATTTATTTTGAAGATGAGTAACAGAATAAAAATAATTAAAACAACACAATCTAAAACAACTTTTGAAGGTTTAGAAACACCCTACAGCATAAATGGAAAGGAATAATTAAGAAGAAAAACATATTTTTAGTATAAAACAAAAAGAAAAATTTCAGTTCAAGAAATATAATTAAATTTCAAAGAGCATGAGTTTTTTGTTTAAGAAAAATCTAGAAAACATTGACTCTGTTGACAAAAGGGATGAACAATATGAGAAGCCAACTGAAGGAGCTGCAAAAGGACCTGACTGACGGGTGTGCCCATGGAAACAAAGGAGCCAGCTGACCTGCCTGTGGCACTTGTGCCAGAGCCCCGGAAGTGTTGACGTAGAGGCCAGTCCTACAGAGGAAAGACTGGCACAGAGTAGGCTGTCAATCAATACTAAGTAGTATACTTCAAGTAAAGCTGTTAGGAAAGAGAACGGATGGTGCAGAAGTACACAAAAAAGAAAACCCCAAGGAAATGAAACAAACAAAACTGCAATTAAATGATGTGTTTATGGGAGTAGAAAGCAGAATTCACGTTGCAAAAATTGAATCAGTGATATTGGAACACAAGTAAATAAAAGTGTATCCATTTAATAGGTAAAAAGAAGAGAGTTATGCCTTTTATATTGTTAAAAGATATACATCGCACTCAAAAATAACTTTATGCATTAAATAGAAAAACTGTAAAATGTATATAATTGACACTCTTAGAAATACAGGTAGAAGTTAAGAGACATCAATTCATGGGTGGAGATTTCCCAAATGCTTTCATAAAAACACTTAAATAAACCACACACACCCACAGTTGAAAACATTTTCTAGTAATGAAAACATATATTCCAAAATTTAGTATTTTAATGATGAAATTGTGTTTCACATACTCGTGCACTCTAAACATTTTGTAATATAAAAATGTGACTTTTAAAACTGGAAAATATAATTTGTTACACATTTTCAAACACAAAGTTTTAAATGGAGCAGCAGCACAATGTAACTTGGAATCTCTCTCCTAATGTCTAAATGTAATGTGATGTTCTAAATTGTATCCTGGAACAGAAAATGAATATTAAATAAACTGAGGAATTCTGAACAAGTATGATTTTTATATATCAATAATTCATCAATATTGATTCATTAATTGTATCAAATATACCATACTAAGATATTAACAATAGAGAAAACTGGGTTTGGGGCTTTACAGGAACACCATACTATCGTCACAAATTTTCTGTAAATCTAAAATGGTTCTAAAATTAAAATTCTATTTAAATCAATGGCAATATATAAAATTAATTAAATCTGAATTGTGGAAAATATAGCTTTTATTATAATTTTCCTTGATAGCTTCTGAAGACGAAGCTTTTATTTTCTATTTTTAGGTGAAATTGCACACATTTTCAGTCTAACTGTTTATTGTAACAATATTTGCAATACTAAAAGTTTTATAACTTATAGATTCATAATGCAAAGCAAAGCATACTGTTGGTTTTATTTTTGGAATGCTATATGAAACACATAACCTCTTACTTAAGATTTATAATAACAATTCTATGGTATTTCATAAGGGAATATAATTTCCATAAAATATAAGTTAATTTTATCTCAATGATTGTGAAATGGTTAACAAATATCCAAGCTAAAATAAGAATCTGTTTCTAGATTAGAAAGAAATATAAACTATATAATTCTTTACTTTTAAAATATTATAGACATGACTAGTATTGTAATAATAACAAAAAAGTATCAAATATTTTACATATATTCTGTAATCTGCCCTTAACAAAATTCTTTAACTTAACCTTTTTGAGAGGAGCTACCTATGAAGTCTAAAAAGGTTTAATTCAAATTTGTTTTAATATCAGCAACTCTTCAAACTTTTCCTGACCCTGCCAAGAAATTTGTCTTCCTAATATCTCTTACTCTGTAAATTTCTCTCTATTTCTTAGAGAGAGAGAGAAAGAGACTAAGACAGAAAGAGAGAATTTATAGGAAAATAAGATAGGAAGGGTTATAATAACAGCTTCCTTTGATTTCTCCATCCTGAAGTCCCCATTTTCGTCTCTGAGAGCTGATCTGGAATAGGGTAGGCTATAGGGACAGAGAAAATCAGAGTGCTAGAAAGAGCTAGGAAGGGAAGAGGTGACCTGAAGATCAAATACTGAAGAAGGGGCTAATAGATGGCAAGGAAAGTGGTGAGCACAGCATGCAGTAGATGGGGTTCTAGTTAGTGAAGACCCACAGGGTGGAGGGTAATCCCATGCAAGGGTCAAGTGTAATTCAGTGACAACATAGGCAGCATGGGAGACCTACCACAGTGAACCAGCGATTGGCACGTTTGTAAGGACTGTGTTCAGATTGCGGGTTTTTTTTTTTTAAAGATTAAGTGATCTTGAAATTGACATTCCATGTCATTTTAAAAGATAAATGGTAAAGCAAATGTTTTATTCACGTGTCTTTATTTCTCCCCTCCATACTTTTCCCTCCACTCTTCTTTTTTTAATGTGGAAGTTTAAAATCCCATCTTACATTCATTTTTTTAGAAGTAGAAATAATGGGAAAACTTCACTTGGATAGGGAACGCTTGAGTAGAGCTGCGTCATTATTTAGTCTTTACTGCCGCTTAGTGGTAAGGAAGAGACAAAAGTTGACTGAGAGGATCAATTGAGCAAGTCAGCGAGTGATAGCGATGCAACCCAGATTTATTGAAGAGTAATTGTAATTACTTTTTATATTTTGTAGGCAAAGAGCTCTTACTGCTTTACACGCAAGGTTTATTGAATATACTTTTTTTTTTTTTTTTTTTTTTTTGAGACAGAGTCTCGCTCTGTCTCCCAGGCTGGAGTGCAGTGGCGCGATCTCGGCTCACTGCAACCTCTGCCTCCCGGGTTCACGCCATTCTCCTACCTCAGCCTCCCGAGTAGCTGGGACTACAGGCGCCTGCGACCACGCCCAGCTAATTTTTGTATTTTTAGTAGAGACGGGGTTTCACCATGTTGTCCAGGATGGTCTCAGTCTTTTGACCTCGTGATCCGCCCGCCTCGGCCTCCCAAAGTGCTGGGATTACAGGCGTGAGCCACCGCGCCCAGCCGAATTTACTTTCTACGACAAAGTTTTATGTTATAAGCATTGTATGACTTTTAGTATTACCTGAAACGTAATGAAGTTTGGGCAAGTGTTGTTGGTTGTTTTTGTATTGTGATTACAGAACTGCATTTTGAGAGGCTGAATATAAACTGAATGCATCCTTAGCTGCTGGCCTAGAAACTTAACGTCCCCTGAGTGAAGCTGCACATTGGGAATTGCGGGTGGTAGAACACGTTTGTTAAAATAGTTTGTTCTCTTCTTATTTTATTATATTATGCCTTAATTTGTAGTAATTTATTAATATGTCGTATTTCCCTTAAGCTTCCTAATGTCAAGACGGTTATCATTTTTTGTGTTTCTTAATGTCTTGTCCATAATTGCTGCTCAATAAATGTTTGCTCAGTTAATCTCATCGAATAAGGCAAAACAATGTCATTTTAACTATTAATTAAGACTGGCTCTGCATTAGCAGAGCAGGGACTCTAAAGTATGTGTCTCAAAAGCACTTTTTATCCCAAAATCATTAGGCAACTGTAGAACTAGAGATCACAGAAAAGGTGTTGGAGTGAAGTCATTGAATAACCTTGGATTTACTCATACGTGCTCTAACCAAATGGATACAGATCAGAGAGTCTTAGCGTTAAAACAGGCCATAGACATCACCTAAACCAATAGTTAAACCAGAAAAAATATTCCAAGGAACATTTGGAAGGTGTATTGAACTGTTAAAAACCTGAAAGTTAAGAGAACTAAGAATCCAAATGGTGATTGCTTGAAAAAAAAAAAAATGTTAGCAGGACACCATGGCTCAGTCTTGTAATCCCAGCACTTTGGGAACCCGAGGCAGGAGGGTTGTTTTAGGCTAGGAGTTCCAGACCAGCCTGGGCAACAGGTAAGACCATGTCTCTACAAAAAATGAATAAATAGCCAGATAGGGTGGTGTGTCCTTGTAGTCTCAGCTACTTGGGAGGATTGCTTGAGCCCAGGAGTTCGAGGCTGCAATGAGCTGTGATCGTACCACTGCACTTCAGCCTGGGTAACACAGTAAGACCCTGTCTCAAAAAAAAAAAAAGCCATCTCACAAAAGAATACTACTAACTACTACTGCAAAGAACATATACTTTTAACAAAGTTAGCTTCATGTGGTTTGTGTGCATTTTTAAATATTTAAAAGTGATCCATGCTTTATACGCTGTTCTAAATGCTTCTGTAACATCTCGGATTTATTTCAGTTTGAACCTTTAATGTATTGCTTAAGCAAGTGGGTGAGGGAAGTGTGAACCCTGCCTGCCTTCTCTCAGCTCTCCCTCACTGAAGATGGGAACGCAGCCCTCCTCAGTGGCACCTGGGACCCCTGGCTGCAGTGGCCAGGTGACATTCCTGTGGAGAAAAGCACTTTAGGACCAGTCTGCAGATGCCCTAGCATGAATCTTCTGCTTTACCGTGAAGCCTGGGAGAAAACAAAGGGGAAAAATGTGAGAAGAACTACGCTGCCCTTCCTGAATAGAAACCTGTTGTGCAGAGGCACATGCAGCTGAGGACAGAGCTCAGCATTTTACGTTAAATTTGCACATAGTTTCTGTGACCTCATCTGACAGACTGTTTTTGAGCTCCCTGTTGCCAATCTGTCTATTTTCCTGTTCACTTAAACCTAAGGGAATACATCAGCTGCAAGAGGTGACTCTGTTGCACTGTTGCTCCTGTATCCTCTTACGGCTGTCACAATGACACTGATATCAGACAGTGACATGAACCTTGATGTATGGTACATGCAGAGGAAGAATGTGCCATGGTTAGCCCAGCAGTCGTTACATGAGCTAAAATTGTGATAAGGGAAAAAGAAACACGTGTCAAACACCACATTCAAGGTACCCAGAAGTGAAAATGGAATAATCTTGACCGATTCATGATGGCAAAGCCACATTGCCTGTGTCATTCATGATCCTTCTCTATGATCTGTGTTTATGGAGTAGATCTATGTATAGCCTCTCTTACATAGAATAAGGTTCAATTGAAGGTGACAGAGAATCCCCAAAATAACAGTCCCTTAGAGAAGTTAGCATACTTCTTGCTCATGTAAAATCAGGCAGAGGCTTGGCCATCCAGGTTTGCTGTGGCAGCTCCGCTTCGTGAGCCATCAAAATTCCGCACTCCCCAGCTGTGCCCAGGACACAGCTCACTTCCTCATAGTCACATACGACTGCTGGAGCTCCAGGAAACACAACTGCATCCCAAGCTGCAGTCATGAAAAAGGAGTAGAAAAAACAAAAGACCTCCTCCCGTAAGGAAAGTCCCTGGAAGTCACAGACAAACAATTCCGCCTCTACCTCACTT